>NC_000019.10:34740874-35365874 GCF_000001405.40 Homo sapiens | reverse complement strand
AGAGATCGTGATGGGGTGCTCTGAAGTGACACAGAAAGGGGTAAGGGGTGCACCAGCTCCTTGTCCTAAGCCAACAGAAGCATGATCTACTTCCCTACACCCCTGTTACATGGCACATGACCTTCTGGTTATAAAGTCTTCATCCTTTGGTTCCCAGCCAAAGTGCTGTTGTGGACTGTAGATCCGCCTCTCTGCCAGCTACAATTAAGATAGGCATCATGGCAGAGTCTCTACCCCAAGTCCAGAGCATGCAACTCTGTGAACTGTCCTACATTGCTGAGACCCTGCTGCTCCTGTAGTGAGGGAGAGTTGGGTGCCGCCCTTTGTGAAATCCCATATAAGAGCTGTGTCAAGTACTTTGAAGGAGGCCTGGCATGTGATGGTGTGTGTTCAGCACCTGTCAGCTGCCAGCATCCAGGTCACAGGTGTGGGCATGTCTCTGGGGTGACAGTAATAATAATAATGGTGGCGGTGGTGATGATAACAACTGCTTTTCGGTAGGCATATAATCCACAGATCCAGAGATACTCCACTTCTCAAGGCATCCCCTATTGTCATGAAATCCTTTGTGCCTCACAGTGGGGAAGTGACTTGCTCCAGGTGATACAGCTTATTAAATATCACCACCCGGGTTCAAACCCAAGTGCTCTCCAGTGCAGAGGTAATTTATTTCTTCATTCAAATACTTACGGAGCACAATGATGCCATTTCACATCCACTAGAATGGCTATAAGCAAAAGGCAGACAATAACAAGTGATGGTGAGGATGTGGAGAAACAGGGGCCTCTCATTGCTGCTGAGAATGTCAGATGGTACAGCTGCTTTGCAAAGCAGGTGGCAGTTTCTTAAAAAGTTAAACATCAATTTAACATGTGATCCAATAATTCCACCATAGGTATTTATTTAAAATAAGTGAAAACATTTGTCTAAGCAAAGACTCAGTCCTCAATGTTTGTAGCAGCATACATCATAAGAACCAAAAGTAATTCTCAGCAAACTAACACAGGAACAGAAAACCAAACACTGCATGTTCTCACTCATAAGCAGGAGCTGAACAATGAGAACACATGGACACAAGGAGGAGAACATCACACACCGCAGCCTGTCGGGGCATGGGCGGCAAGGGGAGGGGTAGCATTAGTACAAATACCTAATGCGTGTGGGGCTTAAAACCTAGATGACGGGTTGATGGGTGCAGCAAACCACCATGGCACATGTATACCTATGTAGCAAACCTGCATGTTCTGCACATGTATCCCAGAACTTAAAGTATAAAAAAAAAAAAGAAGAAGAAAAGAAAGAAAAAGAAAAAGAACTAAAAGTGGAAACCTCACCTGGAGGCCCTTCTGCTAGTTAGTGGATAAAAATAGTGGCACATCCATACACTGGAATTCTATTTGGCAATAAAAAGGAATGAGCTGCCTATACCTACTGCGTCAGAGCTCCCCAACCCCGGGCTGCAGACCCGTGCAGGTGAGTGGTCTGTTAGGAACCCAGCCACACAGCAGGAGGTGAGCAGTGGGCAGACAAGCTGGCATGACCGCCTGAGCTCCTGTCAGATCAGCGGCAGCATTAGATTCCCACAGGAGCGCAAACCCTATTGTGAACCGCACATGCGAGGGATCTAGGTTGCGCGCTCCTTATGGCAATCTAAATAATGTCTGACAATCTGAGGTGGAACAGTTTCATCCCAAAACCATCCCCCCACTCCCCTGAGGTCTATGGAAAAATAGTTTTCCACAAAACCAGTCCCTGGTGCCAAAAAGTTTGGGGACTGCTGTACTATATCACGAGTGAATCTTTAAAATATTACGCTAAGTGAAACAAGCCAGGTGGTCCCATAGAGGGCTAAGGAGAGCTGCGGGGGCAGGTCCATGGGGCCACCGTCCTGGCCTGCACGGCTCCTGTGTACAACTGGCTCACCGTCCTCAGATCTTGAGGCCCCAGAGAGGAGGGGCTCCTGGGATCACTCATGGGTTCCAGCCCTGCCTGGAGGATTACAATTCGCCTGGTGGGATCACCGAGGAAACGGAGGCCCACAGAGGAATGCAGCAGCCAGGGAGCAGCGGAGCCTGGATGAGAAGCTGTGGCCCCCAGTCCTGTGCTTTCTCTCCACATCATCTCTTAAAATGAGGGGAGCACCTGCAGGGTCACAGGAGATAGGACTTCACGCGTGGGTCCCAGAGGAAGAAAGCTTCTTGATTTCTGAGACTCTGTGGGGAGGAGGGGTGGAGAGAATTCAGAACAGGGCTGGGCCCACTGCCTGAGTCTTCTCTAGGAATGGGAGTTTGACTCCTGAGCCCACTGCCTTCCCTGGTTCCCTGGCAAGGCAGGAGCTGACCCCCCGACACCCACAGTGGAAAGCCGGCGGGGCAGCAGGGAGGAGACGGGTGTGAATAAGGTGAGGGTGTCGCCAGGGACAGGAAAAGGGGGTCCCCCAGGGAGAGCCCAAGGGTCAGCTGGGCCCCATCCATGTCACGGTTGAGCTTAGCAGTTCTCAGGGGCCACCTGGGCAGGGGTGGTCTGGGGGTCTGGGGAACAGTCAGGTGAAGAGAGGAGCCACAGAGAGAGGGACCCACCTCCTGGTGCTGCCAGATGTCCCTGAGGCTCAGCAGTCCCCTCAGCGGGCTGATGGAGGATGCCCAGGATGGGCAGTGAGCCAGAAGGGGACGGGGGGAGTGAGCTGGAATGACAGGGCTATTAGCCTGAGGTTCTAGCAGCTTGGGTGAGAAGCTGATGGGGCATCCTGGCTGGAGCTGATGCGGCACTGGAGGAGGTGAGGGTCTTGGAAGATGCAGGAACACAGAAGGGCCAGGGAGGAATCAGCGTCCTGTCTGGGTAGGGGCCGAGTGTGTAGCCAGTGCCTCTCAAGAGCAGGGCTTGGGGGCTCGGCCACAACCCAGCGCTATTCCCTCCCCAGCCCTCCTGCCTGTTCACACCTGCACTGGGGCCAGGTCTTCTCCACCCTCAATGTACCCCTGGGCAGGCCCCGGGCCTTGCTGGCTCACCCCTGACAACACAGGGTGCCCTGTGACTGCAGCCGTGAAACCATCTCCAAGTGGCAGTGGGTGTGTGGGGTAAGGAGTGATCACACCCGGGTGCGGTTCTGCACAGGCTGTGGGCTTATTTTAGTTTTTGCGAGGAGAGGCCCCTCTGTTCTGCCTCTCCTTCCCCTCTAGCTCCGCAATGGTGGTTTCTGACCTTTCCAGGGCTGGCAGAAGGATGGGGAGGAGGAAGACAAGGGACGGGAGCAACCTCCGCTGGCTGGCACTGGAGGACTCAGGCAGTGGCCTCAACTCCAAGGACTCCTCCTGGGGAGTGTGGTGGGGACACTGGGGGTCCCTCCCTGAGGCACAGGGGATGTGGCCCTGGCCGGCTGCGCAGCTTCCTTCTCTCAACCCTGGAAATCCAGCCAGCTGTTCAGCTCCCCGGTGGGGCCACTTGAGCCTCCCAGGAGGACCTAAGGAAGATTTCTAACCTCTCTGGATGCTCTCTCAGGTGTGCCCATGCCTGCCAGTGAGAAGCCAGCTCTGCTCTGTGAATCTGTCTCTGTCTCTCACTGTGCCGGTGTCTGTCTGTCTGTCTGTCTGTCTCTGTTTCCTGCCTCAGAATGACAACACAGCCTCTCCACATCTGTTTTCTCAGGCGTGTGTGGGTCATCTGACCACTCTGCCCCTTCCAGGTTCCAGGTCCCCCATCATCAGCCTCTCTCTGTGTGGCCTCCTGGCAGCTCCGGTCACCAGGTTTCGGGGGGGACAACGAGGGGGTCTCAGCCTATCACCACCTCCCTCCAAAGATGCCATCTCCCTCCTTTTTGCGTGTGATCGCTTCACCCATGGGAGATTCACACCTACTTGCTCTGCCCGATGGAGAGGGTGCCAGCTGCTGCACCCCCCACAGTCTTCTCCCACCTCCTCTCTCTGCCTTTCTCCCACCCCACCTAGATGGCACCAAGCGGCAGCCCCAGATGCATCTCCCGTTCTATGACAGCCCCGTTCCCTGGGCTTCTGAGATGTATGGAAAATGCTCCAACATCCTCCTCACCCCCACTCCCACGATCACCCACACCCTGATGGCTTTTCATCTTCCCCACCCCTGGGCTTTTGCTTATACAGACTGGGCTGGGCTGGGAGATAGCTGGGGACAGCAAAGCCCATGAAGCTGCCTCTTATTCCCTCTTATAAACCTGGGGGAGGAGGGAGACTCCAGCTCTTCATGGCTCTCTTTCGACTGTGAGGTTTTCAGTTTTTCTGTTCTCTGCCTTGGGGTGGCGGTGCCCATTCTGAAGTTGCAGGATTCCATGGCACCTTTGTCCCCTTTCTGAGCCATGAACACCCCTACCTGCATCAACTTCTTTGCAGCCACCAGGGCTGAGTGCCCTGGGGATGGACAGGTGAGCCGTGGGACAGAGAGACAGCTCATGGTTTCAACTCTCCACAGAGTCCCTCTCCTTCCACCTGAAATCCACTTCCCCACACACAGCCAGTCTTCATTCTCCCGGCACACTTAACCCCAGGGAGGAAGCAGATATTTAAAGACCTTAGTGTCGAACTCCCCGAAGTTCTGAGCCCAGCCATCTGCATGCAATAGGTGTTCAACAAATGCTTCTGAAATACTGCTGACAGCATGCAAACAGGGGCTGGCGAGTCTCAGGTGGCCTTGCTTGGGGAGGAGGTCCTGACCAGCTATTTCTCATGGGCCACCACTCAGGGAACATGAAAACTTCCTGAATGGCCATATTTTGATGAATAGAGCTCTGAGGAACATCTCTCTGACTTTGCAGAAACCTGAAGTCCATTGTGCTGACTAATTATCTTTTTTTCTTTTTTTCCAAGAGGGCTTTTTTACTGGGAAAAGGTTGAACCCACACAAATAGTCAATACGCTTTGCATTTAGTTCTGTTTCTTATCATGGCCTGTTTATATTTGTCCTGCTCAGACAGACTTATCTGACTTGGGACATTTGACTGGGCCAGGTGACCACAGGTGACACACAGATGGAGAACAGCAGAGTGGCTTAGGGGCATGGGTGTCAGAGTCAACTGACACCAGCTTCTGGTCCCACTTCAATCGCCCACCAGCTATGGGATCTCAGGTAGGAGGTGTCACCTCTCTGGGCCACTCCTTCATCTGAAACTGGGGATAATGCTGGTACCTCTCACAGGGCTATTGAGAGATAGAAGGAGATGATGTGTCAGGCCAAGTCCTTTAGACAGGGCAGCTGTTATTTTCATCCCTGCAAGCCAGATCCTCTCCCAGCATCCAGGCATCCTGGTGTTTGGCCCTTTTCCTCCAGAGTCTGGTGTTTTCTCCTTCCATCCACCAGTCCCACCCGGCCCAAGCACACCACCAGAACAAAACAGGAGAAGAAGGAAACACTGTTCTCTTTTGCTTGCTTCCACATTTATTTGGGTAATTTTTCTTCTGTCATTGTTCATAAATGTCTCTGATGATCCACATTTATTGAGCAATGGGAACTTTCTGGAAAAGGCGCTGTGGGAGCAGAATGCGGCCTCATCCCTGGAGCCCTGTCTCCCCCGCTCCTGACTCGCTGGCTGGGAGCAGCTCTGAGGATGGGGTTCTCCCCTCTCCTGCCCCTGCCACTCACTGGGCAGCCCCCTCAGACCCTGGGCACTGCTCTTAGCTCCTCTGCCACCCTCAAGAAAACACAGGAGCTGCCTGCTGCTATGAGGACCTCATTGTTCTCCAGAGCAGCCTCTCACCCTGACCCCTTCCCAGAGCCCAATCCATAGTGTGTGGGTGGATGGGGATGGAGGTGAGATCGAGAGCTGGGCTTTAGCGCGCATACCCTTAGGGAGGCTAGATGTCTACTCTGCCCCCAAGCCCCATCGGGCCCCAGCTCGCCACTCCAAGTCCCTCCTGGCGTGAGCGAGGAAGCGCCCTGAGGATGACATGCCAGCTACACCCTCCTCCCCCGGAGGACCTAGCTTTCAGCACAGGCCACCTGGCCACCAGTTCCACAGCCCTGTGAGTGTTCACTGGTCTTTCTTTCAGCTGGTCGGTCCGCTCTCTGCTCCTCCCCTCCCTTCTGCTCCTTCAGCTCCATGCTGCTCTCCTGCTGCCACTGGCCCCAGAGCCCACACAACCTCCTCAGCAGCTCATGAAAGTCGGCTTGGAACCCGGAGGAGGAGAAGTAGTAGACAAAGGGGTCGACACAGGAGTTCAGGGTGCTGAGAAGCGTCACGTAGATCCTCCACGCCGGGCTTTCACCGCAGATATAGCCCACGACATGGGACACGTTGTAGGGCCCAAAGCAGACAAGGAAGTTGAGCAGCGTGGCCGCCAACAGCCCCGCCACCCTCCTCTGCCGGCGGTGGCTGCCCCCTCTGCCGAGGATCCACACCAGGCGGCTGTAGCAGTAGCTGGTGATGATCAGCGGGACCACAAAGAGGACCACAGCCATCTCCAGCCGCACGGGCAGGAGGATGGCTAGCTGGTCCTTCCGGAACTCCAGGTAGCAGGTCCCATTGGTGCCCTGGCTGTGGGAGATGTCCCCTGAGAATTCTATGACGTAGACCACGCTGCAGTGAGCAGAGGCCAACAGCCAGCAGGCCACACTCACCAGACCTGCCTGCCCCAGCCTCGGCCGGGTCTTGTACCACAGTGGGTGGGCCACACTCAGGAAGCGTTCAATGCTCACAGCTGCCAGGAAGAGGGCGGTGAGATAGATGGTGGTGAAGAAGATGAATCCAGAGAGTGGGCAGAGGATGAAGGGCAGGGGCCAGTGCATGCCATTGGCTGCCTCCACCATGCGGAAAGGCAGGAACAGCAGCAGGAGCAGGTCCGAGGCGGTCAGGTTGAGCAGGAGCACGTCCACGGCCACCGGGCGGCGCTGCAGCTTGCCCACGAAGACCACCAGGGCCAGCAGGTTGAGGGGGAGCCCCACCAGGAAAGTGAGAAGGTACACCGAGAAGACGAACCAGTGATTGCCGGAGAAGTAGGACTGGTCGGGGCCTGTATCCATGGTGGTGGCCACTGGTGAGAGAGAGTAACATGGAGTTGGTAGTGGGGGCCCTAACGGCCTCTGGCCAGCAGCATCTCCCCTAAAAGGGCACGAGGTCACTACGCCCACCCCTCTTGTCTCTGGGTGCCTTCCAGGCGGGGTCAGCCTGCCTGTCTTCCTGAGCATGCCCTGTCCCCTGTCCCTTCCCCAGCAGAGAAGCACCAAGGTGCTCCTCCACCCAGCCCCTCGGGCCCAGGCTCACCTGCTTCTTTGAGACCCCAAATGCTCTGCCGCACAGCACCTTGCTGTCTCTCCAGACCTAGTGCAGTTGGCTATTTATCCGGCAGAACTGATAAAGACCTGGCCGTGCCCATGACGTCACTCACTGTTGAGCAGTGGCACATAGATGCCTTGAGCTCCGTTGCCAGGGCTGGTCAGCATGCTAAAAGGGGAACAAATTCCACAACTGCGTGCCTCCCTCCTCATGCAGTCTCAGCTGGGATGCTCTAAGCAGGCCCCAGCCGACGTCTTCCTCTCCCCTTCTTCACTTGAATTTTGTCTGCTTCTCTAGAATGGCATTTATCCAATTTGCCTTGTAAGGGCAGGAAGTGTGATGCAATGACAGAGAGCGAGCTCCGTGAGGTCTGTTTCTTCCTGACTTTGTGATTTGGGGGAAATGACTTAAATTCTCCATGTTTCTGCTTTCTCCCCTGCAGAACAGAGCTCATCATAATACCCATCTCATAGATCAACGCATTAACACATGCAAATTAAAACAATATGTAGGTCGATTAAAAGATTACTAATACATGTTGAGTGGTTTGACGGAAGCCTGGCGTGTGGTCGTGAGCAGGCAGCGGATGCCAGCTGCTATTTTCCCTGTCACTGGTGCAGGATTATCTCTGGGGTGACAATGTAATAATAATAACAATAATAATGGTGGTGGCGATGATGACAGCAGCTGCCTTTTCATGGGCACATAATCCATAGCAGACACTGCTTCTAGGGCAACGCTTTTATGTCATAAAATCCTTGTCCTTCACCGTAGGGAAGTGACTTGCTCCAGGTGATACAGCTTGTGAAATGTCACCACTAGGGTTCAAACCCAAGTGCTGTCCAGTTTCACAGGTGATCTATTAGTTCATTCAAACAATCACAGGGCACAATGAGATATGATTTCACATCCACTAGAATGGCCACAAGCAAAAAGTCAGACAATGCCTATGGTCGGCGAGAATGTAGAGAGATAGGGGCCTCATTCACTGCTGGTGAGAATAATGGGAGGTGGTGTCCCTGCTTTGGAAAGCAGGTGGCAGTTGCTTAAAAAGTTAAACATAAATTCACCATGCGATCCAACAATTCCACCGTAGGTATTTACTTAAGAGAAGTGGAAACTCAGGTCTACTTAAAGACTCAGTCCTAAATGTTCACAGCAGTGTTGGTCATAGTCACCAACAGTGGAAATGTTACCTGGCAGCCCATCAGCTGGTGAGTGAATAAAAAAGTGGCACATCCATATACTGGAATTCTATTTGGCAAAGAAAAGGAATGAGCTACCCATACACACTACAGCCTTATGTTGAGTGAAACAAGCCAGACGTAAAAGACCATGTACATATATTGTCAGATTTCATTTATTTATATGATATGTCCAGAATAGGCAAAGTTATAGAGTCAGAAAGTAGACTCGTGGTTGTCTGGGGGATGGAGGTAGAAATGAAGATTAAGTTGTTTTTTTTTTTTTTTTTTTTTTTTTGAGACAGGGTCTTGTTGTCGCCCAGGCTGGAGTGCAATGGTGCAATCTTGGCTCACTGCAAACTCTGCCTCCCGGGTTCAAGAAATTCTCATGCCTCAGCTTCCTAAGTAGCTAGGATTACAGGTGCCCGCCACCACGCCTGGCTAATTTTTGTATGTTTAGTAGAGATGAGGTTTCGCCATGTTGGCCAGGCTGGTCTCGAACTACTGACCTCAGGTGATCCGTCCACCCCAGCCTCCCAAAATGCTGAGATTATAGGCGTGAGCCACCCCGCCTGGCCCAAGATTAAGTTTAAATGAACATGAAGTAAAATCCTTTACTAGGGTCATGAAAATGTTCTAAAACTAGCTGATGGTAATGGACTCACACCTCAGTAAATTTACTAAAAATCATTGAATTGTACACTTAACATTGGTGAATTTGATGATATGTACATAATATCTCAATTAAGCTGTTAAAAGTGCAGCAGTAGGCTGGGTACGGTGGCTCAGGTCCGTAATTTTAGCACTTTGGCAGGCTGAGGTGGGAGGATTGCTTGAGCACAGGTTGTTTGAGACTAGCCTGGGCAACATGAGGAGACCCTATGTCCACAGGGGAAAAAAAAAAAAAAAAGAGAGAAAGAAAAAAGAAATTAGCTGGGTTTAGTGGCATGTGCCTCTGGTCCCAGCTACTTGGGAAGCTGAAATGGAAGAATCGCTTGAGCCCAGGAATTCAAGGCTGCAGTGAGCCATGACTGTGTCACTGCACTCCATCCTGAGCAACAGAGTGAGACTGTGTCTAAAAAAAAAAAAAAAAAAAAAAAACAACACGCAGTTGTGAACAAAAAGTTTTTGCTGTCATGCTGTTTACATTACATTTGGTGGTGAGGGCTTGGGGGATGGAGTAGGGGAAGGATCATGAAGACGTGGATACTGAAGAGGCAAAGAGCCACTGGAGGGAACATTGGGGCAGGGGAGTCACGGGTGCACAGACTTGGCCTGCTGGGGGAGCTGATAGGAGGTTTGGGTCTCACAGGAGTGAGAGGCGCCTGGGGTGGATCACACTGAGTCTCCTGGGCCCCAGGGAGGCACTGGATTTGCCCTAAGTGGGGGGAGGCAGGAGGAACTGGGAGAAGCAGCCCAGTACCCAGCAGGGGCTATGGAGCAGGAGTCAAAGAGAGTGGGCCCTGGCACCCTGTGATGCGGGAGGAGGCACTGGGGCTCCCTGGGGTGGAGTTTGGGTTTTTACTGAAATTCCCTGGTGTTGTCACTGCACAAGTGCCGGGCTTGTTTCTGGCTTCCAAAAGAAGTTACTTAATTTCTCTGGCCTGTTTCCATATTGATAAAACAGACATAGAACTTTCTTTGGAAGGCTAGTAGAGGCATTCATTCATTCATTGAGCGAACATTTACTGAGCACCTACTGCGTGCCACTCTGTCTTCTGGGCGCTGGGGATATATCATCAATTACAAGAAAAATCCTTGCATGCGTAGACATTTCAGCCTGAACAGAGCTCATTTGTAGAAATTGGTGCGTGCACCCCAGCTGGTGGCTGCCATTTGTTGTGCTCCAATACATCATCATGTGCATGGCATTGCTGTAATTTAGAGCAGGTGCCCAGGTGTCTGTCTCCTTCACAGCCACAGCCACTCCCTTCTGACCTCCCTCTCATGGATGTGGGATGCTATCCTTTGCGAAATGGACCACAAATACAGGGTTAACCCCCACACCCCCAGGTTTCCCAAATGTCCCCTGGCTCTTGGGGGTTCTGCTTGGAAGGATCACATCCTGCTTTTACCCCTTCCTTGCTGTAGGGCCTTAGGCAAGTTTCTTCATCCCATTCCAGGATCGTAGCTACCTGGTGCAGCACCTTTGTGCAAATTAGGTGCTCCCTTTCCAGAGGAGCCCATCCCGCACCAAGTGCTGCCTAAGGAGTGGCTGGTGTATTTCTTCAAATTAGAACACAATACTCCTTCCCTTGATGCAAGCAAGGCAGGCATGTGGCTTGTTGAGCAAAGCACAGGCTAGAATTTAGTCAGTGTTTGCTCCTCTGCCCAGTACCTTCGTGTAGTGAACACCCGCTCATCCGTACGGCAGTGGCAAGGCTAAACCACAGCGTTGTGTGAAGCTGAAGTGAGACAACACTCACTGTAGACACTCAGCGTGACACCCATCACGTATTACAGACTATATAGTTGACCTTTGAATAGCACAGGTTTGAACTGTGCAGGTCCACTTACTTGTGGATTTTTTTCAATAAATACATTGGAAACATTTTCAGAGATTTGCAACAATTTGAAAAAACTTACAGAGGAACTACAAGCCTAGAAATATATTTTTAAAATTAAGCAAAAGTTAAGTATGCCACGAATACAAAAAATATATGTAGGTACTAGTCTATTTACTGCCACTAGTCTATTTACTGCCATACATACTAGTCTATGTATGCCAAAATGGATACAAAGCTTTTTTTTTTTTTTTTTTTGAGACAGGATCTGGCTCTATTACCCAGGCTGGAGTGCAATGACATGATCTCGGCTCACTGCAACCTCTGCGTCCCAGGCTGAAACCATCCTTCCACCTCAGCCTCCCAAGTACCTGGGACTACAGGCACACGCCACCATGCCCAGCTAAATTTTTTGTATTTTTGGTAAAGACAGGGTTTCTCCATGTTGCCCAGGCTGGGCAAATCTCTTATAGAAAGTTAAAATTGGCAGGGTACCGTGGTTCACGCCTGTAATCCCAGCACTTTGGGAGGCCGAAGCGGGTGGGTCAACTGAGGTCAGGGGTTCGAGACAGGCCTGGCCAACATGGTGAAACCCCATCTCTACTTACAATACAAAAAATTAGCCAGGTGTGGTGGTAGGTGCCTGTAATCCCAGCCACTTGGGAGGCTGAGGCAGGAGAATTGCTTGAACCTGGGAGGCGGAGGTTGCAGTGAGCCAAGATCACACCATTGCACTCCAGCCTGGGAGACAGAGCAAGACTCTGTCTAAAAACAAAACAAAACAAAAAAGTTAAAATTTATCAAAAATATATGCACGCAAACACAAACTCTATTTGATGCCATTTGAAGTCAAGAGAAATGCAAGCAAACATAAAGATGTGCAGTATTAAAGTCATAAGTGCATATTTACTGTAGACATACTGTACTCCTATAATAATTTCGTAGCCACCTCCTGTGCTTTCTCCGTGAGCTCAACTGTTGAGTATCTGCTTCCAACACCACGTGAAGCTAATCACCTCCTGGTGAGCAGTTCTCGCCAGTACACTGTGTACAGAAGTAAAAAGTGATCTTTCATAGTCATTGCATATGTTTCACCATGTTTAATGCAATACCGTAAACTTTGAATAACCCCCTTGGCCCCAAATGCGGGGCCACTAGTGATGCCAGAGCTGCTTCCAAGAAGCAAAGAAAAGTCATGACATTATAAAAAAGGGTTGAACTGCTTGATATCTACCACAGATTGAGATCTGCAGCCGCGGTTACTGCCGCTTGAGACAGACAACTTCTCTTATAAACAGACAACAAAACTTACAGTATTGATAAATACAGCACAGTGCTGTGAAGGTATTTTCTCTTTCTAATAATGTTTTCAGTAACATGTACTTTTCTCTAGCTTACTTTATTGTAAGAATACAGCACATAATATATATAACATACAAAATATGTCTTTTTTCTTTTTTTTCCAGAGACAGGATCTTGCTCTGTCACCCAGGCTGGAGTGCAGTGGTGCGATCATGGCATTGCAGCCTCAATCCTGGGCTCAAGGGATCCTCCCACCTCAGACCCCTGAGTAGCTGGGACTACAGGCACGCACCACCACGCCCAGCTAATTATTTTTATTTTTATTATTTGTAGAGGTGGGGGTCTCACTATCTTGCCCAGGCTGCTCTTGAACTCCTGGCTTCGAGCAGTCTTCCCGCCTCGGCCTCCTAAAGTGCTGGGATTACAGGCATAAGCCACTGTGCCTGGCTTCAAATATGTCTTACTCAATTGTTTATATACTGGGTAAAGCTTTTGGTCAACAGTAGGCTATTAGTAGTTGAACTTTGGGGGAGTCAAAGTCATGCACAGATTTTCCACTGCGTGGGGTTCGGCACCCCATCCCCACGTTGTTCAAGAGTCAACTCCGTAGCCTTTGCCCATCACTGCGGGACCTTGCATTTTCCCTCCCCGGCTGAAGCATCTTTTCCTGCCAGCCTCCGTTCCAAGCTCCAAGGCTGCCCCCTTGCGAGTTTCACATGGTATAACAGCGTCATTATCCTGCCTCCTGCCTCCTCTCCTACTCGGAAATCAAATGTTCTCTCCTGGGAACTGATTTCAGAGTAGCTGTCCTCAAGTGCATCACCGGAGTGGCAGTTCCTGTGGGTCAGAAACAGACTGCCTCCTCCTTCCCGTAAGTACAAGGCCTCTGCTCGCGGCCCACGGAAGACAGGCAGGTGAGGACGTGCAGAGGGGAGAGAAAGATAGGCGAGGAAGGGACAAACTTCCTCGACACGTGCAGGGGCAAACTTACCTCCCCCTGCCACCGTGCTCTGGCTCGGTGCTCCTCTCTTGACTGGGGTGCTGCCCTCAGCAGGCGCCGCTCTCTGCTTGAGTGGCTCCAGGGAGGCCTCCGGGCCAGGCTGCCCTGCAGTTCCTCCGAAGCAGCCCCCCGCAGGGGCCTGGAGAAGCAGCCGGGCCCTCCTGCCCCATGCTCCTTCCCCCGAGCAGTGGCGTTACTTCTGGGACTTGCCCCCTTGCGTTCTTGCCGCACACACTGTCTTCAGGCCAGGACCCCTTCCCAAGTAACCGGTCACCAGCGGATTAAGCACCACACTCCAGGCACCCGTGATGAGCCCCAGCTTCCGCCAGGAGCCTCCTAGATTGGGGTACAGGAAGCTGGCCACGTTGGAGGCGTTGTAGGGTCCTACGCAGAGCAGCAGCGTGAGGAGGGCCCCGCCGGCCACCCAGGCGGCCCGCAGCTTCCGCCTGTGCGTCAGGCCGGAGCGGGCCAGTGCCCGGAGGCAGCCCACGTAGCAGAAGGCTGTGATGGCCAAGGGCAGAAAAAAGAGCAGGAGAGAGAGGCTGAAGCGGGCCGGGCCGGCAGAGGCCGGGTCCCAGGCCTCCAGGCAGACCGGAGAGCCGTTGACCGGTGTGTTGATGCCCAGGGAGGTGTTGCTGTGGTCCAGCCAGCCTCCTGGAGCCTCCAACCCAAAGACCAGACCCAGGTGACACAGGACGAGGGCCCAGATGGCCGCGCACACCCCCCAGGAATAGCACGGCCTCCGGAAGGCTTGGTAGCCCAAGGGGAAGGCTGCTCCCAGGTAGCGGCCTGCACTCAGGGCGGCCAGGAAGCCCCCGCCGGCATAGAGTGGGAAGAAGTGGGCCACCGCGAAGACGGGGCACAGCGAGGCCGGCAGAGGCCAGGCCCCGGAGGCTAGCGCCTCCACCGCCTTCAGGGGCAGAGAGACTGTCAGCAGCAGGTCGGAGCAGCCCAGGTTCAGGGCGTAGACCAGGCTAGGGGTGAGACGGAGCCGGGCGTGGGCCGTCGCGCCTCGGATGGCCAGGACGTTGAGCGGGAAGCCCAGCGCAAAGGCGGCCACATAGAGGCCGAAGGAGAGCTGCGGGGGCAGGTCCATGGGGCCGCCGTCCTGGCCTGCACGGCTCCTGTGTGCAACCTGGCTCCCTGTCCTCAGATCTTGGGGCCCCGGAGAGGAGGGGCTCCTGGGATCACTCGCGGGTTCCAGCCCTGTGTGGAGAATTACAATTCACCTGGTGGGATCAGGGAGGAAACGAGGCCCACAGAGAAAGGCAGCAGTCAGGGAGCAGCGGAGCCTGGATGAGAAGCCAGGACCTGTGGCCCCCAGTCCTGTGCTTTCTCTCCACCATGTCACCTCTTAAAACCAGGGAAGCTCCTGCAGCGTCACAGGAGATAGGATGTGGCGCACAGGTCCCAGAGGAAGAAAGCTTCTCGATTTCTGAGACTCTGTGGGGAGGAGGGGTGGAGAGAATTCAGAACAGGGCTGGGCCCACAGCCTGAGCCTTCCCTGGGAATGGGAGTTTGACTCCTGAGCCCACTGCCCTCCCTGGTTCCCTGGCAAGGCAGGAGCTGCCCCCACCCCCCACCCACATTGGAAAGCCGGCGGGGCAGCAGGGAGGAGAAGGGTGTGGATAAGGTGAGGGTGTGGCCAGGGACAGGAAAAGGGGGTCCCCCAGGGAGAGCCCAAGGGTCAGCCAGGCCCCATCCATGTCACGGTTGAGCTTAGCAGTTCTCAGGGGCCACCTGGGCAGGGGGTCTGGGGGTCTGGGGAACAGTCAGGTGAAGAGAGGAGCCACAGAGAGAGGGACCCACCTCCTGGTGCTGCCAGATGTCTCTGAGGCTCAGCAGTCCCCTCAGCGGGCTGATGGAGGATGCCCGGGATGGGCAGTGAGCCGGAAGGGGAGGAGGGCGGGTGACAGGGCCATTAGCCTGAGGTTCTAGCAGCTTGGGTGAGCAGCTAATGGGGCATCCCGGCTGGAGGTGAGGCCACGCCAGAGGAGGTGAGGGGCTGGGAAGATGCAGGAACACAGAGGGGCCAGGGAGGAATTGGGGTCCTGTCTGGGTAGGGGCCGAGTGTGTAGCCAGTGCCTCTCAAGAGCAGGGCTTGGGGGCTCGGCCACAACCCAGCGCTATTCCCTCCCCAGCCCTCCTGCCTGTTCACACCTGCGCTGGGGCCAGGTCTTCTCCACCCTTGATGCACCCCTGGGCAGGTCCCGGGCCTCACTGGCTCACCCCTGACAACACAGGGTGCCCTGTGACTGCAGCCATGAAGCCATCTCCAAGTGGCAGTGGGTGTGTGGGGTAAGGAGTGATCACACCCGGGTGCGGTTCTGCACAGGCTGTGGGCTTGTTTTAGTTTTTGCGAGGAGGGCCCCTCTGTTCTCCCTCTGCTTCCGCACTAGCCCCATGGTGGTGGCTTCCGACCTTCCCAGGGCTGGAGGAAGGAGCGGGAGGAGGAAGGCAAGGGGCGGGGGCAGCCTCTGCTGACCAGCACTGGAGGGCCCAGGTTGTGGCCCCCACTCTGCCTGTCAAGGGGTGGCACAGATGTCCAAGCCGACTCCCCCCAGGGTGCATGGCTGGGGACACTGGGGGACACTCCCCAAGGCACAGGGAATGTGGCACCGGCCGGCTGCGTAGCTTCCTTCTCTCAGCCCTGGAAGTCCTCCCAGCCTTTCATGTTTCCCACTGGGGTCACCTGAGCCTCCCAGGAGGACCTAAGGAAGATTTCTAACCTCTCTGGATGCTCTCTCAGGTGTGCCCACGCCTGCTGGTGAGAAGCCAGCTCTGCTCTGTGATTCTGTCTCTGTCTCTCAATGTGCCCGTGTCTTTCTGTCTGTCTGTCAGTCTGTCTCTATTTCCTGCCTCAGAATGACAACACAGCTCTCCACATCAGTTTTCTCAGGCGTGTATGGGTCACCTGACCACTCTGCCCCTTCCGAATTCCAGGTCCCCCATCATAAACCTCTCTCTGTGTGGCCTCCTGGCAGCTCTGGTCACCAGGCTTCAGGGGGGACAGCAAGGGGGTCTCAGCCTATCACTAACTCCCTCAAAGACACCATCTCACTGCTTTTCATACCTCGGAGCCACTAAATTGGTCCATGCTCGCCTTTTTCTCGAGAGCAGCACCTGGGGTGCAGCGCCCGCTGTGAGCGGAGAACTGGCCTCCTACTGTTCAGTGTGTTGTTGGGAACTGAGAAATGGACAGAATGGAGGAAGAATCCACAGCAGTGTGGTTTCCCCTCCTGCAGCAAGAGCGAAGCCCTGGGGAGCCATTGGGTTTTCCAGATCTTCTCTGCTTTGGCCCCACCCACCTGGCGTCTGGATCTTTGCCCAAGGTCACCTTCTCCGAGGGCCTTCCCGGGTGCCTCAGCCACACTCATCCCTCCTGTGAATCTCACTTTTGTTGTCTTTCTTCAGTGCGACATCGTCTTGGCTGGCTCCTGAGCTAGAATGCCGGCCTCCTGAGGGCAAAGGCTTTGGTCTGCTTTGTCTACTACACGTTGCACAGCAGGTGTTTGGGAACCTAAATGCACGATCCATTGTCTGGACCCTGGGAGGACTGTGAGAGCTGGGGTTGTGGAGGGCGGCCTGCGTCTGGAGTCCTGGCCCCCTAGCTTCCTGGCCACCTGCTCTTCACCTGCTCTTCACGCCTCAGCAATGTCTATTGATGGCCATATCTCATGGTCAATCAGCCATGTAGTAGGTTTATGTCAGCAGCTGTGCTGAGGGACAGGGTGGGAAGGGGAAGATGCTCGATGGTTGCCAGGGAGCTTAAGCCAGGCCCTTCAGGCTTAGGACTGCCTCAGCTCCCTCCAGGGTATCTTGCCTTAAAAACCCTTGGCGGCTCTCGACTAGAGATCCCCAAGGTTGGTCCTACGCCTTATCTTTTTGGTGTCCTAACAACTGGCTCTGTACTGGGTGCATTTCCAGGTGCTCAGTATCTGTGTGCAGAATGAATGAAGAAAGAGTTGAATGACACCAGACCCCATTTTGGGCACAGACACCCCAACACCCTCCTGTCTCATTTAAACAGTTTTTGTTGTTGTTGTTTTGAGGCGGAGTCTCACTCTGTTGCATAGGCTGGAGTGCAGTGGCGTGATCTCGGCTCACCGCTACCTCCGCCTCCCAGGTTCAAGCGACTCTCCTGCCTCAGCCTCCCAAGTAGCTGAGATTACAGGTGTGAATCACCACGCTCAGCTAATTTTTGTATTTTTGGTAGAGACAGGATTTTACCATGTTGGCTAGGCTGGTCTTGAACTCCTGACCTCAGGTGATCTGCCCACCTTGGCCTCCCAGAGTGCTGTGATTACAGGCGTGATCCACCACGCCTGGGCTTTAAACAGTTCTTAAAGCCTCACCTTCCTCCAGAAAAGTTAATGGTGCTCACAAGAATCAAACCAGGGACAAAGTGGATTGATGGGGCGATCAAGGCCTCCCTGAACCATAATTCCTAGAGTTACCGTCCGGGTACTGAGCAGAGATGGGAGGGAAAGGAAGGTGGGAGAGGAAGGTGGCAGTTTGGGGACACCTGCCACGTGCCAGGAGCCAATCTCCCTGATGATCAGATAATTACACCCCTGCCCTCTAAGGAGAATGGGCTTTAGCCCCTTTGCAGAAGCAGGTGAATGGGTGGAGAAAGATCAAACCCGAGAAGCGGAGAGGGGAGCTGGGGCACCTAACTGGAAAGTCTGAATCAGTGAACAGAATTAGAGAACGGGTGCAGAGGACCTCGAATGACAGAAAAGCTGTGAGGTTTCTCAGGGTGGCTGGTCTTCAAGACTTTCTCTGGCAGCTATGGGTTGTGCAAGAATTGGGTAGCGTCACTTTTGGGAAGAGCTGTTTTGAATCGGCTTCCCCTTTTCACATTCTTCGAAAAATGCAAATAAAGGATGGAGGTTGGTTTTCTGGGGGACTTTCGGCTTCTGTGCTGGGTCTCAATGTGGCTCCAGCATATAGAAGACGATGCCTCACTTCCTATCGTGGGCCACCTGCGTGGTAGGCAGTGGCCTTTCCCTCTCCACTTTACAGATGGAGAAGCCGAGACTCAGGCAAGCTGGCGAGCCCTGCCAAGATCACCGGGCTAGTTAAGCCGAAGAATCAAGATTCAAGTTCTCATGTTTGTCTGTCTGCAAAGCCAGTATGCTTTTCCTAACAAGACACCAGACTCTCTAATCTGCTGGTTTGATCAGTAAACCACTGTGACTCCATTTCCTTCCCCCCAGGCCCCATGAAGACTTTCCCCTCTCCTCATCCCCACTCTGACTCCACAGACTGAAAAGAGTTCACTGGTTCTTTGAAGTGGCATCTGAGCCATTTTTATTGTGAGCTCTGTCTCCCTGGCAGGTTAATCCACACCAGTGTGTCCATCTCAAACCCGGAGTCCCCAGAGTCAAGGGGCCGCTGATACGTACGTCTCCCCGTGCAATGCCTCACTTCCAAAGGAGAAGCCAGGCCAGGACTGGGCCCCTTTCTACTTCGTTTCTGTCCTTTTCTGGGCTTTCCCTCAGAGGCAGAAACTGGGCATAATATTCGTGAGTGGGGATGTCAGATCAGGGGTAGAGGGCCAGAGAGATGGAGAAGGGAAGGAAAAATGATGACGAGCAGATCCCAGGAGGGACACAAGCAGCTGGGGGTGGAGATGGCCAGTGGCCGTGGTGGGGGCAGGGGGAGGTGTGCATGTCAGGGCAGGTATTTAGATGGATTTCTGGGTAGCAAGGAGAGTGGAAGAGAACAGGGGCAGGAGTTTTGGAGGTTTGGGGTTACCCTCACCAAAAAGACTGGCTCTGAGCCAGGCACAAGGTTCTCCGCAGTGAGTGTGTGTGTGTGTGTGTGCGTGTGTGTGTGTGTGTGCGCACATGCGCGCAGGAGGAAGCCATGTGGCGGTGTCTGGGGAAACTCGGGGACTTCCCTGGCCCCCGCTGCCCCCAGTGCCTCTGCTGCAGCCCATCCAGTGTCAATGTTTGAGGATCACATAGTCCACATTTTCTTGTGCCTGAGGCCGCTCCCCGACCCCAAACTGGATCAGCTCTGAGTAATGAATCCCCTCATCTTCTGGAAAATCTGGAATGACGTTCTCATAGTCGCCCTGAGAAAACCGCATGGTGGTTAGCCTGGCCCCACTGTCGCCAGCCTCCACCGCCGCTTTTCTCCGCATTCTCTCCTTCATTCCACCCGGGGGTCCAAAAGCCCAGGCGGGTGTCCTCGTGTCAGGAAACTGGCTGTGGCCGGCATCCAGGACCTGGAGGTACCTGCCTGGCTCTGGCCAGCTCTGCCGGAGCAACCGTCTCCAACACCCAACCTCTGCCACCACGGATGCCTACCCAACTCCTTCCTATGTGGGACCCACCACTGAGGCCAGGCCCTGTCCCCAGCCTTCCACAGCCCCTCTGGGGAGACCTGGGGAGACCCTCCTTACCACTTGGCGCTTGTGCAATGCTGAATAAGTGACCGTGTCATCGCAGTCCGGGGGAGGTCTCTGCATCTCTGAGGACTCTGCATCTCTGAGAGACAGGGCAGATAGACGACCACGCATGAAGCATCTCCCACGAACTCTCCTCCCTCTCAACACCCAGAGCCCCCAACAGCACCCCAACCTCAGCCCCTTATGTAAAACCTGTGGCCTCCCCAGTGCCCAAAGCTCACAGTAGGAGCTCGTGCAAATGTGCGTGGAGGGAGTAGGCGTGGGTGTGTATCATGAGGTCTTGATCTTTGTGATAAGAACGGACTGGGCATGTGTGCTGCTGACTTGAAGGAGCAGGTCCACTTCTGGAGACTGGCCCTTACCCAGAGGCTTGTTGCCGAGTGGGAATGAGGCAGAGCATGTATCAGGGTGCCTGGCATGGGCCTGGCACAAAGAGGGCAGGCGGGACAGAGCTTTTCCTCCCGCCTCCCTCCCAGGGTGCAGGGTCACCCTCCTGGTACCCTCAGTACCCAGTTCGTGGTATGTTCATCTCGGGAAAGCGCAGGGTGGTGTAGCTAATGCCATCTTCCATCATTGGATTGTAGCATCCCAGGGAGTGGGGGCCTTCAGAGAGGGGGGCCCTTCTAACCTGGGAGGGAGACGAGGATGAAGTGCTAACCACCTGTTCCCCAACCCTCGTCCCCTTCCCTGGCCTCTGACAGCCCAGGTCTCCTCAGAGGACATTTTATCCCCTTCCTTCACCTTGTTTCCCCACTCAGCTTCACAGTCTGCCTCATGCCTACCCTTTTTTTTTTTTTTTTTTTTTTTTTGAGGCAGAGTCTCAGTATGTCACCCAGGCTGGAGTGCAATGGCGCAATCTTGGCTCACTGCAACCTCTGCCTCCCAGGTTCAAGCGATTCTCCTGCCTCAGCCTCCCGAGTAGCTGGAATTACAGGCATGGACCATCACGCCCGGCTAATTTTTAAAATATTTTTTGTAGAGACAGGGTTTCACCATGTTGGCTACGCTGGTCTCGAACTCCTGACCTCAGGTGATCCACCTGCCTCAGCCTCCCAAAGTGCTGGGATTACAGGCATGAGCCATCGTGCCCAGCCCCATCCTACCTTTTTATTCCTCACAAAGAAGCTCTGGCCGCTGGAATTCTCCTGAAGCCCCTGCTGGCTCTGTGTCCTCTTCCAACTGAGAAATAAAGGCACATGTGTGAGGGTCAGGGACTCCACAGGCTGGAGGCTTCGAGATGGAGCAACTGGACACGGGCCTCTGCCAAGGGATAGAGGAGGTGGTGGGGGATGGCAGGAGCTCACCGTCGCTGGAGCTTGAGCCCACAGATTGCCAGGATGAGGATGGCGAGGCAGGACCCGAGTCCCACAGCCACTCGCCTGCCGATGGTCTCCGGGCTATCTGGGTGGAGAAAGGAGAGACCTTAATCAACTGAGGGGCCAGCTCTCCCTGGCAGCCTTTGCCTGGAAGGCATCCTGGACTTCTCTCTGCAGCCAGACTCGTCCTTCTCCCCTGCATGCGTGCAGGGGTGCAGAGGAAGAGGGTGACAACGGCCCCTGCTTGCTCTGGGCCTCCCTTTAGGAATAAGGCACTAATTCTCCTGAGGAGCTGCTTTTCCCACAGACGTGGCACGCCCAGAGCCTGTGACCCGCACCCGCATAAATGGGTGCAGCTCTTCACGGCAGTATAGCTGTGTGATCAGCTCTGAAAGTGCACCTGTCTTCCACCCAGCAATTCCACATGGGAATGCATCTTGCAACTGTCCTTGCAGGCGTGCCCAAAACAAGAGGCTGCAGACCTAGGCCCTGAAGAGGGCACTGGGAGGAGGATGTATGCAACCTTCATACGCGAGGACTCCATGGCCCCAGGAAAAAGAGGAGGCTCTCAGGCTGTCTGCAAAGGGGATACCCAGGGAACAATGGTTTTATATGATGGGATGTGTCTGTTACATTTCCAGATAACATGTTTCAGATGTTTTCCTTTGGCCTTCGGCCGTGCTGGTGATGGTTCCCTAGATTGACTGATTGATTGATTGAGACAGAGTCTCGCTCTTTCACCCAGGCTGGAGTGCAGTGGTGAGATCTTGGCTCACTGCAACCTCTGCCTCCCGGGTTCAAGCGATTCTCCTGCCTCAGCCTCCCGAGTAGTTGGGACTACAGGTGCGCGCCACCACACCCAGCTAATTTTTGTATTTTTAGTAGAGATGGGGTTTCACCATTGGCCAGGCTGGTCTGGAACTCCTGGCCTCAAGTGATCCACCCACCTTGTGGCCTCCCAAAGTGCTTGTGGCCACCCACTTTGGCCTCCCAAAGTGCTGGGATTACAGGCGTGAGCCACTGTGCCTGGTCAGGTTCCCTCAATTTAAGGCCATGTTTCCAATTATTAATCTGAAAAAGTACAATAAATTAATTAGGTATCTTCCATATGCTTTCAGACTCTTTTTTGTTGTTGTTATTGTTTTGTTTGTTCGTTTTTAAAATTTTTTTTGGTATTTTTTGTAGAGATGAGATCCTGCTATGAGGTGTGGGCTATGTTGCCCAGGCTGGTCTCAAACTCCTGGGCTCAAGTGATCCTCCCACCATGGCCTCTCAAAGTGTTGGGATTACAGGCATGAACCACCATGCCCAGCCTCCAGACTTTAGACACTCTGTGTATGCATAGATACAGAACAATGTCCAAACAGTATTATTACATGGAAAAAAGCAAAGAAAATTCCCAGGCAAAGTGTGGGCTCTGCCTCGTCTGTGTCATGAGGAAGGGTATATAGGCACAGACCTCTGTGTGTGAATTGTGCGTGTGAAAAATACCCCTGGAGGAGATGGGAAGACTGTGTGCAGTGAGATGGGAAGACTGTGTGCAGTGAGGACCTTTGGTGGGGATGAGAGTTCTCAGGGATCAAGAGTGAGCCGCGTCTGTCTTTCCACTATTTACCCTTTCATGCTTACATTTTATTTTTTTACCAGGTGCTTGTATGATCTGTTTAAAAACCACTCAAGTTTACTACTGTGGAGGCCGAGGCAGGAGTATCACTTGAGCCTAGGGGGTCGAGGCTGCAGGAGCTGAGATTGTGCCACTGCACTCCAACCTGTGCAACAGGGTGAGACCCTGTCTCAAAAAAAAAAAAAAAAAATCAGCCGGGTGCGGTGGCTCACGCCTGTAATCCCAGCACTTTGGAAGGCCGAGGCGAGCGGATCACGAGGTCAGGAGACTGAGACCACGGTGAAACCACATCTCTACTAAAAATACAAAAAATTAGCCGGGCATGGTGGCAGGCGCCTGTAGTCCCAGCTACTCGGGGAGCTGAGGCAGGAGAATGGCGTGAACCCGGGAGGCAGAGCTTGCAGTGAGCCGTGATCACGCCACTGCACTCCAGCCTGGGTGACAGATCGAGACTCCGTTTAAAAAAAAAATCATTTACGTTTTAAAAGATAAAAACAAGGAGCCTGTCAGGGCTGAGAGAGACAGAGTAGTCAGAGAGAGAGAGACAGGGACCCAGTAGGAGCTCAGGACTTCTGGAAGGTGGAGCAGCCTGAGAGGGGACCCTAGAGGGAGGCAGGAGAGACTGCAGGGGAGGTAGAAAAAGAGAGACTGGTGACGCAGGACAAGACGACTCCTCCAGCACAGCGGCAGATGGCCTGGAGCAAGGGGTGTGAATGGGAAAGGGGACAGTGAGGTGGGGAAGAAGGGGCCAGCTGGTCTGGAAGGCTTTTCGGGAAGTCACTGGAGGAGACAGGGCCAGAGAGGAGCATGAGAGGAAACAGGGAGAGGCACAGTGGCTCATGGCTCTAATCCCAGGGCTTTGGGAAGCTGAGGCAGAAGGGTCACTTGAGGTCAGGAGTTTGAAACCAGCCTGGTCAACATAGTAAGACCCCATCTCTACAAAAATGTAAAAATTAGCCGGATGTGGTGGTGCATGTCTATAGTCCCAGCTACTCAGGAGGCTGAGGCGAAAGGATTGCTTGAGCCCAGGAATTGGAGGCTGCAGTGAGGTGTCATTATGCGACTGCACTCCAGCCTGGGTGACAGAGTAAGACCTTGTCTCTATAAGAAGAAGAAGAAGGAAGGAGAAGGAGAAGAAAGAGGAGGAGGAGAGGGAGAAAGCAGAAGAAGAAGAAGAAGGAGGAAGAGGAGGAGGAGGGGAAGAAGAGGAGGAGGAAAAGAAAGAGAGAAAGAAAGGAAGGAAGGAAGGAAGGAAGGAAGGAAGGAAGGAAGGAAGGAAGGACTGACCACCACCAAGAAGAACAAGAGCAGGAAGAGGCCTTACAGTAGACGGTGAGGGTGCTGAGAGGCGAACGGCCCTTGCCCACACTGTTGGTCCCCTGGCACCAGTAGGCACCCGAGTGCTGGACCTTCACCGGCTCCAATCTCAGCTTCTGGCTGTGGTAGGGGAGGCTTTGGTTATTCCAGTCAAACCAGGTGTAGTGGGAGACGGGAGGGTTGGCGTCGCTCTCACAGGTCAGGGTTGCACTCTTCCCCTCCATCACTTGGTCCCCCGGGCTCATGGACACACGCAGCCTCCTGGGTGCATCTGCATGGCGGGCAGGGGGAGGGGGTGCGAAGTCACTACCAGGCAGGCCACTGGTCCCTTCTCTGCTCCACTCCCAGCCTCCGGCCCTCACTCACACAGCACTTCAAGTGTCCAGGCCTTGGACGCTGTCTGTCCTATGGAGTTGTTCACCCAGCAGCTGTAACTCCCAGCATCTTCTGGGGAGATGGAGTCAAAATTCAGCTGGCTTTCTTTCCCCAGAAGCCTGCCATTTTTCTCCCAGAAGAACTGGACTTCTTTGGGGTGGCTGCTTGAGAAGTCACATTGGAGGCTGACCGAGTTTCCAGAGTGAATCTCGGAAAGGGGCTTGATTTTCCGGACCCTCACGTCTCGGGGGGCATCTGGAGGGCAAGGGTCCCAAGCTGACCTCTCCGCTCCCTGTCCCTTTTGCTGTCCCCAGGCCTCCCCTCCCCTTGGCCCTGACGCCAGGCTCCTGTCCCTCAATTCTGTTGAAGACACTGGCCCAGGCTCCGGCCTCGTTGCCTTCATCCCCTCATCCCAGCCGGGCCACCTCCCAGATCCCCCTGCCTAGCCCAGGGACTCACACTGGACATTCAGGGCGACAGGGGAGGCCCACGAGCACCAACTATTACAAGCTGCGCAGGCGATGGTTGTGTTGTCCCAGCCAACGTTTTGGATCTTCAGCACCCCAAGCGATGGCTCCTCCCAGGCGCCATGGGGTTTCCATTCATACCGGGTAACACTGGGGTTACTGGAATTGTAGTTACAGGAAAGGGTCACTGTGTCTCCTTCTCGAATCGGCATGGGGTTTTGAATCACTGTGGTCACCTTCTTGGGAGGATCTGGAAGAAAACCAGAGAGGTGAGTAAAGAAAAGCCAGCTGTCCACAGTACCCCTTCCCTCCTGCTTCCTCTTCTCCCGCTACCTGTCCCGGGCATCTGCACAGGTCCTAAATTAATCAAAGGGGGGCTTGTGCGTCCTTCCTGCATCTGTGTGAGAACAGAAACCCTGCCCTGGCTCTCTGGCCTGGCTGTGGTTTGGTGCAGGGGTTCAGGGCACAGCGCTGAAGCCAGACGGCTGCTGAGAGGCGCACGGGCATGGGCTGCAGGTCTCAGTTTACACGTCTGTCAAATGGGGTCCTGAGGCCGGGCATGGTGGCTCACGCTTGTAATTTCAGCACTTTGGGAGGCTGAGGTGGGCAGATCACCTGAGGTCAGGAGTTCGAGACCTGGCCAACACAGCAAAACCCTGTCTCTACTAAAAATTTTAAAAATTAGCTATGCATGCTGGTGCATGTCTGTAGTCCCAGCTACTCAGGTGGTCGAGGCAAGAGAATCGCTTGAACCCGGGAGGTGGAGGTTGCAGTGAGCCGAGATCAAGCCACTGCACTCCAGCCTGGGCAACAGAGGGAGACTCCATCTTAAAAACAAGAGGCAGTGCGGGGTGGGTGGGGGGTGAGTCCTGAGAGTTCCTAACCTCCTGGGAATTGTTTCAAGAAGGAAATGAGATGACTCCCTTAGAGCAGAGTGTGGCGTGTGGCAAACACTCCACAAACATCACTGTGGCTGCTGTGGTCACGCATCCAGCTGTCTGAGATGCTCAGGATTTGGGCACCCCTGTCCTGTTAGCACATATGACATCTCAGGGTCCAAGGATCGAGCTTATGTGTTCTTTTTGTCCTGTGCTCTACATGGTAACAAGATTCACTGTGTTAAAAGGGTCTTACAATGGAGAGGTAATGAGACAGTTTGCCCCAGTTCTCATTAAAAATTTCAAGATCTCTCAAGACTCAGCCACTGCCTAGGGACGCTAAGTCTCTGTGTCCCTCATGGAGTCCTGGTATCTTGCAGTTAATTATTCTTTTTTTTTGGAGACAGAATCTCACTCTACCCAGGCTAGAGTGCAGTGACATGATCTCAGCTCATTGCAACCTCTGCCTCCTGGGTTCAAGCGATTCTCCTGCCTCAGCCTCCCAGGTAGGTGGATTTCAGGTGCCTGCCACCATGCCCGGCTAATTTTTTGTATTTTTAGTAGAGACAGGGTTTCGCCATGTTGGCCAGGCTGGTCTCGAACTCCTGACCTCAGGTGATCTGCCCACCTTGGCCTCCCAAAGTGCTGGGATTACAGGCGTAAGCCACCATGCCTGGCCAATCCATTCTTTTTTTTGAGACAAGGTCTCACTCAGTCACCCAGGCTGGAGTGCAGCGGCATGATCACAGGCTCACTGCAGCCTCTACTTCCAGGCTCAGGTGATCCTCCCACCTCAGCCTCCTGGGTAGCTGAGACTACAGGCATGCATGACCATGCCAGGCTAATTTTTTTTTGTAGAGATGGGGTTTTACCATGTTGCCCAGGCTGGGCTTGAACTCGTGGCCTCAAGTGAGCTGCCTACCTTGGCCTCCCAAAGTGCTGGGATTACAAGTGTGAGCCACTGTGCCCAGCTCACACCTATAATCCCAGTCCCAGCATTTTCTTTTTCTTTTTGAGACCCAGGTCTTGCTCTGTCACCCAGGCTAGAGTGCAGTAGCAGGAACATAGTTCAGTCTGCAGCCTTCACTTCCTGGGCTCAAGTGATTCTCCCTCCTCAGCCTCCCCAGTAGCTGGGACCACAGGCACGCACCACCATGCTCAGCTAATTTTTGTATTTTTTTGTAGAGATGGTATCTCGCTGTGTGGCCCAGGCTGGTTTCAAACTCCTGGGTTCAAGAGACCCTCCTGCCTCAGCCTCCTAAAGAGCTGGGATTGCAGGCGGGAGCCACCGCACCTGGCCTCATTCATTCAACAAGCATCTACAGGCCGGGTGCGGTGGCTCACGCCTCTAATCCCAGCACTTTGGGAGGCCGAGGCGGGTGGATCACGAGGTCAGGAGATCGAGACCATCCTGGCTAACACGGTGAAACCCCGTCTCTACTAAAAGTACAAATAATTAGCCGGGCGTGGTGGCGGGCGCCTGTCATCCCAGCTACTCAGGAGGCTGAGACAGGAGAATGGCATGAACCCGGGAAGGTGGAGCTTGCAGTGAGCCGAGATTGTGCCACTGCACTCCAGCCTGGGAGACAGAGGGAGACTCCATCTCAAAAAAAACTAAAACACAAAAAAACAAGCATCTACCAAGCACCCTCCATGAGCCAGGCCCTATGCTAGGAGCTGAGACAGCAGTTGTGAACAGGAGACCCTGGCTGCTCCTTGCTCTTGACTCCAGGACCCCGGAATGCCCTGCACCCCATCTGCCTTCCCCGTTCCCTGTGTCCATCTTCTCTCCCTAGAACCAGAGGCTCCGTGGCTACTCACACTGGACATCCAGCTCAGCTCCCGGGCCCCTCTGTCCAGTACCAAGAATGTTTTCTGCCACACAGGAATAAGTCCCAGCGTGCCAGGGGAGGATCTTTGGGATGTGGACTTTCTCCTCTGTCCTTCCCTGCATTTCTTTCCCATTGTGGTACCACGTGTAATTTGTTGGAAGAGGATTGGCCAGTGACATGCAAAGAAACTCGACTTGACTTCCCTCCACAGCCGGTGAGTGGAGGATCTGAACCGTGGAAGGTTCCGGGGCATCTGGAAGAGGGGGCAGAGGCGAGTGGAGGGGTGAGGAGAGCACCCCCAACCTGTGCACACGGCCCCGAGAGCCCCCGTGGCTCCCCTCTCCGGGTCCACCCCTGCTACCTCCCTGCCTGGCCTGTCCCCAGCTCCGAGGGGCTCACACTGCACTTGCAGGAACACTTCTTCCGACCTTCCCGGGCCCACGTCATTGGAGACCTGACAGCAGTACTTCCCACTCTGGTCCTTGGTCACTTCGCGCAGGTTTAGCGTGAATGTATTCTGCTTCTTCAGCGAGGTCCCATCCTTGAGCCAGGATACCGTCGTGTACTCCGGGTTGCTGCTGCTGACCTCGCAGGTCATGGTCACAGAGTCCCCCTCCCTCACTATGGCATCACTGGGAGTGACCTTGATCTCCAACTTCGGGGTGTCTGGAGGAGCAGAGGGGCAGTCGGGGAGGGGGCGGGGAATCCTCAGAGGGTGGAGGGTGTGGAAAGTGCTTTTATTCTGACAAAGCCATGGCCTGCCAGTCCCTTCACCCAGGTGATGGTCACAGCCTCCTAACTCGGCTCTCAGCTTCCCCCTCCCACTTCCTCTACTTCTTGGTCTCCACCAGCAGCACGCAGGGTTCCTAACACCATCTACCAGACCTCGCCAATCCTGCTGGAAACCACGAGCGGGTTCTGTGCTTTGCATAGAATCCCAAACCCTCACCTCAGCCCTCGGGATCCAGAGTCCTGCTCCATCTCCTGCCTCCTGTCCTACCATGTGGCCCTCAGAGGCGGTGAACTTCAGCCTCTGAGGTCCTCCCACCCAGCTGCTGCCTCAAAGCTTTGAACCTGCCCTTCTCTTTCCCTGAAATCCTCCTCTCCCAAATATGTGCCGGCCTCAGCCACTCCCTCCGTTCCAGTCAGCTTAAGTGCTCACCTTCTTTTTTTTTCTTTTTTTGAGATGGAGTCTCACTCGTCACCCAGGTTGGAGTGCAGTGGTGCGATCTCAGCTCACTGCAAGCTCCGCCTCCTGGGTTCATGTCATTCTCCTGCCTTGGCCTCCCAAGTAGCTGGGACTACAGGCGCCTGCCATCATGCCTGGCTAATTTTTTGTATTTTTACTAGAGATGGGGTTTCACCATGTTAGCCAGGATGGTCTCGATCTCCTGACCTTGTGATCCCCCCGCCTCGGCCTTCCAAAGTGCTAGGATTACAGGCGTGAGCCACCGCACCCGGCCTAAGTGCTCACCTTCTTAGAGAGGTCTCTCTCCATCACTCCCCTCTCTCGGCCTTATTTTTTTCCTAACACACATATCACTACCTACAATAGTGTTGTATATTTCTTTGTTAACATTGCTTTGTTCCAGATTCTAATGTCTTGGCTCATGCTCTGTATTTCTTTGGTAATCCATTTGTTGTCTGTCTCTTTCACTGCAGCGCTGGCTCCGCGTGGGGCAAGAGTTTTGCTCACTGCTGCACCCTGCCCACCGCCCCATGCCCCCCATTGGCAGCCGTAATAAGGCCTGGTACCTAGTAGGTTCATGATACGTATTTATTGAATGAATGAGGCACAAGATAATGATGCGAAAAAAATCCCCACCAAGAGGGGAACAAAAAGACCTAACCAGATAATCCCCAATTCATGTCATGGCTTGAGGATGGACCATTTTATTCTGTTAGGCTAGAGCAAATCTTTTTCCCGAAACACCAGGGCTGACAAGGCGGCGTGACCAGGGCTGGAGGATGCCGCCGTCTGTGCAGGCTTCCCCCTGCCCTGGGTGCATGCCCCCTGCGGGGCTGGGGAGAAGGTGACACAGACCTTGCCCTTCCCACAGGCATGCCGGGGAGACTCACGCTTCACGTTCAGCTGCACCGTGTCATTGGAGAGGAACTTCCCATCTGCATCCTGAAGCTGGCAGGTCACAATCTTCCCATGGTGACTCCACTGTGGGGAGAACTTGAGCTCGCTCCGGGTGAAGACAGACTTGATGGTCAAGGAGGTCGAGGTGACAGCAGCCTGCCTCATTGGAACCCCCTCTAGGAGCCACTGCAATTGGATCGGATACCCATAGCAGGAGAAATTCAGCAAGCAGGTCAGAGTGACTTCCTGGGACTCTTGAATTTCTGGAGGGAGCTGGATATGAGGTGGAAAAGGCCTTTCTGCAAAAGAACAGAGCCCGTGCAGGAGCCTGGGGGACTGAGGACGTGAGCGTACACCTGGCTTTAGATGTCCTGTCCCAAATCACCCCTCAGGAACCCCTTGCCACTTCATTCCACCTCTCTCCAGTCCTGCTTTGTTTTTTTGTTGTTATTGTTGTTGTTGTTGTGTTGTTGTTTTTTTGAGATGGAGTTTCCCTCTGTCACCCAGGCTGGAGTGCAGTGGCGCGATCTTGGCTCGCTGTAACCTCTACCTCCCCAGTTCAAGTGATCCTCCTGCCTCAGCCTCCCGAGTAGCTGGGATTACAGGTGCCCACCACCACACCCAGCTAATTTTTCTGTATTTCTAGTAGAGACAGGGTTTCGCCATGTTGGCCAGGCTGGTCTTGAACTCCTGACCTCAAGTGATCCTCCCGCCTTGGCCTCCCAAAGTGCTGGGATTACAGGTGTAAGCCACCACACCCGGCCTCTTTTTTTCTTTAGAGACAGGGTCTTGCTTTGTCACCCAGGCTGGAGTGCAGTGGCGCAATCCTAGCTCACTGTAGCCTCAACCTCCTAGGCTCAAGCAATCCTCTCACCTCAGCCCCCTGAGTAACTGGGACTACAGGCATGTGCCACCACACCTAGCTAGTTTTTTAAACATTTTGTAGAGACAGGGTCTTGCCATGTTACCCAGGCTGGTCTCAAACTCCTGGGCTCAAACGATCCTCCGATCTCAGCCTCCCAAAGTGCTGGGGTTACAGGCGGGAACCACTGCACCCAACGCAGTCCTGCTTTTCTCCACTTTGAATCACTTTTGCTCACCCGAAATCCCCTCTGAAAGGCCTTGACCACACTAAGCCTCCTTGGGAACTGTGATCTACTTTTCTTTCATGCTCATTGCCGGATGTCTGCTTTCTGAATGATTGCAAAGTTCTATTCCCACCACCTCACCACCTCTTTTTTTTTTTTTTTTTTTTTTGAGACAGAGTCTCGCTCTGTCGCCCGGACTGGAGTGTAGTGGCGTGATCTCAGCTCACTGCAAGCTCCACCTTCCGGGTTCACGCCATTCTCCTGCCTCAGCCTCCTGAGTAGCTGGGACTACAGGCGCCTGCCACCACGCCTGGCTAACTTTTTGCATTTTTAGTAGAGACAGGGTTTCACTGTGTTAGTCAGGATGGTCTCGATCTCCTGACCTTGTGATCCGCCTGCCTCGGCCTCCCAAAGTTCTGGGATTACAGGCGTGAGCCACCGTGCCCGGCCTATTCCCACCACCTCTAAGTGAATTTTATCAGTTTAGTTCACGGACTTTTCAGCTTTGACAAACTTGTGTTACTTTCATGGCTTCCTTCAGTATTGCAGCCATCCACGCACCGCATTCCTTTAGTGGAGTGGGTCTGTGTGCACCCAGCCTCAGCTCTCCCCAAGGCTGGACCACCTCCTTCAGACAGCGGGGTCTGAAGTTGCATTGCTCACCCCAAATTTAAGGCTGCTCAGAACTGCCCATCCGGGAAACGGTGTGGAACGGAGTGACCACACTCCCTGTGGCAGGGGCCCCCCACACCTGTGTTTGATGGGTCAAAGCCACCCCTACATGTGCAGTGCTATAACTGAACCTATGTTATAAAAATTATAAGATGTTCGTTTTACTTCTTTTCTTTTCTCTTTGTCCTTTCCTTCCTCCATGCATGATTAGTTACATTTGGTCATTTCAGTAGCAGGTAACCATTAATTCACTCATAATTGTTTAACTTACATCCTGACTCCCTGGCAGCTGCCTGCAAGATAAATGAACTTGTCTCTCTTTCAAAGAACAATGATCCTTAGGTCACACAGACCTCCTTGATGACATCCAGAAATTTGATGAGCCGAGGGGCACAACAGCTTTGACGATCGGGAGGTCACCTCCTGCACACCTACTTTACTCATAAAAGCCCCCACTAACGCTCAAAGTCAGGTCAGATTTGAGAGTTTCTCTCTTCTGTCCCCTTGCTTTGGCTAAATTAAATAATCCTATCTCAGCTTCTAAGCACTGAGGTGTCAGTGTTTGGCTGACTACGCATCGGGAGCTCAAACCTGGCCTTTGGGGTTCAACAACAGTGTCATCTGACCTTGAAGAGCTCATGAGAACTTGCCATGAACATTAACATGCTGGGAGATTTCACTGGAAAATCTAGATTTCCATCGTCTCTTGAAAAATCAGAAGATCAGGCCGGGTGCGGTGACTCATGCCTGTAATCCTAATGCTTTGAGAGGTTGAAGCAGGAGGATTGCTTGAGGCCAGGAGTTCAAGACCAGCCTGGCAACATAGCAAGACCCATTTCTACAACAAATTAAAAAGTTAGCTGGGCATGGTGGCATGCACCTGTGATCCTAGCTACTTTGGAGGTGGGAGGATTGCTTGAACCCGGGAGATCAAGGCTGCAGTGAGCTGAGATCGCGCCACTGCACTCCAGCCTGGGTGATGACAGTGCGAGACCCTGTCTCATAAAAAGGGAAAGGAAGGGGAAGGGGAAAAGAAGAGGAAAAAAAGTAAAACAAACATTTTATGATTTTTATAACACAGGCTCAGTTATGGCACTGCACATGTAGGGGTGGATTTGACCCATCAAACACAGGTCTGGGGCCTCTGCCCTAGGGAGTGTGGTTACTCCGTTCCACACCCAGTTTCCTCTATAGGGAGCTCTGAGCAGCCCTAAGTTTGGGGTGAGCGATGCAGCTTCAGACCCCAATGTCTGAAGGGGGCGGTCCAGCCTGGGGGAGAGCTGAGGCTGGTTACATGCAGACCCACCCCACTAAAGGAATGCGGTGCTTGGATGGTTCCAGTACTAAGGCCAAACACGAGTTTGTCACAAAAGCTGAAAAATACATGGTGAGAAAGAAAGAGGGAAAGATCAGGAGATCCGATAACTTTGGAATCCAGGTCCCAGAGGGGCAGGAACTGAGGGTCAGATGGGACATCCGAGGTCCCGCAGCTCTGTCTAGTGCTGCTGCATCGCCATCGTCATCCGCTGGCGTCCCCTGCCTGAGCTCTGCAGGAAGCTCGGTTTGTGAGCTCTGTGCCAGGAGTCAGGTATTTCCTGCCTCCCACTCACCCCTGCCCAGAGCAGAGGACCCGCTCCCCGAAGGCCTTACCAGAGACATTGAGGTGTATTCGTTCCATCCATTTCTCAGTCTTGGACTCCATCCTCAGCCCCAGCTGACCACTGTCATTGAGGTGCACCGGGTGGATACTCAGTGTGCAGTTCTTATTCTTGTCTCCCAGGAATTGCACCCTTTTCTGCTCAGAAGGAACCTTCCCATCCTTTGTGCTTTCATAGAGTCTTGTCCCATCAAACTTCGAGGTGTTCTTGTTATACTCAGGATTGTGGAACAGGATGAAGCTTTCCAGGTCACCATCTAGGGCTCTGTAGGTGCAGGGGATCCAGACGCAGGCCCCCTCCCAGGCGTAGAGGGTTTCAGGGTGCTCAAAAACCCATTTACTTGAGTCAGAGAAAGCCAAGTATTCTAGAACTCACCACAGTGATCAGAAAGCATTACTAAGGGGGCATGAGAGCCTTCTTTTAAAAGTTATTTTTTATTTTAAAATTTGTTTAATTTTTTATTCTTTTTAGAGATAGGGGTCTTGCTATGTTGTCCAAGCTGGCCTTGAACTCCTGACCTCAAGTGATCCTCCCACCTCAGCCTCACAAAGTGCTGAGATTTCAGGCATGAGCCACTGCACCCAGCAGAGAGCTTTCTAAAGACTAAAGAATTCCCTCTGAAGATAGTGGGAGAAATACAGAGATACACAAAGACAGCAGGATGCAATGAGAGAAGTGTATGTATATATGGGAAACATATATATTTGTATGTACATTTATCTATACACACCGCTGCCCCCACCCTACCCTATGTTGACGCCTCTCTGCCTGGGTCTTTCCTCCTCCTCCAGTGCCCACTGACATCCCAGAACCCCAGTACTAGCCCAGGCCACAGTCCTTACCCAGGAGCAGGAGCCAGGGGCCGAGGAGATGCATGGTGTCGTGTCTGGGTGCAAGCCTGAGCAGGGGAGAGTTTGTCTTTGAGCCATCTGGCCGCTTACTTCTTCCACGTGGCTTTTCTTGCTCACCCACTGAGCTCCGACCCTTCCCCTGGATCCGGGAGGACCGGGTCTGGTTGCATTATGGGGATGTGGCATTTGGGATGCTCACGGAGTTCTTTCTTTTTTTTTGAGACAGAGTCTTGCTCTGTCTCCCAGGCTAGAGTGCAGTGGTGTGATCTCCGCTCACTGCAACCTCTGCTTCCCAGGCTCAAGCGTTTCTCTGGCCTCAGCCCCCCAAGTAGCTGGGTAAAGGCAGGTGCCACCACGCCTGGCTGATTTTTGTATTTTCAGTAGAGATGGGGTTTCACCATGTTGGCCTGGCTGGTCTTGAACTCCTGATCTCAGGTGATCTGCCAGCCTTGGCCTCCCAAAGTGCTGGCACTACAGGTGTGAGCCACCACTCCTGGCCGGGAGTTTTTTCTGAGTGTGCTGCACCTCTCCTTCAAACTGAGAGCCCTGCGGGGGCAGCCTCTCTCTCTTCCCAGAACTCCTTCCTTTCTTCCTTCCTTCCTCCCTTGCTTGCTTTTTCCCATCCATCCATTCATCCATCTCTAATTTTATAAACTTCCTGCCTGGCTCACAGGCTTTGAGTGGCACCAGACCACTGAGTGCTTTGAATGCCAGGCCCCGGGTAACGTGGAGCTCTCTCTGGTGCTACTCATCAAGGATTATACTCAGGGACAGACATGGTCAAAACTTGGTTTGAAAGACCAGGTAAAAAGGAATTCTAAAACCAGTAACAAAGTATGGGTGAGCCAGGCGCAGTGGCTCACACCTGTAATCCCAATACTTTGGGATGCCAAGGCAGGCAGATCACTTGAGGTCAGGAGTTCAAGACCAGCCTGGCCAACATGGCAAAACCCCATCTTTACTCAAAATGCAAAAAATTAGCCAGGCGTGGTGGCGTACACCTGTAATCCCAGATACTCATGAGGCTGAGGCAGGAGAATTGCTTGAACCCGGGAAGTAGAAGTTGGAATGAGCCGAGATCATGCAACTGCACTCCAGCCTGGGCGACAGGGCAAGACCCTGTCTCAAAAAGATAAAAAATAAACTAAAAATGTACAGAGCTGGTCAAACAAAACCTATCTGTGGGTTAGGTTCTGCAACTGTTGCCCATCTTTCTTTCTTTCTCTGCAGTGAGCTTGTCCTCTACCATCCCTGACCTCTGCATAGAGTTATATTTACATAGAGTTAAATTTAAGTCCCAATTTACATGATCATGGCCCTCCGTGCTGGCCCCCGGGGACCCTGAAGGATGTGACAGCAGAGTGTGTCTCCGGTCTCAGCACCAACCCAAGCCCCTCCCACTCACCTGCCAACATTTCACACGCATCAATGTTCCTCTCTCTGTCTGTTTATCTCCTCGGGCCACATGGCTCATGCCAAAGGCTGCTGGGTATCTGTTCATGGGTGTGCGGAAAGCTAAGCTGCTTGCCGACAGCAGGAAGGGGGTCTGGCCTGGGCTAAGCATGAATTTGGGGTGCAGGGTCTGAAGCTGAGGCAGATTCCCCAGGCAGAGCTGACATCAGCCCCGCAGGTACTCATCATGTCACATGCAAAAAACATCTTCAAGGTCACATACACTTGAGAAAGGCAGGGTAAAAGAGTTAAGTAAGATTCTTTTTTTTTCTTTTGAGACAGAGTCTCATTCTTCTGTCGCCCAGGCTGAAGTGCAGTGGTGTGATCTCAGTTCACTGCATCCTCTGCCTCCAGGGTTCAAGTGATTCTCCTGCCTCAGCCTCCTGAGTAGCTGGGACTATAGGCATGTGCCACCACACCCGTCTGATTTGTTTGTTTGTTTGTTTGTTTTAGTAGAGATGGGGTTTCACCATGTTGGCCAGGCTGGTTTCAAACTCCTGACCTCAGGTGATCCCCCCAACTTGGCCTCCCAAAGTGCTGAGATGACAGGCGTGAGCCACCGCACCTGGCTTAAGTAAGATTCTTTACTGCAGGACTTTAAAAACCTTTCAGTAAACTCTATCTACACCATTAATCTCTAGACATGGGGATTAGAGTATAGTATAATACATTGTCCATACTTCTTTGGCCATGGGATCTATTTTACATGTTCCATAAAAAACTTAGCAGGGTTGCAGAGCCAGAGTTCTTTGAAATCCCCTTAAGGTTACCTAAGGGGTAACAAGGGCTGTGGCAAGGACTAGACTCCGTTCCCTGCAGCCAACACTTGCCTCCAGGAGCCGGGCCATTGTCCCTCCTCTGCCAGCACCCTCCAGCCACAACCTGCTCTGGGACGGGCTGGAGCATCCCAGCATGAGTGGGAGATGGGCGCCTCCAGAGCAGGACTGTGTGCTGCCTCAAGGAGCTCCAGGAGTCTCTGGAGCACAGGAGTAGGGCCCCAGGCCCGGGAATTGGAAGGCTGAGGGTGGGGTGGAGGTTAGGGACAGCAGTTATTATGCACAGAGGCTCAGGACAGGGCCATGCTGTCCAGACCTCCTCAGTCCAGGCCTGTTGAGGGCCTTGCAGAACCTTGGGGCTGACCTCCCTGGCTCCTTCTTCCCTCCTGGGCATCCAATAACCTACCCTACTCTCAGAAGACTCAGCAGGCCTGGCAAGGAGGATGCTCAAGACAGGGGTCTGTCTACAACCTGTTGTAACACCGGTAAGAGAGAGCCAGGGAGGTCCCCACTGTGTTCCCAGCTCTGGGAGGTATGCCTGGCCCATAACTGCTGTTCCGTAATAACTTGCTTGTTGAATGCAAAATAAAAGCAAAATGATTTTTACCTGTTTCCGCGTGTCTTCCCTCTTCAGGGACCCTGGCAGCATCTGAGAGCAAAAGGAGAAGTACAGTAAAGTCTCTGGTGACAGAGGTTTCCCCTCCATGGCCACACCCCCTGCTTCTCTATGGCTCTGAGGGGGACCAAGCAGCACCGTGATCTGGGGAGTGGGGAAAAGAGACGATTGAGGGGGATGCGGGCTCGGAGTCAGATTGGAAGACTCGAATACGTATGGGCAGTTCTTCCTTTCCGTGTATGGGTTTGCAATATCAGATCAGTTTCAGAATGGGCTCCTCCACAACTCCCCCTCTACCCAGCTCTCAGGAAATGCGAATGACTCAAGCCAAGCAGGAGAACTGCAGCCCGCTGAAAAAGGCACAGGCCTACCTGAAAGTATTTGTAGTTTAGTGACACCATCCAGTTATTACCATTTCCACTCTTTTCATCATAGGCATAAATGGTGGGGAATCTGACCACCTACACTGAAGCCCCCAAGGGTTGAGGGAGGAGCACATAGATATTGAGGAGGAAAAAGATATCTCGGCCGGGTGCGGTGGCTCATGCCTGGAATCCCAACACTTTGGGAGGCTGAGGCGGGTGGATCACTTGAGGTCAGGAATTCGAGACCAGCCTGGCGAACATGGTGAAATTCCGTCTCTACTAAAAATACAAAAAATTAGCTAAGTGTTTTGGCAGGCGCCTGTAGTCCCAGCTACTCAGGGGGCTGAGGCAGGAGAATCACTTGAGCCCAGGAGGCGGAGGCTGCAGTGAGAAGAGATCACACCACTGCAGTCCAGCCTGGGTGACAGAGTGAGACTCTGTCTCAAAAAAAAAAAAAGAAAGAAAGAAAGAAAGAAAGAAAAAGAAAAGATATCTTGTAGGACTGGGCATGGTGGCTCATGCCTGTAATCCTAGCGCTTTGGGTGGCCAAGGCGGGTGGATTGCCTGAGCTCAGGAGTTCAAGACCAGCTTGGGCAACATGGTAAAACCCCATCTCTACTAAAAAAAAAAAAAAAAAAAATCCAAAAATTAGCTGGGTGTGGTGGCGGGCGCCTGTGGTCCCAGCTACTCAGGAGGCTAAGGCAGGAGAATCACTTAAGCCCGAGAGGCTGAGGTTGCAGTGAGCAGATCGCGCTGTGGCACTCCAGCCTGGGTGACAGAGCCAGATCCTGTCTCAAAAAAACAAAAAAGATATCTTGTAGGAAGTGTTATTGAATGGAGAGTCTTTAGGCTGAAACCTCATCACCTTTATAATCCTGTAGCCAGCGAGTGTCTCAGGAGCAGAACAGACAGCATTGGAAGCCATGCACATCCTACAGATGAAGAGGGATGCGCTGAGAGGTCTTCACTCCAGCACCACTGCCCTCTATGGGCAGCTGGCCATAGGGAGGGAAACAGAGAGAGGGAAGAACACCTTCTTCCAAAAGCACCGATAGGGCTGGGTGTGGTGACTTATGCCTGTAATACGCTTTGGGAGAGCAAGGCAAGAGGATTGCTTAAGGCCAGAAGTTTGAGACCAACCTGAACAACACAGCAAAACTCTGTGGGGCTAGTCAACAAAAGCAAAAAATGAAAAGTAGCTGGGCATGGTGGCCCATGCCTGTGGTCCAAACTACTTGGGAGGCTGAGGCAGGAGGATCGCTTGAGCCTGGGAGTTCAAGGCTTCAGTCAGCCATGATAGCACCACTGCACTCCAGCCCAGGCAACAAAGTAAGACCTTGTCTCAGTAAATAATAAATAAATAAAATGAACAAAAAGCAGTGATGTTCTGGAAAGATGGAGTAGATGTATTTATTTATTCTGCCAAGTATAACTGAAAACCTTGAACGTGACAAGACAAGCATAAGAAGACTGAAAGATGGAGAGAAGCAGACTGGTTAGGAACCTCGGGACTTAAGGAATGGTGGTGAATTCCCTGGGATTTCTCTTTGCCTCATATATCTCAGGCTGAATACTGGAGAAGCCAACAACTGAAAATGCCAAGGGGCACAAACAAGAAAAAGTCCCAACAGAACAAGTTCTAGCAAAACTATGCTTTTCTAGCCAAAGAACGAGGAAAGGGGCATCCTAGAAAGACAGAGCTCTTTTAGTCCATACCTGCTCCGCTCCATCCAAGTTCCATCATCACCCTTGTCAGCAAAGGCCGGATGGAAAACCTAGACATTCACCTTCACCAGGCTGTAACAAAGAACCCTAGGCCACTCCCATACTCAGCCAGAGTGATGCTAGAGTTGGAGCTGGGACATTCCTCCCCACTGGGATCACCCTCCCCCGATGTGGTGTTGGTGGAAACCATGTGGGCAGCCTGGACATCCACTGCCACCCCAATGCAGAAATGAGGCATTCCACCCGGCCCCATTGGAGTAGTGTCAAAGGGGGCCTGGTGGAGAGTTGGGACTTTCGCCACCACTCAGTGGTAACAAGCACCCCCCTCTCTCTGCCACACACAGTGTCAGTGAAAGCCACATAGGGAGCAGTAATGAAGCATCCCTCCCACTCCCAGCCAGGGAGTTGTCATGGATTCCTAGTGGGGAACCTGAACTTCTACCCTTACCAAACAATAACATGGAGGCCTCATCTCTCCCAACCCCCCAGGTTCAGGAAAGGCTGGATGGAGAACCTGGACTTTTATCCCTGTCTGGAAGCAATCAGGCAGTGCCCTACTTTATTTCGCTGGAGCAGTATAAAGGGAAGCCCACTAAAACAAAATATTTAAAGAAGATCCAGAATCTTATAACACAGTGCCCAGAATATCCTGACTTCAATGGCAAATCACTTGTCATACTAGGAATCAGGCATTCTCAAACTGAATAACAAAAGATAATTAACAGACACAAACATCAAGACGACACAGATGTTAGAATTATCTGACAAAGATTTTGGAGCAGCCATCATAAAAGTGTTTCACTGAGAAATTATAAATGTGCTTGAAACAAATAAAATAATAAAAAGTATCAGCAAAGAAATAGAAAATATAAAGAAGAACCAAATGGAAACTTTAGAACTAAAAAATACAACTAAAAAATACAAGAGCTGAAATAAAAACCATAATGGATGGGCTCAATAGCAGAATGGAGAGTATAGAAGAAAGAAGCAGTGAAACAAAACGTATAACAATAGAAATTACCCATTCTGAACAATGGAAAGAAAATAGATGAAAGAAAATGGAACAAAGCCTCAAGGACATGAGTAACTATAATAAAAGAAGATCTAACATTTTGTCATTGAAGTCCCAGAAGGGGAGGAAAAGGAGGGTGGGCCTTAAAAAAATATTCCAAGAAGTAATGGCTGCAAATTATCTTCATTTGACAACACACACGCACAACATATGTCTACAGATTCAAGAAGCTGAGCGCATCACAAACAGGATAAACCCAAAGAAATTCATGCCAAGACACATCATAGTCAAACTTCTAAAAACAAGAGGCAGAGAAAATTCTCGAAAGCAACCACATAAAAATGCAAAAAATTAGCCAGTTGGGTGGTGCGTGCCTGTAGTCCCAGCTACTCAGGAGGCCAAGGCAGGAGGATCACTTGAACCTGGGAGGCGGAGGTTGCAGTGAGCTGAGATCCTGCCACTGCACTCCAGCCTGGGCAACAGAGCGAAACTCTGTCTTAATTAAAAAGTAAAATAAAATAAAAACAAAAAACCTCTGGAAGATAACATAGGAGAAAATCTGTGAGACTTAGAGCTTGATGAAGTGTTCTTAGACATGACACCAAAGGCATGATCCCTAAAAAAATCAATCCAACTTCATCAAAATTAATTTTTTTTTGCTCTGTAAAAGACCTAGTTAAGAGAATGAAAAGACAAATTACAGACTAAGAGAAAATATTTGCAAACCACATATCTGACAAAGGACTCCTATCTAGAACAAATATATAAAGAACTCTCAAATTCAACATAGAAACACTACATAAAAAAATCAAATCATCCAATTAGAAGACTGGCAAAAGATATAAAGAGAAATTTCACCCAAGGGGATATATGGATAGAAAATAATTATCTAAAAAGATATTCAACATCACTAGCCTTTAGACAGGTTAAGACCATGATGAGATATCACTACTAACATCTATAAGAACAGCTAAAATAAAAGATAGTATCAAATACTGGAAAGATGTATGGAAACTAAATCATTTATATATTGCTAGTGTGAATATAAAATTGTCCAGCCACTCTGGAAAAAAGTCTCAAAACAGTTCCTCCAAAGATTAAGCATAGAATTACCATACACTCCTGCATCTCCACTCTTACATATATAACCAAGAGAAATAAGAACATGTTCACCCAGAAACTTGAACACAAATGTTTACAGCAGCATTATTCATGAAAGCCAAAAAGCAGAAACAACCCACATGTCCATGAAGAGATGAATGAATAAAGAAAATATGGGAGACCTAAACAATAAAATATTATTTGATAATAAAAAGGAATGAAGTACTGATAGATACTACAACATGGATGAACTTTTTTTCGAGACCGAGTTTCACTTGTTGCCCAGGCTGGAGTGCAGTGGTGCCATCTCGGCTCACTGCAACCTCTGCCTCCCAGGTTCAAGCGATTCTCCTGCCTCAACCTTCTGAGTGACTGGGATTACAGGCATCCGCCACCACGCCCAGCTAATTATTCATATTGTTAGTAGAGACGGGGTTTTACCATGTTGGCCAGACTGGTCCTGAACTCCTGACCTCAGGTGATCCACCCGCCTTGGCCTCCCAAAGTGCTGGGATTACAGGCGTGAGCCACGGCGCCTGGATATGGATGAACTTTGAAAACATTAAGTGAAAGAAGCCAATCACAAAATGTCACATATTGTATGATTCCATTCACGTGAAATATTCAGAAAAGGCAAATCTGTAGAGACAGAAGTAGATGTAGCGGTTGCGTAGGGCTGGGGTGGGGTGGGAAAGGTAAGAGGAAATGAAGAGTGACTGCTAATGGATGTGAGATTATTTTGGGGTGATGAAATGTTCTAAAACTGGTTGTGGTGATGGTTGCATAATTCAGTGAATAGACCCAAAACCATTCAATTGGACATTTTACATGGGTGTGTTTTATGGTATGTGAATTATATCTCAGCAAAGCTGTTATATATGTAGTATATATGTAATATATAACAGCTTTACATACAGCTTTAACACACATATGTGTGCATATATGTGTGTGTATGTATATTGTGTGTGTGTGTGTACATATATATATATATAAAATAAAAATCAGGCTGGGCACGATGGCTCACACCTGTAATCCCAGCACTTTGGGAAGCAAAGTGGATCACCTGAGGTCAGGAGTTCAAGACCAGCCTGGCCAACATGGCAAAACCCCATCTCTACTAAAAATACAAAAATTAGCAGGCATGGTGGTGTGCGCCTATAATCCCAGCTGCTCAGGAAGCTGAGGCAGGAGAGTCACCTGAGCCCAGGAGGCGGAGGTTGCAGTGAGCTGAGATCCCACCACTGCACTCCAGCCTGGGCGACAGAGTGAGACTCTGTCTCTAAATAAATAAATAAATAAATAAATAAATAAATAAATAAATAAAAAACAGTCCAGTTAGAAAATAGGCAAAAGACATGATGACACCTTTCCCTGAAGAAGGTATATAGAAGGCAAATAAGCACATGAAAAGATGTCTCACATCACCAGCCATTAGTGAAATGCAAATTGAAACCCATGACAAGATACCGCTTTAGAACAGCTAAAATTAAATAACCAATAATGACAACACCAAACACTGGTGAGGATGCTGTGAACTTGAAACATTCACACACGACTGGTGGGGATGCAAAGTGGTCCAGCTACTCTGGAAAACAGTTTGCCGGTTTCCTGAAAAACTAAACAAAATATACCTACCAGATGACCCAGCAATTGCACTCCTGGGCATTTTATCCCTAAGAAATGAAAACGTATGTCCACATAAAAACCTGCACACAATTATTCACAGCAGCTTTGTTTGTAATAGCCAAAAACTGGAAACAGGCCAGGCACGGTGGCTCACGCCTGTAATCCCAGCACTTTGGGAGGCCGAGGTGGGCGATCACCTGAGGTCAGGAGTAATCTCAGCATTTTGCGAGGCCAAGGAGGGCAATCACCTGAGGTCAGGAGTTCGAGACCAGCCTGGCCAACATTGTGAAATCCTGTCTCTATTAAAAATACAAAATGAGCTGGTCGTGGCGGTACATGCTGGTAATCCCAGTGTAAATAGTAAAGTAGAAGTTCCTTTTCAAAGAGACTGTCCTCCCCATCTAATTAAGAATAAATAGTAACTTCTCTTAGAAGCAAAATTTATTCAAAGACCTGTGCTAACATTCTTAAATATCTACTAGCCATAATAAAAAAATCAATGTACTTTATGTTCTTAGATCCTACAATTTAGCCTAAAGATTTGCCCTAGCATGCTTATACTAGTCCAAGAAAGCATTAAGTCAAAGCCTGTTCCTCTTCCTTATTTAGAAATGTTTTTACTTTTCTCAGTATTCCACGTTACTTTCTCCTTCCTTTGTTCTCCTCTGCCTTTGCCTCTTTTAAAAAGTTCTAAGTTGCTAGCCAATCCAGACAAATACAGAATGTGAGGTCCCGTTTCAGCCAATAGAAACCAGACACAGCAATAAAGTAGATGCATCAAGTTATAAATGACCCTGTCTCCTTTGTTCAGTGTACTTTTGTAGCAAAACTGCTAGCGAGTATACCCTTTCTGCAGAAAGTAAAACTAGCCTTGCTGAAGAAATTAAATTTACATTAAAGTGCTATTTCTTTACAGCACCAAAAATCAAGCATTTCTAACACAAGCTACTCGGGAGGCTGAGGCAGGAGAATTGCTTGAACCTGGGAGGCAGAGGTTGCGGTAAGCCGAGATCACGCCATTGCACTCCAGCCTGGGCAACAAGAGCAAGATTCCATCTCAAGAAAAAAAAAAGCAAAACCAAAAACTGGAAACAACCAATACGTCCTTCACTAGGTGAGTGGCTTAACAGATTACGGTACATCCATGCCATGGAGTACTATGCAGCAATAAAAAGGAGTGAGATATGAAGAGGATACAGGCAACAACTTGGACGATTCTGAAGAGTGGTACAGAGAGTGAAAAAAGCCAGTCTCCAAGGATCACATGTGTTACAACATTCTTTTTGTTTGTTTGTTTTTTGAGACGGAGTTTTGCCCTTGTCCCCCAGGTTGGAGTGCAGTGGCTCGATCTCGGCTCACTGCAACCTCTGCCTCTAGGATTTAAGTGATTCTTCTACCTAAGCCTCCCGAGTAGCTGGGATTAAGGTGCCTAACACCATGCCTGGCTAATTTTTGTATTTTAGTAGAGATGGGGTTTCACCATGTTGGTCAGGCTGGTCTCAAATTCCTGACCTCAAGTGATCCACCTGCCTTAGCCTCCCAAAGTGCTGGGATGACAGGTGTGAGCCACCACGCCCAGGCATAACATTCTTGAAATGACAAAATGATAGAGGTGGAGAAGATGAAAAGTTGCCAGGGGTTAGGGATGGTAGGGGAAAGTGTCTGACTATGAAGGGAGTAGCACAAGGGAGGTCTTTGTAGTAACAGAATAATTCTGTATCTGGACTGCAGTTGTTGTTATATACATCCAGATGTGATAAAATGACATAGAACTGTACACACACATTATACCAATGTCAAATTCCTGGTTTTGATATTGTCCTGAATGACTTAAGAAGTAACCATCAGGGGATGCTGGGTGAAGAGTACACCAGACTTCTCTATTCTATCTTTGCAACTTCTGTGAATCTATACTTATTAAAAAAAAAAAAATTTAAGACAGTCTCGCTCTGTCACCCAGGAAGGAGTGAAGTGGTGTGATCATAGCTCACTGCAGCCTTGAACTTGAGGTGGGCTCAAGTAATCCTCAGCCACCTGAGTAACTAGAACTACAGGTACCAGCCACCATACCCCGTTAATTTATTTTTTATTTTTTATTGAGTCGGGGTCTCACATTTCCCATTCTGGTCTCCAACTCCTGTCCTCAAGCAATCCACTTCCTCAGCCTTCCAAGATGCTGGGATTACAGGAGCCAGTCACCGCACCTGGCCGTATATTTTTATTTTTTTAATCCCAGGAATCTCAATGGGGGACTCCAAGCCAGGTGGCCAGGTCCCAAAGGTCTCAGGGAGGGTACCCTTTGGGGCTTGAATTCCTGCTCCTCACCTAGAAGGAGTAGCTGAGGTTTCTGCAGGCCACAGCACCAGGTGTGGCTCATAGTCTTCTAACAGGAGGAGATTGGGCTTGTGGACGTGTCTTGATTTCTGGAGGCCAAGGGCTGCGTGGAGAAGGCAAGGGAGGAGGAGCAGGACTCCTGAGAACGCAGCCTCGGCGCTTTCACTCTTCCTCCCTGTTCCTTCAAACAGGTCGTTGGTCTCCTTTTTTGGTGACTTGACTGTCACCCCTTTACCAGGGAAGCAGTGAAAGCAGGCAACTAACAGAGTCCCTGTGAGCCCTGGGTGGCTACTCCCTGCCTGGCTATGTCCCCCTCACCCCCCAACCTCTGCCCAGGATGGTAAGACGGGAACAATGATAGTGCCTTCCTCACCGGGCTGGTGACAGCACACACAGGACACACTCAGCAACTCGCACATCCCATGACAAGCATGTGGTAAAAAGACCCGGGTTCCAGTCCCAGGTCTGCCACGTGTTTGTTGTGACATCACCTCAGTTTCCCTCCCAGGGTGATAATAAGATTGCTGTTATGACTTCAGGGCTATGCTGTGACAGGTCCCCAGCCCCTACAGCACTTTGCATGGTGGCTGCTATGGAACGGGCTCTCTGTAAAAGTGAGCTGTCATTATTCCAGACATTGTCACTTACGCTGCTGACCCAGCACTCCCTGCAGACATTAATTCACCCACCTCTGGCTACTCAGCCCTAGCCTGAGCTTCACAGAGAGGCCCTTTGGGACTAAACTGTCATTTCCTTCCCGCTCCCCAGGCAGATCGAGCTCTAGGGTGGGAAGGGGCCTTTGGCTCAGCTGCTGCCAGACTTCTCTGTTCTATCTTTGCAACTTCCTGTGATAATTATTTCAAAATTAAAAGATTTTTTTTTTTAATTTGCGAGGTTGAGGTTGTCACCTCCTGTTTAAGGAGCAGCCTGGAGTTGAGAGCGAGAAGAGTGGGGAAAGAAAGAGGCTCGCCTACTTCTCCTTTTTTTCTCCCCCTTTTTCTTTTCTTTCTTTTTTTTTTTTTTTTTTTTTTTTCTGAGACCAAGTCTCACTCTGTTGTCCAGGCTGGAGTGCAATGGTGCGATCTCAGCTCACTGCAGCCTCCGCCTCCCAGGTTCAAGCAATTCTCCTGCCTTAGCCTTCTGAGTAGCTGGGACTACAGGCGCGTACCACCACGCCTGGCTAATTTTTGTATTTTTAGTAGAGATGGGGTTTTGCCATGCTGGCCAGGCTGGTCTTAAACTCCTGACCTTAGATGATCTGCCCGCCTTGGCCTCCCAAAGTGCTGGGATTACAGGCATGAGCACCACATTCGATCTTTTTTTTTTTCTTTTTTAGTGACTGAGTCTTACTCTGTTGCCCAGGCTGGCATGCAGTGGTGCACTCATAGCTCACTGCAGATTCAAACTCCTGGGCTCAAGTGGTCCTCCTGCTTCAGCCTCTTGAGTAGCTGGGATGACAGGCATGCACTACTGTGCCCAGCTTATTTTTAAACATTTTTTTTTCTACATACAATGTCTGCTGTGTTGCCCAGGCTGGTCTTGAACTCCTAGAAAGCACTTCTCAGCAGTGCGGTGCATCTCTACCCCCGGCCAGTCGCAAGAGCCCAGCCCTGCATGATCACCCACCTGGGGAGGAGGCTCTGGAGTGGCCAGTGCTGGCTGGGAGCTCTTTCATCAAGGAGGATAATGGAGCTGCCTGCCCCAGGCACTGTCCCAGGGACAGGGTGGGAGGCGGGCCAGGGATGGATCAGTCATCTCCGTCAGGAGTGACTCAGGAGGTTGGCAGACCGGGAGGGACAAAGAGACCCGTGTCATGACCATGGCCTGGTGCCTGGGTGTCCTCCCTCCCACACGTGGTGGCCCAGCCCTACTGGCACGTGAGGCCATGAGACCTTCTCACCTTCCTTCCTGCCTGGCCAACCCTCATCTCAGCGTCTGCCCCCATCTCTCTGAGTCACTGTGTCATGTGTTCTGACTCTTCCTCGGCTTGGCATTTCCCAGGGAGGGGGTGCCATCTGCCTTCCCTGTCCCTGAGGGCCTCCCTGGGCCTGAACTCGGCCGGAGTAGATCACTCTTGCGTTCTCCACTGAACCTGCCCCTCCTGCTTTCTTCAACCTCTTAAGGAAGCTGCTGGAGTCACCTTTGACTCTTCAAGTGAGTCTCACCACTTCCTCCTCCAAAATGGGTCCTGACCCCACCCCTCTCCCCATCTCCACTTCCTCTCTCTTGGACAATGGCCAGGGCCTCCCAAGCCCTGTCCCTGCCTCCACTGATAGCCTGTGCTCACTGTCCACGCAGCTGCCAGTGGGCCTCTGAAGCCTCAAGCCTGCCATCACACCCCTCCGAACTCACTTCTCCAGCGGCTTCTCAACGCGCTCTTTGAAAGCCCAAGTCCTGGCTGGGCACAGTGGTTCACACTTGTAATCCCAGCACTTTGGCAGGCAGAGGCAGGCAGATAACTTGAGGTCAGCAGTTCGAGACCAGCCCGGCCAACATGGTGAAACTCCGTGTCTATTAAAAATTAGTTGGGCATGGTGGTGCGTGCCTGTAATCCCAGCTACTTGGGAGGCTGAGGCAGGAGAATCACCTGAACTCGGGAGGCGGAGGTTGTAATGAGCCGAGATCATGCCACTGCACTCTAGCCTTGGTGACAGAGCGAGACTCCATCTCAAAAAAAAAAAAAAAAAAAAAACCTAGGATTAAATTCCATTGCTGGGCGGGATGGCTCACGCCTGTATTCCCAGCACTTTGGGAGGCTGAGGCGGGTGGATCACCTGAGGTCAGAAGTTTAAGAGCAACCTGGTCAACATGGTGAAACCCCGTCTCTACTAAAAATATAAAAATTAGACAGGCGTGGTGGTACATGCTTGTAATCCCAGCTACTCAGGAGGCTGAGGCAGGAAAATTGCTTGAACCCGGGAGGCAGAGGCTGCAGTGAGCTGAGATTGTGCCACTGCACTCCAGCATGGGCAACAGAGTGAGACTCTGCCTCAAAACAAACAAACAAAGAAACAAACAAACAAGCCCCAGTCCTGCCTGTGGCCTACAAGGCCCTGTGTAATCGAGCTTCCTTGGGCAACAGAGCGATACTCTGCCTCAAAACAAACAAACAAAGAAACAAACAAACAAGCCCCAGTCCTGCCTGTGGCCTACAAGGCCCTGTGTAATCGAGCTTCCTTGGGCAACCACTCTGGCTCCATCACTCCACTCAAGCATGCTTCTTTCCTTCTTGTTCCATGAAGGTAACAAGTACATTCTCGCCAGGGGCCTTTGCACTCGATTTTGGCCTTCCCTGGACCCACATTCCCCAGGAACCCACAGAGCTCCCTCCCTTACTTCCTTCTGGTCTCAAGTCAAATGACTTCTCTTTCTGAAATGGCAGCCTGACCCAGCACAGCCTGACCTTGCACCCCTCTGCAGTTCCTTCACTGTCAGATGTGCGGTCATGTGTTTGCTTGTCTTTCTGATCGTTGTCTGTCTCTTCTGCAGAATGTCAGCTCTGGGAGGTCACAGAGTGATTCTTTTTGGGCACTGCTGTGACCCTGGGGCCCAGCATAGGCCTGGCACACAGAGGTGCTCAGTGAGCATGTGTTGAATTCTGGTGGGGTCCAGGAGCTGGGTGGGGAAAGTCTGAGAGAGTGAACTTGAGTTCAGGTCCTACTGGTTTGTTTGTTCGTTTTTTGAGACAGGGTCTCACTCTGTTGCTGAGGCTGGAGTGCAATGGTTCAATCTCGGCTCACTGCAAACTCCATTTCCTGGGCTCAAACTATCCCTCCCACCTCAGCCTCCCGAGTAGGTAGGACTACAGGCGCATGCCACCATACCTGCCTAATTTTTGTATTTTTTGTAGAGACAGGGTCTCGCTATGTTGCTGAGGCTGGTCTCAAACTCCTGGGCTGAAGCCATCCACCAGCCTCAGCCTCCCAAAGTGCTGGGATTACAGGCATGAGCCACCGCACCTGGCTCGGTCCTACACGTTCGCCATGGCTGAGTGCCGGTCCCTCCTAAGGATGGTCTTTGTGTCAAATTCCCTCATTGTTTCCCAAACTTTAGAGGTTTGCCTACAACCTTCAGGAGCCACCTGCAACATGTTTATTTAATACATTTTTAAAATCAGTTCAGTTGATTGATTTCTTTCTTATTTATTTATTTTGACTTAGCCTCATCCGAAGCTGGTGCGGCATTCTGGTTTCCTGTTGTTCCGGTGCATACTAAATGAAGCATACACAGTAGCGTCACAGTGGCTCCCAGGGCCCTCAAGCTGCACTTTGGGCAGCGTGAGTTACTCCCCGATCCCTGGTTATTGACAATGTTTTGCTCCTCTGGGTGAAGTCCTCCCAGGCCAGACCTGCTGGAGCCAGAGTCTGTCGTCAGGGGACAGGTGTGTCAGGGCAGGGCTGGTGAGCATGTATGCAGGGGATCTGGAAGAGGCTTCCCTCCCGGCTGCTGAGAGGCCCCTGTGTATCCCCAGCCCCATCCGATGCCTCTCTGGCCTTGCTTCAGCTCCTGGAATTTTGCTAAACATGTTCCCACTTGGGGCCTTCACACATGTGTGAGTTTCCTTCCATAGGGAAGCCTCCCCTGCCCCCTGTGACCTTAAGTCACACAGCGGTCCCCAACCTTTTTGGCACCAGGGATTGGTTTCATGGAAGACAATTTTTCCATGGGCCTGAGAGTGGGGAGGGAGCTGGGGATGATTCAAGCACATTACATTTATTGTGCACTTTATTTCTATTATTATTACATTGTGATATATAATGAAGTAAGTATACAACTCACCATCATGTAGAATCAGTGGGAGCCCTGAGCTTGTTTCCCTGCAACTAGACGTTCCCATCCGGGGGTGATGGGAGACAGTGACAGTTCATCAGGCACCATCTGTGAGTGTGCAACCTAGATCCTTTGCGTGCACAGTTCACGATAAGAATCGTGCTGCTATGAGAATCTAAAGCCGCTGCTGATCTGACAGGAGGCAGGACTCAGGTGGTCATGCTTGCTCGCTGGCTGCTCGCCTCCTGCTGTGCAGCCCAGTCCCTAACAGGCCACAGACCAGTATCTGGGTGTGCAGTATAGCACTGGGGACCCCTGCTGTAAAAACTCTGAGCTTCTCCTTGGAAGCCGGTGTCACAGTTGCAGTTTGATATTGTGCATGAGATTCTTTCATGTCCTTGTCCCTGCAAGACTGTGAGCTCCGTGAAGAAAGGGCATGCACCCTCCCAGCTTGGACAGGCCCCACAGAGGGTTTCCCTTCCCACAGCCCGGCCCCCCACACGTCTCCTTTCCTCCTGCATGTGGACTTCCCATCCCAGCCAAGCAGCCCCATGTCACCTCCCCTCCCGACCTGGTTTGTTTATTCCTGCCTCTAGGCCTTTATTTTGGTCTCTGTGCTGTGTCCTCTGCCTTCTTCAAAATGCAGGGAGAGACCAGGCACAGGGGCTCATGCCTGTAATCCCAGCACTTTGGGAGGGTGGGTTGGGCGCATCACCTGAGGTCAGGAGTTCGAGACCAGCCTGGCCAACAATGGTGAAACCCCGTCTCTACTAAAAATACAAAAATTAGCTGGGTGTGGTGGCACACGCCTGTAGTCCCAGCTACTTGGGAGGCTGAGGCAGAAGAAGTGCTTGAACCTGGGAAGCAGAGGTTGCAGTGAGCCAAGATCGTGCCACTGCATTCCAGACTGGATGACAGAGTGAGACTCCATCTCAAAAAATAAACAAAAAAAACAAAAAACAAAAAAAAATCAGGGAGAGCTGCCGTCTAGGAAACCCTGCCCTCACTGCCCGCAGCCCACAGCTTAACCTTACTGCTCCTCCAGCACCCGGGCTCTGTGAGCAGCTGTTGGTTCTCACCAAGATGGCCGTGTAGCACAGCGTCAGAGTGTGGCCTCCGAAGCCAGTGGTCGGGGCTCAAATCTGGGCTCCACTGCTAACAATTGGGGACCACAGAACTGATGTAACTTCTCCATGCTTCAGCTGCTTGTTCTCAAACGTGCACGTGCATCAGAATCCACCAAGGACTTCTCAAAACACAGATTCCTGGGCCCCACCTCAGGGTTTTTGATTCCTGAAGTCTAGGGTGGGGGCTGAAAATTTGCCTTTTTAGCAAGTTCCTGGGTGCTGCTGATGCTGCTGCCTAGGGACCACACTTTGAGAACCATTGTCATAGTTATTAGGGAAGGTAAATGAGGTTAATGGAGATTAATTAATGCAAACTGGGTAGAATCATAGAAAGCGTTCAACAACTGTTAGTTATCAATCCCATTTATACCAGACACTCTGGCCCTTTTTAACTTCCTGACAGGTATTATAGAAAAAGTGCATTTGATACAAAAATTAGCCGGGCGTGGTGGCGAGTGCCTGTGATCTCAGCTACTTGGGAGGCTGAGGCAGGAGAATCACTTGAACCCAGGAGGCGGAGGTTGCAGTGAGCTGAGATTGCACCACTGCACTCCAGCCTGGGTGACAGAGACAGACTCCATCAAAAAAAAGAGAGAGAGAGAGAGAGAGGGAGGAAGGGAAAAGAAAAGAAAGAGTGCATTTGAATCAGAAGCATCAACCCCATGGCCTGGACACACCGTTTCCGAGCTCTGGGACCCTGGGAAAATCACCTAACTTCTCTAAGTCTCAGTGTTCTCATCGTCACAGAGCTGTCCTAGGAGACCCTTCTCAGGACAGCCTGAGCCTCTAGAAAGGGCTCAGTATACAGCTGGTGCTTAATTAATGTTTCTGGAACTGAATGTAGTGATGTATAAAGGCTGACGCTGCAAATTGCAGCATGAATGTGAGAGATGGTGGTGAAACCAACACGGGCTGGTGAGACCTAGATCTGTGGCTCGCACTCCAAGCTGCAGGGACCAGGAGGTAATCTCAGTGCAGGAAGCCGGCCAGGTGTGGGACAATAGGGAGTGGTGGGGACTGCGGCCAGTGCACAGGACCCTCCCTTTCAGCAAGTCATGTCCACGTACAAGTGCAAGCCTGGTGCTGTCAGCTGATCTGACTGCGGCAAAAACCAGCATGAGGATTTTTATGTGAAATCATCCATAAGTCAAACCAGACCCAGCTCGCAGCTACCAGCTCAGAGTGGGAGCAACTTAGTGGCCACTGGCCCTGGGTTCAAGGCTAAAATCCCTGGGCCCTTGCCTGCATACCAGGCTCAGCCGAGGGCAAGGAGAAATTCTGTCATCGTTCTGTAGACGGTGGGATGGCAGGCTGCCCAAAGGCGGGTCAGAAAGCATCAGGATCTAGACTGGCATTTGGCTTTGGGGCATTTATTTCATGTCCCTTTTGTACAGGCCCCAGGGCCAGGTGTGGGGGCAGGAGACCAGGCAGGAAGTAGCAATAAATAACACGGACAGACAGAGCTCCCCTCCAGACAGATGAGGGTAAAGGAGGTTAGAGAGGAGCCGTAATGAGGGCGTGGGGGTGCTGGCAGGGAGGGGCAGCTGGGAAGGAGGGGGAGGTCAGGCCCCCAGGACCTCACTGTCACCTGCCTCACTCCCCTCCTGCCCCAGCCCCCGATACTTTTGGGAGGAAGGGAGCCCACAGCCAGTGGGGGCCAGCGAGGGTCCTGAGGGGGGTCAGCCACGCAGGCTGCCCCCAGCTCCTTCACTTGACCCGGATTTCAGCATACTCAGCTAGCTCCTCCGTCAGCGTGTAGCTGTCCTTGGTGGGCCGTTTCCCCAGGTCCGAGTGAGAATAGCTCAGGTCCAGCTCTGGGGGCTCACCCCGAAGGCCCAGCAGCCTCCTCTCAGATCCCAGGCGCCTCTCGCTCTAAGAGGGGAAACCGCCCATTAGCAGGGTCCTGCTCCCTGCCTTTTCCCAATGCAGAGGACAGAGCGTTTGCACCCTCAGAGCTCCTGAGTTCAGTCCCAAATAAATCCCTGCGAGAACCTCCTTTCTCAAGGACCGCAGGCCCAGCGAGCCCTGCGGTCACCAGGTCCCACTCTGGAGCTTCTGCCAGTGTTAATCATTGCTGAACTTGAAATTTGCCTACAAATTCAGTTTCTCCAGGAAGCTGCTTCTTCTTCTTCTTTTTCTTTGAGACCCAGGCTGGATTGCAATGGCTCGATCTTTGCTCACTGCAGCCTCCACTTCCTGGGTTCCAGCAATTCTCCTGCCTCAGCCTCCCAAGTAGCTGGGATTACAGGCACCTGCCAACACGCCTGGCTAATTTTTTGTATTTTTAGTAGAGACAGGGTTTCACCATGTTGGCCAGGCTGGTCTCAAACTCCTGACCTCAAGTGATCCATCCGCCTCAGATTCCCAAAGTTGTGGGATTACAGGTGTGAGCCACTGCCCCCGTCCAGGAAGCTTTCAACATAGGAGTTTTGAGGGCACACAATGTAACCCCTAATACCTTTTTGGGTGAAAACCACCTAGTCAGGACCCCATCTTTCCAAATTCCTGGAAATACCTGGTTTGGTACGTGCCCCCCCATGGGTCCTGCATGGGTCCGCCCTCAATCTGGGAGGTCCTGCAGGTGACATGTGGGTTCCCCCCACGCTTCCCACCCCTCCCTCCACCCCCTAGCCACAGGAATTTGGACACACAGGACGGTGGCCACAGACAGAAGGGAGCTGCAACAGGACAGACTAGACAAGGCCAGCACTGCCGGGCAGGCCCGGACATCACCAGAGACCACCTTGACGCCTGACAGGGACACACGGACATGCACGCCAACCCCAGGGCCCAAGGAGGGCCCAGAGGAGGGCACACTGAGGCCCCCGGAACCTACCTCCTGGGGCACTCAGTGAGATTCCAGGGTAGAAACCTCTTTGGACTATTGGAGAAGGAAATGCAGTCACAGACACAGGCAGGGAGGGGAGGGGGCCCTTAGGCCCCACGTCCCATCGCCCCCTACACAGCTTCGGCCTGGGCACCTCCTCCCCAGCCTCCAGGTCCAACCCAGCCCTGGAATGTCCTTCCTCTCCTCCTGTGAGAGGCCGCTCCCACTCCCCTGCCCCTTGGCCTCACAGGCCTTTCCCAGGCCTTCAGTGTCCCTGGCATCCAGGTTCCCAGGCCAGCCTGGAGCCTGGTCCTTACCTCGTACTTCTCTGGTGCCCCAGAGATGCGGAAGTCGCTGCTGAACAGGACGGGAGGGTTGTCCCCTGCCGAGAAGCTGGGGCTCTCTGTCACGTTCTTTCTGCAGGGCAGGACTCGTCAGACCTCTCTCTGCCCTCCCTTTCTGCACCCCCACGTGTTTTAGGAGTTTGGCTCAGGGGACCTCAGAGTTCTCCCACCCATCTCTAAGATGTGGCAAGCAGCCCTTTCAGAACCACCAGCCTCTCCTACCCACACAGCCCATCCTTCCCACCTCTGTGGCCCCTGCCCGGCTGGGGACGAGCCACCTGGCCCCTGAGCTCTGCCGTTTTTCAGGACCCCCACCTGGATTCTCCAGGTTCCCCTCATAGGCTCTGGGTCTTTCTGCCCCTCTTGCCACCAGGATGTGGAGCAGAGGGGTTAATTTATTTCTCAGGACAGCTGATGTGTGTGTGCCACAAGAAAGAAACACGGCTGCAGCTGAGTTGGGCCAGGTGGGTATGGTTTGGGGCTGGAGAGGCTTTCTGTCTGTCTGTCTGTCTGTTTGTTTGTTTTTAGAGACAGGGTCTCTCTTTGTCACCTAGGCTGGAGTACAGTGGTGAAATCATAGCTCACTACAGCCTCAACCTCCCAGGCTCAAGCGATCTTCCCTCCTCAGCCTCCCGAGTAGCTGGGACAACAGGCACGTGCCACTAGTAGCTAATTTTTTTGTTTTTTTGTAGATGGGGTCTCCCTATGTTGCCCAGGCTGGCCTCTAATTCCTGAGCTCAAGAATCGTTCCACCTCAGCCTCCCAAGTAGCTGGGACTACAGTGTGTGCCACCATGCCTGGCTAATTAAAAAAAAATTTTTTTTAGAGATGTGGTCTTGCTATGTTGCCCAGGCTGGTGTCAGATTCCTGGCCTCAAGCAATCCTTCCTCCTTGGCCTCCTAAAGTGCGGGATAACAGGCGTGAGTCAACGCGCCCGGCCAAGGCCTATTTTTTTTTTGCCCCAGATGTGTGTAATCTTTGGGGCTTCTGGCGTCAAGTGGACCTGCTGCTGTGGCTGCAGTGGGGTACCTGGGCTTTCCCCACCACACTGGAGTGTGTAGGGGAGAGTTCCTAGAGATAGGGAGGCTGTCAAAATAGAATGTGGGCAAACAGGTCTCAAATGATGTGTGTAAAGGGCTCAGCCCAGGCCCTGGTGTGCCCCTGACCAGCAGGGGCTGGAATTAACAGGAACCCTCTCTCCTCTGTCCAGCTGAACATTCCCAGAACAGAATCTGCCTTCTCTACACTTATGGTGCTGCCTTCCCCCACCCACTCTGGGCCTCCATCTCCCACCAGGTCCCCTTTTTGGAGACTCCCATCCCCAGATCAGCCCCAGCTGGCACTCACTTCCTGCGTGTCTGGGTAATGTAGCAGACGATGGCAATCAGGATGGCAAAGGCGACCACGGCGCCCACAGGCCCGATCTTGGCCCACATCAGTCGATCTGAGGACAGAAAAGACCCAGGCGCCCTTAGGGCTATGGGTGGTGGTGACGACACCTGAGAACTTTGGAGACATGCTGGGATGACAGTCAATGTAGTCACACAGCCGGGGCATCCTTGCACTGACTGATTGGCACGGAGCCTCCTCGTGCCAGGGCAATCCCTTTCATGCTAGAGGGCCCTGGGGAGGGGCTCATGCCTCAAAGGTCCTAGCAAACTCGGGGCAAACTCAGGGCGGCTTCTCCTCTCCAACCGGAAAGGGAGAATTTGACCTTTCTGTCAATCTGCATAGCCCATGCTCTGTGGCTGTTGGTCAGCCTTGGGAGCTTGGATCTAAGACGTGCCCGCTCCCTCCTGTGGCTCCCACCCCAAGTCCACGCCACTCACGGGCTCCCTGGAAGGGCAGCTCCAGGCTCTTGGCGCCATAGAGGTTCCTCGCGGTGCAGATGACGCGGGGCGGGGCCTGGGCCTGCCCCCGCAGCGTGAGGATGCTGGTGAGCACGAGGCCGCTGCGCTCCGAGTACACGAACTCCCGCTCGCTCTCGTTCACGGTCACATTGCGCGATGGCAGCTCAAAGGCCACGGACGGCTCCGGGTTGGACTTCACCACGCACAGGCACTGCACCGTGTCTCGGGCTGCCGCGCAGTGGGACTCCAGGAGGAGCACAGGGGCGACTGCAGGGGCAAAATCAGGTCTGAGGGTGGCCCGGAGCCAACGCGAGGCCCGGCCCCGGAGACTCCTTGGCTCAAGGCAAGGCCAGTGTGGCCAAGGATGGGGGCGGTAGCTTCCTGTAGGGCCCTCCAATTTCCCCTCCTTTTTTCTCTGTCCTGACTGAGAGCGCCTTGACCTCACTACGACCCCGCCGGCTGCCTGTTTTCACTGCAAGCTTCACTAACCCACGCCTGGGGCCTTGAACATTCCCAGGCACTGATAAAGGTGTTTAGGTTGTTGCTCAAAACACTGAAAGAGGCCGGGCATGGTGGCTCACTGCTGTAATCCTAGCACTTTGCGAGGCCGAAGAGTGAGTGGATCACTTGAGGTCAGGAGTACGAGAGGTTACAGAATGAGACGCTGTCTCAAAAAAACCCCAAACAACAACAACAACAAAAATGAAAGAATGAAAGAAACCAGCCCCAGCCCTGGGCCAAATTCCTTAAACCCTCATGTAAACCCATACCCTGACCCTCACGGACGTGTCTGGGTAGACCCTCCCTTTCTCTCGCCGTAGCACTGTGCAAGTTCCCCTCCCAAATGCTTTGGACTGATGATCACCTGGTGGTTTAGTGCCTCTCTCTTTGGAATCCCAAGTGGCCTCATTTCGGGGTGGTTTGGGGTGCTCTCTTGGGGCAATTCTTCTGGTGCCACTTTTGAGGCGACTCTAGCCTCAGCTTCAGCCTGGACAGAGCACTATGTCACAGGGACGGGCCGTTTCTCCTGGGCCCTGGCTCTTACACTCTCTCTAACCTCATTCACCTTGTAATACATAAATCAGATCATGGCACTCTCTGCTCAAAACCCTCCTTCTGTTGCTCCGTGGTTCACCTAAAATACAAATCCTTTATTTTTTATCGTTTAGAGACAGGGTCTGGCCCTGTCGCCCAGGCTGAAGTGCAGTGGCAGTACTATAGCTCATTTGCACTCTTGGCCTCTAGTGATCCTCCCGCCTCAGCCTCCCAAAGTGCTGGGATTACAGGCATAAGCCACTGCGCCCAGCCACATTTGACCATTTTTGACATGCAGAAAAAATTTCACATAGTTCAATGTAATGTATACAGCAAAAAGTACGAATATTCACCCTAAATGAAATCAGTATAGATTACAAACAGCCTTGTGTTCTTTAGGCGAGATTTTGCTGTCAAATCAGGGTGGTGCCAAATTTGCAAAAAGCCTTTTGATTTTAAAGCTTTATGTTCAGAATTGCAGAGGACGGTAAATCTGTCATACTCATGATAGTTACTGGAGGGTTTTTGTTTGTTTTTGTAGAGACAGGGTCTTGCTATGTTCCCCATGCTGGTCTTGAACTCCTGAGCTCAAGCAATCCTCCTGCCTTGGCCTCCCAAAGTGCTGGGATTATAAGGCGCAAGCCACTGTGCCCAGCCCAAAATACAAAGTCTTTCATCTACAAGGCCCCTCAGGCCCTGCCTGACCACACACTCTCTCCTTCTCTCCCCCTGGCTTAGTCCTTTCCAGCCACACCGGTTCCTTGCTGTGTCTGAAAATCGTGGAGCTTTCTCCCACTCCAGGGTCTGTACGTTTCTCCCTCAACTTGGAACACTTCCATCAGTTGCCTGTGGAACGCCCTCCCTCGCTCCAAACTGGCCTCTACCCATGCGGCGTCTCCTTCTCTGACCACCCAGGGAAGCTGCACCTCGCTCCACGTATCATTCACTCCCTGCCTCACTCAGTTCTCCTCCCCAGCACTCACCCTCCCTGCATCACACACTTACATAAGGGGCCTCCTGTTTCCATCAAGACAGGGGCTTGCTCCTTCTCCACTCTGGGCCCCACACGTAGAAGGGAGGAACCATGGAACTCTCCCAGCCCCCGGCCTCCCCAGACCCTTGGGGCTCACACAGGCTTAGACTATCCCCTCCTTTCTGGCTTCCAGGCTGTGCTCCTTCCTTTCAGTCTGCGCTGCAGATGCCCCCCACTTCCTCCCCTAAAGCCGCCTTGAACCCCGGCCCTTCCTCACCCATGAGATTCCCTCCTGCCACTAGCACCAAACACCACCCTCCACCCAAAGTCACTTGGTTGAGCTTTGCTTTGCTGCCACTGGATTACAAAAATAGTACTGGTAGGTTTTTTCTTTCATTTTCCAAAACAGGAAATTATTATTATTATTATTGTTATTACTATGATTTTTGAGACGGAGTCTCTCTGTCGCCCAGGCTGGAGTGCAGTGGCACGATCTCTGCTCACTGCAACCTCTGCCTCCCAGGTTCAAGTGATTGTCCTGCCTCAGCCTCTTGAGTAGCTGGGACTACACGTGCGTGCCACCATGCCTGGCTAATTTTTGTACCAAAATACGCAATTGTATTACAGCACAGAATGCTGCTTTTTAAACTGTGTTCTCTTTCTTGGCCTGAGAGTCCAGCACCCTCCTTGGCTTGCTCTAGACTGAGCACTGGTTCTCAGTGAGTTCTCACCAAAACCCACTTACACACAGGCAAGAGACCCTTGGCTCACCTACCCCACCTATTTTCAATTGCTAGCAAAAAGAATGTGCCGGTAACGGTGGTGGACCTGGGAGTCACACGGGCACACGGATTCACGGCAGGAATGGGAACCTCTGTGCAAACATCTCTAAGTCTACTGAATAAAAAGTCCTGTTCGGGCAGAGCTGCAATATGCTTGCTATAGCGTTAACCAGCTAACACGCCACGGAGTACATTAATAACAGCGAACCTGAACCGACAGACATAAAACTTTTTCAAAGCACTTCCACTCAAGACAGCCCCACTGGTGCTCTGGTGACAAAGTGTTCGACCTGGATGTCGGCGGAACGCCGACACCCTGCCGGTGCACGTGCTTAGTATCTTTTCAGACAACCTGTGAAGCTGCGGAAACTGTTATGGGACTCTAGACAAACCTGTAAGACAAAGGTACAAAGAATGAGGAGTTTGTGGTGGGATGGATTTGGCTTGAATCCCAGCTCTGCCATCTACTGGCTGGGTGAGGCCACTCAGGCTCCTGGGCCTCTAGGATGGAGTTCTCATCTGTGCAAACCAGGGGGTTACAGTCAGTAACTCACAAGGGGCTACGGGACTCCGAAGATAGGCGCGCAAGTGTGTTGTAAACACTTAACATCCCAGCCGGGTGCAGTGGCTCACACCTGTCATTCCAGCACTTTGGGAGGCCAAGGCAGGAGGATCACTTGAGCCCAGGAGTTTGAGACCAGCCTGGGCAACAGAGCAAGACCCCATCTCTACAAAAAATTAAAACATTAACTGGGCATGGTGATGTGTGCCTGTAGTCCCAGCTACTCAGGAGGCTGAAGTGTGAGAATCAGTTGAGCCCAGGAGGTTGAGGCTGCAGTGAGCGATGATCAAACCACTGCATTCCAGCCTGGGCAACAGAGCAAGACCCTGTCTCAAAAAAATAAAAAATTAAAATTAAAAATACGTAACATCCCACCCAAGTACTCATGGGTGGATAGACAGAACCATTCCCGCAGAGAGGTCACATGAGCAAAACCTCAGCAGCAAAACACACAACAAATATTTAACCTGGAGTCCAAAGGAAAAATCAGTGAGAAAGATGATGACATCCAATATCCACAGAGTATGTAGCACTATGAACACTCAGTATTGTTCTCTTAGTTCTTCTTTTTTGTGGGGGAGTGGGGGGGTGGGACAGTCTTGCTCTGTCATCCAGGCTGGAGTGTGGGGGTGGGACAGTCTTGCTCTGTCATCCAGGCTGGAGTGGGGGGATGGGACAGTCTTGCTCTGTCATCCAGGCTGGAGTAGGGGGGTGGGACAGTCTTGCTCTGTCATCCAGGCTGGAGTGGGGGGATGGGACAGTCTTGCTCTGTCATCCAGGCTGGAGTGGGGGGGTGGGACAGTCTTGCTCTGTCATCCAGGCTGGAGTGGGGGGCTGGGACAGTCTTGCTCTGTCATCCAGGCTGGAGTGCACTGGCTCCATCTCAGCTCACTGCAACCTCCACCCCCCGGGCTCAAGCGATTCTCCTGCCTCAGCCTCCTGAGTAGCTGGAACTGCAGGTGTGCGCCATCACGCCTGGCTAATTTTTGTATTTTTAGTAGAGATGGGGTTTTGTCAGGTTGGTCAGGCTGGTCTCGAACTCCTGGCCTCAAGTGATCCAACTGTCTCAGCCTCCCAAAGTGCTGGGACTACAGGTGTGGGCCACCACGCCCAGCCTAATTCTCTTAGTTCTCACAGCCATCTTTGTGGTAAGATACTGTTATGAACCCTTGCTAAGGGTTGCAAAGCTGAAGTCACTCGCCTGAGCTCAGGCAGGAGGATGGGGACAGAGCTGGGATTCTAGCCCAGGTCTGTTCAGCCCTGTTGGGACTGGATGCCAGTCAAACTTCTGTTTCCTTGTATTAAACTGGGTTGAAGAATGGTACCCTCCCCTCAATCACATGGTTGTAAGAACAAAATAGGTCAATGCGTACAACGTACTCAAGCTAGTTCCCTAGACATCTCAGGCACTCGGTAAGGTTGCACACTTCCTGCATGCCCCGTGCCGTTCAGGGCTCTGGGGTTGGCAGGTAAGACAGAAGGCCCTGCTCAAGGGTCACCACCACTGTCAGTGAACATTGGAGACCTGGTGCCAGGGAACATTGACTGTGTGGAGAGGGAGGGGGCCTGAGGGTCGCACTCTCCAAGGGCAAGCACTTTGACACAGGCCTGGGTGAAGAGTAGGGAGCTGGCAGGTGGGGCAGGGGACAGGGCCACTGCTCCCCTCAAGTCTAGCAGGTGAGGCCTGCACACTCCACATCTGCCTGCGTGTTCGTTTTCAAGAGAAGCCGGATTGAGTCCTAGAGTGCTAAGAGCTGTGAGGGAGGTGAGGCAGCCAGAGGTTTAACAGCTGGGGCAGACAGGAGTCTGGAATTATCGGGCTCGGACCCACTTTTATAGCTGCCTGGCCTCAGGGAATTCCGCCCTTGAGTTTTCTCCTTGGTAAAGGGGATAATTATAACACACCCCTGTTTCACAGGGTGACCCTAGAATTGAAAATGAGCCAGATAGGCTGGGCATGGTGGCTCACACCTGTAATCCCAGCACTTTGGGAGGCCGAGGCGGGTGGATCACTTGAGACTAGGAGTTGGAGAACAGCCTGGGCAACATGGAGAAACCCCGTCTCTACTAAAAATAAAAAATTAGCTGGGCATGGTGACGCATGCCTGTAATCCCAGCTAGTTGGGAGGCTGAGGCAGGAGAATCGCTTGAATCTGGGAGGCAGAGGTTGCAGTGAGCCAAGATCGTGCCACTGCACTCTGGCCTGGGTGACAGAGCGAGACTCAGTCTCAAAAAAAAAATAATAATAATAATAAAAATAAGAACTGAACCAGAAAACAGCTGTAGAGGATTCAAGGTCTGGCCCAGGGCAGGCCCCTAACGCGCATTTGCTGCCTGCTGCTCTTACTATAAAGGAGAGATCTGCACCCCACCGGAAAATGTATGTGAGTTGGTGCTGCAGGCTTGTTCAAGTACTCCCATCGGCTCCTCTCTCTGACTCTTAAACTGAAGAATCACTGGTGTGGGGTGTAACAGGGATCAGGGGACAACCAGAGGGGGAAGCTGGCCCAGGATAGCACGCACAGTTGGAGGGAGCAGGGGACCACGCAGCCCCGCGCCAGGATCACATCAGCCCCGCTAGGGAACAGAACCAGGAGGGAAAGTGCCTGAAGATTATAGGTCAGCAGGAGAGGGACGGCTTTGCCACGAGAGGTTGCCCCCGAGGACTAACCTGTATCTGCCATGTACTGATTGTCGCCATGTACACAGCACAGAGCATGTACTGTGTAGCAGACACTGCTTTGAATTCTTTGCATGTTGAATGTCATCGAACCTTCTGGCAAACTTGTGTGGTGGGGGCCATTGTGGGCATCGTGAAGACCAGAGAGGTGAAATTTGGGGAGGAGTGCTAGAAGCCAACAGGAACTTGGGAGGAAGCAGGGGAAATGGAAACAGGAAGGCGATATTCCAGAGGGAATTGCTTAAGGAAGGGGAGTCAAAACTGTGACTTGGCTGCTACAACCTGGAGTGATGGCTGTGGGGGTAGGGGTGGTGGGAGATGGTGGCACAGTCCATAGTGAGGAGATGAGAGGCGCTGGCCAGCGGTGCAATGGTGAGTTTCATTTCCAAGACAGTAGCTTTTTATGTGCATCTGTGTCATCTCTCCAGCTATTCTGTACCTGTTCATAAGCGTGGTGTCTTCTCAGCCCTATCCTCCACCTCTCACAGAGCCGCACAGCCTTTTGTGTATAGCAATTACCCCATCAATGTATTCTGCTGTCATAACATAGGATGAGGTCAGCCTTGGGCAGGGAAGAAGAATGGAACCAGACTGCCTGGATTCAAACCTCAAATTCTGCCATTTCCTGGCTGTGGGAACTTAGGCAAGTGGCATAACCTCTCTGGGTCTCAGTTTCCTTCTCCGTAAACAGGGAAACAGTAATAGAACCTCCCTCATGAAGATGTCATGAGGATTAAATGAGTGGGTTGCTGTACAGCGCTTCCAACAGTGCCTGGTACATAGCGACACTCTACACAGGTTAGAGATCATGGTCATTGTTTCGGTTAGTGCAGAGGGGCAGTGGCCACAGGATCCAGAAATTTCACTGGTCAAAAGCCCACCCCAGGCTGCGCGTGGTGGCTCACGCCTGTAATCCTAGGACTTTGGGAGACTGAGGCAGGCAGATCATCTGAAGTCAGGGGTTTGAGACAAGCCAGGCCAACATGGCGAAACCCCGTCTCTACTAAAAATACAAAAATTTGCCAGGTGTGGTGGCGAGCGCCTGTAATCCCAGCTACTCAGGAGGCTGGGGCAGGAGAATTGCTTGAACCCAGGAGGCAGCAATTGCAGTGAGCCGAGATCCTGCCACTGCACTCCAGCCTAGGTGACAGAGCAAGACTCAATACTCTGTCTCAAAAAAAAAAAAAAAAAAAAAAGCCCACTCCCGGATGTGGGAACACAATATTCTCAGATGGGATTTTATTTTCCTGCTGTGAATTCAGCTTCCCTGCCCTCCCTTCCTTGTCTCTGCGGAGGACAGGCAAAGCCAATACTGATTGGGATGCGTGGGCACCCACAGTAACCCTGGTGTCCCCCACGGAACCGTCCATCCCCAGCATAGGGGAGCGGAAGGTACTCACACTCCACAGACAGGTTGAAGGCGGTGGCCCTCTGGCCATACTGGTTCTCAGCCACACACCAGTACTCTCCATCATCCTCGGGTGACACGGCCGGCAGCTCCAGCTGCAGCTCGCTCTCGTAGATGACCGTGGACAGGATCTGCTTCTCCTTGAAGATGGTGAGAATAGGGTCCGGGTTGCTCTGTGTGGAGCACAAGATAGAGACCGTCTCCCCCTCTACGGCCACCATTGTCCCGTTCACTGTTGGCTTCCAGGGTGCATCTGCGGGGTAGGACGGGACTGATGGTCAGAACCCAGGAGGTGCTTCTTCTGCCAGCCAACTACCATCCCCAGATATGACCCCAGATCCCACCCCAAACCTAGCACACCGGTTCAGGAAGGCTCAGGTGACCCCAGTCCTGGCTATCTCATTTCCAAGAACAGCAGCTTGGTAGCCAGCATGCTTGTCTTCAGATCCCTACTCTACCCCTGTCCAGTTGTGTGTGGACCCACATCTTAACCTCTCTGGGCCTCATTTTTCTCATCTGGAAAATGGGCTTCATAATAGTTCCAACCTCATAGGGGTGATCATCCAACATTCACTGAGAACCTGCTGAGTGACAGGCATTGCTCTAGCTTGAACAAGGCCCATGTGGAAACAGCCGATGTAATTAAATAAAATATGTAATTTGTAAGATGGGAAGAAGTGTGTAGAGAAAAATAAAGGGGCTGAGGGTATGGAAAATCAGGGTAGTTACAGTTTGGGATAGGATGATGGGGGAAGGCTTCAGCGAGCCTAGGAGGTGGGCAGAGCCAGCCGTGGGGAATGCCGGGGGGAAGATTGCATGTCAAAAGCATGCAGGAGTCCGAGCGTGGTGGCTCACACCTGTAATCCCAGCACTTTGGGAGGCTGAGGTAGGCAGGTCACCTGAGGTCAGGAGATCGAGAGCAGCCTGACCAACATGGTGAAACCCTGTCTCTACTAAAAATACAAAAATTAGGCTGAGTGTGGTGGCTCACGCCTGTAATCCCAGCACTTTGGGAGGCCGAGGTGGGCAGATCACGAGGTCAGGAATTTGAGACTATTCTGGCCAACATGGTGAAACCCTGTCTCTACTACAAATACAAAAATTAGCCAGGTGTGGTGGTGTGCGCCTATAATTCTAGCTACTCGGGAGGCTGAGGCAGGAGAATTGCTTGAACAGGGAAGTGGGAGGTTGCAGTGAGCCAAGATTGCTCCATTGCCTTCCAGCCTGGCGACAGAGCCAGACTCTGTCTCAAAAAAAAAAAAAAAAAAAAAGCACTCAAGAGCTGTGGAGTAAATGTTGGCTGCGGCTGTCATTATTAATATCCCCAGTGCTGGGCACTTTGCCTCAGTACACATTTGTGAATGAATGAATGGTATCTCTTTGGTTCTCAGCTAAGAATCCTCTTCTGACCAGCTCCCTTCTTGCTGGCCCAGTAATATAAATGTGCATACAAGGGGCTGGATGAGGCCTGAAGTCCCCTCAACCCTCTCATTAGAACTACAATGGAATTCATTTAAAAATGCAGATTCCTGGACAGGCACGGTGGCTCATGCCTCTAATCCCAGCACTTTGGGAGGCTGAGGCGGGAGGATCACTTGAGCCCAGAAGTTTAAGACTAGCCCAGGGAACATATCGATTCTCTGTCTCTATAAAAAAATAGAAAAATTGGCTGGGTGTGGTGGCACCTGCCTGTGGGCCCAGCAGCGCAGCAGGCTGAGGTGGGAGGCTTGCTTGAGCCCAAGAGTTTGATACCAGCCTGGGCAACATAGCAAAATCCCACCTTTACAAAAAAAATCTGAAAATTAGCCTGGAGTGTGGTGGTGCACACCTGTAGGCCCAGCTGCTCAGGAGGCTGGGGTAGTAGGCTTGCTTGAGCCCAGGAGTTTGAGGGCAAGTGGTGCTATCATGGTGCCACTGCATTCCAGACTGGGCAACAGAGCAAGGCCTTGTCTCCAAAAAAATTTTATAAAGTAAAACGCAGATTCCTGGGACCAGACCCACATCAAGTCCCAGAACAACCAGGAACTGCCCCCAGGAAGCTGCAGTTAACAGGCTTCCCTAGGAGGCAGGCCTGGGTCTTGTCCTGGAAGGAGGATGAGGCAGAGCAGGTGTTCCCCAGATTCTTGTGGAAAGAATGAAGGTACACCTTGACTTGCAACCCCCCTGTCTACCTTGGCCTCGACTGTTTATGGCCGGTCCCCTCGGGACCCAGCCCATGCTCGCCCTGGATGAGGCCCCTTTCCCTTTATCTCTCGGCTGCAGGTGGGCGTGTGGACGCACAGAGTGGGCCACTCACACATGACACTGAGCCCCACGGTGCGGTTGTCCTGGCCATAGGCATTCTCGGCCAGGCAGGCATAGACGCCGTCTTCGGCGGGGGTCACCTCCTCCAGCTCCAGGAGCAGGCTCTCGGCCACCGCCTCCCGGAGGACTGTCCCGTCCCGCATCCAGGTCAGCAGCGGCGGGGGGTTGCTGTCAGCCCCACAGAGCAGGCTCACGTGGGAGCCCTCGATGGCCTCCACCGAGGAGTTCATCTCCACAATCACCGGGGGGTCTAAGGCCCGCGACACAGCGAGGTTAGTGAGCAGGTGCTGGGGAACCGGCCCAGTGCCCTCTCCCAGCCCGGCCCCGCCCCCAACACTGTCCGGCCCCGCCCTCAGCCTTGGCCCCGCCCCAGGACTGCCTGGTTCCGCCCCCGTCCCACCCAACCCCCCAATCCCTGCCTGGCCCTGGGCATGGCCCCGCCCCCATCACGGCCCGGCCCCGCCTCCGGCCGCATCCCCAGGTCCACCCCCTCCCCGGACCCCGCCCCACCCCGCCCCACCCCGCCCCGCCCGCACCCAGGCTCACACTTGACGTCCATGCTGGCGTAGCCCTCGAACTGCAGGGTGGTGTTGGGGAAGGAGGCCTGGCAGCCCAGCCTGTGGCCGTTGGCCTCCCTCGTGGGCACGAAGTGCAGCAGTGACACCTGCACCCAGGTGCCCTCGTCCTCCCGCAGCCGGCCCAGCACAGCGGGCTCCCCCAGCCCCTCGTGGCCCAGCCAGCTCAGCTCAGGGCGCAGCTCTGGGCAGTTGTCCGGCACCATGCAGCTGACCTCCACCTCCGTGCCTGCCACCACCTCTGGGGGCACCACGATGTTGGGGGTGTCTATACGAGGCGGGGAAAGGGAGGGCTGAGAAAGCAGCACTGGGCTACGGTCCCGGTCCCACCCCACCCACCCTCCTCCTTGTCCACCTCCATTGCTGGCAATGGTACTCCTCAACGGTATCGCCTCCGCTCCCTGCCTCCAGATTCAGAATTCCCTTTACCCTTCCTCCTCTTGGTCACCCCGGAGCCCTCCACGGAGCCACCAGAGCGCCATCGTAATGAAAATCACAGTGTCGTGGCCAGAGCACTTGACGGCGTTTAACTTGCCAGTCCCTCCCGCAAAGCGAGAGGGTGAGGACTGTAATTTTGCTCATTTTGCAGATGAAGAAACTGAGGCTGCAGCTGGCACCAGGTAACACTGGCTACAAACCCTGTGGCTCTGGCGTCAGCGTGGGCTCCCCACACCTCATCACTTCCCAAGCGGCTCTCCTCTCCCATGCCTGCTTGGTTTACCCTCCGCCGGGCATGTGAGTGTGTGTGTGTGTAGGTATGTGTGTGTGTGTGTGTGTGGTGTGGGTGTGTGGTGCATGTGTGTAGTGTGATGTGTGTGGTTTGTGTAGTATGTGGTGTGTTTGTGATGTATGTGTGTAGTGTGTGGTTTTTGTGTATGGTATGTGTGCAGTGTGTGTTGTGTGTGTGATGTGTGGTTTGTGTGGTGTGGGTGTAGAGCGTGGTGTATGTGGTGTGTGGTCTGTGTCATGTGTGGTGTGTGTGTGATGTGTGGGTAGTACATGTATGTGTGCAGTGTGTGTGGGGTGTTGTGTAGTTTGGGTCGTGTGTGGTATGTGGTTTGCGTAGTACGTGGTGTGTGTGGTGTGTGGTGTGTGTGTGGTGTGGTTTGTGTGGTGTGAGTGTAGTATGTGGTGTGTATGCGGTGTGTGGTTTGTATCATGTGTGGTGTGTGTGTGCTGTGTGTAGTGTGTGGTATGTGTGTGGTGTGTGGGTAGTGCATGTATGTGTGCAGGGTGTGTAGGGTGTAGTGTGTGTGGTTTGTGTAGCATGTAATTTGTGTGTAGCGCATGGTGTGTGTTTGGTGTAGAGGTAGTGTCTGCAGTGTGTGTTGTGTGGTTTCTGTAGTATGTGGTGTGTGTGTGCAGTGTGTGGTGGGTATAGTGTGTGGTTTGTGTGTGTGGTGTGTGCATGGTGTCTGGTTTGTGTGGTGTGTGTTTGGTGTGTGGTGTGTATTTGGTGTGTGGGTAGTGTGTAGGTAGAGTGTGTGGTGTGTGGCGTGTGGTTTGGGTACTGTGTGGTGTGTGTGCAGTGTGTGGTTTTTGTAGTGTGTGTTGTGCATGTTTGTTGTGTGTGGAGTGTGTGGTTTGTGTTGTGATGTGTGGGTAGTGCATGTATGTGTAGTGTGTATAGGGTGTAGTGTGTGCGTGGTTTGTGCAGTGTGTAGTGTGTGTTTGATGTGTGGGTAGCATGTGCAGTGTGTGGTGTATGTATGTGGTGTGTGTAGTGTGTGGTGTGTGTAGTGTGTGGCATGTGGGTAGTGTGTGCACTGTGTGTGTAGTTTATGTGGTGTGTGGTGTGTGTGTGGTGCGTGGGTAGTATGTGCAGTGTGTGGTGTGTGGTTTGTGTAGTGTGTGGTGTGTGTTTGGTGTGGTGTGTGTGTGTAGCATGTGCAGTGTGTGATGTGTGGTTTTTGTAGTGTGGTATGTGTGTGTGGTGTGTGTTTGGTGTGTTGTGTGTGTGGTGTGTGGTTTGTGTAGCGTGTGTTGTGCATGTTTGTTGTGTGTGGGGTGTGTGGTTTGTGTTGTGATGTGGGGGTGGCGCATGTATGTGTACAGTGTATATAGGGTGTAGTGTGTGTGTGGTTTGTGCAGTGTGTAGTGTGTAGTGTGTGTTTGGTGTGTGGGTAGCATGTGCAGTGTGTGGTGTATGTGTGTGGTGTGTGTAGTGTGTGTAGTGTGTGTGGTGTGTGGGTAGTGTGTGCAGTGTGTGGTGTGTAGTTTATGAGGTGTGTGGTGTGTGTGTGGTACGTGGGTAGTATGTGCAGTGTGTGATGTGTGGTTTATGTAGTGTGTGGTGTGTGTGGTGTGTGTGGTGTGTGTTTGGTGTGGTGTGTGGGTAGTGTGTGTGTGGCATGTGCAGTGTGTGGTGTGTAGTTTTTGTAGCGTGGTGGATGTGTGGTGTGTGTTTGGTGTGGTGTTTGTGTGGTGTGTGTGTAGTGTGTGTGTAGCGTATGCAGTGTGTGGTGTGTGGTTTTTGTAGTGTGGTGTGTGTGTGGTGTGTGTGTTTGGTGTGGTGTGTGTGTGGTGTGTGGGTAGTGTGTGTAGTGTATGAAGTGTGTGGTGTGTGGTTTGTGTAGTGTGTGATGTGTGTGGTGTGTGCTTGGTGTGGTGTGTGTGGTGTGTGTGTAGTGTGTGGTGAGTTTTTGTAATGTGGTGTGTGTGTGTGGTGTGTGTTTGGTGTGGTGTGTGTGTGGTGTGTGGTTTTAAAATCCTTTAAGCCAAATAGAATACAGCTATGGCCAGACATGGCAATCAGAATAGGGCACACTGCCTGATTTCAGGGATCCCCCTGCCTCATTTCTGAGTGGCGCTGCTGCTTGGAGTCCTCAGCGCCAAGCAGTGTGTGTGTGTGTAGTGTATGCAGTGTGTGGTGTGTGGTTTGTGTAGTGTGTGTGTGTGGTGTGTTTGGTGTGATGTGTATGTTTGGTGTGTGGGCAGTGTGTAGGTAGCAGGAGCAGTGTGTGGTGTGTGGTTTGTGTAGTGTGTGATGTATGTGTAGTGTGTGGTGTGTGGGTAGTGTGTAGGTAGAGTGTGCAGTGTGTAGTGTGTGATTTCTGTAGAGTGGTGTGTGTGTGTACTGCACCTGTGCAGTCTCTTTCTGCACCAGGGTGAACCCGGCTCTCTCATAGGGACTCAGCGCTGAGGACTCCAAGCAGCAGCGCCACTCAGAAATGAGGCAGGGGGATCCCTGAAATCAGGCAGTGTGCCCTATTCTGATTGCCATGTCTGGCCATAGCTGTATTCTATTTGGCTTAAAGGATTTTAAAAAAAGAAATCTGAATCAGCAACCAAAATTTAAGAATTAGGAGATTACACCAAAGAATCCAAAATTCTGGTTTATCTTGAAAATTCAGAACACCTGACAGCCACCGCCCTGCTTTCTGTTGGCCAGAGCTGGGGGCCACGTGCCAGGTGCTGCTCTGGGCATCTGATGGCTTTTCACTCATTGCCTTAAGTGCTGTTCTTATCCCCATTTTACGGAAAAGAAAACCAAGGCCCAAGGAAGTTAAGTCACTTGCCCAAGATCACCACGCTAAAGTGGGGGCCCAGCAGCCTTGCCCCTACCCCCTGGCCCCACTGCCTTTCTCCAGGTGTTTCCAAAAGAGTAGCAGCACCTGTTTCCCCCTGAGGGCAGCAAGACTATTTTGGGGCCCTGCTTTGTTCATGTCTGTCATCTGCATGGTCTGCGTGGGCCTTGAGGTTTGCACCCCCAGCCAAATCAGCACCTCCCAGATCTGCCATCCAGGCCTGCTGGGGAAGGTGCGGGGAGGCCTTCCGGCCACACTCCTTCCCGCCCCGCTGCCCCAGCTCCCGGTGCCTGCACAACCGCTGGGGACTCACTGACGATATCCAGGACGCTGTGCTCTGAGAAGGTGTACTGGTTGTAGCCGCCCAGGTCCCCACGGAAGTAGTACTTCCCGCCCAGCTCGGGGCTGACGTTGCTGAGCAGGAGGGTGCAGTTTCGCAGGCCCAGGTCCCCCAGGAGGCGGCTGCGGCCCTGGAAGCTCTCGTGGACTACTTGGGTGCGCGACTTGAAGACCACCGGGGGGTAGTTCTTGGGGTAGGGGCTATTGAAGTACCAGACACCATGCACCACAGCGGGCCGCAGCTCATCCGGGAAGTCAAAGCGGCAGGGGATGGAGACGCACGTGCCTTCGAAGGCCGAGATGGACGAGGGCATCCAGGCACCCCAGTGACCCCCTCGGGAGGCTGCGGGCAAGCAGGAGAGCTGAGGCTCAGGGACACGTCCTACCCGATCACCCCCTCCGGCTCCCATCCCCAACCACATGCCGGGGGGCTGCGGGGACCCACCTCCAACCTGCTCAGGGGCCAAAGCCTTTAGGTCCCCAGCACCTGTCAGCCGTTACCTGAAATCATAATCCAGAACAGAGGCAGTGCCGTGAGGAATATCATTCTGTACAGCGAGTGAGTGATCGCTGGAAAGGGAGAGGAGAGGGTTAAAGGCTGGGGGAAGTGAAAGGGGGTGTTCCATCTGGGCTTCAGGAAGGGGCCCATTCATATGTTAGCTGCTGCTGCTATTATTATTTATTTATGCATTTATTTACTTATTTTTCTGAGACAGGGTCTTGTTTCATTGCCCGGGCTGGAATGCAGTGACACAATAACAGCTCACTATAGCCTCAAAATCCTGAGCTCGTGTTATCCTCTTGTCTCAGCTTCTGGTATGCGCCACCCCACACCCAGTTAATTTTTCTTCTTTTTTGTGGAAATGGTTGTGGAGGTGGGGTCTTACTATGTTGCCCAGGCTGGTCTTCAACTCCTGGCCTCCAGCAATATTCCTGCCTTGGCTTCCCAAAGGATTACAGGTGTAAATCACCATGCCTGGTCTGCTGATATTTTTTAACTTTTTACTTTTTGAGATGGGGTCTCAGCCCTGTCACCCAGCCTGGAATGCAGTGGTGCAATCGTGGCTCACTCAACTGCAGCTTCAATCTGCCAGGCTTAAGCGATCCTTCAGAGTAACTGGGACCTCAGGTACACACCACCATGCCTGGCTAATTTTATTTTAGTTTATTTATTTGGTTATTATTATTATTTTTTTTAGAGATGGGAGTCTTGCCATGTTCTGTGTTGCCCAGACTGGTCTTGAACTCCTTGGCTCAAGCGATCCTCCTGCCTCAGCCTCCCAAAGTGTTGGGATTACAGGCATGAGCCACCTCACCCAGCCTGCTGCTATTACTTATAATTATAAACCCTTCTATGGCATTGGCCATGTGCCAGCCCTCACTGCTTATTCTGCTGTCTTAACTCATTGGATCTCTTTGAGGAAGATGCATTATCCTCATTTTATAGCTGAGGTCCAGAGAGGTTAAGTGACTCGCCCAAGGCCACACAGTTGGTCTGCAGTCTTTGCTGCATGTCCTGTCTCTATGCAGTGATGATGTGCTGATCATTATCTTTGTCACCGTGATGCCCCTGGAGATCTCCAGAAAGTAAGAACCAGAGAGCCAAGGCAGGGCCAGCATTGCAAAGCTGAAGCAAGGGAAGAGAGTTGGTACCCTGCCCCTCACCTGAATCTCCCTGAGTTGGGGACGTCTTCTGGGTCCACCTGAAGCCGCCAGACAACCTGCATGCAACAAGAGTCACTCAGGTGCAAGGGGGCGGGATTGAGGCACCCAACCCACCCCCGCTTCAGTATCTCCTGCATGGGTTGTGACCTGTTGTCAGGCTGCCCATGTGGCCCTCCCATTGTGCCTGGGACCCTCCCACACAGCCTCGAAGCCACTCTCTGGCAACAACTCCCTCCAAGCTGGGGTGTCAGAGAACTGTGGGGAGGGAAGGGGGAACGACCGCATCGGGGTACGGGGGTGAGACTGAGGGGTGTGGCGAGTGGAGTGAGGGAGCAGATGTCCCACGGCCGGGGCCTGGGGGTGGCGGGCAGGGACCCAGAGCCATCAATGACTGGGTTTCACAGTATCAGCATTCCCGACATGCCGCGTGAATTCCTGCCGCCCTCTCCCACCCCACAGACGGCCCCTGGTGTCCGCACCCTCACCAGAAGCTGGTCCCCGGTACAAAAGAGTCCTGTTCCCTCGGGGAGAGGGTGTTTTAGCCTGCGGGGGGCTTTCAGGGTAAGTGGGGAGTAAGAAAGGGGTCAGGCACTCCTGGCTGGCCTTTGAGCAGGGCCAGGAAGGCCCAGGGTGGGGGCTAGCGAGCCCCTGGCACCCTGCTGCTCCATGGGTTGCCTTGGGGTTGCAGCCAGGGTTTCCAAGCAATTGCTTTTCCCAGCCTTCACCGCCCTCTTCCCACGGACAGAGACACATGCACAGACACATCCAATCGCGGGGATGAAATGTGACAGATGTAGCCCCAGCCAGAAGGGGCAGGCACACGCAGCGGAGACTCATACAGACACCCAGACAGGACCCTGAACACACAGACAGGCACAGGGACCCCTGTGCCCACAGGGATGGGCTGGCACTCACATAGTTCCCAAGGCGTGCATGCAATGCCTCTGCTGCTGTCCACACACACCTGGACAGACACAGCCCTGGCATTCAGCACACACACACACACACACACACAGCCCAGCATGCATGCCAGGCTAACAAAGATGCAAGGAACTGCACACACACACTGAGGATGGCTATAGACGCGTCCACTCAGACACGCGCCGATGGACACCTGGCCGACGCTGCCCTTGCACCTGTGACAGGAAGGTACAGGAGAGAGATGCAGATGAGGATGAGCACGTGCCCGGGCAGACATGAAACAAGCAGGTAGACCATGCACTCTTAACAGCGGGGAAAACAAGTTCTCGGGATGGGGGCCAAATCAACCTCAGCTATTACAGTGTGTGTGGCCACAGTCCATAAACATATGTACAGCAGATCTGTTGGATTAAAATGCCAAGGGAAGGATGGGATGAGGACAAATGCATCTAAAAAGTTTCTGTAGTTGGGGCCGGGCGCAGTGGCTCACGCCTGTAAACCCAGCACTTTGGAAGGCCAAGTTGGGAGAATCTCTTGTGCCCAGAAGTTTGAGACCAGCCTGGGCAATATAGTGAGAGTCCCGTCTCTTAAAAAAAAAAAAGTAACGAAAAATAAAAAGTGTCCTTAGTGGGGATTAATGAAGAAAAGTCGACTGAGGCTTACAGAGGAAGGTGCATGGGCAGCCATGTGTGTGCACGCACACGCACACACACACACACACACACCTGCTATGTGCCCAGGTGCTAGAATGCAGTCACTAACAGCCCACTGCCCCCATCCACCTCCCAGATTGCAGCCTGCAGGTGTCTGATCACCTGGACATCCTTCCATTCTTCGGCCAGATGCAGACCTCCTCCACCCCATCTGCCCCGCACTCGGGAACCCCAAGGAAACCTCTCCTGCAAAATCTTCACCCACAAGGGGTGCTGAGGGGGGGCCCTTTGTTTTTTCTCTCTGTGGTTTCTTCCCAGAGCCCCATCGCTGCCCCAGCGATGGTCCGAGCCCATCCCCAAAGCAGCCCCAAGCCACACACTCCTGCATCCTAAATCAGTAGCGGTGCACAGCGATGCTCCCTCACCCAGAGCACCTGACCCTGCTCACGTCTGGGTGCCACTGCCCCGGTGCCCTGCTCCCCTTGCCCTGGCCTCCCTGCCACCATACTCACTTGGACTCAGTTGCTTCTGCACCTCTGCTCCGCCAGCCCAGCTCGCAGTCCCCTGCCTTCCAGGGTCTAGGCCCCCACTTGCCAGCCCCTCCCCTCCCCCTGGGTGCCAGGGGCCGCCTGCCTCCAGGGCCCAGCTCCTCCCTACCCCCGGGGGAGGGGGGCACAAAGGGGCCCTTGTCACCACGGGGCTCGGACTGGGCAGCCTGACGCCTGGGTTCTCCTAGCTCTTTCCTGGAGGGGTCGGGAGTGGCTGCCTTGCTCTCTCCCCATCTTCCATCCCTGTACACCCTGATTCTGGGTCCCGGGGGTGGGGGGGCAGTCTAATCTCTTTGGAAGTCCCAGGCTGAGGGACAGAGGCATTGTCCTCAGGGAATCTTGGTGGCAACATTAGGTGGGCAGCAGGAGGAGACAGGTCCTTTCCACCCTCAACGTCAGTGTCACCTCCTCTTGCCATCTGAAATGACCTTCCGTGTTCACCAACTCCTTTCATGAGAACGTGACCTCCACCAGGCCAGAAGCTTCGTCTTGGATATTCTCAATCCATCCTTGCTCGTAGACAAGCTCCTGGCAGGCAGTTGAGCTTAATAAACAGTGTGGGTGGTTGAATGTGTTCCCCAGAGCCCCAGGGCACCTTCAGACTCAAGGCCTGTGCACCTGCTGCTCATTCTTCCTGGAAAGCAGTCCCCACCCCATAGCACTCCCCACTCTGGCACTGGCTGCCGTTCACCCATCCTGTAGGCTCAGCAGCCTGGGTGCCGCTTCCCTGGGAAGCTTTCCCATCTTCGCCCATCAGCCAGGCCCCTCCATTGCAATGCTGTCCTTTCCTTCTGTAGCCTTGGCAGGCTGGCCCGTGTGCACCCTAGGTCTGCCCGCCTCTGCCTCCCACTAACCCAGGAGCTCTCAGAGGCAGGGGCTCACCAGAAACCTATCTGCCTCTCTGTCTGTCATGTGCACCCTTCTGTCCCCGGGGCAGTGCTTGGTGCACATAGGACTGTGCTGACCAAGTTGGGCAAGGACCCTCTGAGTGCAGATTCCACCCCTTGGTCATGACTTTTGCAAGGTGGGTGGGGGCTCGGGGCAGCTGGAGGTGGCGTGACAAAGTGCAGCAGTGATTTCACCATGAGCTGTTCAGCCTCACTGGGACATCTCCTGTCCTCCTTCAGGCCAGAGCAGTGGGGAGGGGGGGTCCTCGCTCTCAAGGGAGAACCCAGGGGGTGAGGGGCGGGGAAATCCCTCAGACCAGGGAGAGAAGCGTTGTGGGGCTGGGGGGGAGTTGGAGGGGGAGGGGGAGTCCCACCCCCACCCCAGGCTTCATGATGTCAGACTCTGCCCGTGCCTTTCCCAGTCCGGGACAAAGGACCATTGAGAGTCGGGCGGGGCTTGAATGCCTGGGTCCTGGAGAAGAGAGGGGCCTGGTGCCTGGGCTTTGGTGGTGGTGGTCGGGGTGACAAGGAGATCCTGGGGGGTATTTGCATGTCACAGCCTTCAGCATCAACACCCACCTAGTTGGAGCTGGAGTCGTGTGCTGGTGCAGTGTGGGGCTCCATCTCCTCCCTGGGTGTGAACTGAAGGCTGTTGCTGGGGAGAGGACAGTGTCCCACAGGAGCACTCGCAATAGTCGCTGACATCAGCAACTCGGGTCTCCAGGAGACCTGTGGGAGCGAGGCGGCTGGAGCCCATGAGAGGAAGGGGCTGGGTGACAGGACCTGTGACTGGCGGGCAGGTGCCCTGTCTAAGGGGACAACTGACCCGCAGATCCAGTGGCCGGTGCTGCCGTATCAGCTGATCTTTTACGAGAGAGCAGGTGTATCAGTTTTCCAGGGCTGTTACAACAAAGTTTCACAAACTGGGTGGCTTAAAAACCGGAATTGAGGCCATGCACGGTGGCTCACACCTGTACTCCCAGTGCTTTGGGAGGCCAAGGCGGGCAGATCACGAGGTCAGGAGATCGAGACCATCATGGCTAACACGGTGAAACCCTGTCTCTACTAAAAATACAAAAAATTAGCCGGGCATGGTGGCAGGCGCCTGTAGTCCCAGCTACTCAGGAGGCTGAGGCAGGAGAATGGCGTGAACCCGGGAGGCGGGGCTGGCAGTGAGCGGAGATTGCGCCACTGCACTCCAGGCTGGGCAACAGAGCAAGACTCCGACTCAAACAAACAAACAAACAAACAAACAAAAAACCCTGCCAGAATTGAGCTTGAATTCCAAGATCAACAAGATCAAGTGCTGGCAGTGTTGGTTCCTTCTGAGGGGTGTGAGGATCTGTTCCGGGCCTTTCTCTGTATGGCATCTTCATCTTCACATTCCCTTCCCCCTGTATTCACCCCTGCCCAGATTTGCCGTTTATTTATTTATTTATTTATTTATTTATTTATTTATTTATGTTTGAGACATAGTATTGCTTTGTCATTTAGGCTGGAATGCAGTGGTGCAATCATACCTTACTGCCACCTCCACCCTCCAGATTCAAGCGACTCTCTTGCTTCAGCCTCTCAATAGTAACTGGGACTACTGGCACTTTTTTTTTTTTTTTTTTTTTTGCTAGAGACAGGGTCTCACTATATTGCCCAGGCTGGTCTTGAATTCCTGATCTCAAGCAGTCCTCCTGTGTTGGCCTCCCAAACTGCTGGGATTACAGGTGTGAGTCACTGTACCCTGTCAGATTTAGGAAACCAGTTATATTGGATTAGGATTCTCCCGTCTCATTTTAACTTGATTACCTCTGTGAAGACCCTGCCTCCAACTAAGGTCACATTCTGAGCTACTAGGCGTTAGGACTTCAATGTGAGTTTTGAATTCCTAGCAGCAGGAATTCAGAATGAAGCTCTCGGCCATGGGGAGCTCTCACTTAAAGCTTAAAGCTCTCATAGATGGGAGCTGAGGCTCAATCCATCCAAGAGCCTTTGCTGCCCTCAGACAATGGTGTCAGCTTCACAACCAGTCCTCCACAGGACTGCAGCTTGCTCAAAATGCAAGGTCAAGGGCCCCGCCTTGCACCTGTGGAATCAGAAATTCTGGAGGCCCAGCTATCTGCAGTTTATTTGTTTATTTGTTTTACAGACATCGTCTCACTGTGTCACCCAGGCTGCAGTGCAGTGGTGCCATCATAGGTCACTGCAGCCTTGAATTCCTGGCCTCAAGTAATCCTCCCGTCTCAGCCTCGTAAACCACTGGGATTATAGGCATGCTCCACCACGCCCAGCCTCATCTGCATTTTATTTTTATTTATTTAATTTTTTTTGAGACAGAGTCTCATTCTGTCACCCAGGCTAGAGTGCAGTGGCAAGGTCTCAGCTCACCTCAGCTTCTGCCTCCCAGGTTCAAGCAATTCTCGTGCCTCAACCTCCCGAGTAGCTGGGACTACACGTGTGCACCACCACACCCAGCTAATTTTTGTATTTTTAGTAGAGACGGGCTTTCACCATGTTGGCCAGGCTGGTCTCGAACTCCTGGCTTCAAGTGATCCTCCAGCCTCAGCTTCCTAAAGTGCTGGGATTACAGGCTTGAGCCACTGAGCCTGGACCCATCTGCATTTTTGCAGGCCCTCCAGGAGATTTTGAGCACGCTGAAATTTGAGTATCTCTGCTTTACATGTTCTCCCATCTCTCTAGGACCACCCCAGAGAACTGCTTGCTCAGGAGAGAAGAGCACCCCGTGTCATTAAGTGTAATTCCTGATTTCAGGTTTCCCACCTGCCAGGAGGGAGGCCTCTACCCTCTCCTGTCAATATGAATCCTTTACATTGAGGAAGCATTGGACAGTTTCCAAAGCAATTTCACACTCATTCCCTTGGTTGAGCAGCTCTAGAGCCAGTTAAGCTAAGTCCTGTATGGACTTAGCTTCTGTTCCTTTTTTGTTTTTTTTTTTTTTTTTTGAGATGGAGTCTTGTTCTGTCACCCAGGCTGGAGTGCAGTGGCATGATCTTGGTTCACTGCAACCTCTGCTTCCTGGGTTCAAGCGATTCTCCTGCCTCAGCCTCCAGAGTAGCTGAGATTATAGGTGTGCGCCAACACGCCTGGCTAATTTTTGTATTTTCAGTAGAGACGGGGTTTCACCATGTTGGTCAGGCTGGTCTCAAACTCCTGACCTCAGGTGATCCACCCGCCTTGGCCTCCCAAAGTGCTGGGATTACAGCGTGAGCCACCACGCCCAGTGCCTCTGTTCTTTTAAAGGTAAGGAGAGGCCAGGCATGGTGGCTCACAACTGTAGTCCCAGCATTTTGGGAGGCTGAAGTGGGAGGATCATTTGAAGCCATGAGTTTGAGACCCGCCTGGGCAACACAGCCAGATCCACGTCTCTACACAAAATACAAAACTTTAGCGGGGCGTGGTGATAGGCACCTGCGGTCCCAGCTACTCAGGAGGCAGAGGTGGGAGGATCGCTTGAGCCCGGGAGATCAAGACTGCAGTGAGCCATGATCACACCACTGCACTTCAGCCTGGGCTATGGAGCAAGACCCAGACTAAAAAAATAAAATAAAAAATACAGATGAGGAGGTGGAGCTCCGGATATGAAGAAGATGCATGCAAGATGTTACAGCTAATAAGAGGCCAAGCTCACCACAACTCCCCTCTCCCTATCCCTTCAGTTTTCATTCAGGAAACCTCCCCTCCCAGAGGACAAGCCTCTGTGGATTCCAAAGCGAAGGCAGACATTGATGGTGCCCCAGACTGATCTGGCGCCCAGCTGGGCTTCGTTTGGCTCACAGAATGTTGATGTTAAAAGACAAATTGCTTTGCTCAGTTGCCAATACTGTCAAAGCAAGAAATCTCTAATAAAAATAGGAATTCCCACCTTCTCTTGACAAAATCAGAAGTTCTAGTCAGGTTTACCTGCCTTGGGTGTGGCAGCCGTGTCTTGGAGCCCTCTCCCGCCCAGCCTGGGCCTTCCCACTCCCTGCCCACACCCAACATTGAGGCCGAATGACCAATGCCCTTTACCATCAAGTGAGAGCTGTTGCTTCCTGGGAGCTAAGAAGACAGTGAAATAACAGCCCCTATGTCTGTTTCTATCAAATGTGGGCAGGCCAGGCCCACCTGTAATCACAGCATTTTGAGTGGCTGAGGCGGGTGGATCACTTGAGGTTAGGCGTTTAAGACCAGCTTGGCCAACACGGTGAAACCCTGTCTCTACTAAAAATATGAAAATTAGCCAGGCATGGTGGCGGGCGCCTGTAGTTCCAGCTACTCAGGAGGCCAAGGCAGGAGAACCGCTTGAAACTGGGAGGTGGAGTTTGCAGTGAGCTGAGATCGCGCCACTGCACTCCAGCCTGGGCGACAGAGTGAGACCCTGTCTCAAAAATAAATAAATAAACAGTAAAAATATTTTCCCAGTTTCAGTTTCTAATACATCAGGCAACTAGAGATATAGCCCACTTTATCAAGAGCTTTTTGGAGTCCTCAATAATTTCTCAGAATGTAAAGGGGTCCTAAGACCAAAAGGTGTGAGGCCCATGGCCTTCAGAGGCCATCCAGGTATAGCAGATGAGCGAGGTATGGGGGATTGTTACACAGGAGCATCTTAAGTTGTATTCTCTCAGGAAGGACACACTTTGCACGTGAAACATATAGGAATATAGTTCACCTCCACAAGGAACTGAGTTCCTGCCCATTCTTCTTTTTTTTTTTTTCTGGAGACAGGGTCTCACTCCGTCGCCCAGGCTGGAGTGCAGCAGTGTTGTCTTGGCTCACTGTAACCTCCACCTCCAGGGTTCAAGTGATTCTCCTGACTCAGCCTCCTGACTAGCTGGGATTACAGGCACATGCCACCATGCCTGGCTAATTTTTGTAGAGACGGTGTTTCACCATGTTGGCCAGGCTGGTCTTGAACTCCTGACCTCAAGTGATCTGCCTGCCTCAGCCACCCAAAGTGCTGTAGGCATGAATCACCACCCCTGGCCCCTCCCATTCTTGAAAGCTGTATTGCTCTCATTTTCGTTGCCCCATTTTTTTTTTTTTTGACACCAGGTCTTCTTCTGGAACTCCCAGTCTTAAATTATCCTCCTGCCTCAGCCTCCCGAGTAGCAGGGATGGTGCAACTGCACCGGGCTAGAAACTGGGACATTTAAAAGCGTGAGATACACCAGCACACAATCCATTAGCCATCTGGTGATGATGCCAACAGGTGTCGCAGAGCCTCCTGGAAACTCCATTGTATACTCATGAGAGAACCAGGGTGAAAAAGGCAAATAAACATCTTTGTAGGCCGGGCGTGGTGGCTCACACCTGTAATCTCAGCACTTTGGGAGACTGAGACGGGTGGATCACTTGAGGTCAGGAGTTCGAGACCAGCCTGGACAACATGGCAAAACCCCACCTCTACTAAAAATACAAAAATTAGCCAGGTGTGGTGGCACGTGCCTGTAGTCCCAGCTATTCAGGAGGCTGAGGCAGGGGAATCGCTTGAACCTGGGAGGTGGAGGTTGCAGTGAGCCAAGATCATGCCACTGCCCTCCAGCCTGGGTGACACAGAGAGACTCTGCCTCAAAAAAAAAAAAAAAAGAAAGAAAAAAAAGGAAAAAAAAAGGAAAAAAAAAGTCTTAGTAGTTTCCACCTTCAGGAGCCCTACAAAAGGAGTCCCTGGATCTTACTTTGAGAACCTTTATAGCAGTGTCCAATGTTTTGGCTTCCCTGGGCCACACTGGAAGAATTGTCTTGGGCCACACATAAAACACACTAACACTAATGACAGCTGATGAGAAAAAAAAAAATTGCGGAAAAATCTCATAATGCCTTAAGAAACTACAAATTTGTGTTGGGTGCATTCAAAGCCATCCAGGGCTGCATGTGGCCTCCAGGTTGGACAAGCTTGCCTTACAGGCACTGATTTCTACAGCTGTTTTAGGAAGATCTCAAGGAGAGGAAACATTAACTTTCATCCCCTATTATTGCAACATGAAGGGGGAGAACAGAAACAAATTTTCTTCACCAACTTTCCTGGCAACCTCCAGGACACACCAGCCCCACATGACCCACCAAGCACTGGTGCTTGCAAGGCAGGGTCAGGACAAGCTCTTAGCACAGACACTCGGCAGAGAGAAAGGACAACAGACACTCTGGTTTGGAAAACAAAAGAACCAGCCATTTTATTCCAAGACCTATGTTCTGGGGCAGCAGGAATAAATAAGGAAGGGAGGGGACGGGGGCAGGGCAGGTAGGTTCTACGTCTTGCAGCACATCCCACACTTTGATCGATGACAGCAGCCGCAGCAGAAAATGCAGATGGGGAAGTGGGTGTCTCGCCTCCTTCGCCTCTGGAACATGGGCTGTGGGAAGGAAGGGAATGTGAGCAGGGAACCGGCCTTAGCATGGGGAGGGAGCAGGGGGCTAGGAAAGGCATCACTGTTGCGCTCACCATCCAGCTGGCCCTGGCTCCAGCTCTGTCCTGGGGTTGCAGCTCTGCAAGTTGTCCCGTCTGTGAAAGCAGAAGGGGGTGCAGAGGATGGCAGGGGGCCCAGTGGACCTCTGAGACTGGCTCCCGGCAACCTGCTCCTCTCCAAGTGGTTTAAACCCAGAGCTCAAATGGACTCTTAGGAGGGGCCTTGCTTTCTTGCTTCTGCTCACCTTCCCATGGGCGGCTTTTCCTAAAAAAAAAAACCTCCCAGATCCGCCTCCTCCTCTTTCCACAGCTGCTACTCTTCTTTGGGATATCACCTTCCCCTGCCTGGATGCCAGTGCCAGCCTCCTAACACACCTCCCTGCATTCTTGCCCCTCAATCCATTTGCCACACAGCAGAGTCACTTTTTTTGTTTGTTTTTTAGACAGAGTCTTCCTCTGTTGCCCAGGCCAGAGTGCAGTGGCACAGTCATAGCTCCCTGCAGCCTTGACCTCCTGTGCTCAAGCGATGCTCCCGCCTCAGCTTCCCGAGTAGCTGGGACAGCAGGTGCACGCCACCACACCCGGCTAATTTTTTAATTTTTTGTAGAGGTGGGGTCTGGTTGTGTTGCCCAAGCTGGTCTTGAACTCCTGGGCTCAACTGATCTTCCTACCTTGGCCTCCCAAAACTCTGGGATTACAGGTGTGAGCCATGGTGCCTGACTGGCAGATTAAGTTTTTTAAAACATGGCCAGTGAGATTGTGGTTTTCTCCATTTTAAAAACCTACAGGAGGCTGGGCGCAGTGGCTCACGCCTGTAATCCCAGCACTTTGGGAAGCCGAGGTGGGAGAATCACCTGAGGTCAGGAGTTCAAGACCAGTCTGGCCAACATGGTGAAACCCTGTCTCTACTAAAAAAACAAAAATTAGCCGGGCGTGGTGGCAGCCGCCTGTAATCCCAGCTGCTCGGGAAGCTGAGGCAGGAGAATTGCTTGAACCCGGGAGGCGGAGGTTGCAGTGAGCCCAGATGATGCCACTGCACACCAGCCTGAACGACAGAGCGAGACCCTATCTCAGAAAAAAAAAAAAAAGCTTATGGGGGCTTCCTCTTTATTCCAAGGAAAAATCAGTGTCTGCATGGTTGCCCACAAGACTTAGGGACTGCCCACCCCTCAGCCTTATCCCCAAGTCCCACCATCTCCTCTTGTTCAGCCTGACCCTGGGCTATGCTGGCTTGTCCTCTCCTTAGGTCTTTGCTGCCTCCATCTCTCACCCTCCAAGACGAAGGTCAACTGTCACTTTCTCATGAAACACTTGCTTGACTGCCAGCCCCTTGACCATGCCTGTGGTCCCCCAACCCGTGGCATGTGCCTGCTGTCCCAGCTACTTGGGACGCTGAGGTGGGAGGATTGCTTGAGCACAGGAGGTTGAGGCTGCAGTGAACTATGACTGCACCACTGCACTCCAGCCTCAGCAACAGAGGAAGACCCTGTCTCTAAAAAACAAACCAAAAAAGTGACTCTACTGTGTGGCGAATGGGTCACGGTCACTCTACCACTGTCTGTTATGAGATTCACGAATAGAATGTACTAGACACAATTATTTATTCATGTTTTCATCAGTCTTTAACAAATTCCCTGACCAGGATGGAGAAATCTCCTCTCTCATCTACCTTGTTCATGGCCTCGTCCCCACTGTCTAGAATAAGACTCCACACGGCGTAGGGGTTCCGTAAATACCCATGGAATTAGGACCTTCCAGTCCCTGTCACTCGGTGCTTCATTGATTTCTGTTCTTTTTTGGAGATGGAGTCTTGCTCTGTTGCCAGGCTGGAGTGCAGTGGTGCAATCTCAGCTCACTGTGCAACCTCCACCTTGCGGGTTCAAGCAATTCTCCTGCCTCAGTCTCCCGAGTAGCTGGGATTACAGGCACCTGCCACCAAGCCTGGCTAACTTTTGTATTTTTAGTAGAGACGGGGTTTTACCATGTTGGCCAGGCTGGTCTCAAACTGACCTCAAGTGGGCTGCCTGCCTCAACCTCCCAAAGTGCTGGGATTACAGGCATGAGCCACCGTGCCTGTCCTGGTTCCTGTTCAGCTGCCAGTACTCCTGAGACGTCCTGAGCTCTGCTCAGTGCTCGGGTGTCTCCAGTGCCCTAGGCTGAGGCCTGGCTCTCCCATCCCTGCTGCCCTGCTAAGGACCCAGGCCACTGGGCTCTCACCTGTTGTGGGAAAACAGAGCCACTGGTCAGGCTGGCGAGGAGGAGGAGGAGCAGGAGGCAAGCGGCCCAGATCTGGGAGCTCAGTGCCATCGTGCCGTCTGTCTGGCTGTCCCACTGCTGGGTCTTGAGCTTGCTCTGGTGTCTGGGACCGAGTGACAGTCGCTTTTATGGGGCCTGCCAGGGGAGGCGGTGGTCTGAGCCCCCTCCCCTTTGCTCTGTCTCATTTCCAAGAAGGTGGTGGCGCCGAAAAGGCGGGAGAGATAAGCGGGAACAGAGCGACAGGGAACAGGGTTGTGTCACCCTCAGCCGGCAGAGGTGTGTTCAGGGGGTGGGGCAGACGGGGTCACAGACACACACTGCTCACCAGCCATCTGGGGAGCCCTTTCCCCATCACGATGTCATTCTGCTGATCGGGAAAAAAGTTCCCCCTTTTGCTTCAGCGGTTAAGCAGTTTGATGAGCAGAATCAAGGTTCCGCTCTCCTCCACTCACTTCCCCATCGCCTACATGCACACGGGGCATGGCCAGCAGCCGCCAGGCTCCTCAGGAGTGTCTGGCATGTTGGGGGAAGCATCCATTGCTTTAAGCTCTCACCACACGTGCATAGGTTCTGGCAGGGAACACTAGATAGCCCTGAGCAGGGCAAGCATCAGCGTGTGCCCGATCCGCACGTGGTGTTTTCCCAGTGTCAGACCCTTGAGATGTGGCTCTGGTAACTGGAAAATGTTTGAGCAAACTTTTGGCCATAAATGACAGCAGTAATATGGCCCAGCACAGTGGCTTATGCCTGTAATCCCAGCAATTTGGGAGGCCAAGGCAGGAGGGTCGCTTGAGCCCAGAAGTTCAAGACTAGCCTGGGCAACATAGGGAGACCCCATCTCTACAAAAAAAATTTTAAACAAATTTAGCCAGGCGTGGTGGCACACATCTGTAGTCCCAGCTACTTGGGAGGCTGAGGCAGATCGCTTAAGCCCAGGAGGCTGAGGTTGCAGTGAGCTATGATTGTGTGACTGCACTCCAGCCTGGGTGACAGAGTGAGACCCTGTCTATAAAACATAAAATAGCAGTAATAGTAATAGCTAACATCTACAGTCCGATGAGTACATTTTATACGATGGCACATATGTTGACTCACTTCTGCACCAACTCAGCCTGTGCTGCCTGTTCTCCCAGCAGCACTTACTGCCCCACCTTCAGCTCTGCTCTGTATTCAGGGGCTGCCTTCTCAGTCACCCAACCCCAGAGGCCTGGGCTCCCCAGACCCTGCTCCCTTTTAGGAACCTCCTCCCCGTCGGACACTCATTTCCTTCACTTTACAGAAAAGGCACTGAAGGCAGAGATCAGGGCATGGCCCAAGCTTGCTCAGCCAGAGGCAGAGCTGAGATTCTAGCCTGGACAGCCTGACTCCAGGGCTTTTGCTCTTACCCACCAGGTTTCCCCATCTCCCCTAAAACACAGCAGGGCACAGCGGTATGCTAGACCTGGCTCAACATAGCAGACCATGCACATCTCGAAACTCTGCATTCAGTGGCATCATGCTGGTATCCTGAAATCAGCAGCAGTGGGAGTCTTGACACCCAGAAATTGGCAAGCACTACAAGCCAGGGATGTTTTTGGGGAGCCGGTTCCTTAGGACACCACTAGCTGGGGGATGAACCCAGGCTGCCTGACTGCAGTGCCTTCATTCCTTTCCACTACCAGGCCCAGCTCAGGGTGCACACGGCCCAGGGGATCAACAAACCTTGGTTCCAGATGGGCCCTTGCACATTTTGCCTCTTTGCCTTTTTCATTCCAGGGCCATCCAGTGTCAGCCAAGTCACCAGAGCCCGGGGATGTTGTTGTCGAGGAATGAACACTTCTTCCTGGTTGCTGAACCACTTTCAAGGCCCACTCAAGCACAGAAATGCACAGGCCCTGCCATCTGCCTCCTCATCCACACCACGTGGGAGGCTCCTCTTGTCACAGCCTGGGTAACAAAGCGAGACCCCATCTATACAAAAACTTGGCTGTGGTGCTACGCACCTGTAGTTGGTCAAGGCTGCAGTGAGCCGTGATTGTGTGCCACTGCACCCCAGCCTGGGTGAGAGTGAAACCCTGTCTCTAAAAACTAAATGAATAAAGATGGCCTCAGATGGGAATAGCTAGGAAAAGGAGACAGGGCTCTTGTGGGAAGAGACGAGTGCAGGGAGTGGGGGAATTGGGGAGGAAAGGCAGATGGAGCTCCACAAGGTGAGCAGAGTGGCAAGCCCAGCTCCTGGGAGTTGAAGGGTGCTGCAGGCTGAAGCAGGGCCCAGTGAATAGGGGTGTGCTCACCTGGGGAGACACAGGAGCAGCCCCCAGCCCTACCAGGCATCGCTGCATCTCAGCTGAGGACAGGTTTCATCATCAGCAGGGGCAGGGGTCACAGCACAGGCGCCAGAGCCTTGGTGCAAGGCGACAGGCTGACGGGCCAAGCTTGGCGCCCTGGCCATCTGCCCTCCCTGGGGGTGAGGGGCTCAAGGCCAGGCCCCACTATTGGCTGGTGCAGAGGGGAGGGCTTTGGCCCAGCAGGGCAGGGCCAGGGGCTGGTTGTGTTTTCAGGAACTGTTGACACGGAGACCCCTGCCTCTCCTCCAACATGGGACATGTCCTTGACCCCAGCTCCCCACACCCTCATGCACGTCTAGGGCCTCAAAGGGGACATTCATTCCTTAATTCCTCCATCCATCCAACCAACCACTGGGTAATGGGTGGTGCAGCTGGCAGGGACCATGCACAGCCATGTGCACAACAGCAGAACCATGCCTCGTGGAGCTCTGCAGACCCCAGGCCCCCTCCCCACTCCTGAGATGGACAAACACACAAGCAGACAAGGCGGGGGCCACATGGGGCCAGTTTATTGCAGTTAAATACCTCTCTCTCTATTTTTTTTTTGTCAATTTTTCCATAAAGAAAATTAAAACACACACACACACCCCCAAAGGGGAGCAGGGACCCAGAAACAAGAGGTGGGGTGGGACGTGGCCTCCCTGCATAGGTCCAGGCCCCGGGTGGCCCCCCAAAGGCTCCCCTCCTTCCCATCAGCACCCTGTCTCAGTACCTCCAGAGAGCAGGAGGCAGCGGGACGTGGCAGGGCCTCTGTCCCCTCCCTCTTGCCTCCAGGTGAGACCACTAGAAGTGCCGGGGCTTAGTGAGGGCCGGGAGAAGGGCGACAGACAGACGGATGGGCAGGGAGGATACCGTTTCCAAGTGGAGGAGGGCGGTGGGCACTGTATCCACAGAAATGCATTATTTCTCCCCGTTTTTTGTTAAAAATCTACTATAAAAAAACGCAGCTGGGGGAGGGGCATGTGTCCCTCTCTGTGCTAAGGGCTGGGGAAGGGGGCAGCAGAGGCCGGCGTGGGCGGCGGCGGCTGCGTGGTGGTGGCGGGCGTCACTGCCGGGTGCCCTCGCCCACCATCTCCAGGTTGTGCTGCTGCAGCTGGGCTCGAAGCAGGGCGTTCTCATTCTTCAGCTCCTCGATCTGGCGGACACGACGGAGGTCAAGGGAGCTGAGGGCCAGCGCCTTGCATCTGGGGCTCCTGGGCCCTGACCCGCTCCAGGCCCCGCACCCACCTGCTGCCTCAGGAGCTCGTTGTCCATCTGCAGCCGCTCGGCCTCTTTGAAGGTCTCCTGCATGCGCTGGTTGGTCTGGCGCAACTCCCGGATGTAATCGCAGGCCTTGGACAGGATCCCTCCTTTACTCTGGGGGGCGAGGGGACCAGGAGCCTTAGGGCAGGCACCGCCCACCGGCCTCCACCCCAGGGATGACTCCCGAGCCCCATGGCTGTTGGACTTTCTGCATGCAAGGGTCGGGGGCCGGGACCACCGCAGACACTGAGGGTCCGGGGTGCTCACCGCTCCCGTCTTGCTGTTGTCTGCGTTACAGTCTGGAATGATTTTCGAAAGCTGGACGATCCAGTTGTTGATCTTGTCCCTCCGCCTCCGCTCCACTGCGGAAAACAGAGTCACAGCCACGGCTTCGCTGACGGATCATGCCTGAGCGGCCGTCCTCACAGGGCAGAGGCTCAGCCCAAGGACACCCAGGAACAGTGCAGGCCCCACCGAGACCACAGCCCTGGGAAGTGAGGGGCCGCACCCTGAGCCCAGCCGGCCCCCACCCCAGCTTCTCAAGAGGAACAAAGAAACGTGGGCCCTCCAGTGCCACACATGCTTTTAGGACGGGCATCAAAGGCCAGGCACTTGGAGATCATTTTGCAGGCCTGCCCCACCATACTTGTACAAATTTTAATCGACAGTTAAAAATAAGGAAATTTCTCATGGTAATTGGCATCACTGGCTTCTTTTGAGAAATGGAGCTCTGGTCACAGTGGGCACATACTGGAAGGCAGGGATGGACAGAGCCACTCTTCGCAGGACCAGTGCCCCTTTTTGGCTCCTGCGGCCCCTGCACTGCATTCTCCAGTCTCCCCAGAGACTCTGGCACCGTGATTTTGTTTTTTTTCCTCATCTCTAAATCCAAGTCTGACCATGTTTCACCCCTGCTTAAAATCCTTCCACAGGGCAATGGCAGATCCCAACTGGTACTTGCAGCTCCCAGGGCCTGGCCCACAAAGCACCAGCTCACCCAGGAAAGACCCAAATCCTATGTTGAAGGCCAGAGATGGCAACTCATAGAAGGTTTTACTTAAAAAACCCAGATTTGTGATTTTACTCCATAAAACTCCACAATCTCATGCCAACTGTGTCAGCTGGGTGGCAGCTATCCCCAGACAGAGCACATGCCTTTCTCTGGCCACATCCCATCCTGACACCTGCCTGGGGACTGTGTGCTGCGGAGCCTGAGACCCCTGACTCAGGACCTGCTAAAGCCAGGCTGTCCCAACCCTGGCTGCCAAGCCCCAGCACCAGGCACCGTGGGGACAGGAAAGAACGCTCAGCTACCCCCAACTCCTACCCCACGGACCCCCAGCCCCCTGCCAGGGTGGCTCATGCTGTCTGCACCATTTGTGGAGGGGAACGAAGCCCTATAGCTAGGGCACATGTGGCAGGAAGGCCAGGGGGTCTTTTCAAAGCCTTGGATAATGGTGATGAAACCGGTCAGGGGTCCAGTGAGCCTGAGAAGGAGGGGTGGGCCACAGCCTGCCCGTTACCCTCACACCCCGAGATCGGCAGCTCCCCAGACCTGCCGTTCCCTTGAAAAGGCTGGGGCCCACCCACCAGCAAACCCCTCTGGCTTCTCTGGGCTGTGGCCGCATGCTGCTGACTGGCCTCTCCCTGCCTCCAGTGCCTCCCACTCAGGCCTGAGTGACAAACCCTCCGATGGATGCGGACTCTCCTTCTCCCACCGTGACCTCTCTTCCCTGGCCCCTTCCATCCTTGTGCTCCCTCTTTCCTCCAAAACCAATAGCCCAAGATCAGTGCTTGCTATGGAGCACGGTCCAGGCCCTGCACTGGGCTCAGCGAGTGCTTGCTCCCCTATTACTATCGCGGTGCGCTGAACCTTCCCACCAAAGACAACCACACCCGCCTTTGGGAACTCTGGCCAAAAGCAGCAGCGGAGCTGAGAGTCCAGGCCTGGAGGCACCGCTGGCGCAGTCCCCAGCAGAGCGCTCCTCGCCCAGGGGTCTGTGGAGGAACTCGGCAGGCGGCCTCGTTTCAGCCTCTGCCCTCCCACAGTCCTCTCGAGAGCTGGGCGCCGGCTGCAGGTACATCCTCTCCAGAGCAAGCTTACTTCTTACACACCTACTCCCCGCCCTACTATGTGCCAGGCCCTCCGCCAGGCTGGGGTCCAGGGTGGAAGCAGCCCCGGTGCGCCCCATGGGCACTCGCAGCACCACTGTGGGCAAGTGGCACTAACCCCATTGCATTCGTGTCATCACTGAAGATGGTACAAAGTGCCTCGGGAACGCCAGGCGCCGAGCCATGGCCTCTGCATGGGAATGGGGGTGGGATGAATCCTCAGAGATCCAGGAAACATTCGGGCTGGTTTCTGAGAGAAAGACTCTAAGGCAGGCAGCTGGGAAGATCCCAGAAATGGTGGCCTGAAAACCATTTCAGGGTATGCAGGGGTGGGAAAAGGTTGTAAAGATCGGTTGTCAAGGCCTTGTGTGCTCTGCTCGCAGGTCAGGACCGCATCTCCTCCTCCTCCAGAGTCCCAGGCCCTTGAATCCAGGCCCTGACATTAGCAGGCGGTAATGCTGTCCAGCCTGTGGCTTCGGAAGACCATCATGGCACATTTGAAATACAGGAAGACCCATTAGGACCAAGGCCACGTTCATTCCACAGAAGCACTTCAGTTACTCCATAGGAAACTTAAAATTCAGAAGCTGGGTGGGGTGGCTCACGCCTGTAATCCCAGCACTTTGGGAGGGTGGATCACATGAGGCCAGGAGTTTGAGACCAGCCTGGCCAACATGGCGAAACCCCGGCTCTACTAAAAATGCAAAAATTAGCCAGGCATAGCAGTGCATGCCTATAATCCCAGCGACTTGGGAGGCTGAAGCACGAGAATTGCTTGAACCCAAGAGGTGGAGGTTGTAGTGAGCCGAGACCACATCATTGCACACCAGCTTGGGTGACAGAGCGAGACTCTGTCTCAAAAAAAAAAAAAAAAAAAAGAGAAAATTCAGAAGCGAAACCTGCCAGGACTGAAGGAAGAAATGGACAAATCCACAAATATAGTGAGAGACATGGACATCTTTCTCATTGATTGGTGGAACAAGTAAACAACAACAACAAAAATCAGAATAGAAAGCCTGAACACTCAACCAGCCTGACCTCACTGACCTGGGGGGACATTCTGCCTGACAGCAGCAGACACCTGTCCTCGTCAATGCCCCAGAAGCTTCCGCCAAGCTAGGACACATTCGGGCCCGTCGGGTAAGTCTCATCGAATTTCAAGGAACTGAAATCATACAGAGTATGTTCTCTGACCATAACAGAACTAAATTAAAAATCAATAACAAAAAGATATCTGAAAAACCCACAAATATTTGGAAATTAAGCAACCTGCCTCCAAATAACAGAAAGGTCAAAGAAGAAATCACAAGGAAAATTGGAAAACACTTTAAACTGAATGATAACAAAAACAACATATCCCAGTGGGATGTAGCTAAAGTGATGCTGGAGTGAACTGGCAACTCTAAATGTTGTTAAGCAAAGAGAAAGGTTAAGAATCATCTCAATCCCTGCTGTGAAACATTAATCCTGTAAAATAAAGATTTTAGTAGAAAATTGGAAAAAAAAAAAAAAAAAGAATTACCTTAAAAAGCTGGGGTTGGGGTGTGCCAGGGAAGCTAAAGCATGAAACCTAGCAAATTGAATCCAAAGTGAGTAGAAGGGGCCGGGTGCAGTGGCTCACTCCTGTAATCCCAGCACTTTGGGAGGCTGAGGCAGGTGGATAACCTGAGGCCAGGAGTTCGAGACCAGCCTGGCCAACATGGTGAAACCCCGTCTCTACCAAAAATACAAAAACTAGCTAGGTGTGGCAGCGGGCACCTGTAGTCCCAGCTACTTGGGAGACTGAGGCAGGAGAATCACTTGAACCGGGGAGGCAGAGGTTGTAGTAAGCTGAGATTGCGCCACTGTGACAGAGCGAGATTCCATCTCAAAACAAAACAACAAACAAACAAAAAACCAAGTGAGTAGAAGCATGAATTAGTAACATTAAGAGTAGAAATCAATGAAACGGAAAAAGCAATCTAATCTGGCACCTAAAAATCAGATTTCACATAAGTCTCGATTTCTAGCTTCTCAGAGTTTCTGGCAACAGTGGCCCTAGATTCTGACAGGGCAGCAAGGGGAAGGCACTGGGCAAGGGCCACCCTTCAGGCAGCGCACACATGCCCCAGATCACTGGGGGCCCCCCACAACCTTTCCTATCTTTTTCTGACACAAGGTCTGGGTCTGTTGCTCAGGCTGGAGGGTAATCTCAGCTCACTGCAACCTCTGTCTCCCGGACTCAAGCCATCTTCCCACCACAGGTTCCCAAGTAGCTGGGACTGTTACAGGCATGTACCACCAGGCCTGGCTAATTTTTAATTTTTTTGGTAGAGACAGGGTTTTGTCACATTGCCTAGGATGGTCTCAAACTCCTGGGCTCAAGTGATCCGTCCGTCTTGGCCAAAATGTAATCCCAAAAGTGCTGGGATTCCGGGCGGGAGCCACCACACCCAGCCACACACCCCTTCCTGAGATGCCAAGTGCACCTCCCTCCCTCAGGCCCCTGCAGGCATTTGAGTCTGTGACTCTGGGATAAGCTCCTGCAGTACCAAGAAGTGGTGGGAAGGAGGGAAAAAGAAGTGAGAGAAGCGGATCTGAAATCACCACAGAAGAGAAACTTGGGGTTTGTGGCCATAAGGGAAGAAGAGGGCAGAGTTGAAAGCGGCTCTGGTCTTAGTTTCTGGCTTGGGCAGCTGTGACAGGGGTAGCTTTTGCTGCTCTGCAAAGAAGAAGGTTGCATGAAAGCCTTTGGAGACGGGAGATGGCACATTCTCTTTTGGGCGAGTTGAGTTTGAGGCATTACAGGGATGTCCAGAGACAGAAATCTCGAATAGGTAGTTCAAAACGTGGGGCTGGAGTTGCAGTGAAAGGAAGGGAATGGATGGAAACACAGTTCCTTGCATTACCAGGAGCCAGGTGGTGGGCGAAGCCTGGGAGGACATCAAGGAACAGTCCTCAACTTTTTGTGAGTCACACACTCTTCTGCAGCAAAGAAAAAAGAGGAACACCTACAAGGGGGAACAGAGTTTGGGGGATACTGACCAAGAGCTTCCGAGCCCATCGCTGGGCCTCACAAGTCATACACCTGAGGCCGACGGGAGGGGCCGGACCTTATGAAACACCAGCAAGACTGGGTGTGGCAGCTCAGGCCTGTAGCCGAGGCCGGAGGACTGCCTGAGGCCAGAAGTTCAAGACGAGCCTGGGCAGCATAGCAAGACCTCCACTCTACAGATAAAAAAAAATTACCCCATGTGATGACGCCTGCCTGTGGTCCCAGCCACTCAGAAGCCTGAGGTGTGAGGATCGCTTGAGCCTGGGAGGTCAAGGCTGCAGTGAGCTGTGATTGTGCCACTGTACTCCAGCCTGGGTGACAGAGTGAGACCCCCTTCTCAAAAAAAAAGAAACACTCGCAGCCAAAGCAGTTTCTCAAGCTTGTCCACTATGACAAATCACCTGAAGAGCTGATGGAAAACACAGATTCCCCGGCACCCCCATCTACTCACTTGGAACTGGGACAGCCCTGGAAATTTCACTGTTAACAGTGGGGTAGGAAAGGCAAAGATCACAGGAGAATCAGAGAGGATGGAGGAGAAAGGAAGATTCCAGAAAGGAACAGAGGGAAACAGGCAGCATCAGATGCTTGGAGCCCAGACAGCAAAGGAGGCCAGTGGATGTGGCAATGGGGTCACCACGGGTGACCGGAAGTGGAGCTGTTTTGGTAGAGCCATGAGCCAGATGGCTGAGGGTACTGGGAGGATGAGCAGATTGGGGCAGATGCTCTGCAAGTCAGGAAAGCGGAGACAGGACGGAGCTGGAGAAGTGGGCAGGTGATGAAGACTGCTTCACAGGGTGAGAAAGTTTCAAGGCTGCCTGGAGTCAGATTAACTAAGGGAGAGGCGGGGGTGAGAGTGGGGTGGGAGGGTTCTGAGTCCTCTCTTCGCCTTACTGTGTGGCCACCAAGACTCACTGCATCCCCACCAGGTGCCCGGGGCGGCTGTGCTTCCACCATTTCACAGAGGGAAGACAGGTACGGAGATTAAGAACCACCCTGACGCCCCACCACAGGTAAGTCGTGGGGCTGGGGCTGCTCTGGGGGCCCCTCAAACTCACTGCATCTCAAAACCAAGCTCAGATGCACCCCTTCCCTTCCAAGCATGGAGGGGAGTTCAGCACGAAACCCTTATTCTCCAGCCTTGGAGTCCTCCCCACATTTCCCCCAACCCCTGCCCTGTCTCAGGCCTGACAGTCGTATGGTCTCCTACCTCCCAGCCCCTTCCCACCACTCTTGCCAACAGCCTCCACAACCCAAACCCCTCTGCTGGCTTCTCATCACCCTGGAATAAAACCACAGGAGCCCAGACAGCCACACTGGGGACTTCTTCCAAGGTCCTCCACCATCTGGCCTGGGCAGCCCCCTCCACTGCGCCAACTTCCTCTTTCCTTTCCTGAATTCTGCTCTTCTGCAGACACACCATGGCGGCCCTGGCTCAGGGCCTGGCCTGTGTTCTAGCTCTTCCCTCTGCCCGGGACTCTCCTGAGGTTCTCAACAGGCCCCTTCCCTCAGGTCGCTTCAGGGATCTGCTTCAATGTCACCTCTCGAAGAGCCCTTCAGAGCACACTACCATGCCGCCATCACCCGCCACCTTCTTCCCCAGCTTTCCTCTCCTGCCTGTGACTGCCTGCACTGCCTGATGCGGCTGTGTGACTCCCATCTCTCCCACCAGAACGCGCACAGAGAGCTGAGACCTTGTCTGTCCTATCATCTGCTGCATTGCCATATCTGAGGACGCAAAAGGGGGGCTGGTCGTAGTATGCACGCGCTGAATGAACGCCTGAACTCAGGGAGGAGCTGCTCAGAACACAACTACCTGGGCCACAGACCCCAGTCCCATCACCACCTTTAGGACTCAGCATTCAGCCCCTCACTCGGGCATTCGAGGCCTTCCCGATCTTCCCTCCTGAGGCATTCTAAATGGAACTTCTCCCACAACCAAACCAGCACCCCACAAAGTAACCTGACCCACACTCCCCTCTCCCTAGGGAAGCGTCACCCCAGCCCACCCCCCATCAATGTCCCATGAGACCCATGAGACATAAGCCCTCAGGCCTTTGAGCCTCCCTGACGCTCCAGGCCAGACTCCAGACCTGGCACAGGGCCTGTGCCGCTCAGCCCAGAACCCACGGGCAGTAAATATTTGTTGAATGATGGTTGTTTGGGTGTAAGCACTCTCCTGGCACTTGCACAGTGCTGTGCCCACTGCAGTGGCTACTGACAGGCGGGGCGGGACAGTGCTGAAGGCCAAATGACCTGAGGTGAGACCTGGTGTTTCTGGAAAGGGCAGGATGCTCCGGCCTTAGGTAGCCAGAGGCAGAACTTCATGCAGTTTCTCCCTCAGATGTGCTCCCTGGGGGAACAGACCTACTTCTGGAGGCCAGGCAGGCATGGGAGTGCGGGATGTGAGCATGACAGCTGCCACGTGGAAAGGTCAGCCCACGTGAGCCCGGTCAGCCCCATTTTTCAAGTGGGGCAGGCAATCCGTATGGGAGTGTGAAGTCCACCATCTTAGATGTGGGCCATGAATTCAAGATCACCAGCCGGGTCAACAAATGGCCAGTTCCAATTCACACTCCCTGTCCCTCTACTTCTGACACTGTACTCTCCCCTCGTTGCTCACTTTCTACCTTTACAGCGTCCAGCAAAGCCCTCTGGAGCACTTGTGGCCTGCCCAGGAGTGGCTTCTCTCTCTGTCACTCCACACTCCAGGGCTGGCTGAGCCTGTGAGGGTGGTGGTCAGGGGGACCCGGAGCCACACCTTGTCCTCACCTTCGTTGTGCTGGGCTCTTCTCCTCTCATCTCGGGGTGTTCTGGTTCCATCAATTTTTCTACAAGAGGAGGAAAAAAAAAGGGGGCATGTATTATCGCAGAGCTGTTTGCCCAAGCATCTGCTAAGTATTAGATTTGAAAATTATCTTTGCAAGGTAAATCCATCTGCAAAAACAAAAGACATGATACTTTATGTGCACTAGAGCAGCAGAAACAGGCAAAGAAAAAAAACATTACACCATGTGCCCACTTCATGCTAACTGCCCAGCTTCTACTCCAGAAACCCCTCTTCCTTCCATTTCAACACCAGGCCCTCCAGGTGTCCCCTGCACATACGGAGAGTAAGGGTGTGTCCGGGGGGCGATCGTCCTCTGTGTTCCTGTCTGAAGCACATCCTGGGGCGTCATCATGACGTAGAACTGGCCTGCAGGGAGAGTGGGGGGTTAGTGGCAAGGCAGGGTGAAGTCAGAACTGGCTGGGGGGGCTTCCCTCCCTGCTGGGCCCGTTGCCTCCCCCACCTGCCAATCTGACTTCTACTCCTCACCTCCAGCCTGCAAGCTCTGGTCTGTGGTCTGTACGGACACAGCCGTAGTATCTCCCACACTGGACGCTGGGAAATAGGCAAATCGTGCCTCCCCGCTGACAGCCTCGGCCGCCGGACTGCCACCATTGCTGAAGGGATTTTGGATCACAGCCTGGGGAGTAGGAGGGCAGAGGCTACCCTTAGCTTTCTCTGTTCCTCCATCCCGTCCCCTCATTGCTGTGCTTGGGGTTTACTGCATTCTCTGCAATTAACAGGAGTGGGGACTCCTTCTGCGTGTAGCATTCTGTCCTGTGTTTCAAACAGCCCTGGAACATGGCGGGAGGTCAGCGATCACTTGCTGAGCAAATCCGTTTCGCACTCTAAGAAACTTTCCTCTTAAGACACATCATTCCCATTTTGCGGGAAAAAAAAATTCCAAGAGCACTGTCCCCAGGTTTCACGGTGCACAACAGGGATCTGGCCCCATGCAGCCTGAGGCCTGAAGGCAGCATCCGCTGGGCGACACCTGCCCCACCCCCGGGGCTCCCCAAGAGCAGAGCCAGTGTCCCCTCTCCACTCCCTCCCCCCCCCACCCAGGGGTGGCAGGGCACCTACCAGCGGGAAGGGCGCTGCAGGACCTGGGGGCACAGAGGCAGCGGCGGGGCCCGGGCGCTGGGCTGCCCCGTCCACACCCACCTGGGTCACAGCCTGCTGCCCCCCCGCGAAGGCAGCGGTGGACACGACGCTGACGGCGCCAGCTGTGTCGCCCTGGCCGTCCAGCTGACCATCAGTCACCTGGACTACGCGGTATGTCACCTGCAGGGGGCGGCAGAGCGGCGAGGCCGGCGCTGGGGCCAGGTCCGAGCCTTCCCGGCGCGCCCGCCCGCCCGCCCGTTCGCCCTCGCGGCCCGCCGCTCACCTGTCCTCCATTTGTCTCTGTGCGGAACTGGTACTGGATGTTGTGGTCGCCGAACGCCGCCTGCTGGACGCTGGTGATGGCCACCGCTGTCTGCTCCTCCGCTCCTGGGCCGTCCCCGCCTGGGGCCGAGGAGGGTCGGGGCACGGTCAGGGCCGCGCCGAGCGCCCCCAGCCCTCCCCGGGCGCGGCCGGCCCGGCAAGCACTCACCTTCCTGCAGCTCGACGCCCTCCTCCGCCTCGGGTCCCTTGTCGTGGCTGCCAGGGGCACAGGAGGGAGCAGGGTCAGCGCGGCCCGCGCCCGCGCCCCCGCCCCCGCGCCCAGCTGCAGGGCCCCAGTCCCACCCGGCCGCGCCTGAGGCCGGGGGCGCCGCCGAGGCCGGGGGCCGGGGGCGGGAGGCGCCAGGTCCCCCCCGCGCCGGCGGCCTCCATTTTGAGCCGGGCCCGCGGCCGCTCGGGATCATGGCGGCCCCGGCCTGCAGGCCGCGGGGCCGGGGCCGGGGCCGGGGCGCGGGGGCACGGCCGGGCCGGGGATCTTACCTGGCGGCGGCAGCAGCGGTGGCCGAGGCAGCGGGATCCAGACCCGGGTCCAGCATGTCCATGGGGGGGGCGGGGGCGGGGGGGGCGCGGGGCCCGGGGGGGAGGGGAGGGGAGGGGAGGGAGGGAGGGGAGGGGGCGGGCGGCCGGGGGGGCCCCGAGCCCGGCGCTCACGCCGCGCGGCAGGAGGGGACGGAGGAGATACGGGAGCCGCTCGCGCTGATCACGGGGACAAACAGTGGGGTCATGTGAGGAGGAGATGCCGCCGCCGCCGCCGCAGCCGCCGCCGCTCCTGCAGCCGCTGCAGCCGCCGCCGCCTCCGCCTCCGCCCGCCCGCCGGCTCCGGGCGGCCCGAGGCTCCGGGACGCCGCGCGGCCGCCCCCAGCCCACCCAGCTGCCCGCCCGCTGCACGCGGCCCTCAGGCCTCCTTCCCTGAGCAGCCGCCGCCGCCGCGACTTTTTTTTTTGAACACGGCCCGCCCTGGCTGGCCGCCGCCAGTGCCCTGGATCGCCGGCTCGCGCGGCCGCCGCCCGGCTTGGCCCAGTCCGGCGGCGGATCGCTGCTGCAGCCGCCGCCGCTTTCTATTTTTCCCCCTTTTTTTTTTCCTCCTTTACTTGAGCTGCGCGCGCGCGGCGGCGGCGGCGGCGGCGGCGCGAGCCCCGGGGCGGACGCGCGCTGGGGGGAGGCGGCCCGGGGCGCGCGCGCTGGTCTGTCTCCGGGGGCGGGCGGGCGCGCGCGAGCCCGGGGCTCCGCGGGGCGCGAGGTCGCCGCGCGCCGCCCTGGTGAAACGCGGGTCTGGATGGAACGTCGGGGTACCCGGTGCAGGGGCTGGGGTCGTCGGGGGCCAGGTGGGCTGCCCGAGTTTGGAGACAGTAAAGTAGGTCGGTGGGGGGCTGGGGGGGATGGGCTGGAAGGGGAGAGGAGCGCGCGCGCGTCCCGGACGGCCAGCCTGCGGTGCGCGAAGGCGGAGGGCCGGGGCGCATGCGCACGCCTGGGCGGGGCCGGGGCGCGCACGCAGGCGGGCGGCGGCTGCGCGGGGCACGTTCTCCGGCCGGCGGCGCGGGCGCGGGCCGGGCCAGGCTGGGTCTCTTCCTCCCGGCCCCGGACTCCGGTGCCCCCGGGACGCGGCGCTTTACAGACGCATACGGGAGCAGCCCCGGTCCCCCGCCCCGCGCGGCCGAACAAATGGTTCTCTCCAGAGCTTGTGATTATACGTTTTATTAGACTCGGGAGGGGTATGGCAGGGCTTCATCAGTGTTCCTTCAAATTAAAAAAAAAAATACAAAAGCTACGTAGAAAACGTCAGATCAGACGACTAAACTTTCCCGACTCAGGGCCAAGTTCTGCAAGGGAGAAAGAAAGAAGGGTATGAGCCGCGGGGACCGGCTGGGGGCCCAGGGACGGTCTGGACGCCAGGGAGGGCGGCCCTCACCTTCTTGAGCCTGCGCTCTCGGGACGCCTGCGAGTCGGTCTCCGAGTACGGGGGCGGCGCGGGCGGGTAGTAGGCCTCTTCCTCCTCCTCCTTGTGGGGTCTCCTCCTCTCCTCCGACCCCTTCTTCCTCACAGCCTCCTCCAGTAGCCGCCCATCATAGGGGAGGTCCCCGGACCTGGAGCCGTTGTCCCGAGGGTCCCGGGTACGGTGGTGGTGGGACCTGGGGTCGGCAGGAGGGCGCTCCCGAGACCTGAAGTCGTCGTAGTGGGGGTCCCGGGAGCGTGGGAAGTCCCTCGAGTCGTCTTGGTCATAGAGGTCGTCCCGGCTGCGGCTCCGCGGGGGCATGTAGGCCCGGCTTCTCCCACCATTACTCGTGGGAGACCTGCTCCCTGACTCGGCGGTGCTCGGCGGGGTGAGGTCGTCCAGGGCGTCCACGGAGCGGGCCCGGGGCCGCCTGGCCCGCCAGCCCCCGCCTGCCTGCTCCCTGGCGGGCTCCTGGTCCCATCCCCTGGGACTCCGGGGGGAGTGGCCACCCCACTCCTCATCCCGGATCGGGGTGAGGGCAGGGCCCCGGGAAGGCCGAGATCGCCAGTCGTCCTCGTGGAGGGAGGTGACTTCACTCATGGCTGCAGGGAAGGGGGGTGTCACTGACTGCTGGAGGAGCCCGGGGTCCAGGGTTTGCACCAAGAGTCCCTGCGGCAGGTATCAGGGAGACATGTTTCACCCCCCCACCTTAAAAGCCCTCAGACCCCAAGGCTCCTGCTTACCCCGCTCCACACGGCCACTGGGGGGGCCAGGTCGAGAAGGGTCGAAGTTGGCCAGCTCCTTCTCCATGTAGTACAGGACCCGCATGGAGTCGTCCTGCTGGCTGGCCTGAATCCTGTAGCCACTGCGGACTTCTAGGGACAGGGGGGTGGTGGTCGGTTTGGGAGGATGGATCCTGGCCCACCCCTCTCCCTTACAGGCACATCCAACTTCGGGACGATGGATTCTCACCAGAGGCCACACTGCTGTCCGTGTCCCGAAGCAGGGGTACATAGGAGCCTTGGCCACCAGCTGGGGGAGAGTGGCTGTCAGTGGCCGCGCACCAGGAGCAGAGCCCCTCCTCGGCTCCCAAGACACTCTTCCTTCCAGCCCCTGCCCCTCAGTGTCCAGATGCCCAGCACACTCCCACCAGCTGTTCCTGCTTCCCCCGGCCTCACCTGAGCTACTCCTGTCAACGTCTCCAGGGTATCCTCCAGGGTACCCGTTGTAGGCAGGGCCCATGGGAATCATAGCTGGTGGGGGTGGGGTCTTGGCGGGAGACAGGTGGGCATAGGTGCTGGGGGCATAAATGCTGGGAACACCTGAGGTGGCTGCTTTGCCGGCGGCATACACTGTGAGGACACAATCAACAGGAGAAGGGGGATGAGGCAGGAGCCAGGCTGCCCCATACCCATTGGGTTCCGGAGGGACCTGGGCCTGGACCTCCTTCCCAAGCCGTCCTCTCCGCTGTAGAGCTTCCTTGGACATCTGAGTCCCTGTTGGTCCTCATTCCATTTCTGCAGCATCCCTGAGGCTGGGGGACACCAGCTTCACAGAGACCCCACCCCACTTCCTGTGTGATTTTTCAGAGGGTGCACGCAGGCACCCACAGCCCCAGGGTGGCAGAACAATGTTTCATTTAACAGCATGGTAATTCGCCAACATTTGTCAATCAAAAGGTTTTACCTAAACTTCCAACTCCCCAGCTAACTTACTGGAAGAAGTGGCCACCCATGGTCTGTGTGTTTACAGGGCAACAAAGCTGCCCTTTATATAAAGCCCAGATGCTGGGTCCACCACTGTCCCCACAAGCCGAAATCAAGTATCCTCTTTGGCAGCCAAGCCCCTGTTCTAGAAAAAATGAGTCATCTGGGAGACGTGGGTCCTGCCCACCTGGTCACCTTCCAGATTGAGATGCAGTGGCAGGAGCCTCGGGAATTAACTTGCCTGCCCCGGCCAAGCAGCAAAGTGTCTCCTCTAGTGTTTCTAACTCATGGACTGCACCCATTTCTGCCTGCCCCACCAGGCTCTAGGCTTGACAGTTCAAGGTAAGATCCTCCTCCCTTCCTTCCTCCCTAGGGCAAGAGGCTTGCAAAATTCCTGGGCCCTAGGCAAGTGGCTTCCTCCCTGGGACCCCAACAGGAAAATGGAGGAGAGAGATGGGCCCAGAGAGGGTGCCTCACCTCTGATTTGGTTTGGAAGCAGAAGACTAAGTGCACAGCCTAGAGGAAGCCCCTTCATTAGCTCAGGCAGCCTGCAACTTTATCATCAGCAGTGGGACCTGCTGCCTCCTGAAGGGTGGGCGGAGGCTGTGGCAGCAGCAGATGTAACAGGGCCTCTGCCAGGGAGTTAATGGGGCCCTGGGTTGGGGTAACAGGGTCTCCGGATGGAGGAAATGTGGTGTGGGGACAGGGGAATGTGGCATTGGGACCAGCATTTAGTCCTGGCCCTAGCTCTGGTCTTAGTGGGTTCACTGCAAACTTGGTTGCAGCCCATCTGTGAAATGGACCTAACACTTACTCACTGAGCAAAAAGCTGTCAGCTGAACACAACAAGAGGGAGGGGATGGGATGGCCTGCATAAGCCTCCAGGGAGCAGTGGAATTTTTTCAGGGAAGTGATCCTTTGAGGAACCAGGTTGCACACCACTGACTTCAATGACTATAAAATTAGCCAGCGACTTCCTTAATGCTAACAACAACCCATGAAGTCAGGACCTAACAGAAGGAAACAGGACTCAGAGAGGGAAGGCTGCTTCTCTGGGGTCACTCTGTGTGCACCAGGGCTCTGACTGGTGCCCTGTCCCTCAGTCACTACTGAGGCTGATAGTGGCAGTGCCCAGCAGCTGACAGACGTAGAATATTTTATATAGGTTGGGCCCCATGCTCAATGGTGTGCACATGAGCTCGCCAAATCCCCAGATGCACCCAGTGTGGTGAGCTCTGCCATAAGCCCCATTTTATAGGGGATGACACTGAGCCCTAGGGAGGGAAACTGCTCACTGGGCTTCTGAGCAGGAAGGTGTCAAGCAGGCCTCAGCTCTCCACCTGCCCATGCTTGCAAGGATTGCCTGGCACTTCACTGTTCATGTATCTTGGACTGTGTGCACACAGGCTGGTCTACCCAGACACCCTCCTGAAGGAAACCAAGGACTGGCAACAGCTGTGGTCCCCGAGGAGGGGAAACGGGACAGCAGCTAGAGGGATGCTGAAGTGTCCATCAGTGCCACTTAGTGTACACACTGTGGTCTGGTGTCCCAAGGCTGATGGCTGTGACCACGTCAATCAGCTCCTCTGTGAAAGTGTCCCGTTGGGATATTCACAAACATTCACAGAAGAGAGACAGGAGCAAGTCTTTTTCAATTGCACATGTCTGACTCCTCTCATAGAGTTAGGTCCCTCTCTCTCTGTCTTCTGTCTTCTCTTACCTTCCCCTGCTTGGTTTGCTTACTTCCCCTTTAGCTCTCATCTCACATCCAGTCCCAGCTCTCCACAGTAGCCATGCTGGTGTGCTAGATACGACCCTAGACATAGTAGCTGGGTAAAATGTGCAGCATTCCTGTGGGTATGTGTTTTCAAACATTTGCTTAAATTTGGCCAGGCATGGTGGCTCACACCTGTAGTCCTAACACTTTGGGAGGCCAAGGTAGGGGTGCGGGGGAGCGGACTGCCTGAGGTCAGGAGTTCGAGACCAGCCTGGCCAACATGGCAAAACCCCGTCTCTACTAAAAATACAAAAATTAGTCAGGCGTGGTGGCAGGCGCCTATATCCCAGCTACTCGGGAGGCTGAGGCAGGAGAATAGCTTAAACCCGGGGGGCGGAGGTTGCAGTGAGCAGAGATCACGCCACTTTACTCCAGCCTGGGCGACAGAGTGAAACTGTCTCCAAAAAAAAAAAAAAATTTGCTTAAGTTTAAGGCCAGGTGTGGTAGTTCATGCCTGTAATCCCATCACTTTGGGAGCCTGAGGCAGGATCACTTGAGGTCAAGAGTTCAAGACCAGCCTGGGCAACATAGCAAGACCCTGTCTCTACAGAAAATTTTTAAAAATTGGCCAGCATGGTGGCACATGCCTGTAATCCCAGCACTTTGGGGAGGCTGACTTGGGAGGATCACCTGAGGCCAGGAGTTTGAGATCAGGCTGGGCAACATACTGAGACCCCGTCTCTACAAAAAACAAAAATCAAAAAATTAGCTGGGCATGGTGGTGTGTGCCTACAGTCCCAGCTGCTCCAGAGGCTGAGGCGGGAGGACTGCTTGAACCCGGGAGTTTGAGGCTGCAGAGAGCTATGATCGCACTGCACTGCCTGGATGACAGAATGAGACCCTTTCTCTAAAACAAAAAAAATTTTTTTTGCTTAAATCATGTAGTGTTGTAAACCTTGTTTGGTTTCTTAACTTTTTCACTTAACATTTTTTTTTCTTTTTTTTTTGAGACAGAGTCTCACTCTGTCGCCCAGGCTGGAGTGCAGTGGCGTGATCTCAGCTCACTGCAACCTCCACTTCTTGGGTTTAAGCGATTCTCATGCCTCAGTCTCCTGAGTAGCTGGGATTACAGGCGATCACCACCATGCCCAGCTAATTTTTGTATTTTTAGTAGAGAACTGGGTTTTACCATGTTGGCCAGGCTGATCTGGAACTCCTGACCTCAAGTGATCCACTCGTCTTGGCCTCCCAAAGTGCTGGGATTACAGGCGTAATCACTGCGCCTAGCCAAGATTTGGTTTTTTTAGAGGGCTTTACTTCCATGTGACTAGTATCTTGTACTGTTGGACATTTTTACCATGTGTATGGATTATACTTACAAAAGAAAAGAACAACATAAATAAAAATAAACTAAAAGTTGGAGGAAGTAAACGACAATCTAAACAGCAGACCCTCCTCAGCCTACTTTCTCCCCACTGGCTAAATTCACACCCTCCAGACCAACGCCACTGTCCTGGGGGCAGGTGGATGGCCACCTCCTTCCCTTGGATGCAGGATGTTGCCCAAACCAGGGTGGCCATGAGCGGGACACTTACGGGCCTCGGGGCAGCAGCACTTGTCTGGGCAGCAGGGGCACCTGACGTAGCAGCAGCAAGTGTGCGGGCAGCACTGGCACCAGCAGATGCCCAGGAGGAGGAAGATGAGGAAGGCAGCCAGGCATACCACAACCACGAAGAGCCAGTCTGCAGAAAGACAACAGGCCCTGAGCCCGGAGGCCTGGGAGGGAACAGGGCTAACGGCACAGCAGGGGTACATGGTGCGGAGCCAGCACTGAGGTCGGGGACGATTTGCAAAGCTCACCAAGGAACCTGCAGCCCTGGCTGGATTTTTTGTGCCAGAGGCTGGGCACAGCACACTCCCCATTCTACCATCCCGGCCATTCCCCAGTTACGGCCCTCCCCCAGGTGCAAAAAACACAAGGCAGAAAACGAGGCAGCCTGCACAGAGGGAGACAGACTGCAGCCCCCAGACCAAAGAGAGAGCCAGCTGCCCAGACGCCACACCCTCAAGAGCACCGCAGGTGCCAGTCACAGAGCCCTGGCCTGCACCCCAGGCTCTCCTCAGCCCAGCCTAGCCTAGGCCCAGCGCCAGACCACTAGATGCCTCAGAGCCACAGTCAGGCCAGGTTAGTGAGGGGTCCACAGTGAGCAGGGTTTAGTGGGGAAGGGGATACTAACTAGAGTCAGAAGCAGTAGGTGATGTATGGGAGCTCCCGAGAAGCCCAACTCAGGATCCACCCCCCGTACCTTCTATGGGCCCCGCCTGAAAACCAGGTAAGAGCTCAGCCACCCCTGAGGTCCTCCCTGGAGGGACAAAAGAGAAACAGATTATGCTGGCCAGAGCCAGCCCAGGCTGTGCCACCCCCGAAAGCCCAGCTCCAGGCTGGCCAAGTGCAAGGTGTGCCCTGAAGCGGGAAGGGGCTGGGGGCTGAAGCCCTAGTGCATGGCTCCTACCCTCCACCCGCCCACATGTGGGTGCTTATAGGTAAGAAACTCCCATTGCATAATCCACCTGTGTTATGCCACGAGGGCTCCAATACAAATCCCAGGGGGTTCTGAGGGCTCTACCTCAGCTTGGGCACCCTAAGTTTCCCTCATTCATAGGTCTTAGCACCCCAAAGGGCTCCAACCACGGTGATAGGGATGTCCTGTTCCAGCAGGCACAGGGACCTAGGGCCCACGAAATAGGATCTCAGCTCTGTCGCCCAGTCTGGAGTGCAGGGGTGTGATCATGGCTCACTGCAGCTTCAACCTCGTGGGCTCAGGCGATCCTCCCACCTCAGCCTCTGGGGTAAGTAGCTAGGGCTACAGGCATGTGTCACCACACCTGGCTGAAATGGTTTAATTTTACTTTACAAATCTGAACACAAATTAACACAATATACAGGAATAAACTCTTTGTGACAACATAATCACACATTTTTTTTAAAACAGGAAGGGACCCATGAAGGCAAAAATACCCACATATGAAAGTCATATGCAGTCCTGGTTCTGGGACCCACAAGGTCTCCATCTCTACTCATGCACTGTCACATTCACGCATCTCAGAGCCGGTTCTTGTCTTCCCTCGAGTGCCCCTGGAGCTCTGAGCCCCACCAGTGTTGTGTCTGAGGGGCCTCCACAGGCCCAGCTCTGCACCCACGAAGCCCTCCCCAGAGCTCATGCACTTGGCACTATAGGCCCTCGCAACAGGACAGAGGCATGTCAGTCACAGCTCTCAAAGCGTGGTCCTGTCCACAAGGCCAAAAGAAGAAATTTTAGAATAACACTAAGATGTTATTTGCCTTTTTCACTTGTTCTCCCATGAATGTCCAGTAGAGTTTCCCAGGCTCCCTGATGCCATCATCGCCCTGATGCCTAATGGACTATATGCGTGTGTGTGTGTGTGTGTGTGTTTGTGTTTCTTGAGCCAGGGTCTCTGTCACTCATGCTAGAGTGCAGTAGCATAGTCACGGCTCACTGCAGCCTTGACCTCCTGGGTGCAAGCGATACTCCTGCCTCAGCCTCCCAAGAAGCTGGGCTCACAGGTGCATGCCACCATGCCTGGTTAATTTTAAAATTTTTTGTAGAGTCAGGGTCTTGCCATGTTGCCCAGTCTTCCTTGTGTATCTTGGGCTTGAAAAATCTCCCCATTTTAAGGCCGGGCAGTGGCTCATGCCTGTAATCCCAGCACTTTGGGAGGCCCAGGTGGGTGGATCACGAGGTCAGGAGATCGAGACCATCCTGGCTAACATGGTGAAACCCAGTCTCTACTAAAAATACAAAAAAAATTAGCCGGGTGTGGTGGCGGGTGCCTGTAGTCCCAGCTACCTGGGAGGCTGAGGCAGGAGAATGGCGTGAACCCAGGAGGTGAAGCTTGCAGTGAGCCGAGATCGAGCCACTGCACTCCAGCCTGGGCGACAGAACGAGACTCCATCTCAAAAAAAAAAAAAAAAAAGGAAAATCTCCCCATTTTAATTCCTAATATGTTAAGCAACAGATAGACATAAAACCCACAGAAACAAACAAAAGCTCTTGGAGACCCTCGATAATGTTTTAGAGTGTAAATAGACCTGGAGACTAATTTTGGGAACTGCTGATGCAAATGGTGCATTTTACCGAAGAACAGGCAGAGGTTCCTGGGTCACTGGTGCACGTGTTCCATCCCCCACACATGAACTCTGTCTTGCAGCCCAAGTACCCCCCAGTCACGTGCTCATTCACACATGTGAAGATGGCAGTGTACAGCCCAGCGGCATCACTCATGCAGAGCACATGTCATACAAGACTCCATGTGTTGGCTTACAGCAGGGCACCTGGCCGATGGCAACATCCCCCTAACACAAGGAGGCCTCCCAGCCACACGGACACCCCGCCCTGCCCCTGGGTGTCTGGAATCGGCTTCGTTTCAGCTGCACTCAAACTTACACAGTGTGTGTGCCATGCAGCGCCATCCCAGCAGGGCACACGGCAAAACCGCTGTGCTTTGGCGAGGGACTCGGGTGAGATGAGGCCTTGGGGATGTAGCAAGAGGTGGGTCGATTTTGCACACCATCAACTGTCCTCATTCACTGCCCATGGACTCTGACCACGTCTGGATTTTTTTTTTTTTTGGACAGAGTCTCACTCTGTCGCCCAGGCTGGAGTGCAGTGGCTTGATCTTGGCTTACTGCATCCTCTGCCTCCCAGGTTCAAGCAATCCTCATGCCTCAGCCTTCTGAGTAACTGGGATTACAGGCATGTGCACCACCACGCCTGGCTTTTATATTTTTTATAGAGACGGGATTTTGCCACGTTGGCCAGGCTAGTCTCGAACTCCTGGCCTCAAGTGATCCACCCGCCTCGGCCTCCCAAAGTGCTGGGATTACAGGCATGAACTACCGCACCCGGACCCCAAGTCTGGATTTTTTTTAAAAATGAGACTTTGAAAAGGCAGAGTCTCCAATTGTCTCCACTCTTCTCTTAGTTTGGCTTGGGTGATTGGAGGCACTGTGGGCCAGTGGTCCCTGCCTGGGGTGCAGGGCACAGGGGAGCCTAAGTGACTGGCAGAGCCTGGGGGAGAGCAGAGCAGGCGACAGAGCCCAGAGGGTAAGCTGGAGGGCAGAGGGCGGACACAGGGGAGGGCAGACAGAACAGAAGCGGACAAAAGGAAGGGCCATGCCTCCCCCTTCCCAGGCCCACTCACCAAGGACGATGAGCTCTGCGTAGGCCTCATTGTTCCCCTGGAGGTCCTGGGCTGAGACCACGGAGCAGTAATACACACCACTGTCCCCCCACGCCGTCTGGTCAAAGGTCAGGTCAGCATCTGAGTCGGGATGAAAAGGCGTGAGGGCACCTTGGAGGCTGGGGCACCTAACCCCTGGAGGGCCAAAGACCCCTTCCCAGCACACCCAGGAGGGGGCAAGCAGTGGGCTGGGCAGGCTGCAGATGATCAAATGCATATGCAAAGATTCCTACCAAGGGCACACGGCCTTTTACACCCCGTTCTAAACACCTGGACTACTGCAAGAAGTCTGTGAGGCAGGACCATTATCACTTCTGTTTTGTGGATGACATTTCGGGTCTGGAAAAGCTGCACAGCTCTTCAGTATAGAGCAGTAATGGTGCCCTCGGAGCCTGAGGTTGTTTTTTTTTTTCTTTCTTTAGAGACAGGGTCTCACTCTGTGGCCCTGGCTGGAGTGCAGTGGTGTAATTATAGCCCACTGCAACTTCAACCTCCTGGACTCAAGCAATCCTCCCACCTGAGTAGTTAGGACTACAGGCACTCCACCATGCCCAGCTTTTTTTTTTTTTTGTTTGAATCGGAGTTTCACTCTTGTTGCCCAGGCTGGCATGCAATGGTGCGAACTAATCTCGGCTCACTACAATCTTCGCCTCCCAGATTCAAGCAATTCTCCTGCCTCAGCCTCCCATGTAGCTGGGATTATAGGCACCTGCCACCACACCTGGCTAATTTTTGCATTTTTAGTAGAGATGGAGTTTCGCCATGTTGACCAAGTTGGTTTTGAACTCCAGACCTCAGGTGATCCACCCCCACCTCAGCCTCCCAAAGTGCTGGGATTACAGGCGTGAACCACCACACCCAGCAGTCTGTGCTTCTCAACTTACAGCCATCTCTGAACCACCTCTCAGAGCCAAAGTCAGAACTCCCCTGATGTGAACTGCCACCCACAGGGCCTAGTGTAGACCCCAGGGATGGGTGTGGAGATAAACAGGCCAGATTCTAGGTACCAGGAGATGCCCAGGCACCCATAAGGAGTGGGTGTGTCTATGTGGGAGAGAGAGACTTACCCTCCCAGTGCCTTGGTTCCTCCCCCTCCCCTTCCATCCCCACATTCCAGGTCAGGCCCAGGGCTTGGGGACGCTCTTGTCTGAAGCAGCTGCAGGCAAGGAGCCTGTTAACTCTACCATCCATCAAAGTGTTTTGGCACATCCTGTTTCCTCTCTGCTTCTCAGGCACTAATTAAATACCTTCAGCCTTTCACCAGGGTGGGACCAGGGCACCTACCAGGCAACTCTGCCTTAAGCCACTGGGGACAGAAGTAGGCTACATTGGGCATCTCGGGCAGGAAATGCCCTCAGCTTCCCGGCCTCTTTCCTCCTAGCCTGACCTGCCTGCCACCTTCCCAAGGACGCGCTGCCCTCCTGCATGACAGCTCTGTGACGGCAGCAACCACGCGTGCTGCAGTCCACAGCACCTGGCACCCCCAGGAATGAAAGAACCCTTGCTTTCTTCATAAGGAAGGCCTCATGTCTACAGAAAAATCCTCCTTGCAACAGTGTCTGGCTACAGCATTCCAGACGCCTTCCCTAAGGTCCCATAGTCCCATGGTCCCCAAGGCCCTTGGCACGACGTGGTCTCTAGCTACCGTGCCAGCCTCACCCCTGCCATCGCCTTGGTTCTAGATTTGCACTGTCCCCCTGTGGGCTGGGCTTCTCCCACGGCTCCCCCACCCAACTGCTGAAGTCTTATCTCCCAGCTTAGGGGCCGACCATCCTTTGCCTGGTGAAAATGTGGGCTCCGTGAGGCAGAGCCCTGTCTGTCTCAGCCACTGCTGGGTCCCCAGTGCCTGACACAATACCTGGCAAGGAGCAGAAATGAACACCCTCTTGGCCGGACATGGTGGCTCACACCTGTAATCCTAACACTTTGGGAGGCTGAGGCAGGTGGATCACTTGAGGTCAGGAGTTCCAGACCAGCCCGGCCAACATGGTAAAACCCCATCTCTACCAAAAATGTAAAAAATTAGCTAGGCATGGTGGCACGCACCTGTAGTCCCAGCTACCCTGGAGGCTGAGGCAGGAGAATTGCTTGAACTCAGGAGGCAGAGATTGCAGTGAGCTGAGATTGCACCACTGCACTCTAGCCTGGGCAGTAGAGTGAGACTCCATCTCAAAAAAAAAAGAAAAAAAAGGAAACGAACCCCCTCTCCTCATGCTAAAGTCCCTTAGCTTTTGTCATCTGTCTCATCATTCTGGGCACATGGCTGGATTCAAAGACACATTTCTTTCTTTCTTTCATTCATTCATTCATTCATTCATTCATTCATCCTTCAACAATAATTACTGAGTACCACCTATGTTCTAGGCAGTATTTGAGACACCTGGGATACCACAGCAACAGTTCTCAAACTGCAGCCTCTAGACCCTGGGGTTCCCCAAGACGTTTTCAGGAGATCCTGAGGTCAAAGTTATTTTCCCAACAATACTAACTGTGGAGTTTTCCAGAGGCTACGTGACATACAATAGATATCACAACAGACTGAAGCAGCTCTGAGAAGCCAGGCTCTTCTATCCAGCCAGGCTTCGGAGACTTGCAAAAAAATAAAACCATGCCACCTTCTCATTCACAATGTTTTGTCTGATTTCAGAAAATGATTATTTTTTTCATAAAAGGTATTTTATTTATGTTAATCTATAATGACTTTATTGTCATTTAAACTATTTTGTAAACTTTTCTCATTCTGCTGCCTATGAAAACAAACTCTTTGAGCTCTTAATTTTTTTTTTTTTTTTGAGATGGAGTCTCGCTCTGTTGCCCAGGCTGGAGTGCAGTGGCACGATCTTGGCTCACTGCAGCCTCTGCCTCCTGGGTTCAAGCGATTCTCCTGCCTCAGCCTCTTGAGTAGCTGGGATTATAGGCGCCTGCCAACATAACTGGCTAATTTTTGTATTTTTAGTAGAGACAGGTTTTTCACTGTGTTGGCCAGGCAGGTCTGGAACTCCTGACCTCAAGTGATCTGCCCGCCTGGGCCTCCCAAAGTGCTGGGATTCCAGGCATGAGCCACCTCGCTAGGCCTGAGCTCTTAATTAACCTCAAAATCAAGAATATAAAAGAGGCCTAAGCCCGGAACCTTTGAGTTATAAATCCTTGCCCTTGCCCTTCTAGAGTTCAGATTCTAACTAGGAAAGAAAGACAAATATAAAATGTTAACTATGTCACATATCAGACAAAGATAAGCTGTATGGAGAAAACGAATCAGGGACAGCAGAGAGTGCCAGGCGTGGAGTGGGGGCTGTGCCATTTTAAACAAGGAGGCCAGGGAAGGCTTCCGGATATGGTGACCTTCAGAGCAGATGTGAAGGGGTTGAGGACACGACTTACCCTAATGATCAGGCATCTAAGCCACTGTTTTTTTGTTGTTGGTGTTGTTTTTTAATTTTGAGATGGGATCTTGCTTTGTTGTCCAGGTTGATCTTGAACTCCAGGGCTCAAGTGATCCACCTGCCTCAGCCTCCCAAAGTGCTGGGATTACAGGCATGAGCCACCGCCCCTAGCCCCCACCGTTTATTGAGCTCTTACTATGTGCTGGGCCCCTCTACACACATTCTTTCATTGAATCCTCATAGAATTCCAAACTAGGTTCTCCTAAATCCCCAGGTTTGCCACAATGCCCTCTTCGTCCATCATTTTTCCACCTGTATCTTTTTTGAGAGGGCCTAGCTTGGTCGCCCAGGCTGGAGTGCAGTGGTGCGATCATGGGTCACTGCAGCTTCGAACTCCTAGGCTCAAGCAATCTTCCCATCTCCAGAGTAGCAGGGTGTGCCATCATGCCCCGCTAAATTTATTTTTTTGTAGTCTCTGGGTCTCACTGTGTTGCCCAGGCTGGTCTCCCAGCTCCTGTCCTCAAGCAATCCTCCTGCCTCGGCCTCCTGAAGTGCTGGGATTACAGGCATGAGCCACCAGTGTCTTCAGATCAGACCCTGACCGTGCCTCTTCAACACTGGAGCTCAAGAGCTGGTCCCTGCTATAAACAAAAGAGGTGGACAGGAACCGCCTGCCATGGCAAACAGATCATATAGGCCAGGGGTTGAAATCTGGCATCTTGTAGGCCGAGGCTGGACCTCACTGTGTTTTGTTTGACCTGTCTGACATTTTCAAAACTCACAAAAAATATAGTTTTCCGGCTTCTTTTGATCCATCCTAAGGTCTGGGCACACCTTCTTCCTGCAGGGCGTACCCTGTTCCTGGTCTTGGGCTGGCCGTGATCTCATCCGGGCTGAGCACTGCTTTCATTGTTTTAGGTCGGGGAGAAGATGCCAGGTCTCCAGTGGGAACAGCAGCCAGGCCTCCTCCACATCTCCAACCTCTGGTTCCTTCTTTATACACCGCAAAGGTGACCTTCATGATTTCAGAGGTCCCATGGGCTCTCTGCTGCAGTGCAGCTGGAGGTGGGGGCACTTGGACCCCAAGGAGCCCGAGGAGGTGGAACAGGGCCTCCTGTCCAGGTGCTGGTCCATCACCCAAAGCATGGAAGGACAAAGCAGGGAATGAGCCACCGGACCGGAGGGATGCCTGGAGTGGACAGCCTTCTACCTTATCCAGGACTATTTTCACTTTTGAAACCAGGATAGGCCGGGCATGGTGGCTCACATCTGTAATCCCAGAACTTTGGGAGGCCAAGGCAGGCAGATCACCTGAGGTCAGGAGTTTGAGACCAGCCTGGCCAACATGGCGAAATCCCATCTCTACCAAAAAGATACAAAAATTAGCCAGGTGTGGTGGTGTGCACCTGTAATCCCAGCTACTCAGGAGGCTGAGGCGGGAGAATCACTTGAACTTGCGAGGCAGAGGTTGCAGTGAGCTGAGATTGCACCACTGCACTCCAGCCTGGGCAACAGAAAAAAAACAACAACAACAGAAAAACCCCAGCACAGTGGGTGACCCTAGGAACACCACGGGGAGTCCACTTTTCCCCATCCTCAAAGCTGAAACAGAGGAAGCTCCTATGGCTATGGGATTTCCTGAAAGGACACACACAATGGATGTTTACACTCAGGGCCTTGATCAAACACAGGCCCAGGTGGGGGTGGTTTGAAAGACCCAGGCCTGTGAGGCCCCTGGAGCATGCAGGGCCCCTTCCCCGAGACAGAGCCTGGGGGGTCATCCTGGACTTTTGCGTCCAGCAGAGGAAGCACCCTCAGTATTTGGCTTGTCCTGGCAGAAGCTTAGCAGTCACGCCTGGTCCAGGCAGGCACAATCCCTGGGTTAGAGAGGAGGGGGCCTAAGCAGCCCTGTGACCTCAATAACAGTAGGATGCTCATGGCTGAGCTGCCCACAGAAATTCAGGGCAAGCAAGCCTGGTGCCTCCTCTGAAACAGGACTGACATAGGCTCAGCCCCTGGAACCCTGCTTCCCATCGATCCTCTAGCAGAATGTGCTCCAGTTCCTGGCTTCTTGGGGTCTGCAAAGGGATGCTCCCTTCCCCGCTCTGCCCCATGCCCAACTTTAAATTCTTGTTTAAGACAGTGAACACACACTAAGACATGAGGTACGTGAGCCTTCATCCCTGGCACCCTGCCCCTCCCCTTCCTCTCTGCCTTCTAGGTTCTGTAAGGCCCAGGCCCAGGCCCTCCTCAAATCATATTCACAGCCCAAGTCATTCCATGTAGCACATCACCCAGTGCTATTTTCTTTTTTCTTTTTTTTTTAAGACGGAGTCTCACTGTTTCCCAGGCTAGAGTGCAGTGGCGCAATCTTGGCGCACCGCAACCTTCGCCTCCCAGGTTCAAGCGATTCTCCTGCCTCAGCCTCCCGAGTAGCTGGGATTACAGGCGCCCACCACCACGCCCGGCTAAATTTTGTATTTTTAGTAGAGATGGGATTTCACCATGTTGGCCAGGCTGGTCTCGATCTCCTGACCTCAGGTGATCCACCCACCTCGGCCTCCCAAAGTGCTGGGATTACAGGTGTGAGCCACTGCGCCCAGCCTATTTTCTTTTCATTTCAAGACAGGGTCTCACTCTGTCACCCAGGCTGGAATGCAGTGGCACGATCATGACTCACTGAAGCCTTGACCTCTCAAGCCCAAGCAATCCTCCCACCTCAGCCTCCTGAGCAGCCGGGACCACAGGCACATGCCACCATGCCCAGCTAATTTTTAAATTTTTAAAATTTTTGTAGACATGGGGTCTCATTTTGTTGTCCAGGCTGGTCTCAAACTCCTAGGCTCAAGTGATCCTCCTGCCTTGGCCTCCCAAAGTGCTGAAATTTACAGGCATGAGCCAATGCACCCAGCCTGGTGTTATTTTCTTTGCAACACTTAGTACTCTCTGACATTCTTATACCTTGACGGAGTCTTTTTTTTTTTTTTTTTTTTTGAGACAGAGTCTCACTCTGTCGCCCAGACTGCAGTACAGTGGTGCGATCTCAGCTCACTGCAACCTCTGCCTCCTGGGTTCAAGCGATTCTCATGCCTCAGCCTCCTGAGTAGCTGGGATTACAGGCATGTGCCACCATGCCTGGCTAATCTTTGTATTTTTAGTAGAGACGGGGTTTCACCATGTTGGCCAGGCTGGTCTGGAACTCCTGACCTCAGGTGATCCACCCACCTTGGCCTCCCAAAGTGCTGAGATTACAGACGTGAGCCACCGTGCCCAGACTTTGAAATTCTCATACTCTTTCTTTATCTGCTTATTTACTGCCAGTCTCACTCCACCAGAATGTCATCTCCTTGACGACAGAAACTTCAGCCATCCCAATCACCTCTATCCCCAGCACCAACGACACATAGTCGATGCTTGATAAATACCAAATGAATGAATGAATGACTGCCCCTTACTTAGTCCCAACAGGCACATCCTATCAGGAGGCAGCATTACAGTTAAGAACAAGGGGCCGGGCGCGGTGGCTCACGCCTGTAATCCCAGCACTTTGGGAGGCCGAGGCGGGCGGATCACGAGGTCAGGAGATCGAGACCATCCCGGCTAAAACGGTGAAACCCCGTCTCTACTAAAAATACAAAAAATTAGCCGGGCGTAGTGGCGGGCGCCTGTAGTCCCAGCTACTTGGGAGGCTGAGGCAGGAGAATGGCGTGAACCCGGGAGGCGGAGCTTGCAGTGAGCCGAGATCCCGCCACTGCACTCCAGCCTGGGCGACAGAGCGAGACTCCGTCTCAAAAAAAAAGAACAAGGTTCTCAGGGCTGCCTGGGTTCAAACCCCAGCTCCAGACTTTGACTTCCTATGCACCCATTTGAACAAGGTAACCTCTCTGTGCCTCAGCTGTCAGGAGGGTAGAGGAGAGGACTCAATGGGAGAATATGTGTGCAGTTCCTGGCATGTCACAGGCTTTCTCCATTAAGCTCTCTTGCCCCTGCAGTTCACTCCTGCCATCTCCTCTGTGAGTCCTCTGCGGACCACCCTAGGCAAGCAAAGGGATTAGGAGCTTGGCCACTAGACCCAAAGTGGCTGAGTTAGAATCCCAGCCCCGTTACCAGCTATGACACTAGGCAAGTCACTTTCTCTCTCTGGGCCTCTGTAAGATGACAATGATAGAATCTATTCAATTACTGTGTGGTCTGAGTTAATCCTTGGGAACCTGGATGAGAGCTTAGCACACAGTAGACCCTTTATAAGTTGTTACTTAGATAAATTTTACTTCTTACTGCTCGTGTTATTAATGATTATAGAACAAACCCTGGCCTCTTCTCTCCGTTACCCAGTTTTCTTTATCTTCAAGGACTTGAGAGTGTGTGTCGTGTTTGTCTCTCTCACTGCAATGTGGGCTCCACGAGGGAAGTGGTTTGATGATTTTGTTAACAGCTGTATTCCCAGGGCCCAGAACAGCACCTGGTATATGACAGGTACTCAAAAAATCTTCGTTATTAAATTAAAGAATGGAAGGATTAGCAGAAGGAAGAATAGTAGAATAGAATCGCTCCCTTTAGGCTGGGTATGGTGTCTCTCAGCACTTTGCGAGGCCAAGGCGGGCAGATCATTTGAGGTCAGGAGTTTGAGACCAGCCTGGCCAACATGGTGAAACCCCATCTCTACTAAAAATACAAAAATTAACTGGGCGTGGTGGCACGCACCTGGAGTCCCAGCTACTCGGGAGGCTGAGGCAAGAGAATTGCTTGAACCTGGGAGGTGGAGGTTGCAGTGAGCTGAGATCGCACCACTGCACTCCAGCCTGGAGTCCAGAGCAAGACTCCATCTTCAAAAAAAAAAAAAAAAAGAATTGCTCCCTTCAATGGTCCTTTCAGACACTGGCACTCAAGAGCTTTCAGATGGGGACTCCAGGTCCCGCACAAGGACGCCAGTCCCACCACCCGGGCAAGCCCAGCCTCATCCCCCTGCCCTGCCCAACATACTTCCGGTGATGGTAATCCTCCGGCCCTGGTAGTAATCTCCCAGGGTCACAGCGTTGCCCTGCTTGGTGGCCACGACCCTGACGGTGCGCACGCTGTCCTGGCACTCAACGTAGGGGTTGTAGCCTGGGTTCCCGGCTGCCAGCTGGGCATTGAGCTGGTTGTCGACGCTGGCCGGGGAGAAGGCATCGGCGATGCGGTCCCGGCAGAAAGACTTGTACTTCCAGATGACGATGGGTTGCGTGGGGGTCGAGGTCATCTGGTAGGTACAGGGCAGGGTCACAGGCTGGAAGAGGATCACCACGTGGTAGGGGTTGGACACGGTCACCTGGATGGCCCTGGCAGGAGCTGAGGGCAAGAGGAGAGACAGCAAGGGTTGCTGTGAGCTCAGGGAGGTGCTTCAACAGGAACGCCACCTGTCACCAGCTTGACACTCGCAAGTATGTGGTTTACAGAGTGCCTGGCACACATTGTTCCTTAATTGCCAGGACCAGTGAGGTAGCCACGATAATCATGCCCATTTTATAGACCCGTGGGGCTGAAGTGGCAGGTGCACGGTGACACGGCCAGTTTCCTTGGACTCGCCCGCCATCCCTCTTCCCAGCCTGTGGCCTCTGAACCACACCAGTCCCCTCTTCCCTTTGCCATTCACCCACAACAAGGGGCCTCTGTGTGGCCTGGGCAGGCAAGCCCAGATGGCCATGTTGATGCCCCCAGCGCCCAAGGCCCCACTTCAAAACCGACTACGAAGGATTCCAGGTTACCCGGGGCCTTTTGAATTTGGAGGGAAAACCATGGAGTTGTTTGCCTGAACTGCTTTGCCATGGAGGGACTAAAGCCCCCACAATATCTCCATCAGCCTCCCACCACCTCACCCTACTCTAAAGTCATTTCAAATGACTGAACCAAAAGTGTCTCGGGAAAGACCTCATCACCACCCAAATATCCCATCCAGGTGAAAGCCTGCCAGCAGAAGTCGGTTTCAAGTCCGTAAATCCATCCCACCAGACTCTTACGCACGTATAATCCGGAGCCCGCGGGAGGTGGGTGGGGTGCGGGGGATGGGGAGTCCCCAGTCCCACACCCACCCGAGGCCTAGGCATTGTTCCTTCGTCTCTGTCCCTCTAGGAAGCGTCTGATCCAGCCCTCCCGTGCCCTCTCCCCGTTACTCCAAAACTTAGAAATCCCCGGGTGCGCCCAAGTCCCATCCCGGCTTTTCTTTTCCCAGAGATCGGGCGGTCTTCCACTCCCTCCCCACAAAGAGTTCCATTCTCCCTGCCGCTCCGGGTCTCACCGTCCAGGGAGTTTCACTTCCTGCTATCTTCCAGATAAGGGCGCGGGGAGCGCTCCCCGGCACAAATGGGGAATTCCTCTCACTCCCGCGCGCAACAGATCGCCCAAGACCCAGGGGATCGGAAGGTCCCAGCCTCTGAGACCCCCGCTTCCCGCTTCCCGCCGCCTCCAACTCCATCCATCCCCCTCTACAGTTCCCTCCGGCGTTCCGCAGCGTCAGAGGCCCCGTGCCCCGTACCTGTGCACCAGGTGCTAAGCAGAAGCCACACGAAGACGACCGCGTCCCGGCCTGCGGCGGCCGGGTGGGAGCCCAGCCCTCTGGAGAGCCCGCCGGCCAACAGCGCCATCGCGGCCGTCTGGGCGCGTCTGGCCCGCGCGTCCCTTCCAAAGTACCTTAGGGGGCGCGGCGCGCACCAAGGCCAGGAGGGGTGCACGCTCCTCCCCTTCCCACTTCCGTTCCTTGTCCCTACTCCAAGTCCGTCCTGTTGCATTCTGGAAGTTTTAATGAGCGTAAACGACGTGGACAAAGGGCATGCTTTCAGATATGGGGGAGAAAGGTGCTTGACCCGCCGCGGTCCTCCGAGCCACACTCCACCCGCTGCGCGCTCCGGTGAATGGTTCGGCCCAGGTACACAAGGGTGGGAGCCGAGGGCTGGGCTTAGGGGTGAGCGGCGGGGAGGGGTTCCTCTGCCTCCCTCCCCGGAAGTGGGCTGACCCAGGTGCGCTCCGTCCCCCAGGGCCCGAACCAAGTGACTGGCCCGCTGGGAGGGCGCCTGCGGACCACAGGTCCCTTCCGGCCCCCATCTGCTCCGGCCAAACCAAGCGCACCGAGATCCATGCAACCGAGACCCACTTGGAGCGATTCACCTGTTGAGATAGGGCGGGTCCCGCCGCGCACCTGTTCCCTCCCTGCCCAAACCCCTCTCCCCGGCTGGCGATGGACCCGCCTAGGTGCGCCCTGCCGGGAGGAGCGAGTCTAAGCAAAGTCCTGGCTGGGAGAGGCTTGTTGGTGGCGCCTGACTTCTCCACTTCCACTGGGGTTCCTCCGGACCGGGTGGAGGGGGGGCGCTTCGGGCCTCCTGTGTCTCCCAGTTAGATGACCTGAGGAACCCTCTAAAGTCCCCGGAAGGGAAGCTCTGCCCCCTCAGGGATGCCCAAGGGGAATCAGGGCCAGGAAAAGTTGGAATTCCACTTCGGAAGTTTTCGCCACCTCCCCCACCCGTTCCCAACTTGTGGTTCGGCCCCTGGGCATCCCTAGCCCCCGGGTCAGCCCTCCGGAAATTCTGGCTCTTAAAGGGGCCGAGCGAAGGCGCGGGGCTTGGGACCGGTTTCCGCTTAGGAATTCCCGGAACGAGCCACCTGCGACCGAGGGCGGGGGCGCGGCGCGGCGATCAGCCTGCGCAGCGCTGGGCGTGACTCTGCTGTCTCCAGGTGGCGGCGAGGGAAAGCGCATCCTGGGGGAACCCTGGGCGCTTCCTCGCGTTAGACTCCCCCAGGTTGCCAACTGGCCAGTGGCTGGTTTCGGTACCCAGGCGTGCTTTGTTCTACTGGCCCTGTTAAAACTCAAGCCAGATCACGTCCACCTGCTCACAGCCCTCCTGTGGCTCCTCCTCACTCTCAGCAGAAACTGACCTTCCCCCTCTTATCTCACCTCCTCCCACTCTCTCTGGCTTACTCAGCTTCGGACACCCTGGCCTCCTCGCTGTTTCCAACTATACTTCTCACAGTCCTCAGAGCCATCGCCCGTGCTACTCCCTCTGCCAGAACACCCTTCCCGCAGATGTCCACATGATCTTCCTCCTCCTGTAGGACACCATTGCAGTGACACCTTCCCTGGCCACTTTTTATAAAATTTCAACCCGTTCACGTCCCTTCATCGTTTAAAAAAATATTTTTATGATAAAATATGCAAACTATAATATTTATCGCTTTAACCACTTCAAGTGTAAAATTCAGTGGCATTAAGTATATTCACAATGTCGTGTACCAATCACCACTCTTTATCCCCGAAACTGTTTCATCATCCCCAACATAAACTCTGTGACCATTAAACAGTAACTCCCCATTCCCTGCTACCTGTGCCCCTAGTAATTTCTATTCTACTTTGCTTACCAAATTGCCCATTCTAGGTGCCTCATATAAGTGGAATCGTCTAACATTTGTCCTGTGTCTAGTTTATTTCACAAAGAATAATGTTTTCAAGGTCCATCCATGTTGTAGTATGTCGAAGCCATGTAGCATGCAGTAAGATCAAAATTTCTTTTTACAGCGGACTAGTGTACCATTGTATGTATATGCTACGTTTTATTTATCCATTCATTTGTGGATGGACCTAGGTTGTTTCTACCTTTTGACTATTGTAAATAGTGCAGCTGTGAACACTGGTGTACAAATATCTGCTTTCATTTCTTTTGAATATATGCCTAAGAATGGAATTGCTGGGTGACTTGGTAGTTCTATTTTTAACCTTTTGAGGAACTGCCAAACTGTTTTCCCCAATGACTGCACTATTGTACATTCCCACCAGCAATGCACGGAGGATTCCAATTTCTCCACATCCCCACCAAAACTTATTATCCATTTTCTTGATTATGGCCATCCTGGTTAGTGTGAAGTGGCATCTCATTGTGGTTGTAATCTGCATTTCCCCAATGACTAACGATGTTGAGCATATTTCCACGAATTTATTGTCCATTAGTATATCTTCTTTGGAGAAGTGTCTATTCAAGTACTTTGCCCATTTTTGAATTGGGTTGTTTGTTTTTTTGTTGTCAAGTTGTAGGAGTTCTATATATATTTTGAATATTAATCCCTTGTTAGATATATGATCTGCAAATATTTTCTTCCATTCTCCAGGTTTTTTCACTTTCTTGATAGTGTCCTTTGGTGCACAAAAGTTCTTAATTTGATGAAGTTCAATTTACCTACTATTTTTTCTTCCTTGTACTTTTGGTATCCTATTTATGCAGTTGTTGCCAAGTCCAATGTGATGAAGATTTTCAACAATATTTTCTTCTAAGAGTTTTATAGTTTTAACTCTTAAATTGAGTCTTTGAGCCACTTTATTTTATTTCATTTTATTTTTTGAGACTGAGTCTCACTTTGTCGCCCAGGTTGGAGTGCAGTGGTGTGATCTCCGCTTACTGCAACCTCCACCTGCCGGGTTCAACCGATTCTCATGCCTCAGCCTCCCGAGTATTTGGGATTACAGGTGCATGCCACCACACTGGGTTAATTTTTGTATTTTTAGAAGAGATGGGGTTTCACCATGTTGGCCAGGCTGGTCTCGAACTCCTGACCTCAAGTAATCTACCTGCCTTGGCTTCCCAAAGTGCTCACATAGGTGTGAGCCACTGCACCCGGCCTGGGCCATTTTAATTTTAGTATGTGGTAGAAGGGTCCAACTTCATTTTTTTGCATATGGATATTCAGTTTTCCCTCTACCATTTGTTGAAAACACTGTCCTTTTCCCATTAAGTGGTCTTGGCTTCCTTGTCAAAAATCAATTAATCATATATGTGAGGGTTTGTTTCTCGGTTCTGTATTCTATTTCATTGATCTATACGCCTATCCTTATGCAAGTACCATATGTTTTAATTACTATAGCTCTGTAGTAAGTTCACAGATGGAAAGTGTGAGTCCTCTAACTTTATTCTTCTCTTTCAGTATTGTTTTGGTTATTGGGGGCCCCTTAAAACTCCATATGAATTTGAGGATCTGCTTCCATTTCTTTGGGAAAAGACGTTGGAATTTTGATCAGCATTGTGTTGAATCTGTAGATTGTTTTGGGTAGTATTGACATTTTTAATGTTAAGTCTTTCTATCCATGAACACATCTTGCCATTTATGCCATTTATTTAGATACTTGTTAATTTATTTTATCAATCTTTTTTTTTTTTTTTTTTTTTTTTTGAGACTGAGTCTTGCTCTGTCACCCAGGCTGGAGTGCAGTGGCCCAATCTCAGCTCACTGCAAGCTCCGCCTCCCAGGTTCACGCCATTCTCCTGCCTCAGCCTCCTGAGTAGCTGGGACTACAGGCGCCCACCACCACGCCCGGCTAATTTTTTGTAGTTTTAGTAGAGATGGGGTTTCATCGTGTTAGCCAGGATGGTCTCGATCTCCTGACCTCGTGATCCGCCCGCCTCGGCCTTCCAAAGTGCTGGGATTACAGGCTTGAGCCACCGTGCCAGGCCTTATTTTAGCAATCTTTTGTCATTTTCAGTGTACAAGTCTTTCACCTCATTGGTTAGATTTATTCCTAAGTATTTAATTGTTTTAGATGCTGTTGTAAATGAAATTGTTTTCTCAATTTCCTCTTCGGATTGTTCAGTGCTGGTGCATAGAAACATGACTGATTTTTGTGTGTTGATCTGGTACCCTGCAACTTGTTTATTAACTGTAGTAGCTGTCTTGTGAATTCTTTTGGATTTTCTATACATAGATCGTGTCATCTGTGAATAGAGATAGTTTTACTGCTTTCTTTCCAATCTGAATGACTTTTATTTCCTTTTTCTGTCTGATAGCTCTGGGTGGAACTTCCAATACAGTGTTCAATAGCCATGGTGAAAATGGCCATCTTTGTCTTACTCCTGATCTTAGGGGGAAAGCTTTCAATCTTTCACCATTGAGTATGATGATAGCTGTGAGTTTTTCATAAATACCCTTTATCACATTGAGGAATTTTCCCTGTATGATTAGTTTTCTGTTTTTTTTTTTTTAATCATGAAGGTGTGTTGAATTTTGTCAAATACCTTTTCTGTATTAATTCAGATGATCATGTGTGTGTTTTTTACCTTCATTCTAATAATGTGATGTATTACATTGATTAATTTTCTTATGTTGAACCACCCTTGCATTCCTGCATAAATCATACTTGGATATTTGAGTAATCCTTTTAATATGCTAATGAACTTGATTTGCTAATTTTTTTGAGGATTTTTGTATCTATATTCATATGGGATATTAGTCTGTAATTTTCTTTTCTAGTGATTTCTTTATTTGGCTTTGGTATTATGGTAATACTGGCTGCACAGAATGAGTTAGAAAGTGTTTCCTTCTCTTCAATTTTTTGGAAGTTTGAAAATTATTTGTGTGAATTCTTCTTTAAATGTTTGGTTGAACTAACTCATGAAGCCATCTGGTTTAAGATTTTTCTTTGCTAGGTGGTTTAAAATTAGTGGTATTGCCACTTTCATTTCTGATTTTAGTTATTTGCGTCTTCTCTCTTTGGTGCTTCATCAGTCTCACCAAAGGTTTGCCAATTTTGTTAATCTTTTCAAAAAACCAACTTTTGGTTTTACAGATTTTTTTGTCTATTCTCTTTCTCTATTTTATGAGTTTCTGCTCTAGTCTCTATTATTTCCTTTCTTCTGCTGGCTTTGGGTTTTGTTTGCTCTACTTTTTCTAGTTCCATAAGATGTAAGTCAGGTTATTAATTTGAGATAGTTATTCTTTTTACATGGGCATTAATAGCTATTAATTTCCCTCTGAGCACTGTTTTTGGGGCATCTCATAAGTTTGGTATATTTTGTTTTCTTTCCTACTTGTCCCTAAGTATTTTCTGATTTCCTTTGTGATTTCTTCTTTGACCTGTTGGTTGTTTAAGAGAATGTTGTTTAATTTTCACATATTTGTGAATTTTCATTTTTCCTTCTATTATTGATTTCTAACTTTATCTTGTTGTGATCAAAGAAAAGAGTTCGTTTGATAGGTATTTTAAAATCTACTGAGATTTAACTTATGCCTCAACATGTCATCTATCATAGAGAATGTCTCATGTGTACTTGGATTTTTTTTTTAATTGGGTGAGTGTTCCATATGTATCTGTTAGGTCTAGTTGGTTTTTGTGTTGTTCAAGTCCACTATATTTTTACTTACTTTCTGTCTGTGTGTTCTATCCATTATTGAAAGTGGGATTTTGAACTCTCCAACTATTATGGTAGAACTGTGTATTTCTCCTTTGAGTCTATCAATTTTTGCTTTATATTTTGAGGTCTGTTATTAGGTGCAGAAATGTTTATAACTGTTACATCTTATTGAGATATTTAACTTTTTATTAATTTGTAATGTCTGTCTTGTCTCTTGTAAATTGTTTTGATTTAAAGTCTATTTTGTCTGATATTCGCATAGCCACTCAAGCTATCTTTTGGTTACTGTTTGCATGGAATATCATTTTCCATATCTTTTGCTTTGAACATATTCGTGCCTTTGGATCTAACATGAATCCTTTATAGACAGCGTATTGTTGGGTGGTTTTTAAAAATACATTCTGGAAATCTCCATCTTGATTTAAAGAAATGACTATCAGCAAAATTACTGCCATTTTGCTACTTGTTTTCTATATACCTTATGGCTTTTTGTCCCTCATTTTCTCCATTACTGTTTATGTTTAATTTTTTTTTTGTAGCGAAATGTTTTGATTCTCTTTTCATTTCCAGTTGTGTATATTTTGTAGCTTTTTATTTTGTGGTTATAGAGGAGATTATATTATATATAAAACCTAAAATTATAATACTCCAATTTACATTTATACCAGCTTAATTTCGATAGTATATATATAAACTCTGCTCTTATATAGCTCTGTCACTCCTTTTCCTTTTTCTTTCTTTTTTTTTTTTTTTGAGATGGAGCCTTGCTCTGTCACCCAGGCTGGAGTGCAATGGTGCAATCTTGGCTCACTGCAGCCTCTGCCACCTGGGTTCAAGCAATTCTGCTGCCTCTGCCGCCCCAGTAGCTGGGATTACAGGTGTCTGCCACCATGCTCGGCTAATTTTATTTTTCTATTTTTAGTAGAGATGAGATTTCGCCATGTTGGCCAGGCTGCTCTTGAACTCCTGACCTCAGGTACCTCAAGTGATCCACCTGCCTCTGCCTCCCAAAGTGCTGGGATTACAGGCATGAGCCACCATACCTGGCCTCTGTCATTCCTTTTCTGTTGTCAGTGTCACAAATCACACCTATATACATTGTTTTCCCAATAATGAAGATTAATAATTGTTTTCATCCATTTTATTTTATATCATGTAGACAATAAAAAGTGAAATTATAAACTCAAATTATGATAACAGTAGCTTTTATAATTGCTCATGTATTTACCTTTAGCAGAGATTTTAATTTTTTTCTTCATGTCTTCAAATTACTGTCTGCACTCTTTCATTTCAACCTGAAGGACTTCGTTTAGCATTTCTAGTAGGGAAGGACTAGTGGTAATGAACTCCCTCAGCTTTTGTTTATCCAGGAATATCTGAACTTCTTCCTCATTGTTGGAGGATAGATTGGGTAGCTATAGAATTCTTGGTTGATAGGTCTTTTTTTTCTTCTTCTTCTTTTGGCATGTCAAGTGTATTAACCCACTGCCTTTGGCATCCAAGGTTTCTAATGATAAATCTGCCAATAATCTTATTGAGGATTTCTTGAATGTAACAAGTTGCTTCTCTCTTGCTGCTTTCAAGATTGTTTCTTTGGCTTTGGCTTTTTACAGTTTGATTATAATGTGTCTCAGCTTGAATCTCTGGGTTTTTCATACTTGGAGTTTATTGAGTTTTTAGATTTGTTGATTCATGTCTATCATCAAATTTGGGAAGTTTTCAATCTTATTTCTTAAAATTACAATTCTTTCTTCCTCTTTTTCTCTCTCTTCTCCTTCTGGACCTCCCATAATATGTATGTTGGTCTCCTCTGTGGTGTCCCACAGATCCTTTAGGCTCTGTTCAGCTTTCTTTAATCTTTTTTCTTCCTGTCCCTCAGACTCAATAAATTTTCCTGTCACCAAGTTTGCTGATTTTTCTTCTGCCTGCTCAAATCTGTTTTTGAGCCCCTTCAGTGAATTTTTTATTTCAGTTAATTGTATTTTTAGCTCCAGAATTTTCCTTTTGGTTCCTTTTTGCATTTTCTGTCTTTTTGCTGATATTCTTCTTTTGTTCATACATCATTTTTCTGTCTTCGTCTATGTCTCCTTTAGCTGTTTGAGCATCTTTGAGACAGTTATTTATGTCTTTGTCTAGTAAGTCTACCACCTGGGCTTCCTCAGGTATTGTTTATTTATTTTTTCTTTGAATGGGCCATACTCTCTTGTTTCTTTGTATGTATGTCTTGTGACTTTTTTGTTGAAAATGGACATTTGAATCTTACAATGTGCTAACTCTGGAAATCAGCTTTTCCCCATTCCCCAGGGTTTGCTGGTTTTTTTGTTTGTTTATTGTTATAAGATGTATCTGTGCTAGAATCAACCTAAAATGAAAGCTTATGATCATCTTAGGTCTTTTCTGAATTTGCATCTTTCCCTGAGCTTGTGCAGTGACTTTCTAAATTCCCTTGTATGCACAGTTGCTTTTGAATATCCTAATCCCTAAATGTCCACCTTCCAAAGGGAACAAAAGGGGAGAAAATCCAGTGGCTATCCCTTTATACCTTCTGGAAGCCAGTTCAGCTGGTGGGGATTAAGCCAATCATGGCCCACCCCCTGTGTCTGCACAACCATGATCAGAAGTAGTAATCCAGAGTCCCAACACAGAACTCTGATATTTGGAGGATGAGTCCATATTGCTAACCCCTAGATAATAATACTGGCTGATACTTTATAGATAACATCTCATCAAATCCACACAAGAGCACTATGTGGCCAGTACAATTAAAATCCTTTGAAAATAAGGAAACGGAGGGTCACAGAGTGAAAGCCATTTGATCAGTCTTTCATTGCTGGAAGAGACTTCACTGAAGTTCCTCATCTATGTAAGAAAGAGAAAGCAGCCTCTAACAGCTGGGAGCTGGCCTAACAGTAACAACTGGGTCTTGGTGTTGCTAGCAGCTTGTCTAGAATGCACTGTTAGGTCATGATGTTCTCCTGTTGAAGGTGAACAATGTTCACAGAACAACAACAACAAAGGCCTGTCTGTGACTCTGATGCATCTAGATAGAAACAAGACTGCTCTGTAATTATGCCTGCACAGAGACAAAACAGGAACACTGTCCAAACCACAAAATATCAAGCATCCCCTTCTCTCAGCTGATCTGAATGGCTGCTGTTTCTTTACCAATTTCAGTTTTAGCTTTGCTCCGTTCTTCTCACCTTCTAGAAAAGATAGAATTGGTTACACTCGTGGTGGGCAAAGGACATGACCAAACACTTTTCAAAAGAAAATATACATCTGGCCAAGAATCATATAAAAAAGCTCAACATCACTAATCATTAGTGAAACGCAAATCAAAACCACCATGAGATACCATCTCACATCAGTCAGAATGGCTATTATTAAAAAGTCAAAAAACAACATGCTGGCGAGGTTGCAGAGAAAAAGGAATGCTTACACACTGTTGGTGGGAGTGTTAATTAGCATGTAAGACAGTGTGGCAATTCCTCAAAGACCTAAAAACAGAACTACCATTCAACCTAACAAGCCCATTACTGGGTATACACCCAAAGAAATATAAATTGTTCTATCATAAAGACACATGCACACTTATATTCATTGCAGCACTATTCACAATAGCAAAGACATAGGATCAACCTAAATGTCCATCAATGGTAGACTGGATTAAAAAAATGTGGTACATATACACTATGGAATACTATGCAGCCATAAAAAAGAATGAAATCATGCCCTTTGCAGGAACAAGAATGGAGCTGAAGGTCATTATCCTTAGCAAACTAATGCAGAAAGAGAAAACTAAATACCGCATGTTCTCCCTTATAAGTGGAATCTAAATGATGAGAACACAAATACATAAAGGGGAACAACACACACTGGAGCCTATCAGAGGGTAGAGTGTGGGAGGAGGGAGAGGATCAGGAAAAATAGCTAAGGGGTACTAGGCTTAATACCTGGGTGATGAAATTATATGTACAACAAACCCCCATGATATAAATTTACCTCTATAAGAAACCTGCACACATACCCCTGAACTTAAAATCAAAAGTTTGAAAAAAAAGAATTGGTTACACTTTTTGATAGCACCCAACCCAAAGCAAATCCCCACTTCTTTGAATCCTTCCCACAATCATACAACACAGCCCAAATTCTGTTAGTCTTCTCTGACACCTTCCTGAGACACCACACCATTCCCCATGGTGTACATCTGCCCTCACTGCAGCAAGTCAAAAAACCTAACTTTGTTCATAGGTGCATGCCTGATTGTCTTTGGCTGATGGGTATTCACATAGCAAACCTGTTCCCACCTCAAGACCTTTGCATGTGCGGTGTGCTTAGTTCAGACCTTGCTTTCTCTGGATTTTTTTTTTTTTTTTTTTTTTTTTTTGAGACAGAGTCTCACTCTGTCACCCAGGCTAGAATGCAGTGGCACAATCTCAGCTCACTACAACCTCCACCTCCCAGGTTGAAGCAATTCTCCTGTCTCAGCCTTCTGAGTAGCTGGGATTATAGGCGTGCACCACCACACCTGGATAATTTTTGTATCTTTAGTAGAGATGGGGTTTCACCATGTTGGCCAGGCTGGTCTTGAACTCATGATCTCAGGTGCTCCACTTGCCTCAGCCTCCCAAAGTGCTGGGATCACAGGCATGAGCCGCTGTGTGAATCTTCATAACCATCTTATATAGGTCTGCTCAAATGTCACTTCTTCAGAGAAGCCTTCTCTTCTCACCTACCTCTCTCCCCACAGGCTGGGCATGGTGTCCCACACCTGTAATCCCAGTACTTTGGGAGGCTGAGACAGGAGGATAGTTTGAGGCTGTAAGTTTAAGACAAGCCTCTACATGGTGTATACATTTTCTTTATCCAGTCTACCATCTCTACCAAAAATTTTAAAAATTAGCTAGGCATGGTGGCACGTCCCTGTAGTCCTAGCTACTTAGGAGGCTGAGACAGGAGAATCACTTGAACCCAGGAGTTTCAGGCTGCAGTGAGCTATGATTACACCACTGCACTCCAGCCTGGGTGACAGAATGAGACCCTGTCTCAAAACAAATGAATAAATAAAAATAAAATAGTCTCTATATTAGTTGGCTAGGGCTGCCATAACAAACACCAGAGACTGGGTGGTTTAAACAACAGAAATTTATTTCTTCGCAATTCTGTAAGCTAGAAGTCCAAAATCAAGGTGTTGGCAGGTTTGGTTTCATTCTGAGGCCTTTCTTCTTGGTGTGCAGATGGTTCCCTTTTCACTATGTCCTCACATGGTCATCCCTCTGCCTGGGTTCTAATTCCCTCATCTTTTAAGGGCACTAGTCATATTGGATTAGAACCCACTCTAACAACCCTATTTTAACTTAATTACCTCTTTAAAAGCCCTGTTTCCCAATACAGTCATATTCTGAGGTATTGGGGGTCAGTGTTTCAACATATGAACTTGTGGGGTCATAATTCATCCCCTAATAGTCTCCATCCCCAATCTCTCTTTGCGCCTTCTTTTTTTCTTCAAAGCATTTACCATGACCTGATGTTTTATTAGTCATTTATTTGTTTACCATCTGTGTATTAGTCTATTTGCTTGCTACTATGAAGAAATATCTGAGACTGGGTAATTTCTAAAGAAAAAGATGTTTAATGGACTCAGAGCTGCACATGGCTGGGGAGGCCTCATAATCATGGCAGAAGGCAAAGGAGGAGCAAAGGCGTGTCTTACATGGCGGCAGGCAAGCAACTGTGTGTAGGGGAACTGCCCTTTATAAAACCATCAGATCTCACCAGGCATGGTGGCTCATGCCTGTAATCCCAGCACTTTGGGAGGCCGAGGCAGGTGGATCATTTGAGGTCAGGAGCTCAAGACCAGCCTGGCCAACATGGTGAAACCCCCTCTCTACTAAAAATATGAAAATTAGCTGGGCATGGTGGTGCACATCTGTAATTCCAGCTACTCAGGAGGCTGAGGCACAAGAATCGCTTGAACCAGGGAGGCAGAGGTTGCTGTCAGCTGAGATCGTGCCACTGCACTTCAGCCTGGGCAGCAGCAGAGTGAGACTCTCCCTCAAAAAAAAAAAAAAAAAAAAAAGAAAGAAAGAAAGAAAGAAAAAAACCATCAGATCTTGTGAGACTTATTCACTATCATGAGAATAGCATGGGAAAAACCTGCTCTCATGATTCAATTACCTCCCATCGGGTCCTTCCCATGACACGTGGGGATTATGAGAGCTACAATATGAGATGAGGTTTGGGTGGGGACACAGCCAAACCATATCACTGACCAAAGCATTCAATTGCCAGTTCATGATTTGCTATACTCCCTTATCCTGCCATAGCAACTAATGATGTTGCAGATGGTACCACCTCTGTTAGCCACAGTATCTGAAGGGACTTTGTGGAGTATAGCTCTCCCCAGCCAAATTTGGACATGTCGCATGAAAAAAAATTTTATTAAGCCACTAAGATTTTAGAATCCTTTGTTACATAGCATAACTTAACCTATCCTGACTAATACATCCCCACTAGGATGTAAGCTCCAAGAGGTCAGGGACTTAGCCTGGATCCTTGGTGTCTGGTGCAAGGTGGATGAGTGATATGGTTTGGTTTTGTGTCCCCGCCCAAGTCTCATCTTGAATTGTAATCCCCACAGGTCAAGGGAGGGACCCAGTGGAAGGTAATTGGATTATGGGAGTGGTTTCTCCCGTGCAGTGAGGGAGTTCTCATGAGATCTGATGCTTTAAAAGTAGCTGGCAGTTCCCTAATTGCTGTCTCTTTGCTGCCACCTTGTGAAGGTGCCTGCTTCCCTTTCGCCTTGCACCATGATTGGAAGTTTCCTGAGGCCTCCCCAGCCATGCAGAACTGTGAGTCAATTAATCTTCTTTTCCTTATAAATTTACCAGTCTCCAGTAGTTCTGGCCGGGTGCTGTGGCTCACATCTGTATTCCCAGCACTTTGGGAGGCCGAGGCGGGCAGATCACTTGAGGTCAGGAGTTCAAGACCAGCCTGGTCAACATGGTGAAACCCCGTCTCTACTAAAAATACAAAAATCAGCTGGGCATGGTGGTACATGCCTGTAATCCCACCTACTTGGGAGGCTGAGGGAAGAGAATTGCTTGAACCTGGGAGGCAAAGGCTGTAGTGAACCAAGATTGCACCACCGCACTCCAGCCTGGGGGCTAGAGAGTGAGACTCTGTCTCAAAAAAAAAAAAAAAGGAAAGTCTCAGCAACTTGCCTGGGGTCATGTGGCTCACACAGTGCCTGGCACAATTCTGGTACAACTAATATTTTCCCATCAGTCAATGCTGTGGAAGACATGGTTGGCTACACCAAATCAGCATTCTTTTCTACAACTCCCCTGCATACAAAACCCTGATTTTGTCTGGGTCTTCAGTGGCTTCTGCTAAGAAAAAGCTGACCTTACCCAATCCTAGGCAACAAATTCTAATTGGTTTAAGCCAACGATGTAAGCTTCATTTATTTTCAGAGATTGGTTTAGACCTGGGCATGGGCCCCAATCCTGGCCAGTAGAACTTTAGGGGAGAGCTGATGTGAGGATTTTGGAAATGGTTTTAACTCTGTGATATAAAGGAGAACACCAGAGGAAAAATCCCTTGTAATAGACATTAGCCATGGAAATCATTACTGCCATTTGCCAAAAGATTCCTGGAAATAGTAGAGTTCCATTTTTTTTTTTTTTTTTTTGAGATGGAGTCTTGCTCTGTCGCCCAGGCTGGAGTGCAGTGGCGCGATCTCGGCTCACTGCAAGCTCCGCCTCCCAGGTTCACGCCATTCTGCTGCCTCAGCCTCCCCAGCAGCTGGGACTACAGGTGCACACCGCCACGCCCGGCGAATTTTTTTGTATCTTTAATAGAGATGGGGTTTCACGGTGTTAGCCAGGATGGTCTCGATCTCCTGACCTCGTGATCCGCCGCCTCAGCCTCCCAAAGTGCTGGGATTACAGGCGTGAGGCACGGCGCCCAGCTAGAGTTCAATTTCTTTTGTTGGCTTGGTGGATTGGTGGTGCCATGTAGCTGTTTCTAGCCAATGGTTTGTGAGCAAGCGACATGACATGTGTTACTTAAGGGCAAAGCATTTAATGTAGACCCAAAATCTTACAGAGAGCTCTTTCTTTCTCCTTGGAAGAAACTGAAAATGTTTGAGATGGCAGTTGCGCCATCACCCTGGATTCCTGAGTGATTCCAATACCAATGCACAATGAGTAAAAAGTAAACCTTAGTTGTTTTATGTGGTTGAGATTTGGGGGGAATTTTTTTTTTTTTTTTTTTAGATGAAGTCTTGCTCTGTCACCCAGGCTGGAGTGCAGTGGCATGATCTCAGCTCACTGCAACATCCACCTCCCGGGTTCAAGTGATCTTCCTGCCTTAGCCTCCCAAGTAGCTGGGACTTCAGGTGCATGCCACCACACCTGGCTAATTTGTGTATTTTTAGTAAAGACAGGGTTTTGTCATTTTTTGTATTTTTAGTAGAGACAGGGTTGGCTAGGTTGGTCTCAAACTCCTGACCTCAGGTGATCTGCCCTCCTTAGCCTCCCAAAGTGCTGGGATTACAGGCGTGAGCCACCACACCTGGCTGGAAGTTTATTATAGTAGCAAATAACTTATCTAGATTGATACCAAAATAGTATCAGGAGTAGGGTGCTGAGGTAATCAAAAATAAAAAGACAGCATTGGCTTAGATACCTTTGGGACTAAGACACTTATTTGAAACCAGAAGGATGGAGGCTGTTGCCTGAGATACTCTGGAAGGCAGATAATGTATTTAATGGACTTGTAGCTTTCAAGGAAGCTGCTGGAATATAAGATGTTAGCAGTATAAGTTGGCCAAAGTTAGCTAAAAATTGAGAAGGGCTTTGAGAGATAAAGTCCAATTAGAATTCAGCTTTTGACAAGGATAAAATCAAAAGTATAAGCCTAGGTAAATAATTATTACCCATTGTTTAAAAATTCTCTGAATGAATTAAGATACTACCAGAAAACGCTTTCAGGTGGACAAATGTCTCCATGAAAGAGAGTTAAGAGATATAGCTCGCCAAGGATGGCTGATAGAGTTTAAGGTACCTGAAATGAGAAAGAGACAGAAAGAGAGAGAGGATAAGAGCATCTTTTTTTTTTTTTTTTTTAGACAGAGTCTTGTGCTGTTGCCCAGGCTGGAGTGCAGTGGTGTGATCTTGGCTCACTGCAACCTCCATCTCCCAGGTTCAAGCAATTCTCCTGCCTCAGCCTGCTATGTAGCTGGGATTACAGGAGCCCACCACCACACCTGGCTAATTTTTGTATTTTTAGGAGAGACAGGGTTTCACCATGTTGCCCAGGCTGGTCTCGAACTCCTGGCTTCAAGCAATCCTCCCACCTTGGCCTCCCAAAGTGCTGAGATTACAGGCGTGAGCCACCGAGCCCAGCCTGAGAACATCTCGAACAGAACTACGGCTATGTGTGTGTTTTTGTTTGTTTGTTTGTTTGTTTGTTTACATATTTAGTTGACTAGAGGCTTATAAGAACCGTAGGTCCCAAACTGTGGGAGATAGAAAGCAGGCTGAGTAAACTGCTGTTGTCTCAAGGAGGGCACATCTTCAGATGTAGCCAAGGAGAATATGAGAAAAGGAGATATTTCCCTGGAGAGTGAGACATGACCCACAGAGAACAATGATTTGGGAATCCCCCTACCCTCCCCACACACAACAAGGAGCTGCTTCGGTGCTAGTTAAGGAATCTTTCCCATCTACAAGATAGGGGGTCCTTGTAATGTTTTCCCACTGGATTGCAGAAGTGGTACAGAGCAGTGATTTCTGTGTGTCTTCCCTTTCTCTCTCTCTCTTTCTTTTCTTTTTCTCTCTCTCTCTTTCTTTCTTCTTTCTCTTTTTTTTTTTTTGAGACAGAGTCTTTCTCTGTTGTCCAGGCTGGAGTGCAGTGGTGGATCTCAGCTCACTGCAACCTCTGCCTCCCGGGTTCAAGAGATTCTCCTGCCTCAGCCTCTCAAGCAGCTGGGAATACAGGCATGCACCACCACACCTGGCTAATTTTTGTATTTTTAATAGAGACGGGGTTAGACGGGGTTTCACCATGTTGGTCAGGCTGGTCTTGAACTCCTGGCCTCAGGTGATCCACCGGCCTCAGCCTCCCAAAGTGTGCTGGGATTACAGGTGTGAGCCACTGGGCCCTGCCTCTTCTTCCACTTTCTGATGGTCATAAAGTCATTTTGTCCCATTCCATCATTATATATTGGGTATGTGGAGGGCCAATAATTTGCCTTTGTAGTTCGTTTGTTCTGATTTAAGCTCACCCATTTTGTTTCCTGCCTAGCTCATGTGGATATTTGACCTTCGACCCTACAACCTATGACAAGCCATTTGATGACACGAACTGAATTGTACTCCTGGAAGCACAGTGGATCAAGTTTCATTCCATTGCCTAGGCTGATCCTCGAGTTTTGTGAGTGACTTCACAATGGCCAGGGAGTTCCTAGCCTCCTTCTACAGCCTTGGTCCACTATGCTGGACACCCTGTGGCTGCTTAGCCTTTCTTGCCCCACTCTGTGAGCCTAGATGTTAATCAGCTGTGCCTACAAGGACCTTTGCCAGCGAGCCCTACTCTCAGGCAGTGATGCTGTCCTGAAGTGTGACCATCCCATGGCACTCTGGTACTTCTCTTCCATTCTTGGGGAAGATCCTTCTCTGCTTAATTCAATGCCTGACATAAGGAAACTGCCTGGGGGTAGCCTTCAATTGACCAACCCTCAGCCCTCCCAGACTGGCCTCTATCGCTGCCAGGGCAATGATGATACCCTCATGGTACAATACGAGATCGACTTCCAGGTTGTCACCACCCTTCATGTTACGCACAAGAGCCTGGACCAAAAGTCCCTGCAGAATGAGACCCTGATCCTGGATGGCAAGGTACTCATCTTTACCCACTGGGACCCCCGGCAGGACTGTAACCGCTGTGGGGAACTGGGTGAGTGCAGACGCCTGGGGTACTGCTACATTGAGGAGCCCGTGGAAAAACCTATGCCCTGCCAGCTGTATCTGAGAGATGAGAAGATGCAATTCAGCCGCATGCGGCCCGAACTGCAGGTGGAAGCCTGCCACGTACCCTGCAACCCCGTCAAGGAAATTCACTAGCCATACCTCATCTTTGATTTTTACCAGCCTGGCAAGTGGATGAACAACAGGTGGCTCACCTGCCCCTTGGCCTCCATCTACAGGTGACAGGACCAGGGCCGTAGCCCTGCCCTTGACCCTCACCCAGACTTTGTTTTCTGTGTTCACCTGGGCTCATGGGTTACCTTCCAACAGAAAACCGGGCTCCGTCTCCCAGCCCATAAGCCTTCATGTTGGTTCTGCTAAGGAAAAGGTCTCCTCACTGGCTTGCTGAGATGCGCATGCAGGAAGAATTCCCTGGTGTTTCCTCTGAGTGTGCCCTGGGCAGGTGATGTTAGGGACACAGCAATGACCTAGTTCTTGTCTGCACAGGCTTCTGATATTCAGGGGGAGGCCAAATGTAGAATCTAGAGACCGAGCTACTCAGGCCCATGGGCTCATGACAATGTAGACACTGATGTTTCTGTCTCCTGATTGGACCCTGGATACAATTTATCTATCCATCCTTGTCCCAATGCCACAGTGTCTTTGGTTTTCTTTTTTTTTTTTCCTTTTATTTGTTTATTTATTTTTGAGATGGAGTCTCCCTCTGTTGCCCAGGCTGAAGTGCAATGGCGCAATCTCAGCTTACTGCAACCTCCATCTCCCAAATTCAAGCGATTCTCCTGCCTCAGCCTCCCAAGTAGCTGGGATTGCAGGCATCCGCAACCATGCCCGGCTAATTCTTATATTTTTAGTAGAGAAGGGGTTGGCCAGGCTGGTTTTGAACCCCTGACCTCAAGTGATTCTGCCCTCCTTGGCCTCCCAAGTGCTGAGATTACAGGCACAAGCCACTGCACCCAGCCCACAGTGTCTTTTTATACCTTTCAATAAGTCACAATATGTGGTAGTGTTTCCCAACTTTGTTCTTCAAGATTGTCTTGGTTATTCTTGGCCCATTATATACAAATTTTGGAATCGGTTTGTAGTTTCCACCCCAAAACTCTTATTTTTTTTTAATTGGGACTTTATTGAATCTAAAGATAAATTTGGGGTAAATCAATATATATTCAATATTTAGTCTTCCAATCCGTGAATGTGGCAAATACTTCCATTGTTTAGTCTTTCTTTAATTTCTCCCAATAATGTGAAGTTATTAATGTAGAGGACTCACATATCTTTTATTATATTTATTCCTAGGTATTTAATTTTTTCATACTATCCTATAGTAATCTTTTAAGTTTCATCTTTTAATTCTTTGTTGCTGGTATATAAATCATATTTAATATATGACCTTATATCTAATTTTTTGCTTGTATCTTACCTCCAGTAAAATGCTGAATGGAAAAGTTGATGGCAGAAATACTTGTGTTATTCTTAGTATTTTACTATGAAGTATAATTTAGCCCTAGGTGTTTTTGTTTGTTTGTTTGTTTTTTGTTTTTTTTTTGAGACAGGGTCTCACTCTGTTGCCCAGGCTGGAGTGCAATGGCGCAATCTCAGTTCACTGCAACCTTCGCCTCCTGGGTTCAAATGATTCTCCTGCCTCAGCCTCCCAAGTAGCTGGGACTACAGGCACCCACCATCACACCCGGCTAATTTTTGTATTTTTAGTAGAGATAGGGTTTCGCCATGTTACCCTAACTGGTCTCGAACTCCTGACTTCAGGTGATCCACCCGCCTCGGCCTTCCAAAGTGCTGGGATTACAGGTGTGAGCCACTGTACCCGGCCTGTCCTAGGTTTTTAATAGAAACACTTTATCTTCTTAGAAAATTTCCTTTTGTTCCTAGTTTGCCAAAAGTTTTGAGCCATAAATGAATGTTGAGTTTTATCAGATGCATTCTCTGTATCTACTGAGATAATAATATGGTTTTTCTCCTTTATTCTGTTAATGTGGTGAATTACATTAATTGATGTGCAAATATAACCCAAATTTGCCGTCCTGAAATAACCCAATTTGGTCTTTATATTTATCCTTGTGTAAAGAAAATCACTGGAATCAATTTGCAATATTTTCTTTGGGATAGTGTGTCTGTGTTGACAAAAGAGATTGACCTGAGGTTTTTCTTTGTTGTAATGTCCTTATAAGGTTTTGAGATAAGGTGATGCAAGTCTCATAGAAATCTTCCATCTTTTTCTATGTTGGGAAAAGTCTGGAAGATCATTTAATTTATTTATTTATTTATTTATTTATTTGAGGCAGTGTCTCTGTCACCCAGGCTGGAGTGCAGTGGCGCAATCTGCACTCACTGCAACCTCTGCCTCCTGGGTTCAAGCTATTCTTCTGCCTCGGCCACCTGAGTAGCTGGGATTACAGATGCCCGACACCATGCCTGGCTAATTTTTTGTATTTTTAGTAGAGATGGGGCTTCACCGTGTTGGCCAGGCTGGCCTCGAATTCCTGACCTCAAGTGATTCTCCCATCTTGGCCACCCAAAGTGCTGGCAAGTGCTGGCATTACAGGTGTGAGCCACCGCCTGAGAAGGTGTTTAGAAAAGGGGATGGAAGGAAAGGGAGCAACTGAGAAAAATATTTGTTGAAGATGTATTGAGTCATGCAGATGGCTGAGGGAAGAGACGGGGACCAGCATGTGCAATGGTTCTGGGGCAAGAGCCCCTCTGCCTGCCTGACAGATTCAGGGAACAGCGGGAGGCCAGCGTGGTTGGAGGGTAGGGAGTAGGGGGAAAGGTGCAGGAGGTCAGAACAGTAACCAGAGATAAATTTTTTTAAATTTTTATTATTTTTTTTGAGATGGAGTTTCACGCTTGTCACCCAGGCTGGAGTGCAGCGGTGCGATCTCGGCTCACTGCAACCTCCGTCTCCCAGGTTCAAGTGATTCTCCTGCCTCAGCCTCCTGAGTAGCTGGGATTACAGATGCCCGCCACCACACCCAGCTATTTAGTAGAGACGGGGTTTCACCACGTTGGCCAGGCTGGTCTTGAACTCCTGACCTCAGGTGATCCGCCCGCCTCAGCCTCCCAAAAGTGCTGGGATTACAGGCATGAGCCACCGAGCCCAGCCCGAGAGGATTTGTTTACTGCTTTATCCCCAGTGCTAAGAAGTGTGCCCAGAACATAGTAAGAGTTCAGGAAATATGTGTTGAGTGTTCACATGTGACACCTTCATGCTCTTATTTCATCCCTGGGAATGTAGTCTCACCCCTGGGAAAGGAAGCGGGGCAGGTAGTAGAGAAAACTCTGAATAGACAAATTAAGTTTGCTCCTTTCCCAGCAAAATGGAGGGCTTGGAATAGAAATTAAATATGGTCAGCGGGGCACAGTGGCTCACGCCTGTAATCCCAACACTTTGGGAGGCCAAGGTGGGAGGATGGCTTGAAGCCAGGAGTTCGAGACCAGCTTGGGCAACATAACAAGACCCCGTCTCTACAGAAAAAATTTTAAACTAGCTGGGCATGGTTAGCATGCACCTGAAGTCCCAGCTACTCAACAGGCTGAGGTGAGAGGATTACTTGATTCCAGGAGTTTGAGGCTGTAGTGAGCTGTGATTGCAGCACTGCCTTCCAGCCTGGGTAAAAGAGCGAGTCCTTGTCTGAAAAAAAAAAAAAAAAGAAAAACAGTGTTGTCAGCTTGTCACAAAACAAAAGGGGATGGTGACCTCACACACACATGTGGTAGCTGCAATTCATCCCACTGCCCAGGGCTGAGGCCAGAGTTCATGGGTGACCTCACAATGTTCGGGGTGGCACCAGCCCACTGCCACAGCCCCAGTCCACCATGCCACCCATGCTGTGGCTGCTGCTCCACTTTGCTGCCCCGGCACTGGGGTTCTACTTTTCCATCAGCTGCCCCAGTGGTAAGCAGTGCCAACAGGCCCTACTCTCAGGCAATGATATTCTCCTGTATTGCAACTCCTCGGGGGCGCACTGGTACTATTTATTCACACAAGGCAAGAAGGGCAGGCTCACCAGCCTCACCAATATTTCCAATATGGAAATAATGCCCGAGGGCAGCCTTCTCATTAAAGATCCATTGCCCTCCCAGACGGGCCTCTACCACTGCTGGAACAAGAATGGCCGCCAAGTGGTGCAGTATGAAATTGACTTTCAGGATGTCACCACCCTGCATATAACACACAAGGACCTGGGTCAGAGGCCCCTGCAGAACGAGACCCTGCATTTGGGCAGCAAACAGCTCATTTTTACCTGGTGGGAGCCCTGGCAGGACTGCAACCGCTGTGAGGAGCCGGGCGAGTGTAAACGCCTGGGGTACCGCTACATTGAGGAGCCTCTGGAGGAAGCCATGCCCTGCTGGCTCTATCTGGGAGAGGTGCTGGTGTGGTCTAGCCGCTTGCGGCCTGAGCTGCAGGTGGAAGCCTGCCACGTCCAGTGCACCAATAACACACAGTTAAGGGTGGATTACGTCATTTTTGACAACTTCAGGCTCGATGAGAAGACAGAATTTGTGTGGCTCGACTGTCCCTTAGGATCCATGTACAGGTGATGGAATCCCTGCCTCTGGCCCCTACCCAGATTCTTCCGGTCAGGGGATCCTTCCTGGTAATATGTGCAGAGGGATGAGTGGGCGTTCTTTGCAGTTCAGCCACGTAGTGGTCATCAGGACAGTGCCAGGCCCTGCTCTTAAACAGTCCGAGGGGGACACAGCCCAGGGTGGTGCGAGCCGGGATGGGAGAAGCCCAGGCAGACAGATGGGGCTGTGATGGGGGAAGCCCAGGAAGCTTAGGGGCTCCAACAGGCCCCTGCTTCATCTGGAAAGGTCAGTGAGACCTTGGAGGAGAGGCTGGTGCCCCCGGGGCTTCCCATCAAGGCCTGCCTCCCAGAACTCACACTCATCTTCTTACTTCCTGCCAGGAGCCTCTGGAAAATAGCCCCTTCCCCTCCTCTCCCCCAGTCCACCTGCCCCTTAATAAGAAATGCAGGCTGGGCGCGGTGGCTCATGCCTGTAATCCCAGCACTTTGGGAGGCCGAGGTGGGTGGATCACCTGAGGTCAGGAGTTCGAGACCAGCCTGGCCAACATGGTGAAACCCCGTCTCTACTAGAAATACAAAAATTAGCCAGGTATGGTGGCACGTGCCTGTAATCCCAGCTACTCAGGAGGCTGACGCAGGAGAATCACTTGAACCCGGGAGGCGGAGGTTGCAGTGAGCCGAGATCACACCACTGCACTCCAGCCTGGGCAACATCACGAGACAACTCTGACTCAAAAAACAAAAAAACAAAAAAACCCCAGAAATCCATTGTCTCACCCTTCTGGAGGCCGTAAGTCTGAAATCAAGGTGTCAGTAGAACCACGCTCCCTCTCAGTCCCTCTGAGTGAGCTGGGCAGAATCCTCCTTTTTTCTAGCTTCTGGATGCAGTCAGAGATCCCGGTCTTCTCTGGCTTGTGGCTGCTTCTCTCCAATGCCCGCCTCCATCATCACTTGGCATTCTTCCTGGGTGTCTGTGTCCCTGTCTCTCTTTTCCTTTTCTTAAAAGGACACCGGTCAGATGGGATTGAGGGCCCACCTTATTCCAATATGCTCTCATCTCAACTGATTATATCTGCAATGATCCAATTTCCAAATAATGTTACATTCTGAGGTTCTGGGAAGGACATGCATTTTGCGGGGGCCACTGTCTAACTCAGTGCAGAGGTCTTGCCAGCCCCTGGCCACACAGGGTCATTGTGATGTGTTAAGGGGACTAAAGACTGTAGAGTGCCTGCCATAGCATCCAATAAGAAGTTCCACAATGTACCTAGCTGGGAATGCAAGCTTTTATGATATTGTCTGTGGAATATCCTCTCTGTTCTTCCACCACGCTGGGTGTGTCGGTGCCTGATTCATTTCTCCACTAAACACGTGTTCACTGCATATTTATATGCCAAGCTCCATTCTAGGGACCTGGGAAACAGTGAAGAACACAACCAACGGAGATTCTTGCCCTTGTGGCGCATAAATATATAGTTTTATTATTATTATTGTTATTATTATTAGAGACAGGGTCTTGCTCTTTCACCCTGGCTGGAGTACAGTGGCACAATCACAGCTCACTGCAGCCTCAATTCCCCGGGCTCAGGTGATTCTCCCATCTCAGCCTCCACAGTAGCTGGGACTACAGACATGCACTACCACACCCGGCTAAGTTTTTAAGTTTTGTAGAGATGAGGTCTCACTTTGTTGCCCAGGCTGAGCCCAAACTCCTGGGCTCAAGTGATCCTCCCACATCGGCCTCCCAAAGTGCTGGGATTACAAACCTGAGCCACTGTGCCCGACCTATAGTATTTTGGATGGTGACGGAGCAGGAAGGGATGCTGGGAATAGGGGAGGTTAAAAGTGTCAAGTGGTGGGGTCAGGGAAGGCTCCTCTGAGAAGCTGCCATTTCAGCCCAGACTGAAAGGAGGCGAGGAAGCCCTGGGGACAGAGGGAACAGCCAGGGCCAAGACTGCACCCAGCATGTCAGAGGAACATCTAGGAGAGCAGCGTGGCTAGGCAGAGTGAGTAAAGGGGAGAGTGAAGGAGATGAGACCAGACAGGCAAAGGCAGGTGGACAAATCATTTAAGGAGTGCCCTTGCTAACTCCTCCAAATAACCTTATGAGGTACAATCATTACTCTCCATTTTTTTTGGTTTGTTGTTTTCTTTTTTGGGACAGGGTCTTGCTCTGTCACCCAGGCTGGAGTGCAGTGCTGTGACTGGCTCACTGCAGCCTCAACCTCCTGGGCTCAAGTAATCCTCCCACCTCAGCCTCCTGAGCAGCCAGGACCACAGGCGCATGTCAGCATGTCCAGCTAATTTTTTAAATTTTTGCAGACATGGGTTCTTGCTTTGTTGTCCAGGCTGGTTCTGAACTCCTGGGCTCAAGCCATCCTCCTTGCCTTTGCCTCTGAAAGTGTTGGGATTACAGGTGTGAGCCACCAAGCCTGGTCTAGACTCTTAGTTTTACATAAAGAAATGGAAGTTCAAAGAGCTGGAGGCATTTGCCCAGGTCACCCAGCCAGTAAGGGGTGGGGCCAGTAAGGGGTGGAGCCAGGAAGAGGGGAGCCAGTAAGGGGTGGGGCCAGTAACGGGTGGAGCCCTGGGAGCCCCCAGCTGTGCCTCCTCCACCCCACTGTTGACGGCTGCACAGTGCTCCGTGGGGGGTGGCGAGGAGGGGGACTGGGCGGTGCTTTATTTTCTGTTCCTCAGGGAGACGTCGGTCCCTCCTTTCTCCCTGGCCCTGCACCTGACCTTGTCCTCCTCGCAGGCCCGTCAACTGGCGTGCCAACGACACCCCCCTGACGTGGGAGAGCCAGCTCTCCGGCCAGGACTTCACCACCTTTCTGGACCCCTCCACCGGCGGCAGGCAGCTGCAGGTTTTCCAGCCGGCCGTCTACAAGTGCTTCGTGCAGCAGGAGCTCGTGGCCCAGTTCAAACCCGCCGCCAGTCTGGAGACGCTGGAGGCTCAGTGGAGAGAGAACGATGCCCAGTGGCGGGAGGCAAGGAAGGCCCTGCGGGGCAGGGCGGACTCCGTGCTCAAGGGGCTGAAGCTGGTGCTGCTCGTGGTCACCGTCCTGGCCCTGCTGGGGGCGCTGCTCAAGTGCATCCACCCTTCCCCGGGCAGGAGAAGCACACAGGTGCTGGTGGTGAAATAAAGCGAGCCCCCGGTGCACAAGCGGACCCGGCCTCCGGTTCTCTCTTAGCCACAGCCGCCCCTTCTGTCACTTCCGCCCCGGTGCCCCGTAGCCCAGGGTGACCGAGCTCTTCCCTGGGTCAGGTGCTGCTCTGTTAACTCATTAGTAATTTCCATAGAACAGATGAGGAAACTGAGGCTGGTGATTCTAGTTCAAACCAGGTTGCCTGTCCCAAGCCCTGTGTTCTTCAGAAGGAGGGAGAGATGGAACCAGGCCATTCTTGGGGTGTCTCCCTAAAGGTGGTAACTCATAGCCTCCTCACTCATCCCATTCCCCCAACTACAAGATGGGGGATATGAGCAGGACACCTCTAGGCTCCCCAGATCTGCCCTGGGCCCTGCTGTCTTTTCCTGCCCATCCCTTGCCCACCCTCCCCACTGTGCCCAGGCCTTCAGGCCCAGCCACCACTCCCCAAGTCAGAGGCACTGCCAGACACGCGCCACTTTTCCAGGCTCTTGTGGTGGAGTGAGGCCCCTCAGGCCCTTGGAAGGGGAGACAGGCCCTTTTGCTGGTACAAGGTGCCAGGCCTGGCTCAGCTGACCTGCAGGAATCACCAGGCCTGACTGTTCCCAGAAATCACACACTGTTCAGCAGAGTGCAAGAGTGAAAAATAATTCATGCCATTAAAATTCATTGCCCTAATAGTGCAGTGAAGCCATGACTGGACAGAGATGAAACTCTCCCAGAACAGAACCTCTGCCCCCAGGATAGGGCAGGGCTCATCCTTCGTGTACCAGACACTGTTGCCAAAACACTTAAGGCTTCATGTGGTGCCCAGATGCTCAAAGATTCCTGCAGAATGAGGGAGCGTTCCCTGAGAACTAAAGAGGCCTCCCTGGGAACCAGAGGTAGACAATAATAATGATAATCATAGCAAACATTTGGGGACTTCCTGGTGAGGTCAAAACTCAAACCCTTTGTAAGTGCTATGTCCCCACGATCACCCAAGAGGCTGGTGCTACTGTTAACCTTGTTTTGCAGCTGAGAACATCAAGACTCAGAAGCTTCAAGCAACTTGCCTGAGGTCACACAGTGAGCTTGGGAAGGGGCCAGTGGTTGGAAGGTGAAAGGAGACCTGAAGCGCCCACCCCAGGTCCCAGGGAGCCCCCCAATGCCTGCAACCCATAGAAGCCCCCATTGTATGGGAGCTGGAGGTGGGACAGAGAGAGTCAAGCACGGGTCCCACACTCAAGGGGTTTGTTCTTCGCAGCACTGAAGTCTCACAACCCATAGCAGAGGCTGTCAGTGCCCCAGTGCTCCAAGGCTGTCAGGGCAGCTCCTAAGGTGACCCCAGTGACTTCCCACCTCCTGGTGTCCATGCCTTGTATGATCCCCTCTCCTCCAGTGTGGACAGACCTGTGACCTTGCATCTAACCAATAGCACACAGTAAAGGTGTTGAGCTGTCACTCCCTAGCTTGCCTTATGTTATCTAAGACTCTGTCTTAGAAGATCAGAGGGAGGGAGCCTTGCTGGCTTGATGAAGTAAGCAGCCACATTGAGGAAGTCCACGTGGTAGGGAGCTGTGGGTGGCCTCCAGGAGATGCAAGTGGCCTCTAGGACCTGAGGGAGGCTCCCAGTTGACAGCAAGCAAAAGGCCAGGACCCTCAGTCACACAGCCAGAGAGAAACGAACTCTGCCAATAACCTGGATGAACTCAGAAGTAGATTCATCCCCAGTCGAGCCTCCAGATGAAAGTGCAGCCTGATCCGTGTCTGACAGCAGCCTTCTGAGACCTCAGATGGAGGGCTCAGCTAAGCTGTGCCTGGACTCCTGATCCACAGAAACTGTGAGATCATAGACGTGTGTTGTTTTAAGCCACTGAATTTCTGGCAATCTGCTTTGCAGCAACAGACAACAAATACACTCACCCATATCCCTGAAAAGACCTGGAAGTCCCCTGCAGCTTTAGCAGTCATGGGCATGATTCCAGTGGGTGCCAGGGGTTTCCTAACTCATACCAGAAGCCTGCTGGGCCACTCATGGAGCAGGCTAGAAGCTGGGCAGTTGACACCCCAGGAGCAGTCCTTAACCTCGAGGGATGGGAACGGGAGCACCCAGCTTCCTCACCCCTGTAAGGCACACTCTACACATCCTCTTGCAGGTCCCCAGGGGTAACATTCACAGGTGCTGGGGATTAGAGTGACATCTTTGGGAGGTGTTATTCAGCCTACCCCAAGCAGTTGCAGGCACAGGCAGCGTATATAAGGGCTCTGGGGCTGGGTGTCTACTTGGTGGACGGAGCTGATTAGGACAGGAAGGCAACTGTGGAGAGAACATCAAGGAGGTCACCAGGGCCGAGAGTGTGTGGGACTCTGTAGGCCAGGATAGCAGCTGTGGGCTTTATTTGAAATGAAATGGGAGCCACGTGAGGGTTTTGAGCAGTGGAGAGACATGACCTGATGTCCACTTAAAATGGCGATTCTCCTGAGGTCAGGAGTTCGAGACCAGCCTTGCCAACACTGTGAAAACCCATCTATACGAAAAATACAAAAATTAGCCAGGCGTGGTGGCGGAGCTGTAATTCCAGCACTTGGGAGGCTGAGACATGAGAATTGTTTGAACCCAGGAGGCAGAGGTTGCAGTGAGCCGAGATTGCGCCACTGTACTCCAGCCTGGCCAACAAAGATAGACTTCATCTCAAAAAAAAAAAAAAAAGTGATTCTGACAAGGTGGGGTTCCTTACAGGTAAGGGTGGGTTGCCCCCCAGGTTGCAGCAGGGAGTAGCAGCCGCTTTGCGTGTGGCCAGCTGTACAATAAGAAACTTTCCTCACCAAGCAGGAGACATGGTCAGGCCCAGCCTTGCCACCCTCCCCTGCACAACAGAGTACAGCGTAAGACAAAACACGCCCCAGATTCCATTTTTAACCATCCTATTCTTCCCTCTTCCTTTTCTTATTGTAATTTTTTAACTTCTTAGGCCTATGTTTTTGGGGAAAAAAATAATTGCTTATAAATGCAATTCCAGTACTTAGCCTTGCTATACGGCTCTTCTACTCTGCCAGAGAAAGAAAAGGAGAAAATATTCCCTTTCTTTCTAAAGCTGTCACCTTAGAACAAATTGTCTATATCACCTTAGAACAAATTGTCACCTTAGAACAAATTGTATAAAGGCCTGGTGAGTGGAGCATGGAGTGGGTTCCCCTCATCCCTTGGCTGGACATGTCGGGCAGTGCTCAACTTGTACAACTCCACATGACAACCCCGAATACAGATACTTTCTGCATCATAAAATTGTCTTGGCAGGCCAGGCACAGTGGCTCACATCTGTAATTCCAGCACTTTGAGAGGCTGAGGCAGGCAGATCACAAGGTCAGGAGTTCGAGACCAGCCTGGCCAGCATGGTGAAACCCTGCCTCTACTAAAAATACAAGAGTTGGCCAGGTGTGGTGGCATGTGCCTGTAATCCCTGCTACTGGGGAGGCTGAGGCAGGAGAATCACTTGAACCCAGGAGGTGGAGGTTGCAGTGAGCCGAGATTGCACCACTGCATTCCAGCCTGGGCAACAGAGCAAGTCTCCATTTCAAAAAAAAAAATTGTCTTGGCAAATCCTACTGCTATTGAAGGAGTCTCATTTGTTACTCTGTATTAGTCAGTATAGGATAGGCTCCACTGCAGCAATAAATACGCTCCAGAATAAAACACAGAGGTTTGTTTCCTGCTTACATTAGTATCAAGCAAAAGGGGTTTGCTGCCAGATGCACAACAAGCCAATACTATGGCATGAGGTTTTTGAGAAAATAAAAGCTTTATATTGCAGGTTAACTTCCAAGGAGACAGGAGTCCCACTGAAATCTGTCTCCCTATGCTGGCTTTAAGGCAGTAATTTTACCAGGAAAGGTTAGGGGGTGGATTCTGGGATTAGCTAGTGATTGGTGGAAGCCAAGGGGAGGTCTGGAAAGTCCTCAGGCATGCATAGTTCTCTCTCATGCCTCCTTAGGGGGTCCCATGTGCAAACTTGACGGGTTAGTATGAAACTTTGGGCTGTGACTTCAGCAAACTGGTTCTGCACAGACTCCACTTAGCCATATTGTTTCCAGTTGATTTCAGCCAGTTCTTTTATCTCATAAGTGGAGGGAGTGGTTCACATTTCCGCAAGTTGTTCTTATCTGCCATCCTGCAAACTCAAGAATTTCTGTTAGTTACTGATTTCTTTTAACTCTTTGGGGCATGGTTTCAACCTCATAGTCTCAGCTCAGGTGGCTTTCTTTCACTTGATTCAGATAACTCAGGAATGCAGGCTGCCATCTGAAGTACTGGCTTCCAAGGTCACCACACAATGGACAGAGAGAACATGGAACTGAGTATGAAGGGTAGAGCTGGGCCTAGAAGTGTCATCTGTTTTGTCCACTGGCCAGAACATTTCATTGGCCAGAACGCAGTCACATGACCCCTCCTCAACTGCAAAGCAAGCTGGGAAATATGGCTGCCTGTGTGCCCAGGAAGAGGAGGTAAATTGTTGGCCATCTGGCCAATTAACGCCCAGGTGGGGATTCAGAAATTGTGGCCATGTCCTGTGAAAGCAATTCTAACCACTAAAAAAAAAGAATCTGTAATTCTGATTCCTTGTACAAATAATTTGTTGACCTGAGAATAATATGGACTTCTCTGAATTCCTAAAACTTGTATATACTTATCATTTCCTTGTTCAGACATAGGAAGTTCATTGGCATCTATTAATACTTCTTTACAGGCAGGGTGCGGTGGCTCACACCTGTAATCTCAGCACTTTGGGAGACTGAGGCGGGTGGATCACCTGAGGTCAGGAGTTGGAGACCAGCCTGGCCAAAATGGCGAAACCCCGTCTCTCCTAAAAATACGAAAAATTAGTCAGGCATGGTGGTGGGTGCCTGTAACCCCAGCTACTTGGGAGGCTGAAGCAGGAGAATTGCTTGAACCCAGGAGGTGGAGGTTGCAGTGAGCCGAGATCACACCATTGCACTCCAGACTGGTCAACAGAGTGAGACTCTGTCTCAAAAAGAAAACCTCTTTACTGCACGATGGATGACTGCTCGCTTTTCCCTTTTCCTTGCACCACACATGCTCCTTCCAGCTCCAATCAAACTGGTTGCATAAGCTGTTTCTACTCATTACTCTCCTCACTATATGCTGTGCCCTCCAACCTAGAAAACTCTTACTTTCCCCTTCTCTTAGTTAACTGCTCTTATACTTCAAGCATCATTGCCTCATGGAAGTCTTCCCATCACACATATGCTTTCAGAATGGTCATTAGTGCTGCTCCCTGAATCCCCCTGGCTCTCTCCCTTCCAAGCATAGGACGGAATGCCATTTCTGGTCCTCCTTATGGTTGGGTGGGGCCTTGCAACTAGTTCTGGCCAATGAAGTGTGGGCAGAAGTAATACAGTCACTTCTAGGCCAGAGCACTTAATTGCCTGGGCAAAGATACTCTAGGATTCTCTTTCCCTCTGCACAGAGCCCACAATTCTTGAGTTGGAGACCATTCTGCCAGCCTGGATTGAAAAGGAGGAGAAGTGAAACTGACCTACAATAGATGTGACAGATAAAAAGTAAACTTTTGTTATTATAAGGTGCTAAGACTTGGGGGATGTTTGTTACCACAGCATAACCCAGCCTATTCTGACTGATACATTCTCCTTCCAAAACACTTGTCTCTTTTGCAATTTTTCACTGTTTCTGTCACTATCAGATTAGTATTTTTCTTTAAGCTACAAATTGAGAGCTCCATGAGGTCAGGAATTTGTGGTTGTTGTTCTCCATTGTATCCCCAGATTCTGAAAGAGCTGGAACAACGTAAGACCTCAATAAATGTAAACTGAAGGGCTGGGCGTGGTGGCTCATGCCTGTAATCCCAGCACTTTGGGAGGCCAAGGTGGGTAGATCACCTGAGGTTGGGAGTTCCGGACCACCTGGCCAACATGGTGAAACCCTGTCTCTACTAAAAATACAAAAATTAGCCAGGCGTGGTGGCACAGGCCTGTAATCCCAGCTACTCGGAAGGCTGGGGCATCAGAATTGCTTGAACCTGGGAGGCGGAGGTTGCAGTGAGCTGGAGGCCATTGCACTCCAGCCTGGGTGACAGAGTGAGACTCTGTTTAAAAAAATAAAAAATAAAAAAATACTAAACTGAAGGAAGAAATGATTGAGCAAGACTCCTGGGAGGTAGGTACAATTATCCTTATTTTACAGGGATAAAATGGAAGATTGGAATGGTTGCATTGATTGCTCAATATCACATGTCAGGTAAACGGCAGAGATTGGATCATAACCCAGGTCTAACTGAATCCAGAGCTTTTTACAACAATGTGCTGCTACCTGTTCTGAATCGGTAGGTCTCAGATTACCAGGTCGTGGTTCTTATTCCCAAGGGTTTTTGTTCTGCCACCAAGGAATGTCTCTGTGTTGGTGATATGAAGGGCTAAGAGGCTGGGGACCTATGGGCCATTGGGAGGCTACACTAAAATGACCCACAGCTGGCCAGGTGTGGTGGCTCATGCCTGTAATCCCAGCACATTGGGAGGCCGAGGTGGGCGGATCACGAGGTCAGGAGATTGAGAACATCCTGGCTAACATGGTGAAACCCCGTCTCTACTAAAAATACAAAAAATTAGCCGGGCATGGTGGTGGGCACCTGTAGTCCCAGCTACTCGGGAGGCTAAGGCAGGAGAATGGCGTGAACCCGGGAGGTGGAGCTTGCAGTGAGCTGAGATTGCACCACTGCACTCCAGCCTGGGTGACAGAGCGAGACTCTGTCTCAAAAAAAAAAAAAAGAAAAGAAAGAAAGAAAGAAAGAAAAATGACCCACAGCTGTCTGGACAAGGCAAAAAGGTTCATGGTGGGCAGGGTGTTATTCAACTGTCTCTCTGCCTTTCATTTTACCTCTTTTTAAATTGAGTGTTCACTCTCTGCCAATGTTATGGACTGCATGTCTCCTCAGAAATTTGCATGTTGACATCTTAACCCCCAATGGCATAGTGTTGCAGGGGAGCTCTTGTGAGGTCATTAGGTCATGAGGGTGGAGCCCTCATGATAGGATTAGTGTTCTTATAAGAGACACCAAAGAGCTTGCCTTTTCTCTCTCTGCTCTCTGATATGTGAGGACACAGCAAGAAGATGGCCATCTGCAAACCAGGGAACAGCCCTCATCATACATCACTTCTGGCACCTTGATCTTGGACTTCCCAGCCTCCAGAACTGTGAGAAATAAATGTTTGTTGTTGAAGCCACCTAGGCTATGGCTAGGCTATAGCCACCTAGGCTATAATTTATTATAGCAGCCTGAACAGAGTAAGACAGCCAGGCTCTGTGCCAAGAGTTTTAGGATCATGAGCTCATGACATCCTCATGACCATCCCAAATGGTTCCTGTTTTTCACAAGAGGAACTCTGGCACAGAGATGTGAGTTTATTTGCCCATGTTTACAAAGTGTATCGGTTAGTGTATCAGTTATGGCTGCAAACAAAACATCCCCCAAGTCAGAGATTTAAATTATTGTTTAATAATAATTGTAAGCATTCATTATTGCTTACAAGTCTACAAATTAGTTGGGCAGTTCTGGTTTCAGCTGTGATCATTCTTGCTTCTCTGATCAGCAGCAGTGAATTGGGGTTGGCTCTGCTGATCTTGGCTGACTCGATAGTTGGCTCTCTGTAGGCTGGACCAGATGTCATCAGCTGGAGCCGCTGGGTTCTCCTCCACCTGCTCTCTCATCCTCCAGCAGGCCAACCCAGGTGTGTCCACAAGGTGGTGGCAGGAGTCCAAGAAAGTGAATGGAAGTTGCAAGGTCACTTGAGACCCAGCCTCCAAACTAGCACAGTATCACCAGGGACTGGGATGTAGAGGCCTCACCTTGTCATGTGACCTGGAGGTCAGGGTTTTGGAAGGCCCTTGGGCAAGGTTGAGTTAAACCAGACAAAGCAGTTCTCTACTGTTGCCTAAGAAATCATCTAAAATGGCTTAAAACAACATTGATGGATTTATCTGTCCATTCTGCAGGTTGGTAATGTAGGTTGGGCTCACTCATGTATCTGTGGCCAGCACTGTGTAGCTAGGTGGCTCTGCCTCAGGGGGCTGGATGGGCAGTTCGCTGGGGAGCCTCCAGCCTCTCATCCTCCAGCAGGCTAGCCCGGTCATGTTCACAAGGTCATGGCAAGATCAACTAAGAGAGTACATGGAAGCGGCAAGGTTTCTTGAAGTCTAGGCTTGAAACTAACACAGCATTACTTTCACCATGTTTGATTGGCCAAAAGAAATTACAAGGTCAGCCCAGATTCAAGGGGTGGAGACACAGACTCCATCCCTTGATGGGAAGAGTGGCAAAGTCACCTTGTAAGAATGTACACAAGGAGGCATGAAAGAGTGTGTCCATTCTGCAACATCCTACCACAAGCTCTCAGTAACAGCCTGGATTCTAACCCATGATGCATGTGGCCTCCACATGGCCTACTCTCTTAAGCTGTATCACTTCTTTTTTTTTTTTTTTTTTTCTGAAATGGAGTCTTGCTCTGTCGCCCAGACTGAAGTACAGTGGCATGATCTTGGCTCACTGCAATTTCCACCTTCCAGGTTCAAGTGATTCTCCTGACTAAGCCTCCTGAGTAGCCGGGATTACACATGCATGCCACCACGTCTGACTAATTTTTTTTTTTTTTTAGTAGAGATGGGGTTTCACCATGTTAGCCAGGCTGGTCTCGAACTCCTGACCTCAAGTGGTCCACCACCTCAGCCTCTCAAAGACCTGGGATTACAGGCGTGAGCCACCACACCCTGCTGTATCACTTCTGTTCCTCTCCTTAGCTTCCCTCAGCTTCTCATATAGCTTCCCTTTCTGTTATTTGAGCCCCCAAGAGCTTTCTGTATTAAAACACATTTGGCTGGAAGTAACAGACATCTGAGCAAAGCATTCTAAGCTAAGAAGGAATTTATTGGGTCTTGGAACTGAGAGCCAATACATTGAGAGTCCAGGGTTTGAGTTTTGCTTCAGGCACAGTTAGATCCAGGTGCTCACACAATGTCCTCGAAAGTCATCTTCCTCCATCTCTCTACTCCACTTTTTTTCTGCATTCCCTTAATCCTCAAGCAGATGCTTCCCACAAAGAGATGAGGTGTCCTTCAGCAGCTCCAGGATTCCATCACAGCAGCTTAGCAACCTTGATGCGGGGTGAGCACAACCACCTGTAACAAGAACATCAATGGTAGCAACAACATTGGAGTATTTACTGTGTGCCAGGCTCTCGTCTGAGTACTTGGCGGGTGTTTGCTTATTTTATCCCTATTACACCCTATAAGGTACAGATAATCATCACTCCCATTTTACAGATGAAGGAACTGAGGCACAGACATTACAGGAAAGGGGTCCGGATCCAGACCCCAAGAGAGGGTTCTTGGATCTCGCACAAGAAAGAATTCAGGGCAATTCCGTAGAGTAAAATGAAGGCAAGTTTATTAAAAAAGTAAACGAATAAAGAATGGCTACTCAATAGACAGAGCAGCCCTGAGGGCATCTGGCTGCCCATTTTTATGGTTATTTCTTGATGTTACGCTAAACAAGGGGTGGGTTATTCATGTCTCCCCTTTTTAGACCATATAGGGTAACTTCCTGATGTTGCCATGGTATTTGTAAACTGTCATGGTGCTGATGGGAGTGTCATATTGAGGACGAACAGAGGTCACTCTGGTTTTGGTGGGTTTTGGCCAGCTTCTTTACTGCAAACTGTTTTATCAGCAAGGTCATTATGACCTGTATCTTGTGCTGACCTCCAATCTCATCCTGTGAGTTAGAATGCCTAACCATCTGGGAATGCAGCCTCATTTTACCCAGCCCCATTCAAGATGGAGTTGTTCTGGTTCACATGCCTCTGACACAGAGAGATTATATCCAGGTTTAAGGTTACATTGGTTGCAAGTGGTGGAGCTGAGCGTTGAACCCAACTGGGCTGGGTCTAGAGTCCTTGCTCTTAACTATCACTAGCAGAAAAATAATAATAGCAAAACGTTTTTCAGAGCAGATAATCTGTGCCTGGCATTATTCTGAGTATCAGGAAATCATGATCATGATCAACATCCATTGAATCCTTCCAGCAGCCCCATGAGGTAGATTCTATGAGGCATTACCTTCATTTCACAGAGGGGGGAAATTGAGGTACTGAGAGCATAGACAAGCCTGAGGTCCTCTATGGAGCAGCTGGGACTTGAACCTAGGCAGCGGGGTTCCAGAGTCCACATCTGCCACCCCCAGGGCCTCATCCCTGAGTCAGGGGTGAGGTCAGCCTCAGAGAACTTCATGAAGTAAGATGGAGGGAGGGGCCCAGGACAGCCCAGCAAGCTCACGAGTCATGTGTCCACCTTTCCCTCCTCTCCCCTCTTCCCATAGCCGGGTCCAGTCTTCCCAGAATTCACCTGTGAATAGACTGACCAAATGCAAGCTGGACCAGTGGGGTGAGTCCAGGCAAAGCCAGCAAAGAGGCCAGTGGCCCAGCCTGAGCCACAAGGCGGGGCTTGCCAGGGCCCACAGTGGCTGGTGTAAACCTATGCCAAGGAGGGCATGGGGGTGGAAGGGAAGACCCCCTCATTCCCCAGGGCAGCTGGGGCTCACTTCGAGTCCTGCCTCACGCACCTGCACGTGACTATAACCTTGACACTCATCAGACCTCTGCAAAACAATCCTCGTCCACTGCCCTGACAGGAAGCCTGGGCAAGATGCCAAGTCATATTTAATGCGTTTATGAGAAACCAAGACATGGCTATTTATAGCCCTTTGATTCATCTGCCAAGTGAGAACCGGGTACATGCAATGACATCTTACGAGTGGAAAGTAGGCAATGCCGTCTGCCCCTTACCATAGACAACAGGCACACCTTGCTGCGTGGGCTCAACAGGTTCTCACGCCAACCTGTGGAAATGCCACGGACAATGGTCCCCATTCTGCAGTGCAGAAACTGAGGCTTGGGAAGGGACAGTCACTTGCTTCATGGACAAAGTGTGGCAGGGCTGGGGATGGAATCCAGGCGGACTCTTAACTCACCCTGCAAGCTGTCTCGGCTACACGGTCCACACCCCACTGTCAACTCCTTTAAAGACAAAATTCTTGGCCGGGCGCGGTAATCCCAGCACTTTGGGAGGCCAAAGTGAGTGGATCATGAGGTCAGGAGTTTGAGACCAGCCTGGCCAATATGTTGAAACCCCGTCTCTACTAAAAATACAAAAATTAGCTGGGCATGGTGGCGTGTACCTATAATCCCAGCTACTCAGGAGGCTGAGGCAGAAGAATCACTTGAACCCAGGAGGTGGGGTTGCAGTGAGCCGAGATCATGCCACTGCACTCCTGCCTGGGTGACAGAGCAAGACTCCGTCTCAAAACAAAACAAAACAAAACAACTGTTTTCTGAATAGTTCATGGGACTCTTTGGAAACATTCTGCTTGTTTCCTGCCTTCTTTTTTCAGCCCTATCTCTTCTTTCTGGCCCTCTTCCTTCTTCTTTGATATTAAAATACTTTTCTTTTTTTTTTCTTTTGAGATGGAGTCTTGCTGTGTTGCCCAGGCTGGAGTGCAGTGGTGCGACCTTGGCTCACTGCAACCTCCACCTCCTGGGTTCAAGTGATTCTCCTGTCTCAGCCTCCCCAGTAGCTGGGATTACAGGTGTGCATTACGATGCCCAGCTAGTTTTTGCATTTTTTTTTTTGAGACAGAGTCTTGCTCTGTTGCCCAGGCTGGAGTGCAGTGGTGTGATCTTGGCTCACTGCAAGCTCCTCTTCCCGGGTTCACGCTATTCTCCTGCCTCAGCCTCCCGAGGAGCTGGGACTACAGGTGCATGCCACCACGCCCGGCTAACTTTTTTCGTATTTTTTTTTCAGTAGAGGTGGAGTTTCATTGTGTTAGCCAGGATGGTCTCGATCTCCTGACCTCGTGATCCGCCTGCCTCGGCCTCCCAAAGTGCTGGGATTATAGGCGTGAGACACCGTGCCCGGCCTAGTTTTTGTATTTTTAGTAGAGATGGGGTTTTGCCATGTTGGCCAGGCTGGTCTTGAACTCCTGACCTCAAGTGATATGCCCACCTCAGTCTTCCCAAGTACTGAGATTACAGGTGTGAGCCCCCAGGCCCGGCCTAAAATGCTTTATTTCTTGTCTCTCCTTTCTTCATTCCTTTCCCCCTTCCTTTCCTCTTTTTCCTTTATTTCTTCATCTCTTTTATTCAAGGCAATAAACATGATATTAGCAATTGCTGATGTTAGAATGGGCTCACAAGTATCCCAAGTCTTCCTCGCCCAGCCTCTGTTGATTCTCAAGTACATACCACGATTCCCCCCATTTCACGGACATGGTGGGAATGCCAGGGCGGCTCCTCCCAGCTGAGTCCCCAGTGCATTTGGTTTGCTCCTGTCACTGACACCCGTGGTGTTGTGGCCACTGAGGCTGAAATCCAAAAGAGGGCACCAGAAATGCATCGAGAAAGTGCCCACCCTTGAGGAAATCTGATGTTCGATTTGTCCTTACTCTGCAGTGATCTTTTTTGGTGGGAGGTTCCTGGAGGTGTCCCCATTGCCTTTCATGGGGTCTCCTCTCTGTGCCTAAGTTTCCCCCTATGTAAAATGGGGTTAGCACTGGTACCTACCTCATTCTTATTGTTGGGAGGATTAAACTGTAAGGAGTGCTTAGAACAGTGCTTTGGCAGCATGTGCGTCACAAATGTTTCCTGTTGTTGGTGGCGCTGTTGTTATTAGACCCTGGCTTTGGAAGCTGGGTCAGACACCTAGCAAAACCCTCTGCCTGGGTGTGCCCACGGGGACTGTTCTGGGCCGCAAGCTTCCAAGCTGAAGCCTGCCCTGCAGGCAGGATGTCCGGCCTCCAACCGCAGCCTCCAAATCTTGATCAACAACTCTGATTTTATTGCCTCTCTGCCCAGATATCATCAGTGGGGGCATGGACGCTTACATGAATGCTTGGGGTCTCATAAGGGGCACTCTGCAGATTCCAAGATTCACAGCTTCTGGCCTCATGTCCTGACTGCCCCCCACTCCCAGCCCCTGGTATGCTGGTGTTGCCACAGTGTCCAGCCACCTATCTCTCCTCCACCACCTCTTCCTTCCTCCAGAGGCAAGCAGTAGTCACATTTCTGTTGTCATGTGTCTCTCACAATTTCCACATTTTTTTTTTTTTTTCAGAGACAGGGTCTTGTTCTGTTGCCCAGGCTGGAGTGCAGTTGTGCAATCATAGCTCACTGAAGCCTTGAACTCCTGGGCTCAAACAATCCTCCCACCTCAGCCTCCTGAGTAGCTAGGACTACAGGCATGCACCACCATGCCCTGCTAATTTTTAATTTTATTTATTTATTTATTTTTTCATTGAGACAGAGTTTCGCTCTTGTCGTCCAGGCTGGAGTGCACTGGCGCGATCTCGGCTCACTGCAATCTCTGTCTCCCATGGTTCAAGCGATTCTCCTGTCTCAGCTTCCTGAGTAACTGGGATTACAGGTACCTGCCACCATGCCTGGTTAATTTTTGTATTTTTAATAAAGACAGGATTTCACCACGTTGTCCAGGCTGGTCTCGAACTCCTGACCTCAGGTGATCCACCTGCCTCAGCCTCCCAAAGTGCTGGGATTACAGGCATGAGCCACCGTGCCCACCTAATTTTTAATTTTTTTTTTTTTGTAGAGACAGGGTCTCACTATGTGGCCCAGGCTGGTCTCAAACTCCTAACCTCAAGTGATCCTCCCACGTTGGCCTCCCACATGGTGGGATTACAGGCGTGGGCCACCACGCCCAGCTGCCTCTGCATGTCTTAAGGAGATGTTTATGCCACTGATTTGTGATTGTCAACGTTACCACAGAGCCCTTCTCTGTTGACTTCCTGCCCTGGAAGGGGAGGAGTGGATTCAGACCACTCCCCTTCTGATGTAATGATGCCACGCAACCTCCCTGGTCTCAGGGTCCACATCTGTGAATGAGAATAACAGTATCTATCTCAGAAGGTTGTAGTGAGGAGTGAACAAATTCATTCACACGAAGCACTGAGAACGGGCTTTGCCCACAGTACAGGCAGTGTGTGAACTCTCACTGTTGTTCATAACTATGATCATCATCACTTTTATTTTATTTTATTTTATTTTATTTTATTTTTTGACACGGAGTCTCACTCTGTCACCCGGGCTGGAGTGCAGTGATATGATCTCAGATCACTGCAACCTCTGCCTCCCGGGTTCAAGTGATTCTCCTGAGTAGCTGGGATTACAAGCATGCGCTGTCACGCCTGGCTAATTTTTGTATTTTTGGTAGAGATGGTGTTTCACCATGTTGGCCAGGCTGGTCTCAAACTCCTGACCTCAGGTGATCGATCCACCTGCCTCAGCTTCCCAAAGTGCTGGGATTACAGGCGTGAGCCACCGCACCTGGCCCCATCATCTAGATTCTACAATTGTTAACATTTTTCTGTATTTACTTTATTACATATCTATCAGTCCATTCCTCTATCAAGTCATCTGATTTTTTAAAAATGTATTTTTAAAGAAGGTTAAAGAATTTTAAAGCAGACATCAGTACTCTTTACCCTTAAACATTTCAGGATTCATATCACCAACTGGAGTTCAATGTTTGCAGTTATCTTTGAGATTTTATAAATTTGCATGCAATGAAATGCACACATATGAAACATCCATTTGCTGAATTTCTTAGTATTGTCATTATTATTTAGAGATGCGCTCCCACTCTGTACCCCAGACTGGAGTGCAGTGGTGTGATCATAGTTTACTGCAGCCTTGACCTCCTGGGCTCAAGCGATCCTTCTGCCTCAGCCTTGAAAGTAACTGGTACTACAGAAATATGCCACCACGCCTGGCTAATTTTTTTTTTTTTTCTCCACAGGGTGAGTTCTATGCCTGGGGAATTAAAACAATTTTTTTTTTAAAAGAGATAAGGTCTTTCTGTGTTGCACAGACTGGTCTTGACCTCCTGGCCTCAAGTGATCCCCATGCATCAGCCTCCTCAGTAGCTGAGATTACAGGCATGAGCCACTGTTCCCATCTCCATTTGCTGAGTTTTGACCAATGAATGCACTTATGTAATAAGTATACGCTTCTGCTTTAGACTACAAGCCCCTGTTAAGATAAAGAACATCTCCGTGACCCCTGCAAAATCCCCTTATGCCCCTTCCCAGATAATCCCCACCTCCACTCCATCCCCAAAGGCAATCATGGTTTTGATATTTTTATACCTTTACTTTAAATTTTCAGGATGGATGACAGGTGTGTGCTGGGAGGGACCTTAGTTAAATTTTGTGATTGGCGGCTAGAATTGAAAAAAAACAAAAACAAAAACAAAAAAACAAAAAAATACCTCATTGCGGCCAGGCGTGGTGGCTCATGCCTGTAATCCCAGCACTTTGGGAGGCCAAGGTGGGCGGATAGCTTGAGGTCAGGAGTTTGAGACCAGCCTGGCCAACATAGTGAAACCCCATCTCTACTAAAAATACAAAACTTAGCCCAATGTGGTAGTGGGCACCTGTAATCTTAACTACCTGGGAGGCTGAGGCAGGAGAATTGCTGGAACCAGGAGGTTGTAGTGAGCTGAGATGGCACCACTTTACTCCAGCCTGGGCAACAGAGCAAGACTCCATCTTAAAAAAAAAAAAGAAAACCTCGTTGCTCCCTCCTGTGGAATATGGATACCTAATTAACATGATCACATACAGCAATGACTGGCTTGGAGGGGAGGAGGCATCCTCAGTGCTGAAAGGTGGGACAATGTCCACTGAGGGCTCTGGTCCTAGCACTGAATGAGCCAGGCTCTTTCAATTCCTGGATAAGCACTTGTTCACCCATTGTATGTGGACCACTTACCCTGGCTGCCTCATGTAGGATGCTGTTGGCTGCAAGTAAGAGAAGAATAAATTCCAAACATCTTAAAACAATAAGGATGCCAGGCACAGTGGCTCGTGCCTGTAATCCCAGCACTTTGGGAGGCCGAGGCAGGCAGATCGCGAGGTCAGGAGATTGAGATCATCCTGGCTAACACGGTGAAACCCCGTCTCTACTAAAAATCCAAAAAAATAACTAGGCATGGTGGCGGTCGCCTGTAGTCCCAGCTACTCGGGAGGCTGAGGCAGGAGAATGGCGTGAACTCAGGAGATTGAGATCATCCTGGCTAACACGGTGAAACCCCGTCTCTACTAAAAATCCAAAAAAATAACTAGGCATGGTGGCGGTCGCCTGTAGTCCCAGCTACTCGGGAGGCTGAGGCAGGAGAATGGCGTGAACTCAGGAGGTGGATCTTGCAGTGAGCCGAGATCGCGCCACTGCACTCCCGCCTGGGGGACAGAGCCAGACTCCATCTCAAAAAAAAAAAGCAATAAGGACACGTATTATTTTACAGAACTGCTGGTCCCCCAAAGGCGGGGAGGTTCTCCAGGGGTCAATGCATCAGTTGAATGATGTTCTTATAGACTCAGGCTCCTCAGCATGTGGGCAATGTCATCCCTCACGGTGGTAACGTGGCTGCCACAGCCCCAGCCATCATTTCCTATAGGTGCAAAGCATCACAACCGTATACTTCCTCTTGCTAAAATCCTACTCTACCCATTTCCTTTCTGTATTTTCAGTGTTTAGCCTCTCTGATTCTGCTCTTACTACTAACTCATGAGATTTCAACTCATGGCGACTATAGGTGCTCCGAAGTGCTAATGAAAGAAATTGCAGAAAGAAAAGAAGAAAAATGATGTCTTTCTCTGTGGCTTCAGAATCATCCTCAGCATCATAAAACTCTGTTTGCAAATATTCTTTGCAGGCCGCAGGGACTTCAGAGATCATCAGTATGTCTTGTCAAAGAAACTTTAACATTCCAGCATCTGTGATTCTGGGACTAATACTTAAATTGCATGTAGATTCTGAAAAGGATAAATATTTGTGAATTTTTTGTTAAACCAGAGGAATATTTTTACTACCCCCTCTTCTTCAACGTGGATGAAAGAGAAAGCAAAAACACGTGATGCTGTTAGAACTCTGCTCTAGACTAAGAGTTTGAGAGCCCAGCTTAAGCCAGCAAATGCCTCCTCACACTGCCACATTCTCTCTGCGAGGAAAAGAAAAAGTTTATTTCTCTTACATTATTATTTTTTTCTTTTTTTGAGATAGGATCTCGCTGTGTCACACAGGCTGGAGTGCAGTGGTGTGATTATGACTCACTGCAGCCTTGATCTCCCAGGTTCAGGTGATTCTCCCTCCTCAGCTTCCTTAGTAGCCAGGAATACAGGCACACACCGCCACGCCTGGCAAATTTTGTGTATCTTTTTAAAATTTTTTTGGAGATGGGGTCTTGCTATGTTGCTCAGGCTGGTCTCGAACTCCTGGGCTCAAGCGATCCTCCTGCCTTGGCCTCCCAAAATGCTGGGATTACAGGTGTGAGCCACCACACCTGGCCTCCTACAGTACTTTTCTTTTTCTTTTGAGATGAAGTCTCACTCTGTCACCCAGGCTGGAGTGTAGTGGTGCAATGTCCACTCACTGCAACCTCCGCCTCCCAGGTTCAAGTGATTCTCCTGCCTCAGCTTCCTGAGTAGCTGGGACTACAGGTGCACACCACCATGCCCAGCTAATTTTTGTATTTTTAAAAATAGAAATGGGGTTTCATCATGTTGTCCAGGCTGGTCTCGAACTCCTGACCTCAAGTGATCTGCCCATCTTGGCCTCCCAAAGTGCTGGGATTACAGGCCTGAGTCAACATGCCTGGCCTCCTACAGTACTTTTTAAGAGCAAAAACATTTTACCCCAGATGCCTTCCACTAGCCAGCCCCCAGCAGACTCCCCCTCCAAGTCAGTCACTGCTGTGACTTCTCCTTGGCCAGGAGTGTGTCCCAGCCTTTTCCAGAACCAATCACCAACAAGAAGACAGGAGAACTATGCCTGGCTTAGATCACTCAGAGGCTGAGGGTACTTTTTCTGAACACATGGTCAGAGCTAATAAACAGGCTAATAAAATTAAGGCTCTGCTTACAAAGAAGTAAAGGAAAATGGGCTTGCTTATTAATAATGCAGATTCCCAATTCCTGCTGCTAGTTGCACGGCTGCTTCTGTAGACACTCTGCCTCCGTCTGGCCTGGCACTTTGATCTTGTTTTTATGCCTCAGGATGAACGAACCTCAAACACCCAGGCTTCTTAGAATAGAAGGTCCTAGAGGAGGAGTGGTTTCTGAGAGAAGGAAGCACCTGCCCGCATCTCTTAAAAGGAAAGTACCTAAGCTTGACTGCCTGCTTATCTTTGAGGTTTTATTATCAATCAGGCCTTCTGGCACAAGTGATTAAAACCCAAACTAGCTTAAGTACAAAGAGAATGTATTGGTTCTTAGAATGGAAAGTCTCGGATTTCAGGTATGGCTGGATCCAGGTGCCCCTGCAATACACTCAGGATTATGCCTCTCTCCCTCTCACCTCTGCTGTCCTCAATATTGACTTCATTTTCATGCAGCAAAGATGACCTCCAGCAGTTCCAGGCTTAGAGCATAGCAGATAAGTAACCATAGCAGAAAAAGAAACACCACTTTCCCAATAGTTCCAGCAAAAGTCCTGCAGCTGTCTCTCATTGGCTTTACTTGGAATGGCGTGTTCATTTCTGGATCTGGGAAATGTAGTTGGCTGTGTCCGAATCACATAGACTAAGAGCAGGGGAGGCTGGTTCCCAAAGAAAATGAGAAGGGTAAACGAATGCCCGTCAGGCTAATCTCTCTCTTGTGTGTAGAGAGAGCCCCGGAGAGCATCAACCTGTCCTGTTTTACCATGAAGAGCATTCAAAAGCTAACAGGGTGATAGGGGTTTAGTAAGTTGGGAGTGGTCAGGGAGAGGTCTTGGAAGAGACAGTGTTGAAAGCAAAGCCTTGAGAGATAAGAAGTCAGTGTTTTAGGCGGCAGGACCTGTGAGGGCAAAACACCTGAGAAAAATCAATATTTGACAAATGAGTGGCTAAATGAATGAATGAATGAGTGAATGATTAAATGAATGAGTGGGTGAATGACTATAGACAGACACTGTAGACAAAGAGCCCCATCTTCTTGCTCAGAAGGACCCACCAGCCCCTGTAGTAATGGGAGAGCTGGAGTTGGGCTGCAGACCTTGCAGGGAAAATGGAGAGGGAGAGAAGGAGGAGGGGAGAGGAGGGAAGGAGGGAAAGAGCCACTCGGACTCCGCAGGAGCCAGGAGGAAGGGCCAGATGGACCCTACCTGGGAGACTACATCCAACGTTTCTCTCCTTGAGGGTCCTGGGCTGCCTGGAAACCCTCCCCTCTCCACAGCCTCCATTCCCTGCCCCTTCCCTCCCCCGCCTTACTCTCACTTCCTCTTTTCTGTTCCTCTTGCATACCAAGCTAGCTCTCGTCTCAGGCCTTTGTGCTTGCTGTTCCCTCTGCCTGGAACACCCTTCTCTAAGAACTTCACAGCCCTCAGGTCTCAGCCAAGAGTCCCCTCCACCAAGCAGCCCTCCCTGACCACCCCAACTGAATTACCCATCCCTCTACGCCCACAGCCTCTTCCAAATCACACCACCCTGCATACCTTCCTCTCTCTGAAAATGTCATGTTTGTGAATCTGTTGTGGTCACAGTTGTCACCCTGTCAGAGGCGTTTGAACCAGAGCAACCCCATCTTGAGTAGGGGCCAGGTAAAATGAGGCTGAGACTTACTGGGCTGCATCCCCAGATGGTTAAGGCATTCTGAGTCACAGGGTGAGATAGGAGGTCAACACAAGATGCAGGTCATAAAGACCTTGCTGATAAAACAGGATGCAATAAAGAAGCCAGATAATACCCATCAAAACCAAGATGGCCACGAGAGTGACCTCTGGTCGTCCTCACTGCTACACTCCCACCAGCGCCATGACAGTTTACAAATACCATGGCGATGTCGGGAAGTTACCCTCTATGGTCTAAAAAGGGGAGAAATGAATAATCCACCCCTTGTGTAGCATATCATCAAGAAATAACCATAAAAATGGGCAACCAGCAGTCCTCGGGGCTGCTCTGTCTATGGAGTAGCCATTCTTTATTCCTTTATTTTCCTAATAAACTTGCTTTCACTTTATGGACCTGCCCTGAATTCTCTCTTGTGGGAATCCAAGAACCCTCTCTTGGGGTCTGGATCGGGACTCCTTTCCTGTAACACTATTATTACTGACTTATGAATATTCTAGGGTTGTTGCGAAGTCTGGGTGCGAGTCAGGCACAGTGTTTACCTGCTTGGCCCTGCAGTGTCCAGCCAGGTTCGTGGCCTCCTGCCTCTGTGACCCTGTTCAAGTGACCTCCCTGCTCTGGGACTGTCTGTTCCCCCATAATATGGAGACCTCTATATTGCTCTTCTATACCTCATGTCTGTCTTTTACACACACACACACACACACACGTGTGTGTGCATGGCTGTGGTGCAGGTTTAATGACCTCATGCAGATGTCTAGAGCATGGTTCTAGGCAGAAAATGGAAAAGTATTTATAATATAATTAGTTCAACCAGCTACAATATAGACAGGGGTTTCCTGGCAGGCCATGTGACTTCAGTAATGGCCTGGGTCTGGCTTCGCCTTTAACCCTCTTCCTAGCCTCCCCTCAGCTCTCAAGGGTCAGCTAGGGGCCATCGCCCTGCATGTAGGGAGGCTGGACGGCAGAAAGCATGAACCCCATGATGCTCCCTGTCCTGCCCTGCCCATGCTGTCACCAAGTGGGGCAGCTAGACTGAAAGGGCTTCCACAACTCTGGGGTGGGCACCAACAGCCAGGGGAGCTGGAGATTGAAGGGTAACATTGCAGACTGGAATAGGAAGTTCCCTGGCCTCCAAGCCAGGCCTCACTAGGACTCTCCTGCCCTCAAATCTGGAAGCTCAGTGTCTTCACCCTTTAGGTCTCTGGGGGATAGGAGACAGAGACTTAGGAGGGTCCAGGGGAAAAGAATTTCCAAGTAATAACATGGAAAATAAAACAAAGCTACTAAACCAAAGGATATTGCTATCAACCACAGTAGCTTTCACACTTTTGTTGTTAACTGTAAGAGAGTCATTTGACATCACAACCTAGAATATATACTTTGAACCAAAAATAAAATCCTGAGCCCCCCAACTAACTAAGTGGACCCCCTTCTGGGCCAAAGGGACCCCAGAGACATCTGAACAACTGAATTCTAGCCATGAAGAAATGGGAGGTGCACATGCCTCATTCTAGCCCCTCCCTTCTGGAGTTTAGGCCCAACTGACCAACATTAACATTAAAATACAGATCACAGGACTGACAGAGTAGACTCTTTATGGCAATCAGATCCCAAATTCCAAGCTGACCCTGGTCACATGTTCTCTGAGCGCTGCCACTTAGGAGACTTCATCTGCATAACAAGGGCCTTGTCTTCTACAACCCCTTATGTTAGCTCAAGCATTCTTTTCTAAGGACTTCTTCAGTCTTTAGGCAAAGCTTAACTCTTCCAACCAAATGGCAATCAGAAAGTCTTTGAATCCGCCTGTAAGCCCTGTTCCCCACCCTCTGACTCAAGATATCCCACCTCTTTAGGCTGAACCAATGTACACCTTCCGTGTATTGATTTATGTCTTTGCCTGTAACTCCTGTCTCCCTAAAATGTATAAAACCAAACTGTAACCTGACCCCCTCAGGCACATGTTCTCAGGATCTCTTGAGACTGTACCCCAGGCCATGGCCACTCTTATAGGCTCAGAATAAACCTCTTTAAATATTTCACAAAGTTTGGCTTTTCTGTCAACAATACACACTCACAATAAGAGTTTACCAAAGTAACACTTACTTAAGGCTGGAGACAAACTCTGATACTCTGAAATTTCTTTTTTCTTCTACTTAATTCCATTTCAGAAAAAAATTGCTGGTTAGGACCTTCTAAATTGATCTCATGAACCACTAACGAGTCACTACTCACAGCATGCAAAGCTCTAATTACACACTAGAAAGTATGTTTTAACACCAGGGGAAAATGGGAAAGTTTTACTCATAGAATATTCCTTTGCATTACACTGAATGTATTTTACTTGATAGAAAATGCTGTACTTTTGCTTAAAGCTAATTTCTACAGCAGACAGATGGAGAGTATACCATGGATAGGCACAGGCAGAGGAGGCTCTGCTTTCTGGGCCTAACTTCATTCATTCATTCCACAAATCTGTACCAGGTGTTGGAGGGTCAGCAGCAGTGGCGTGCTGTATTAATCTGTTCTCACACTGCTAATAAAGACATACCTGAAGGCTGGGTGCAGTGGCTCACGCCTGTAATCCTCGGGGAGGCCGAGGCGGGAAGATCATGAGATCAGGAGACCGAGACCATCCTGGCTAACATTGTGAAACCCTGTCTCTACTAAAAATACAAAAAATTAGACGGGCATGGTGGCGGATGCCTGTAGTCCCAGCTACTCGGGAGGCTGAGGAAGGAGAATGGCATGAACCTGGGAGGCGGAGCTTGCAGTGAGCTGAGATTGCGCCACTGCATTCCAGCCTGGGCAACAGAGCGAGACTCTCTCTCAAAAAAAAAAAAAAAAAAAAAAAGACGTACCGGAGACTGGGTAATTTATAAAGAAAAGAGGTTTAATTGACTCACAGTTCAGCATGGCTAGGGAGACCTCAGGAAACTTACAATCATGGTGGAAGGGAAAGCAAACATGTTCTTCTTCACCTGGTGCAAGAGAGAGAAGTGCTGAGCCAAAGGGGGAAAAGCCCCTTATAAAACCATCAAATCTCATGAGAACACACTCGCTATCATGAGAACAGCATGAGGGTAACCTCCTCCATGATTCAGTTACCTCCCACTGCGTTCCTCCCCCTGACACATGGGGATTATGGGAACTACAATTCAAGATGAGATTTAGGTGGGGACACAGCCAAACCATATTATGTGCTGAAGCCAGTTTATCCCAACTCACAAGAGCCCTTTGTTAAGTTTTTCAGGAGTTATGGTTGAACTCACATTGGTAGCTTGAAATCAGTCGTGGTGGAAGATTTATACTACGGAATCAGCAACTCTATAAGTCAGCATCCCCCAGCCCCTACAAGGGTTGTCAAACCTTTATGAGCACACTGCTAGTCAGCAGTGACCAAGACCTGGTCCCTGCCCTGGCACAGGCTGTCCTAAAAGGACGGGGGCACACTTTACTCAACCACAAAAACACATATAAACACGTGCCTTATGTGTGCTATGTTCTATACACCTGCTATGAAGGAGAAGTATAGGAATTCATGAGAGAAGATAACAGAAGGAATTCGAACAAGGCTTCTCCAAGGACACGAAGTTTGAGCAGAGACTTAAAGGATGAGGGGATTTAACTAGACAAAGAATGCGGGGAACAGTATTTCAATGAGAAGGAATAGTGTGTACAAAAGACCAGTGCTGAGAGAGGATGGTGAGTCTGCACAGCATAGCTGGAGTGGAGAGGATGTAGCAGCAGAGTGAGAGATGGAGATACCAGGCTGCAGATGTGAGCATCCCGGCCACGCGGGATCTGAGGCAGCACGAGGCCTCTGGTTTTTATGCAAAGAGCAATTCTCACAAAGCTACTCCCGCATTGCCATGCCCTCTTTTACACCTCGTCCTATCGGATTCTGCAAACTAGATTTATGGTGCAGATTGCACTCACTGTCCTCTTCACAGATGCAGAGGAGAGGAGACATCTCCATCTCCTCCTGACATGACTTTTGCTAACCTGCATTTTAGAAGTCAGCCTCTGAAAGGTCAGACGTGAACATGATAAGAAAAAAAAAAATCCACAGCACTGAAAAGCTCATCATTTCACTGGCAGTAAAATAAGAAGCATTTACTTTATAGTTTTTCTTCAGCCTAAAGTGAGCTTTGAGGTGATGTCAGGAGGTAATTAAGGTGGGAGCTAATCAGCCCACACCAAGAAGATACTTTGAGGGCAGCCAGGAAAGCCTCCAAGTAACAATCGAAGAAACCAGGGGTTGGCGGTGAAAGGGCACAGCTGCTTCTAGCATCTGCTAGTCTTACAGTGAGAGAAACAGAGCTCCACTTACCTGTGACCACAGAGGGCAGGAGGACTGTTAGGTGGCAATTATGAGGGGGCACTTCTAGCCCAAAATAAAGAAGGTCTTTCCTGACTAGCCAGAGGCAGGACCCCTCCCATTCAGCATTGCAAGAGGTTGTGCTTAGATAACCTGGACGGGTCCAAATTGGGGGATTCAATGTCTCCCTCTCCCATTCCCATGCCCGGGAAGTCATCTCAGCCACTATTGTCAGGAAGCGGTGGACACTCCCTTCCTAACAATGCTTCTTGCTTGTTGTATAACCTTGAGGTGGCTGCCTAAGCTCTCTGATCTAAACTAAACTGATCATCTAAAACTGGGGGCAGCTGGGCACGGAGGCTCACACCTGTAATCCCAGCACTTTGGGAGGCCGAGGCGGGCAGATCACTTGAGGTCAGGAGTTTGAGACTAGCCTGGCCAACATGGTGAAATCCCGTCTCTACTAAAAATACAAAATTAGCCGGGCATGGTGGCGGGTGCCTATAATCCCAGCTACTCAGGAGGCTGAGGAAGGAGAATCACTTGAACCCGGGAGGCAGAGGTTGCAAAGAGCCAAGATCGCACCACTGCAGTCCAGCCTGGGCGACAAGAGTGAGACTCTGTCTCAAAAAATAAATAAATAAAACGGGGGGCAATTTTAGTAGCCACCTCATAGGGTTGTTTTGAGGATTATAAGGTACAATGTGTATAGTGTTTGAAGAGCATCTGGTGCATAGTAAGTCCTCGACAAAGTTAGCTACCATCGGTAATAGTATTTCCAGCCTCCCTGCTCTTCCCCCAAATCAAACACACCTGAGATATGAGATGGGCGTTAACAAATTCTTTTACTGAAAGGTCAGTTTATTAGTTTTTACTCTGTTGCTAGTGCCAGAACCCCGATTTCAAATTGACTTAATTAGAAAGACAACAATAACAATGACAAAGATGGAACTTAATGGTACACATAACTAAAAAGTCCAGCTATATTTAGCTTCAGACATAGTTGTATCCAGGTGCTCAAAGGATGACATGAGGAGTGTCTCCCTGTCCCTTCTGCCAGTTCAATGTGCCTCTGTGTTGACCTCATTCTCAAACTGACTCCTCCCTTCTGGGGGAAACAGTGGCCACCAGCAGCTCCAGGTTCACATTCTACCATCTGAGCAACCCAGACAGAGGATCAGCAAACGTCCTAGAATTGGGTCTCAGTTCAGTGTGACCATGAATCTGTCCCAGAACCAAGAACAGTCACCAGGGTTACATAGATTCCCATTTCCCAGGCCTGGGACATATGTCCATTTCTAGAGCTTGGAGAGGGGATCGCATCTTACTTAAATCATAGGGGCTGAACATGGGTAGAAGTGCGCCCTAAAGGAAAACAGGAGTGCTGTGACCCAAAGAGGAGAAAATGGTAGCTAAGCAGGGTGCAGCAACATATGTCGCCTATAGTCATGCAGATCTCTTCTTGGAGGGCTCAAGGATGTGACTTTACCCACCTTTCTTGCCCCCCCTAGGCTTGGAAAAGGAGGTGTCTGAAGTGCAAGCTACTCTCTCCTGCTCCCTTTTTCTCTTCTCAGCCTCCCTCCAACAGCCTTCTCTTTGCAGCCCTCCTGTCTGGGGTTCTTCTACTTTCCTGTGAAATTCCATCCTTGCATTTCTTTTTTTAATTGAGACTTCAGTCAGATAATAACAGAAGCTCTCCTCCAGCCAGCTCTCCTATTCTTAAGGGGTCATACACATATTCCAGGCTCTGGTTGTGAAGTGGCTAGAATTTGGTGCCTGGATCAGTCAGGATTGAATCACAGGTGGGGGGCTGAAGCACCACTAAGATATACCTATAGACTGATTAGCTGCTACAAAAGGACTTGTTACTGGATTTGATCTTATGCAATTTAGGGAGCTGGCTAAATGGTCTCTGTCAGGTTGTTATCTTTGAGTCAGATGCTGGAACTGAACCCCATAGGTGCAGGAAGTCAGGAAGGGAAGATGGAGGAAAGGTTGGGGAGAGCAAAGAACAAGATGGAACCAACATGCATAAGCCGGAGTCCACAAGGACAAACCAAACCCCATGTGAGTTCTTTTGTAAATTTTATTTATTTTATTTTTTATATTTTTGAGACAGGATTACAGTCTGTCACCTACACTGGAGTGCAGTGGCATGATCATAGCTCACCGTAGCCTTGACCTCCCGAGCTCAAGCAATCCTCCTGCCTCAGCCTCCCAAACAGCTGGGATGCCAGGTGTGCACAACCACACCTGGCTAATTTTTCAAAATTTTTTGTAGAAATGGGGTCTTGCTGTGTTTCCCAGGCTGGTCTCAAATTCCTGGCTTCAAGTGATCCTCCCACCTTGGACTCCCAAAGTGCTGGGATTACAGGCATGAGCCACTGCGCCCAGCCCCATTTCAGTTCTTGTTGCCTCCAACCTTGGTGGTGTGGGTATCCTGGTGGAGCCAGGGTCCTTTATCATGGGGCAAAACACATATATCTGGCCCCATTTTAATATTAATGCTGGTCAGTTGTGCCTAACTTCTCAAAATGGAGGGGCTGAAATGAGGCACGTCTGACCTCCCTTCCTGTCATGGCCGGGAATTCAGTGTTTCAGGTTTCTCTGTGATCCCCCTCAGCCAAGAGGGGGTGTGTTCAGTTGTTTGGGGGGTTTAGGATTTTAGTTTTGGTTTACACTACTACAGTTTTTTATTTCTGGACACATAATCATGGCTGGCATTTATAATTATGTTTACAGTTACCTTTCCCATTACCTATTCCATATTCGCTTTGCCCTCAGCAACTACCTCATCTGGTTGGATCTTTGCCTGGTAGGGTGACCTAAACCCTCACTTCGGAAGGACCTGAGCCATTAGCAGCCCTGTCTCAATTGAGTTGCAGTAGTTTTCCATTGACTTCAATCACAAGACATGATAGTACTAAGAGACACCCTAGACCATATTCTGTATTCCAGACATACTCTTTATACTCAATTTCCCTTTGATACTCAGAATTAATTGCCTTGGCCAGTACAGTGACCTCCCCTGTGGCCTGTTGATTCAGTGGCATGAGGAGCCCAAAGTAGCCAGGGGGCAGTCTCAACTTCCAGTTCACTGGAATCATTGTTGTGTCTGCTGGTGGAAGCATCACTCCCTTTGGAAATAGGACCTCTAGACCAGAAGAACCTAGAGTTGTGGGAGGTAGCAAAAATTTTGATAGTGGATCACTAGGGGAAATAATGAGAAAATCCAATCCTATTTTCATCCCTTTGTGTTGGGAACCCATGAATCCTGCCTGGGGAAAGACAGCACCATATATTAGTCATTGATTTAGGGCACATACCACATCCTAGAGGACATTGCTCCAGCCCCACAGGTGTTGCCATATAGATTATGCTATGATCTGAATGTCTGTGTCCTCCCTGCCAAATTCATATGTTGAATTTTTTTTTTTCAGAGCCTCGCTCTGTCACCCAGAGTGTGGTGGCATGATCTCAGCTCACTGCAACCTCCACCTCCTGAGTTCAAGCGATCCTCCCACCTCAGCCTCCTGAGTAGCTGGGACTACAGGTGCGCACCACCACACCCAGCTAATTTTTGTATTTTAGTAGAGACAGGGTTTCACCACGTTGGCCAGGCTGGTCTCGAACTCCTTACCTCAAGTGATCTGCCTGCCTCGGCCTCCCAAAGTACTGGCATTACAGGTGTGAGTCACTGCACCCGGCCTCATATGTTGAAATTCTAATCCCTGAGGTGATAGTATTAGGAGGTGGAGCCTTTGGGAGGATGATTAGGTCATGAGGGAAGATCCCTCATGAATGAGATTAGTGCTGTTGTGAAGAAGACTCAAGAGAGATACTTTGCTCCTTCTACCATGTGAAGACACAGTGAGAAGGGACTGTTTATGAACCGGAGAGTAAGCCCTCACCAGACACCGAATCTTCTGGTACCTTAATCTTGGACTTACCAGCCTCCAGAACTGTGAGCAATAAATTTCCAGTGTTTAAGCCACCCAGTTTATGGTATTTTTGCTAGAGCAGCCTGAATAGACTAAGACAGATGACACTGAAACCAAATCTTCAAAAGTCCATTTCAAGTTCCAGTTCTGGGAAAGAAGTAGTAAACCCAGGCAAGAAGGAGTAAACACGTGCTACACTTTCTTTTCCACTGAACACAACTAGAAAATCCAGACAGAATACATGGCCCAGCTATTTGACAATTTTGGAAAGTCAGTTACAACAGTTGCATTGGGAAAGGAACACAAAAATTCAAAGTGCCACCAAATCAATGATGAGTTTACTATATTATTTTCCTCCTGTATCCCCTGACCTGAACTCAATACAGTCCAAAACTTGGAAATGAGCACTGTGGTGCAGACAGGGAGAAACCTAGGAGAGGCCTGGCTGAAGGAGCAGGAAAGGGTACTCCTAAAGTTCAGAGAGAGTGGGGAGAATTTATTTTCTCCCCCTTTTCTGTTTTCTTTCGAGCAATCCCATTGCAGTAGCAGAGCAGCTGGCAGAAGCCAAAAATTCAGGAAAGGACTTTTCTCTCCATTCAGTGGAAAGGATCAGACTCCATTGCTTTTTTTTCTCCCTCTCTGTTCTCCAACCTCTTGATCCTAGACCTGGCACAATCATGAAATTGGGCAGTTTCTGTCTGGAGGATCAGAAAGGGGAGCCCAGGGAACCAGAAAGTATCGGAAGATAACAGAGAGGGAAGGGCTTGAGAAAGTCACCCCATAAAGTTATTTATGAACTCATGGACTCATCTGGCCCTAATTAGCATGCCGCAGACTGGAAACTGAGCTAATGATTAGACTTCTGCCCAGGGCCCAGACTGACCACTGGATGACACATTTGGAAGATAGATCAGAATAGCATTGCAAATGCTTCAAAAACTGAACTGACATTGGAACTACAGGGCATAGAAGGCAAGTAGGAACTTAGCAGTCTGAATTTACCCAGGTTAACTGGCCACTAAAACAAAACCATCAATATTCTCAATAGGATTTAAACAAGACTCAGAGTGTCATAATATAATGTTCAAAATGTGCAGGATGCAGTCCAAAATTACTTGGCATACAAAGGATACCAAAATTCTTAACTCTCATGGGAAAAGACAATCAATTCATGCTATTGCAATGATGTAAACTTTGCAATTATATAAAAAAACTCTTAAAACAAATATTAAAGATATCAGCAAGGAAATAAAACACATGAAGAAGAAACAAATGGAAATTGTGCAACTGAAAAACACTATAACCAAAATAAAATATTCATCGAATGGGCTCAATAACAAAATGGAGATGGGAGAAGAGAGTCAGTCAACATAAAGATACAACAATAAAAATAACCAAATCTGTATAGTAGAAAGAAAAAAGACTTAAAAAAAAAAATTGAACAGTGCCTTAGGAACCTGTGGGACAACCACAAAGGTCTAACATTTGTATCCCAGAGGCCAGAGGAAAGTGCGGTGCTGAAAAATATTTTGAAGAAATAATGACAGAAAACATCTCAAGTTTAGCAAAAGCCATTGTGACATAATAAGAAGTAATTTTTTTTTTTTTTTTTTTGAGAGAGTCTAGCTCTGTCGCCCAGGCTGGAGTGCAGTGGTGCCACTGAAACCTCTGCCTCCTGGGTTCCAGCGATTCTACTGTCTTAGCCTCCCGAGTAGCTGGGATTACAGGCATGCGCCACCATGCCTGGCTAATTTTTGTATTTTTAGTAGAGACGGGGTTTCACCATGTTGGCCAGGCTGGTCTCCAACTCCTGACCTCAAATGATCCATCCGCCTCGGCCTCCCAAACTGCTGGGATTACAGGCATGAGCCACCGCACCCGGCCAAGAAATAAATTTTGGTCTATGCCTTCCCCCACTTCCTGACACACTGCTCCTAAAACAACTGAAATATTTTTGTATGCTAATGAGATGACTGATGGTTGGGGGATCCAGGACAGCTTCAGAATGAGGTCTCCTTGCCCAGAGAACCAAACACGTGATGAGTGGGCTAGAACTTCTAGCCACACCCCACCTCCATCTCTGGGGAGCGGGACGGGGAGTGAAGGTAGAGTTCATCACCAAAGGCCAACGATGCAATCAATCATGCCTATGTAATGAAGCTTTCCACCAAAACCCTAACAGATAGGGTTCTGAGAGCTTCTGGGTTGCTGAACAAGTGGAAATGCTAGGAGGCAGGTACAGCTGGACAGGACATGAAGCTCTGCACCCCTTCCCTCATATCTTGCCCTATGCATCTTCCATCCGGCTGTTCCTGATTTGGATTCTTTGTAACAAGTGGGTAAATACTGATACTGAGCAAGGTTCATTTTGCCTGCACTCAATAAGCCAATCACTGTGGCGAAAGGTTTTGCAAAAAATAAAGGGTTTGTTCATGAGACAGCCAAGTGAGGAGGTGGGTGAATGGGTCTCAAATCTGCCTCCCCAAAGATGGGATTTAGGGATATTTATGAGATAAAGAAGCAGAGTGGTCTGAGGTGTGGAGAAAGGGAATTGGGATAAGAAAAAGTGAGGTAATTGGCAATCTGCACACACATAGTCAAGCCTCATGGCTCTTCATAGGAAGCATGTTTAGAAAATGGTGGCGTTAGTATGATCTGTAGGAAGATCTTTATGGCCCTCTGGTGTCAGAAGCTCACCTCTTGGACATTCACGCAGGCCCAGGTGAAGTGGTCTCAAGCGGCTTGAACTGGACAAGAGCTGACCCCAAATTCATGAAAAATAACTTTAAGCAACTGTTACCATGGTGACCTATACATCAGAGATATTATCTATAAGGAAGATAGTAGATTGCTTAGTTACATGACTTTTAGCTATATAGTTATTAAGATTAACTAGAAGTAAGGAATTAAAAGTAAGTAAGGCAGTTTAAGTTCAGTGGGCTTAATCAAGTTAATTCTCAGTTTCAGCATACAGAGTGGGTTCTGTGAGCCATTCTAGCAAATGACTGAACCCAAGTAAAGGATCTTGTGAACCTGTAATTTGTAGCCAAGTCAGACAGAAGTTGTGGATAACCTGGGAATCTATCACTTATGATTGACATCTGAAGTGGGATGCAGTCTTACGGGACTGAGCCCTTAACTTTTGGGATCTGACACTGTCTCTAGGTAAATAGTGTTAGAACTGAATTGAATTGTAGGACTCCCAACTGCCATAGGAGAATTGCTTGTTTGGGGGGGGAAGGAACCCCACACATCTGGCATCAGAAGTGTTGAGTGCTGAGGGTGAGTATAGAAGAGGAAAAACAGTTTGTTTTCCCTATATACAGACTTAAACCTGCAGATTCAAGGAGCTAAGTGAACCCCAAATAGGATAAACCCACAGAAATCCATGCACAGACAAATCATAATTAAACTGCTAAAAATTAAATATGAAGAAAATATCTTGAAAGAAGAAAAAAAAAAAAAAAAAGAAAAGAAAAAAAACCCAACAAGCCAATACATGTGAATAATTCAAATGATGGCATATTTCTCAGCAGAAACCATGGAAGCCAGAAGGAAATGGCCTAATATTCTTAAAGTGCTGAAAGAAAATAAGTGTCAATCTGGAATTCTATCTCCAGTGAAAATAACTTTCAGGAATAAAGGCGAAATAAAGACATTCTTAGATTAAGTAAAACTAAGAAAATTCATACCCAGCGGAAATGCTGTAAAAAACATTGCTAAAGGAATTGCTTCAGACAGAAGGGAAATGATACCGGAAGGAAACTTGGAACATCAGGAATAAAGGAGGAACAACAGAAGTAATAACTACCTGGGTAAATATAATAGGCTATTCTCCTCTTGAGTTCCTTAAAATCTGTTTTACAGTTGGAAAAAAAAAAAACTATAACATTGGCCATGGAATTTTCATGAATGTGTATGTAATACATGACAAGTATAACATAAGGGGGAGAATTAAGAGACCTACTAGTGCTAAAGTTTTGAGTGATAAAATATTGTTTCTAAATACAGTGTAAAAAGTTCAGTGTGCATTTTGTAATCCCTAGAGTTACCACTAAAACTTATACAAATAGTTATAGTAAAAATCATAATTGATAACTTAAAATGGAAGACTAAACTATGTTCAAATAAGCAAAAAAAATGTCAGGAAAGGAAAAAGAGAGGAACAAAAACAAAATAGGCTGGGCACAGTGGTTCATACCTGTAATCCTAGCACTTTGGGGGGCTGAGGCAGGCAGATCATGAGGTCAGGAGTTCGAGACCAGCCTGGCTAACATGGTGAAACCTCATCTCTACTAAAAATACAAAAATTAGCAGGGTGTGGTGGTGGGTGTCTGTAATCCCAGCTACTCAGGAGGCTGAGGCAGGAGAATTGCTTAAACCCAGGAGGCGGAGGTTGCAGTGAGCTGAGATCATGCCACTGCACTCCAGCCTGGAAAACAGAGCAAGACTCCATCTCAGAAAAAAAATAAAATAAAAAATAAATGAAACAAATAGAAAACACATGATAAAATGGTATACCCAACCCAAACATATCAATTATTACATTAAATGTAAATGGTCTAAATATATGAATTAAAAGAGATTATGAGAATAGATTAAAAAATTCACTTAACTATATGCTCTCAACAAGAAACTCTTTAAATTTAAGGAAATTTGTAGATTAAAAGTAAAAGAGTGAAAAAAGATATACCTGTAAAATTAATCAAAAGAAAGCTGGAGTTGTTATATTTATATCAGACAAATTAAAGTTCAGAGAAAAAAATTACCAGGAGTAAAGAGAAGCATTTCATATTGATAAAAGGGTCAATTATGATGTATTAACCTAACAGAGCTTCAAAATACGCAAAGCCGTGACAAGCAGAGAGAGGGCTGATGAAGCTGTTAGATTAAATGTTGCATGCATGAAACAGGCTGCAGGTCTTGTTGGGCCTTTTTTGGGGCAATTACACTAGTATTTAAAAACCAGCTTTCTTGAATAATCTGATTTCATGCACAGTAATTGCACAGCACCATTCCCAAGAATGAAATATCCATATATGGTATTAAAAACCATTTTATTTTTCTTTCCTGGAAAAAAAAAACAACACACAAAGTGAAAACTGACAAGACAGGAAAGAGAATAAATAATTCTACAACTGTAGTTAGAGACCAACATTCCCCTCTCAGTAATAAATATAATTAGTAGAGAGAAAATTAAGGATATAGAAGTTATACATCACAGACATAGAACTTACCCATCAACCAAATGGCTTTAATCAATATTTATGGAACATCTCCCCCCAAAATAGCAGAATAAGCAGCCTTTTTACATGCACATGGAACACTCACCGTGACAAATGGAATTGTGAGTCATGAAACAGAAGTTAAAAAGTTGAAAAAATTTGAAATCATATGAAGTATGTTCTTTGACCGTTTAGAACTTTTTTTTTTTTGAGACATAGTCTCACTCTGTCACCCAGGCTGGAGTGCAATAGCACAATCATAGCTCACTGAAACCTCAAACTTCTGGGCTCACGTGAAATTTTTTGTAGAGATGAGGTCTTGCTATGTTGCCCAGGTTGGTCTTGAACTCCTTGCCTCAAGTGATCCTCCTGCTCTGGCATCCCAAAGTGCTGAGATAACAGGCATGAGCCACCATACCTGGCCAGCATTAAACTAGAAATCAATAACAGGAAGATAACAGGACAATCTTTAATCATTTGAAAAATAGGACATTCCAAAGGGAATTAGGAAATATTTGTAGCTGAAAGAAAGTAAGAAACCTATCAAAATTTGTGGAATTCTGTTAAAGAAGTGCTTATATAAAAATGTATAGTCTTAAATGTTGATTATATTAGAAAAGAAGAAAGATCTCAAGTCAATAATCTAAGTTTTCACCATAGGAAATTAGAAAATGAAGAGCAAAATAAACCCAAATGAAGAGCAAGGAAAAAATAAGTGCAAAAATCAATGAAAACAAAAAAGCAATAGAAGAAATCAGTAAAACCAAAAGCTGTTTCTTTGAAAAGATCAGTAAAATTGATAAACCTCTAACAAGACTGAGGAGAGAAGAAGGGAGAGAAAGAGATAGAGGTAGAGATAAAGAGAGAAGAGAGAGAAGGGAGGGATTATCAATATTAGGGTAGAAAGAGGACAGCTATCACCACAGACCCTATAATTATTAAAAAGCTTATAAAGGAATATCAGTAATAACTCTATACACATAAATATCAAAATTTAGATGAAATGGACCAATTTCTCAAAAACTACCAGCTACTACATTCACCACTGTTGAAATAGATAATATGAATAGTCTAGTAACTATTAAATAAATTGCATGTATAGTTAATGCCATTTTAAAAAATCTCCTGGCCCAGGTGGTTTCAATGGTTTTAAATAAGTAATTTAAAGAAGAAATAGCACTAATTCTTCATAATTTCTTCCAGAAAATACAAAAGGAGAAATACTCTCCAACTCATGTTATGAAGCCAGCATTACCCTGATGACAAACCAGATAGACAGTACAAAAAATAATAATAAACACAACTAAAATACTCCTCATGAATATAGATGCAAAAATACTCAATAAAATGTTAGCAAATTGAACTCGGCAATATGTAAAATGAGTAGTAAACTATGACCGGCCGGGCGCGGTGGCTCACACCTGTAATCCCAGCACTTTGGGAGTCTGAGGTGGGCGGATCACCTGAGATCAGGAGTTCAAGACCAGACTGACCAACATGGAGAAAACTCATCTCTACTAAAAATACAAAATTAGCCAGGCATGGTGGTGCACAGCCTGTAATCCCAGCTACTTAGGAGGATGAGGCAGGAGAATCACTTGAACCCAGGAGGCAGAGGTTGGGGTGAGCCGAGATCCTGCCATTGCACTCCAGCCTGGGCAACAAGAGTGAAACTCTGTCTCAAAATAATAATAATAATAAATGAATAAATACAATAAACTATGACCAAATGGGATTTATACTAAGAATGCAACAATGGTCCAATTTTTTAAAATCAATCACTATTACCATATTAACCATCTAAAGAAGAAAAATCATGATTATATCAATAGGTGCAGACAAAGTATTGACAAAATAAAACACTCATACATGTTTTGTTTTGTTTTGCAAAAAATAATCCTAGCAAACTAGGAATAGAAGAGAACTTCATCAACCTGATAAAGAGCATCAAAAAGCCTACAGCTAATATCATACCAAACAGTGAAAAATGAATGCTTTCTTTCTTAAGATTGGGAACAAGACAAGCATGTTCACCATTTCTATTCAACATCATATTGAAAGTCTTAGCCAGTGTAATAAGTCAAGAAATGGAAGTAAGAGGCATATAGATTGGGAAGGAAAAAATAAAACTGTTCCCATCCCCAGTTGAAATGATTGTTTATGTAGAAAATCTCAATAAATATAAAATCAATCAATAAATAAAACAAAAAACCCCTGGCACTAATAAAGAAATTTTGTAGGAAACACAAGCTAATATGGCAGATGTAAATCCAATTGTATAAATAATAACATTAAATGTTGATGAAATGAACAATTCAATTAAAAGTCAAATATTTCAGACTAGATTTTTTTTAAAAACCAAGATACAGCCAAAAGCTATCTATAGGAAAAACATGTAAGATTCAAAAATGTAAAGTAAAATGATGAAAGACAATATATCAATATATCATGCAGTGACTACAAGAAAGCTGGAGTGGCAATACTAACGTCAGAAAAAATAAGCTTTGTAACAAAAAAGTTATTACAGATAAAGAGAAGCATTGTATAATGATAAGGCGGTCAGTCCATCAGAATATATAACAATATAAACACATATACATCTAATAATAAAGCACCAAAATACATAAAGCAAAAACTAATAAAAATGAATAGAGAAATGAACAAATCCACAATAATAGTTGGAGACTTCAGTACCTCACTTCCAATAATGGATAGAACAACTAGGCATAAAATCAACAAGAAAATGGAAGATCTGAACAGTATTAATCAACCAGATATAACAGACAACTATAGCACACTTCTCCCAACAAAAGCAGAATACACAATCTTCTCGACTGCACGGAGAATATTCTGTAGGATAGAACCTGCACTAGGCAACAAAACAAATCTGTATAAAATTTTGATTTTAAAATTAAAATCAAAATCATGCGGCTGGGCACAGTGGCTCATGCCTGTAATCATAGAACTTTGGGAGGTTCAGGTGAGAGGATCACCTGAGGTCAGGAGTTCGAGACCAGCCTGGCCAACATGGCGAAACCCTGTCTCTACTAAAAATACAAAAATTAGCCAGGCATGGTGGCGATCTGCAATCTCCACCTCCTGGGTTCAAGCGATTCTCCTGCCTCAGCCTCCCAAATAGCTGGGACTACAGGCGCCCGCCACCACTCTTGGCTAATTTTTTTGTATTTTTAGTAGAGACAGGGTTTCACTATGTTGGCCAGGCTGGTCTTGAGGCCAGGCTGGTCTTGAACTCCTGACCTAGTGATCCACCCTCCTCAGCCTCCCAAAGTGCTGGGATTACAGGCATGAGCCATCGTGCTGGCCGTAAATTCTTTTTTTTTTTTTTTTTTTTTGAGATGAAGTCTTGCTCTGTCGCCCAGGATGGAGTGCAGTGGTGTGATTTTGGCTCACTGCAACCTCAGCCTCCCGGATTCAAGCGATTATCCTGCTCAGCCTCCAAAGTAGCTGGGATTACAGGTACCCACCACCATGCCTGGCTAATTTTTGTATTTTTAGCAGAAATGGGGTTTCACCATGTTGGCCAGGCTGGTCTCGAACTCCTGACCTCAAGTGATCCACCTGCCTTGGCCTTTCAAAGTGTTGGGACTGGCGTGAGCCACTGCGCCCAGTTGAAATAAATTATTAGAAGACATATACTACTGAAACTGATTCAAGAGAAATCAGACAATTTGAATAGTCCTCTAATAAGTAAAGAGATTGAATTAATGACCAAAGACACACACACACATACACACACACACACACACACACACACACACACACACCAAGAACCAGATAGCTTCACTGGCAGATTTTTCTAAAAATTTAAAGAAGAGCTAATACCAATTCTTCTCAAACTCTTGCAAAAATTAAAAAAAGGAGGCAACGCTTTCCAGTGGATTATTTGGGACCAGTATTACCCCAGTACAAAAACCAGAGAAAGACACAAGAAAACTACAGACAAATATCTCTTATAAATATAAATGCAAATATCCTTAACACAATACTAGCAAACTAAATCCAGAGACATATAAAAAGTGTTATAGACCACGACCAAGTGGGACTTATTCCAGGAATGTAACAGTGGCTTCACATCTGAAAATTAGTGTAATACACCATATCAACAGAATAAATTACAAAACCACATGATCATTTTAATGGACACAGAAAAGTCTTAAACCAGATGGCTTCATGAGTTAGTTCAACAAAACTTTTTTTTTCTTTTGAGACAGAGTCTCCCTCTGTTGCCCAGGCTGGAATGCAGCAGTGTGATCTCGGTTCACTGCAACCTCTGCCTCCCAGGTTCAAGGGGATTATCTTGCCTCAGGTTCCCGAGTAGTTGGGATTAGAGGTGCCTGCCAGCACGCCAGGCTAATTTTTGTATTTTTAGTAGAGACGGGGTTTCGCCATGTTGGCCAGGCTGGTCTCGTACTCCTGACCTTAGATGATCTGCCCCCCTCGGCCTCCCAAAATGCTGGGATCACAGGCGTGAGCCACCACACCTCATCACTGCAGCCACTATGGAAAACAGTCCAGTAGTTCCTCAAACTGTTAAAAATGCAGTCACCATTTGACCCAGCAATTTTATTCCTAAGAGAAATGAAAACTTATGTCCACATAATAACAAATACATAAGTTTATTTTCATATTATTCATAATAGCCAAAAGGTGAAAACAAAACCAAATATCTACAAACTGATGGAGGCATAAACAATATTTGGGGGGGCGGGGTCTGTAAAAAAAAAAACAAAAAAAACCCCAATATGTGGTAAATCCACACAATGAAATATTATTCAGCCATAGAAAGGAACATAGTACTGATACATGCTATGATGCGGATGAACCTTGAAGACATTACATTCAGTGAAAGAAGCCAATCACAAGACACCACATATTATATGAATACATTTATATGAAATGTCCAAAATAGGAAAATATATAGAGACAGAGAGTAGACTAGTGGTTGCTTAGGGCTGAGACATTTGGGAACAGGAGGAAAATAGCTATGGAGCATTGGGTTTCTTTTGTGGGGGTGATAAAAATATTTTAAAATTGGTCTGGGCACGGTGGCTCACACCTGTAATCCCAGCGCTTTGGGAGGCCGAGGCAGGTGGATCACGAGGTCAGGAGATCGAGACAATCCTGGCTAACATGGTGAAATCCCGGCTCTACTAAAAATACAAAAAATTAGCTGGGCGTGGTGGCGGGCACCTGTAGTCCCAGCTACTCGGGAGGCTGAGGCAGGAGAAAGGCGTAAACCCGGGAGGCCAAGTTTGCAGTGAGCCGTGATCATGCCACTGCACTCCAGCCTGGGTGACAGAGCAAGACTCTCTCTCAAAAAAAAAAAATGTTTTTAAATTGATCGTGATGATGGCTGTACATATCTATGGATATACTAAAAACCATTGACTTGTACATGATTTTTAAAAATTTTTAATTGCTGTGGGTACATCATAGGTGTATTTATTTATGGAGAACATGAGATGTTTTGATACAGGCATGCAATGTGAAATAATCAGATCGGCTTGTATGCTTTAAATGTGTGAACTGTATGGCATGTGAATTGTATGGTAAGCGAATTCTATTACAAAAATTAAAAAATTAAAATAAGAAAAAAGAGTTGCCCTTTCCATGACAGGAACAGTTCAATGTGGCTGGGCGCAGTGGCTCACACCTGTAATCCCAACATTTTGGGAGGCTGCGATGGGTGGAACACCTGAGGTCAGCAGTTTGAGACCAGCCTGGCCAACATGATGAAACCCTGTCTTCACTAAAAATATGAAAATTAGCTGGGTGTGGTGATGGATGCCTATAATCCCAGCTACTCAGGAGGCTGAGGCAGGAGAATCTCTTGAACCTGGGAGGTGGAGGTTGCAATGAGCCGAGATTGTTCCATTGCACTCAAGCCTAGGTGACAAGAGCGAGACTCTGTCTCAAAAAAGAAAAGAAAATTAAAAAAGAGACAGTTCGACGTAATTAATTAGCCATCAGCAGACTGGTTGATTGTCCTGAGGAATGGTGCAATAAATCATTGCTAATTATAGTCATCCTACAGTGCTAAGGAATGCTGGAAGTTATTTTTCCTATCTAGCTGTAATTGTGTATCCATTTGCCAACATCTTCCTATCCCCTTCAACCCCTATCCAGCCTCTAGTAACCACTATTACATTCTCTACTTCTATGATATCAACTTTCTTAGCTTCCACATATGAATGAGAATATGTGGTATTTATCTTCCCATGCTTGGCTTAATTCACCTAACATAATGTCTTACAGGCTCATTAATGTTGCCACAAATGACAAGATTTCATTATTTTTACGGTGGAATAGTATTCCATTGTGTATCTGTACCACATTTTCTTTATCCATTCATCTCTTGAAAAACACTTACGTTGATTCCATATCTTGGCTATTGAGAATGGTGCTGCAAGTCTGCCAGACTCAGAACTTACCCACCTAGACAGATCAAGCAAGAGTTTAGTAGGCTCCCCCATCTATTTCATTTCGAGGCATACCATGATAAAGTAGTGAATGCCAAAGGTCTCTTTGAGTCACATTATTCTTATTACTATTTTGACTTCACTATCAACTATAGTAACCATGCTTACCTTATCTTTGGCATATAAGTACAGATATCTCTTTGACATACTCATTTCCTGTCCTCTGAATATATACCCTAGAGTGTATTGCTGGATCATAGATAGGATAGTTCTATTTTTAGGTGTTTTTAAGGAGCCTCCATACTGTTTTCCAGTATGATTGTACTAATTTACATTTCCACCAACAGTGTATAAGAGTTCCTTTTCCTCTGCATCCTTGCCAGCTTTTGTTATTTTTTCTCTTTGATAACAGCCATTCTAAGTGGAGTGAGATGATATCTTATTGTAGTATCAATTTGCATTTGCCAGATGATTAATGATGTTGAATATTTTTCATATATACTTGTTGGTCATTTGTATGTCTTCTTTTGAGAAATGCCTATTCAGATAATTTGCTGATTTACTACTCCTTGAGGATTTCTTGTAAGGCTACTTTAGTGGTAATAAATTCCCTCAGTTTTTGCTTGTCTGGGAAAGACTTTATGACTCCTTCATTTCTAAAGGATAGATTTGCTGTTACAGTATTCTTGGCTGCCAGGTTTTTTTCTTTCATCACTTAGAATATATCATCCCATTCGCTCCTGTAATATAAGGTTTCTGCTGAGAAGTCTTCTATTAGTCTAATGGGGATTCCCTTATATGTGACTTGATGCTTTTCTCTTGCTGTTTTTCAAATTCCCTCATGGTCTTCAACTTTTGACAGTTTGACCAGAATGTGCTACAGAGAGGACCTTTTTGGGTTGAATCTATTTGGGGACTTTTGAGCATCCTGAATCTGGATGTCCATACCTTTCCCGAGACTTTGGAAGTTCTCAGCTATTACTTTATTACATAGGATTTCTGTGTCTTTTCTCATCTCTTTTCCTTTTGGAAATTGGAATATCTGTTTGCTTAACAATGTCCCATAGGTCTTGTAGGCTTCCTTCATTCTTTTTTATTTTATTTTTTGTCTGATTGAGTTATTTCAAAAGAGACCTGTCTTCAAGTTTAGAAATTCTTTCTTCTGCTTGACCTAGTTTGTTGTTGAAGCTCTCAATTATATTTTAAATTTCATTTATTGGCCGGGATCGGTGGCTCACGCCTGTAATTCTAGCACTTTGGGAGGCTGAGGTGGGCAGATCACCAGGTCAGGAGTTCGAGACCAGCCTGGCCAACATGGCGAAACCCCGTCTCTACTAAAAATACAAAAATTAGCTGGGCATGGTGGCAGGGGCCTGTAATCCCAGCTACTCAGTAGGTTGGGGCAGAAGAATTGCTTGAACCTGGGAGGCAGAGGTTGCAGTGAGCCAAGATCATGCCATTGCACTCCAGCCTGGGTGACAAGAGCAAGACTCTGTTTCAAAAAAAAAAAAAAAAAAATCATTTATTAAGTCTTCAGCTCCAAAATTTATGTGTTTTTTTTTATGATATCCATCTCTTTACTGATTTTTTTTCATTCTGATCATGAACTGTTTTCCTGATTTTTTTGGGCGGGGGATGTTGTCTCACTCTGTTGCCCAGGCTGGAGTACGGTGGCACGACCTTGGCTCACTGCAACCTCCGCCTCCAGGGTTCAAACGATTCTTCTGCCTCAGCCTCCCAAGTAGCTGGGACTATAGGCATGCACCATCATGCCTGGCTAGTTTTTGTATTTTTAGTAGAGACATGGTTTTGCCATGTTGGCCAGGATGCTCTCAAATTCCTGACTTCAGGTGATCCACCCACCTCGGCCTCCCGAAGTGCTGGGATTACAGGCGTGAGCCACCGCGCCCAGCCCTGTTTTCCTGATTTTGTTGAATTGTCTATTTGTATTCTCTTGTATCCCATCAAATTTCCTTATGATCACTTGAATTCTTTTTTGGGAATTGCACAGATGTTCTTTTCTTTGGGGTCTATTATTGGAGGATTATTGTGTTCCTTTAGAGGTGTCATGTTTTCTTGCTTTTTCATGTTTCTTGTGTTCCTACACATCTGGTATAATAGCTACCTCTTCCAATTTGATGGAGTAACTTTCATAAGTAAAGACTTTTTCCTGTATATGTACCCTATAGTGTCGGTTGTGTAGGATGCTTTGGCTGTGGTTCTAGATAAACACAGTAGTATGATCTCCATGTGATTTCTTTGGCTGTAATTAATGTCAGCAGTGTCTGTGAATACTTCAGTGGCCTAATATTCAGGTGTTTAAGGAGGCAGTGGTGTGGCTTTGCTGGAGGAAGGAGCTGGGTGAACCCTAGGGAAGTGTGCACTGGGCATGGTGGCTCTGCTAGTTGTGAGGCAGCATTGCCATCACTGTTGGGCACCAGGCAGGCAAGTCCTTGGTCCCTGAGGGATTTGCACATTGGTTCCCCATGTTTTGGGGGCTGCCACCCTGCTGTGATAGATTGCCTGTTCCCTGGGGTGTGGGGCACTGTATGAGTTCAAATGCTGGGGTCATAGCTGTACTTCTGGATCTAACTGGTGTTGTGGCATTGCACCCTTTTGTGTAGACATGGTGGAATAACAGAAGGACCCCAGGGATGTGGAGATGCAGGAGCTATTGGCATCCAAGGCAGAATGCCCTCTAGCAGTGGGCTCTGTTCTCAAAATAGCCCTGTGTGGTAGCAGCCTGGGTCTTTGGGAGTGGGGCCTCAGTGTGAGTCCTTTCTCTGGGGCAGTGTAGCCATGTGGATTCTAGGCAGCTCCCTAGACTGGGCTTCAGGCCTGTGAGGACCGTGAGGCCCTCTTATAGCTAGGATTGCTGCAAGGACTGCAGGGCACCCCCCACTTACCTTTTACCTGCAATGGGGAGTCCTCTTGGCTCTGCACCAATACTGCTCAGGTGCTTTGCTTCCCTGTCTATGCTGCCATCACAATATTCTGGGGTTTTGTCACTTCTTTGCTGAATTCCAGTGTTTTCTCTTAGACACTCTACGCAGCTGAGTGTTGGGCACTTCTGGTCAGCCATCTTAATGACCTCCACTAGAGTTTCTGACCTACAAAGAAGAGCCACCACAGAGCTCTTCAAGGATGCTAGGACTCTCCTTCACAAATTTATTTCTGATAGCTAGGATGAAAGTCGTGTCCCCTTGGCACTGTCAATGTGTATAGATGAGCAAATCTTACATGATAAAGCCACTCCAGCATTCCAATCTCTCTGAGCCTTTGGCCACCTTTCACTACAGCAGGAATCGTCAAATGACAGTCCATGGGTCAAATCTAATTCCTGGGCTGTTTTCGTGTGGCCCACAAAATAGAATTGGTTTTTACATTTTTTTAGTTGAAATAAAATCAAAAGAAAAATAATATTTGTGACACATGAAAATGATACAAATTCAAATTTCAGTGTTTATAAATAAACTTATATTGGAGCACAGCCATGCTCAGTTACTTACAAATTGTCCTTGATGGCTTTATTGCTACAATGGGAGAGCTGAAGAGTGAAAAACTGAGACTGGCCTGTAAAACCTAAAACATTTACTCTATGGCTTTTTACAGAAAAAAAAATATGCTGATTCATGCTCTTTAGTACACCCAAGGAAATTCTGGCATTTTCAACCTATTATAGGCCCAGGTACGGGTCCATATATCAATCAGCCAACCAAGCAAACTGTCAGAACCATTCCTAGCCCCTCAAGCTCAAACATTACATCTCTGCTTGGTGGGCCAATGTAAATACATTTGACTTGATCCAACTATATTGTCTTCCACCTTGATTCCACACCCTTAAGATCCATTTCTGCACATATTCCCCAGTTCTCTGTTGATATAAATTGACAATTATTTGGGTGTGTGTTGCACCCCCTCATGGGTCACATTTTATACCTCACCTTTCACATTCTCTTGAGCCTTGAGTCTAGTCATAGGTCTTAGAAGTAAGAAGTGATAGGAATAGGTCCTGAGGAGCATAGATGCCTTGCCTTATGGAAGGCCATTACAATTTCTTCAGGGAAGAGGAGACTCACTTCTGCAGGCAAGAGTGAAAGGGCTGCCTCTGCAGGCAAAGAGATTTGGCAGAATTTAGGGGTCTTAAAGTCCTCAGCTTCACTGGAATCTGCTCATATGTCTCCATCCCAATTTTCAGGATCCCATTCCTCCCCAATCAAAGCCCTAACTTTAACAAAAAAGACCCTGTGAGGTTAGAAGTTCAACTTTTGTTGGATTAGACTTTAGCTTTGGTTTTCAGAAATCTCAGCCCTATGACTATGGGAAATACAAGTTTCTTTCAGGGCCACCACTCACAGAAGCTTTCAAGTCCCTTATACAGAACCAGAGCTGGGAAGGTAAAGTTCTGAGTGCCATCATTCCACCTCAGCTCCAAGTTTTCCAGCACAGTCAGCAGCAATGAGCCAACCCCATTACACTTCTTATTTTCACTAAACTGTTCTGTGGAAGCAAATACTCAGTCACCCAGAGCCTTTCCTTCTATAGAAACCTAATATAGGAAGCTACTGGTGATGGTCTGAGTGACTGCCTTGCCACTCCATGCTATGACCTATCAGTGTACCCTTCATTACTGAAAACAAGGTCATTAATGGCTTTCAATTTAATTAGAGAACCAATTCTAGAAAAACCAGATCTCGGCCGGGCGCGGTGGCTCACGCCTGTAATCCCAGCACTTTGGAAGGCCGAGGCAGGTGGATCACAAGGTCAAGAGATTGAGACCATCTTGGCTAATACGGTGAAACCCCGTCTCTACTAAAAGTACAATAAAATTAGCTGGGCGTTGTGGCAGGCGCCTGTAGTCCCAGCTGCTGGGGAGGCTGAGGCAGGAGAATGGCGTGAACCCGGGAGGCGGAACTTGCAGTAAACCAAGATCACGCCACCACACTCCAGCCTGGGTGACAGAGTGAGACTCCATCTCAAAAAAAAAAAAAAAAGAGAAAGAAAAACCAGATCTCATTGTTAAGATTCTGGCCTTCTGGAACCACTCTTAGTACCAAATTCTGTATCAGCAAAGCTGAACCTTTAATACATATGTGGGCGTACACACACACAGTTTGCTACACGAATTTGACCTTCAACAATTGTAGTTGCTAGTGAAGCTCTCTTTGTAGGGCTGTTGTCTTGATGCTGGAACTTGAAACCCACAGGTGCAGGAAGTCAGGAAGGGAAGATTGAGGTAAGATTGGGGAGAGCACGGAACAAGTTAGAACCCACAAGCACAAGCTGGAGTCCACAAGGATGGACTGAATCCTATGTTAATTCTTTTTCTTTTTCTTTTCTCTTCTTTTTTTTCTTTCTTTCTTTCTTTTTGTTTTTCTTTTTGAGACAGAGTTTCACTCGGTCGACCAGGCTGGAGTGCAGTGGTGTGATCTCTGCTCACTGCAACCTCTGCTTCCCAGGTTGAAGAGATTCTCTTGCCTCAGCCTCCCGAGTAGCTGGGATTGCAGGCATGCAACATCACGCCTGGGTAATTTTTGTATTTTTAGTAAAGATGGAGTTTCACCATGTTGACCAGGCTGGTCTCGAACTCCTGACCTCAAGTGATCCACCCGCCTCGGCCTCCCAGAGTGCTGGAATTACAGGCATGAGCCACTGCACCCAGCCCCATGCTAATTCTTGTTGTCTATGACCTTGGTGCTGTGGGTGTCTTGCTAGAGTCATGGTCCTTCATCACGGGGCTGAGCACACATGTCTGGCCCAACAACTGGGGAAGCTGAAGGAGGATCCAGCGGAAGGTGAAACAGTTGCAGCCCTGGTTGCTGCCTTATGCCAATGAGATGAGCTGTCTGATAAGTGACAACTGGTATAAGCTGCGAAATGTCCGTGGCTTCACCTCTACCCAGCAGATCCCTGACAAGAATGTCTCTTGTGGTTCACCCTAACCAGAAAACACAGGCATCTAGGGAAAAAGATTCTGGGAAGTGTAGTTTAACCTGGCCAAGGTGATACATTACAAAGCCACCTCAGGCGATGTTTCAAACCCTGTTTAACCTCCCACCATCAGCAGCTGGAGTCCTTGACTCAATAACTTCTTGAGAAGCCAACAGACTTTACCGAAGCAATCATTGGAGGTCATCCTCAACACCTCCAAGAAAAGCACAATCTAGTGTCAGATGAGAAAAGGCAGATTCCTTCCAGTTAATGTGATCTGGCCTCAATTTCAAAACAAGAACCTTGACAGAATTGTACTCAGGAGGCTAGCTGAATTACAACATCCACTCCATTAGCTCCTGGCAAGATATCTCCCCTGATGTAAGGGTGGAGGAGGAGGAGGCTTCACTTCAGACCATGATGCCACAGAAAAAGATGTCTTTTGCCAGAAAGGGATTGGGTAGCATTGGAGAGCATTGGAGGCGCTGTTGAAGTGATGTCTGGAAGTCTCTATCAAGTCTGAGAATCAGTGCTGCTGTCCTCTGGAAGTTTCAAAAACGACCAGTTTTTTTTTTTTTTTTGAGATGACGTCTCACTCTTGTCACCCAGGCTGGAGTGCAATGGTGCAATCTTGGCTCACTGCAACCTCCGCCTCCTAGGTTCAAGTGATTCTCTTGCCTCAGCCTCCCGAGTAGCTGGGATTACAGGCATGTGTCACATGCCTGGCTAATTTTTGTATTTTTAGTAGAGATGGGATTTCACCCTGTTGGCCAGGCTGGTTTCGAACTCCTGACCTCAGGTGATCCACCTGCCTTGGCCTCCCAAAGTGTTGAGATTACAGGTGTGAGCCACTGTGCCTGGCCAACCCCCAGTCTTAACAGTTATCTTTTCCTTTTACATTGGAGTAAAAATGACTTGAGGCTCCATCTCCTGACTTGGTGGCAGCTCCCCATCCTTCTCAGCATCCTAATCAACAAATTCCTGAGGGCAATTATTTTCCTTGATGGTATTTGGGGTGTCACGGACTCAGCTAAAAGACCACATTTCTGTGTCCTTTGCAATTAGAGGTAGCAATCCGAAGGAAGTAGAAATCTTTGGGAGGGAGTCTTGGGAAGTCCCTTTAAAAGGAGCTGAATCACCTAGTGGTGCCTTTCCTTTCTCACTTTTTTTTCCCCTTCTTGATTTTTTTCCTGGAATGTGGCATGATGGCTGAGGCTTCTGCAGCTATTTTGTGATCTTGAGGCTTCAGGCCACATGCTTAGGGTGGCAGAGCAGCAAGTCTGGTCCCTTATGATATTAGGGATCCTCTTTCCCAGCCTTGCACTATGTACTTCAGAGTTCTGCTATGTGAGAGAGGAATAAATAACCTGTTTAAGTCGTTGTTTCTGGCTGTCTCCTGAAGCTGAATACAGTTTCTGCCTCTAGAACTCTTGCTATGTGAGATAATAAATGTCCTTTGCAGTAAACAATATTACTGCCCATCAATACCCAGTTCCCTTCTGATGTGGTTTGGCTGTGCCCCCACCCAAATCTTATCTTGAATTTTCACATATTGTGGGAGGGGCCCAGTGGAAGGTGGTTGAATCATAAGGGCAGGTCTTTCTCTTGCTGGTCTTGTGATGGTGAATGAGTCTCATGAGGTCTGAGGGTTTTAAAAAGGGGAGTTTCCCTGCACAAGCTCTCTTCTCTTGTCTGCCACCATGTGAGACGTGCCTTTCACCTTCTGCCATGATTGAGGCCTCCCCAGCCACGTGGAACTGTAAATCCAATAAAGTTCTTTCTTTTGTAAGTTTCCCAATCTCAGATATGTCTTTATCAGCAGCATGAAAACGGATTAATATACCTTCCTATAAGAAGATTGTAATGTTCTGTGCTGTTGAACTCAAATGTGCCCGTGTGATTTGCTTTCGATAATGACAATGTGAGCAGAAATGAGGTGTGTCCCTTCCTGACAGAGGCTATAAGAGCCAGTGTGTGTCTCACCTTGTTCCTTGTTCTGCCTTCTGCCTGCTATGATAACCAGAAACATTTCTTTTCTTTTATTTTCTTTTCTTTTAGACAGGGTCTCACTCTGGAGTGCAGTGGCGTGATCTCAGCTCACTGCAACCTCCATCTCTTGGGCTCAAGCGATCCCCCCACCTCACCCCTCAAATAGCTGGGACCACAGGCGCAAGCCACCATGCCCAGCTTATTTTTATTTAGTTTTTGAGACGGAGTGTCACTCTGTCACTCTGTCACCCAGGCTGGAGTGCAGTGGCTTGATCTCGGCTCACTGCAACCTCCGCCTCTCAGGTTCAAGTGATTCTCCTGCCTCAGCCTCCTGAGTAGCTGGGATTACAGGCATGCACCGCCATGCCTGGCTAATCTTTCTATTTTTAGTAGAGATGGGGTTTTGACATGTTGGCCAGGCTGGTCTCAAACTCCTGACCTCAGGTAATCCGCCTGCCTCGGCCTCCCAAAGTGCTGGGATTACAGGTGTAAGCCACTGCACTTGGCCTAATTTTTGTATTTTTTGTAGAGACAAGGTTTCACCATATTGGCCAGGTTGGTCTCAAACTCCTGAGATCAAGCGATCTGCCTGCCTCGGCCTCCCAAAGTGCTGGGATTACAGGTGTGAGCCACTGCGCCCAGCCCAGGCTTCCCCATCATCTTGGGTCCCATCCTAGCTCCTAGCTGAACCGTGAGGGACATGTAGTGAGAGCGAGAAACAAACCTTTGTTGTAAGCCACGAGATTTTGAGATTATTTGTGACTGTCAATTTTAAGCAAAATTGGTCTGGCTTGGCATAAGGAATTAGAGGTTGACAAGCTCTTTGGAAAGGCTGGTGGAGTGCGCTCTAAGTGAAGACTGCAAATGATTCCACAACATGAGCAGACTGACTTGCCCAAGGAGCTTCTCCCTCCACCCTAATCAGGAGCCCCCATTGTACACGTCAGCTTCAGCATCTGGCTGCTCTGTCTGAGATCCAGGGATCAGAAAATCATCACCACCCAGGACAGAACTGCCTATTTGTTTTCAATGTTCTTGTTTTGTATTGAGTTATAATTTACTGTGTTAGTTCATTTTGCATTGCCATAAAAGAATACTTGAGACAGTAATTTATAAGGAAAAGAGAATTCTTTGGCTCATGGTTCTTCAGGCTGTACAAGCACAGCACCAGCATCTGCTTGGCTTTTGGTGAAGAGACCTCAGGAATCTTTTACTCATAGCAGGAAGTGAAGGGATAGCAGGCGTGTCCCATGGCAAGAGCAGGAGTAAGACAGAGAGAGGGGGAGGTGCCAGGCTCTTTAAGCAACCAGCTGTCACGTGAGCTAAGAGGGCAAGAACTCACGCATGACCATGGGGAGGACACCAAGCCATTCATGAGGGATCAACCCCCATGACCCAATCACCTCCCACCAGGCCCCCCTCCATCATCGGGGATCACATTTCAACATGAGATTTGGAGGGGTCACACATCCAAATATCACTTACACATAGTAAAGTGTACAAATCTTTTTTTTTTTTTTCCTTTGAGACAGGGTCTTGCTCCATCACCCAGGCTGGAGTCCAGTGGCGCGATCTCGGCTCACTGCAACCTCCGCCTCCCACGTTCAGGCGACTCTCCTGCTTCAGCCTTCTGAGGAGCTGGGATTACAGGCATGCACCACCATGCCTGGCTAATTTTTGTATTTTTAGTAGAGACGGGGTTTCACCATGTTGGCCAGGCTGGTCTCGAACTCCAACCTCAAGTGATCCACCTGCCTTGGCCTCTCAAAGTGTTGTGATTACAGGCATGAGCCACGGCACCGAGCCCTCAAAACTTAAACGTACAATTTGATCATTCTGATCAATATATGGACATGTAATCTGCACCACTGTCATCAGGGCACAGAACATTTCAATCCTTCCAGAAAGTTCTTTCATGCCCCTTTGCAGTCTCTCCCCACCTCCTGCTGACATAGTAGAGGCCACTACTCTTCTGATTTTTATCACTGTTAATCAGTTTTGCATATTTCAGAACTTCATATAAATGGAATTACACAGTCTGTGCTCTTTCGTGTGTGGTTTCTTTCACTCAAGACAATGCTTTTGAGATTCATTCATGTGTTGTGTAGCTCAGTCTTTCTTCCTTCCACAGTTTGTAGTCCACTCACTTGTGCTGATGGACATTGGGGTTGTTTCTAGTCTTTTTACTATTACAGATATTGCTGTAAACATTTGTGTGTGGGTCTTTGTGTGGACATGTGGTTTGACTTCTCTTGGATAAATACTTAAGAGTTGAATAGCTGGGTCATAGGTTAAGTGCACATTTACCTTTTTAAGAAACTGCCAATTTTCTTTTCTTTTCTTTTTTTTTTTTTTGAGACCGAGTCTCGTTCTGTTGCCTAGGCTGGAGTACAGTGGTCTGATCTCGGCTCACTGCAACCTCTGTCTCCTGGGTTCAAGTGATTTTCCTGCCTCAGCCCCCCGGGTAGCTGGGATTACAAGCACCCACCACCACATCCAGCTAATTTTTGTATTTTTAGTAGAGACGGGGCTTCACCATGTTGGCCAGGCTGGTCTCGAACTCCTGACCTCAGATGGTCTTCAGCCTCCCAAAGTGCTGGGATTACAGGTGTGAGCCACCGTGGCCAGCCTAGAAACTGCCAGTTTTCTAAAGTGATTGTATCCCTTTCTGGTCCAGCTACGAATGGAAATTCCACTTGTTCCACATCCTCTTCCCACTTGGAAGTGTCTGTCTTTTTAATTTTAGCCATCCTAGTGGGTGTGTGGTGGTATCTCATTGTGATTTTCATTTATTTTTACTGATGACTGTTGATATTGAACATCTTTTCATGTGCTTATTGGCCATTTAGATTTCCCTTTCCCTTCCTTCCTTCCTTCGTTCCTTCCTTCGTTCCTTCCTTCCTTCCTTCCTTTCTTCTTTCTCTCTTTCTCTCTCTCTCTTTCTTTCTTTCAAAATGGAGTCTCTCTCTGTTGCCCAGGCTGGAGTACAATGGCGCAATCTCTGCTCACTGAAACCTCCGCCTCCCAGGCTCAAGCGATTCTCCTGCCTCAGCCTCCTGAGCAGCTGGGACTACACCACGCCTGGCTAATTTTTGTATTTTAGCAGAGATAGAGTTTTGCCATGTTGGCCTGGCTGGTCTCAAACTCCTGACCTCAGGTGATCCGCCTGCCTTGGCCTGCCAAAGTACTGAGAATACAAGCATAAGCCACCACGCCTGGCCAATTTAGATATTCTTTTATGAGCATAACTGCCTTTTAGTACCTACGAGGCTAGTGACTGGACACTGGAATGGTACAGCCAAAAAAACTCAACACTTTCACCATCCTATGAGCTCACAGCAAACAGCAAATGGCACAGAAAGATGGTCTCTTTTGGTCTTCCAAGTCTTCTGCGAGGGCCTCTAATTCGCAGAGCTGAATCCACACCCAAAACCACATCTTTGAGCGCATCTGGGAAACATAGTATTGGCGTTTTCATCCCGACCCCATGGAAGATAGAATGAGTGGCGAGAGAACACCGAGGGCCAACCCCACTCATCCCCCCTTGAGTTAGTACCGCCTCTATTCTGCGCAAGGAAGCTGTCAGGTATTCTCCTGAACTGACGTGGTAGCACACAACATGGCTTTAGGCCCCAAACAAGGTAAAATCATGTTGAGTCACATGGTCAGAAAGTAAATCACCTTTGAATATCTCTTATGTTTTGTTTGTTTGTTTTTGAGATGGAGTCTCACTCTGTCACCCAGGCTGGAGTGCAGTGGTGTGATCTCGGCTCACTGAAAGCTCCACCTCTTGGGTTCAAGCGATTATCCTGCCTCAGCCTCCTGAGTAGCTGGACTACAGCATGCACCACCATGCTTGGCTATTTTTTGTATTTTTAGTAGAGATGGGGTTTCACCATGTTGGCCATGCTGGTCTCGAACTTCTGACCTCAGGTCATCCACCTGCCTCGGCCTCCCAAAGTGCTGGGATTACAGGCATGAGCCACAGCGCCCGGCCTTGAATATCTCTTAATCCATCAAATGAGATGAGGGAGAAAGTCTCTATAGTAAGGAATTAATTTTACCCCAAAGGGCTGACTTCTGGCCTTGCTGTTGGAAGGTAATCTCTAAGCCCTTGGAATGTTCTGCCTGATAAGAGTGTCTCTATTTACATAGGGACCTAGGGCCACACCAGATCATTTCTAACAGTGTGATTTCCATTGAGGAATGTGGGCCACACAGTATCAGCTCCACCCCTGGAGGGGCTGGAAACTAATGTCGGCCACACGTGTGGTCAATTACGTCTATGTGACTGAGCCCCAGTAAAAACTCTGGACGCCAAGGCTCGAGTGGGTTTCCCTGATTGGCAACACTCTGCGTGTACTGTCCCACATGGGTGCCCGCAGAAGACAGCGCTGGGAGGAGACAGCTGGAAGCTTTGCACTTGGGACATTCCTGGATGCTTCCGCATGTGTCTCTGTCCTCGGCTGGCTTTCATCTGTTTCCTTTCACTATAATAAACCCTAACTGTGAGTCTGAGAGCATTCGGTGAGTTCCGTGAGTCCTTGTAGTGAATTGTCAAACCCTCGGGAACCCTCAAACCCGCAGCTGGTGTCAGAAGTGAGACTCACAGTCAGAGCTGAGAGTTCCAAAGAAACTCCCAAACCCTGCAGTTTCTTTGGGCAGCAGCGTGAAGATCACCTCCCTGATATTTGAGGGTCTCCCTCCAACACCACAGACCCAGGCCTCTGGTTCACAGCCCTCTGCAAGAAACTCCAGACCCAGCTAGAATGCAACATAACATCTTCATTTCTTTTCACTGGATTTATTTATTTATTTGACAGAGTCTCACTCTGTCACCCAGGCTGGAGTGCAGTGACACGATCTCAGCTAACGGCAGCCTCTGCCTCCTGAGTTCGAGCAATTTTTGTGCTTCAGCTTCCTGGGTAGCTGGGACTACAGGCGTGCGATACCACGCCCAGCTAATTTTTGTATTTTTATATAGTAGAGACAGGGTTTCACCATCTTGGCCAGGCTGGTCTCTTACTCCTGACCCCAAATAATCTACCCACCTCGGTCTCCCTCCCAAAGTGCTGAGATTACAGGCGTGAGCCACTGCGCCTGGCCTTGGATTTATCTTTATAGCTATCTTCTATCTATATCAAGCAGTACTGATTTTCCATACATGATTGTGGCTTTTAAAATAAATATGTTTAAACTAAAAAGGGAGTTGATCTTTTAAAAGAGAGAATAATAGTACAGATGGGGTGAAAATATGTCATAAGTTGGGAATATGTGATGATTGAAGTTTGAGAACTATCGTACTAGAAACATCTTGCACACACTGGTGTGGCCACCACCCAGCCAGCAGGCAAAAATAGCTGCCAGCATTTCCTGTTCTAACCGGAAATTTATCTTCCCTGCCACAACCTATGTCCCCCACTGCCCAGTGCTTCTCAACGTTTTCAAAAAGCAACCTGCAGTATGAAATGCATTTCATATCACACTATCATGTATACTGTTAGGTTGAGCCATATGACATTGCTAGTTTTATAGGTCAAACACATTTGAATATTGACATTTTCAAATTATTCAACTTAATATATATAATCAGGCTGGGCATGGTGGCTCACACCTGTAATCCCAGCACTTTGGGAGGCTGAGGCGGGCGGATCACCTGAAGTCAGGAGTTCGAGACAAGCCTGGCCGACATGGCGAAACCCCATCTCTACTAAAAATACAAAAATTAGCCAGGCGTGGTGGCGGGCGCCTGTGATCTCAGCTGCTTGGGAGGCTGAGGCAGGAGAATCGCTTGAACCTGGGAAGCAGAGGTTGCAGTGAGCTGAGATCACTCCACTGCAGTCCAGCTTGGGTGACAGAGCAAGAGTCCATCTAAAAAAAAAAAAGAGAAAAAAAAAGACATAATCCATTGTATATGTAAATGTATACTCATATCTAGATGACATCCCCTCCTGATCAGTTAGACATCTGTTCTGCTTTATGTGGTAGGTGCAAATAATGAAATAATTTTAGTATCCCCCTGTATGTGTATAATATACATATTATAATGAAGATATGCATACATATATAATGTATATAACATGCTACATATTATATATACAGTCTTATATTTGAGATTAGTGATGCAGTAATAACATTTATAGTGATGCATTAATAACAATTATATATGTTATAATTGTCATATTCTATACATTATATATAATTATATTGCATATGATGTATATGACATGCTATGTATATTATATATATACAATCTTACATTTATTAGTGATATACTAATGTCTTTTAAAAATTATTCTTTCTTTCTCTCTTTTTTCTTATGCTACTCAGAGCCCACTAAACTGATTTAGTAACCCATGAATGGGCTATGACCTGAAGTTGTGAAACACTGTTATGTAAGCCCTGTGACCGGGACCTTGTCTCTTGATTTTGGCACGACCCTTAAGCCTGAGTAGAGCTCTGGTCTAAGTCCTGCACTTCAGGGGACCTGCTCTGGCCTAATCTGGTCGAGCCCAAGGGCCTTCAGGAAGTGCCCACCAGCACCTATGCTCTTCTCGACCATGTTCTAGATCCCTAGGACCCCTGAATTCCTCTCCCAAATTGCTCTGCGCCCATGCTGGGGCCTGCAGGGCCTTCTTGGTGGACACATTCCTAAGCCAAGAAGTGCCCTGGAGGGTGGCCATTTGTGTATTGGGGGCTGTGGATAGAGCTTGGAGGTGCAGGCTGTGGCATCCACACTCATGTGTGCAAGGCCCCTCCCGGTGTGGGAAGGGACTAGAAGTAGGAAGGAGAGGGGATCCCTGTGATCTGGGACCTCCAAACCCTTAAAAATGTTAGGGGTGAGCTGACACTGGGTACCTGCTCCCTTATGGGGACCACGCCAGTGTTCTCAAACTGACTGCAGGCAGAAGCCAGCCCTGACTCTCTCTCTGGCCAGTCACCCAGCACACAGACTCACCTGCAACCGCCCACCGCCATCCTGTCTGCCACACACTAGACTGGCTTCCCTAACTTTATTCCCTGCCTTGGCTTGTTATATTTTTCTTTTTTAGAAACAGGATCTCACTCTGTCACCCAGGCAGGAATATAGTGGTGCAATCACAGCTCACTACAGTCTCGACCTCCTGGGCTCAAGCAGTTCTCCTGCCTCAGCCTCCTGAGTAGCTGGGACTCTAGGCACGCACCACCATGCCCAGCTAATATTTTTATTTTTTGTAGAGTCAAGGTCTCACTATGTTGCCCAGACTAGTCTTGAACTACTGGCCTCAAGTGATCCTCCCGCCTTAGCCTCCCAAAGTGCTGGGGTTATAGGTGTGGGCCACCACGTCCGGCCTTTGCTTTATTCCTTGAGGGCCCTGAGGCAGCCCCTGCCTCCTCTTTCCACTCCCCTGTCCCAAATGATCAGAGATCCTGGGGCAAAGACCACAGTGCTTTACTTTTTGTCTTAGCAGAGGAGATAACTTGAGGGACAGCCCCCAAGGCGCCAGGTAGCCTTCAGGGGCGGGCAGGGTTGGGGGAGGTAGGAGACTCGGACCGGCAGCCCTGGCTCCAGCTTCATCATCTGTGTCTTCCCTCTCTGGCCAGGCTCTTCGAGGGGATGCAGGAGGCTGGGCACGGTGAGCTGGCAGGGGGCTTGGTCTTCGGGTGCCCAGCAGGTTGTCAGCTCCTGTTTCTGATGGACTCACCTGCAACGATTCCGGCATAACCGGGACAGCTGCCTGCACTTGCCACCTGTGGGTGAAGGAAATGATTCAGTCACGAGCTAGAGTGATATTGATTCTTATCGTGTGTTGTGGGGCTGGGGAACCAGATTGATCAACCCTGCCCCTCGGGAAACTCAAAGGCAACTCCATAAACAAATGATGGAGAAACACACCGAGAACAGCCAGTGCTGGGGCCCTGCGAGAGGCCCTTCCCACACAGGCTCACAGATGAGCCGTTTGGAAACTCCCATTATTTTGTATCTCACTTATTCATTCATTCAGGCACTAAGAACACAGTTGAGGACAAAGAAAAAAATCCCTGCCCTGGCAGAGTTGTCTTTCTATGGGGAAAGACCAACAAGGAGAAAAATTACAAAATCAAATGTATGAAGGTGCTAAGTGGGAGGGTGTTAAGTCCTACAAAGGGAAATAAGGCCAGGAAGGAGGCATGGAGGCCCAGGAGCTGGGCTCATCCTCACAGGGATGGCTACTGGGGCTTCAATGAGGAGGTTACTTTTTTTTTTTTTTTTTGAGACAGAGTCTTGCTGTGTCACCCAGGCTGGAATGCAGTGGCACAATCTCAGCTCACTGCAACCCCCACCTCCTGGATTCAAGCGATTCTCCCGCCTCAGCCTCCCGAGTAGCTGGGATGACAGGCATGTGCCACCAAGCCCAGCTAATTTTTGTATTTTTAGTAAAGACAGGGTTTCACCATGTTGGCCAAGCTGGTCTTGAACTCCTGGCCTCAAGGGATCCACCTGCCTCAGCCTCCCAAAGTCCTGGGATTACATACGTGAACCACTGTGGCCTGCCAAGGAGGTGACATTTGAACAAAGGTCTGAAGGACGTAAGGGAGACACCTGGAGGAAGGGTGTTACAGGCAGAGGGAACAGCAGCGCAAAGGCCTTGAGGTACGAGGACACAGATGGGTTCCAGAGACTCATCTGTGGCTGCTCCAGAGTGAGGGAGGGGGAACTTAGAAGCCAAGGGTACTTTAGAAAACACCTGCCACCCTTGCCTCCTCCAGCCCCTCAGCTCTCTGGCCTCGTCTTCTCCTCTCCCCCAACCTACCCTGTCCTGGCTACTTTGCCTCCTCTGCTGCTATAGCAATGGGCGCAGCTCATTCCTGCCTCCAGGGCTTGGCACTTGCTGCTCTCTCTACCTGGTGATTCATCTCATCATCAGGGATCAGTTCCAATTTCACCACTCCAGGGAGGGCTTCTCTCCCCACCCCTCTCTTCCCTGTCACTCTGCTTTATTTGGCAAATATCTTTCTCTGTATCCACTCATTCATGCATTTATTTGCTTATCATCTTCGACCAGATGTGAGCTCCTGAGGACAGGGACCAGGGCTGCTTGTCACCACCATGCCCCCAGCATCACCCAGCACAGGTTTGGCACAGACTAGGAGCCCACAAATATTTGCTGTTGGAAAAATACATGGCCCCAGAGCTAACGTTCAGGCTCTGCTCTCACACAAACCTGGGTCCAATCCTTCACTGATTCTTTTTTTTTTTTAAGTAAAAAAAATTATTTGTGTAGAGATAGGGTCTTGCTATTTTGCCCATGCTGGTCTTGAACCCCTGGGCTCAAGCCATCCTCCCACCTTGGCCTCCCAAAGTACTGGGATTACAGGAGTGAGCCACCGTGTCCCGCCAGCAAATGAATTTACTGACTCTTCTGTGCTGTGTGACCTTAGGCAAACTCCTTAACTCTCTGAGCCTTAACTTCTCCACTGGGGTGAGAATAGGACCTGGTGCAAAGTCAGGATCAACACATACATGTTGTATGACCGAGGCAACAGTGCTTGACTCTCAGATTCAGTGGGGATCACGCACACATCAGGAATCATGTCTTATGATTGTTAGAATTCTGCCTCTCCCCTTAAGGCAAAAAAAGATGTGGCTATGCTCATTTTCTTGATGAGGAAGTTGGACAAGAGAGGTAATGAAACTTGGCATTGGTTATACAGATTAACTGATAGCTCGTGTTTTATTTCACCCACAACATTTTAAAAACCTTTTTAAAAAATTAGTTTCTCTGCTTGTTATTCTGCCTTTCCCCACAACTTCCTCTCCCTGCATGGGGCCCTGGGCCCCTTGCCCTCTGGTTAAGCATTGGCAGGAGACAGGGGGGTGGGAGGAGAGGGAGGTTTAGGTATCTGATCCCCACCACCCCTGCTCCCTCCTGGTTTGGTCACAAGTGAGGCAGTGGCTGGAACCCTCTTTCTGAGGCCACAGCTCCTGCCAGCAGCCCCACCTCCAGTTCCATCTCTCACCAGGCCTCCTGCAAAGCCAGTGCCTCCTCTTGTCCCTCAGGCTGGGGGATAACAGGTCCCCATCCTTGCTAGTCCTAGGGCACTGCACCATCTCATTGCCCTGCCTGTACCTCCAGAGATATCACTCTATTAAACTTTCTCCAGTTAATCGTTTGCAGGTCCTTCTGCCACCTGCCATGACCCTGATCAACACAGCTGTCAACATTTGAGTACCAAAAGATTTTACAGAAACATTAAGCTCTTAAAAGAGTAGTTACTCTGGCTGCTTCAAGCCTCTATTCTTGCTGGATTGAGTGGGTGGGGTTGTTCCATGAGGCATTTAATCCTCAGTTATCTCCTCCTGACACAGCCTTTTTCAGCCCTTGTTCCCTGCCAGGCCTGGGTGCAGTGGGCTTGTGACTGCTGGGGTGGTATGCTGACCGCCAAATGGCCCTTAGTCTCTACCCCTCCCTGTCAGTATCCATGTCCTTTGCCATGTGACTTTGCCTATCTTCCCATCAAGAGGTGGAGTCTATTTCCTTGAATGAAACCCAGCCTCATGACTTGCTTTGACCTATGGAATGAGGCAGAAGTGATAATGGCCAGTTCTGAGCCTGCATGCATTCACTCTATCTTAGATCCCTGCCACCACCATGCGAACAAGCCCAGGCTAGCTTAGTGAAGGATAAGATGATGTGGCAAAGAGCCAAGGCACCCCAGAAACAAAGTTTCCTGCTGACCCACAACTGAACTCAGATGCAAGAGTAAATCCAGTTGAGACCAGAAGAATCACCCAGCTGAGCCCAGCCTATGTTTCCAAACTGTGGTATTGAGAGCTCAATAAATGGTCATTATTTTAAACCACTGAATTCTGTGGTGGTTTGTATGTATATGCAGCTAATAGATACCTCATTTAAAACAAAATTGCCCAGGGACCTTTGAGAACCCAGCCCTCCGTCATAAGTCCCCCTCCTGGTCTTGGTGTCCTTCCCACCCAACCCCAGTTCTCACTGGTGAGGATGATGATGCCTGTGATGAACAGCACAGCTGCGACCAACAGCCCCCGTTTCCGGAGGGTGTGTTCATCTGCAGAGAGAAAAATGAAGGGGTAGAGTCAGACGGACCTCACCTTTCCTTCCCCCACATCTTCCTGTGGATAACTTACCATAGAAGAAGGGGTCATCCTCATGAAAACCTGGAGAGGCAGACAAAGAGCAAGTCAGGGTTCAGCAAAGGTTTGTGAAGTGAATACGTGAATGGCAAAGTCAGGAAAGGGGGATACCTGGGTACCCTTAGAACAAAACCCAAAATCTTCACCATGGCACACAATCTGGCTCCCATTATTCCTCTAATCTCATTTCCTTCCTATCCCCCTCACTCCCTGCACTCCAGCCCTACTGGCCTCCCTGCTGTTGAACATGCAGACACCTTCTCACCTCAGGGCCTTTGCACTGGCTGTTTCCTCTGCCTGGAACACACTTTCCCTAGACATCCGCATGGCTCCCTCCTTCACTCCCTTCCCAGTGGGGCCCTCCCTGGTTTTGTATATGAAATACAGGTTGACTATCCCTAATCCCCAAATCCAAAATCCAAAATGTCCCCAAATCTGACACTTTTTGATGTCATGTCAGGGGTGTTTGAACCAGAGCAACTCCATCTCGAATAGGGTAAAATAAGGCTGAGACCTACTGGGCTGTATTCCCCAGAGGTTAGACATTGTTAGTCACAGGATGAGATAGGAGGTCGGCACGAGATACAGGTCATAAAGGCCTTGCTGATAAAACAGGTTGCAGTAAAGAAGCCAGTTAAAACCCACCAAAACCAAGATGGCAATGACAGTGACCTCTGGTCATCCTCACAGCTCATTATACATTAGTTATAATACATTAGCATGCTAAAAGGCACTCCTACCAGCACCATGACAGTTTCAAATGCCATGGCAACATCAGGAAGTTACCCTATACAGTATAAAAAGGGGAGGAATCCTCAGTTCTGGGAATTGCCCACCCCTTTCCCAGAAAACTCATGAATAATCCACCCCTTGTTTAGCATATAACGAAGAAACAACCATAAAAACAGGCAACCAGCAGCCTGTGGGGCTGCTCTGCCTATAGAGTAGCCATTCTTTATTCCTTTACTTTCTAAATAAACTCTATGGACTCTCTGAATTCTTTTTTTGTGCAAGATCCAACAGCCCTTTCTTGGGGTCTGGATCGGAACCCCTTTCCAGTAACAGTCTGACATGACACCGAAAGGAAATGCCCACTGGAACATTTTGGACTTCAGATTTTTGGGTCAGGAAAGTTGAACTGGTAAGTATAATGCAAATATTCTAAAATCTGAAATCTGAAAGTCTCCTGGTCCAAAGCATTTTGGATAAGGAATACTCAACCTGTACTCCCCAGTCACTCTCTAACCCTACTTTACTTTTCTTGATAGCAAGTTGAAATCAACTGATACATAATTATGATTATTTCTTGTTGTGTTTCTCTTACCACTAGAATAGTAGTTCCATGAGGGCAGAGATTTTTTCTGGCTTGTTCACCACTCTATCTCTGTCCCCTAGAACTAGCCTAGCACACAAGTACTCAGTGACTATTTGTTGAATGAATGGATGAATGGGCTCTCTATGTGACCCATGGGCGTATCATTTCCATTCATTCACTGGGGGGCTGACTGGGCAGGAAGTGGTGGATAAGATCACCAGGGAAAGAATCAAATTGCCCCTAGAAACAGAGGTCCTTGCTGACCCACAACTGACCTCAGACGCATGAGTAAGTCCAGCTGAAACCAGAAGAACCAGCCAGCTGAGCACACCCTAGATTTCCAAATTGCAGAAATGAGAGCTAAATAAATGGTTATCCTTTTAAGCCACTGAGTTTTTAGGTGGTTTGTATGCAGCAATAATTTATGCATTCACTTATCTATTCAGACATTTATCATGTGCCCACCCTCTGCCTGGCTTGAAGTCATTTACTTTCCCATCACGTCTTTACTGAGAACTATTCTGTGCTGGGCTGTACTCCAGGTGCTGGAAATACACAGTGAACAGAAAATAGCCTGTTTCCAGTCTGGGGAGGCAGTTACTAACCAGATGGCTTGAGGGTCTGGGGGTCTGTCTGGACGTCTGTGCTTGGGGATGGTCTCTCAGAGAGCGTCGTGGTGTCATCAGTGGGATGAGCTGAGAGAGTGGCCAGATCAGTGGAGGGCAGGAGTGAGCCATGGAGGCAGAAACAAGGGATATTACTGAGAGTCTGCATCTGGAAGAAACCCCTCTCCCACATCTACACAGCTGGTGTGCAGGGTCAGGCATCCCCCCTACTCCACACCTAGAGGCAATAAGTAATGACAGGCATTGAAATGCTGAAATAAGCACATAGCCCCGGTTGCGACTATCTGATCTGCCTCAATCCCCGAGGGACTCCAGACCCCTCTCCTAGGACCTTCTGGCCCACACTATAATCCAGGAGATAAAGGAACGAAAGGGCAACACCTGCCAAGGACTCTGACCCAGCTACATAGTCTGGAGAAACTTGTAAAACATTCTGAATATTGGCTGGGTGCAGTGGCTCATGTCTGTAAACCCCAGCACTTTGGGAGACTGAGGCGGGCAGATCACCTGAAGCCAAGAGCTCAAGACCAGTCTGGCCAACATGGTGAAACCCCGCCTCTACTAAAAATACAAAAATTAACTGGGCCTGGTGGCACACACCTGTAATCCCAGATACTTGGGAGGCTGAGGCAGGAGAATTGCCTGAACTCGGGAGGTGGAGATTGCAGTGAGCCAAGATTTCGCCACTGCACTCCAGTCTGGGCAACAGAGCAACACTCTGTCTCAAAAACAACAACAACAACAAAACTATTCTGAATATCACCTCTGCCCCCAGACCGAAAATACCAAAGGATTCTTCTCTTGAAAAAAAAAAAAAAATCAGTACCTCCAAAGAAAAGGCCTCCCCCAAGCACTGAGAAGTGCCCCCACACCACATCGGAGGCCTCAACAAGAAGCCAGCAGACAGAGAAGCTCCCTCGTGAAACCCAAGTTCCCTGGAATTATCTCAGTGCCCCACACCCTAAATAGGAACTGGCAACCAAGGATTACAAGATATTCAGGGAATGCATTGCCCAGAGGAAGGTATAAGCCAGATCCACGGCAGAGACCACAGGAATGCGAAGGACAGCCATACTGGTGTGTGGTGCTCATGCACCCTGGGGTGAGACAGTCTGGACTCAAATTCCGGTTCTGCCACTCTTGGCTGTATTGCCTAGGGCAAGCTGAGTAACCTCTCTGGGCCTCAGTTCCTTTTCCTGTAAAATGGGAGTAATGACAGTTCCCACCACACAGGATGATCACAAGCATCAAATGACTGAATACACAGAAGCTTAGCACAGTGCCCAGCATGAACAAGCTCTCAGCAAAAGTCAGCCATTGCTATTACTGTCTGCTCAGCACTCTTCCTCCTTCTGGAACAGCTCTCCCTTTCTTTGTGGGAAGACATTGCCCTCCCTTCCCCAGTTATAACCCAGGCTACAAAAGGAAGCTTGTGACCTCAGTCTGGTCCTTCCCTGAGACCTTTGAAATCCCAAGTAGGGATATTGAGTGACAGCTAGGTACTATAGACTGAATTCTATCCACCCCACCAAATTCCATGTGATGGTATTTTGGAGCGAGGGCCTTTGGGAGGTAATTAGGGTTAGATAGGATCATGAGGGTGGGGCCCTCATGATGGGATTAGTGCCCTTATAAGAAGACACCAGAGAGCTTGCTTTCAAGCTCACAAGCCCACCCACACATGGAGAGGACATGGTGAAGACAGAGCAAGAGAATGGCTGTCTGTGACCCAAGGGGAGCCCTCGACAGACACCAACCCTTCTGGCACCTTGATCTTGGACTTCCCATCTCCAGAACCGGGAGAAATGAATTCCTATTGTTTAAGCCATCCAGTCTGTGGTATTTTGTTATCGTAACCTGAGCAGATTAAAACCCTAGGTGAAGTCTGGAAGTTTTGAGCTAGGAGGCTCAAATAACATGAGCCATTTCCTTCCTAGGTGGAAGAGAAGCAAAGATAGAGGAGGAAGAGAGGCCCTGGGGGCTTTCATGCCCAGCCTCTAGGCAACCCAGAGGCTCAGCAGTGACAGCCATTTGTCCTTGATGAATTTCTGTCACATATATCCAGGAACATGGACCAATACATAGAGCAACTCAGGTCAGCAAAGACTCAGTAAATTAATGCAGTGATGTGAGAATGCTTTATCATTGATAAGTGTGGACACAGCTGCTATCCCCCACCCCTACAGGTGCACTTTTGTACAAACTAGAAAAGTTCCCTTCTGTAAAGCACTTTATTTCCATCCATTGTAGGATTGTTTTAATAGATAGATTCTGTAAGAATGAGATGCTTTGCTGCTATCACTAGAAAACTGGAACAATTATAAAGACCGACAAAGGGAATGGCATTGCCCGAGAGGTGGTGCTCTCGTTCAGTACCCAGTCTGCACAACTGTACATGTCTCTCTGGGAGTGGCCTACTCTACAACACTTTCCAGTGTGGGGCTGCCCCTCAAATAAGGATCATCACGCAGGCATTAGAGGCGATCTGTTGCCTTATCTCAGCTCAGTCTCCTTTCCCACACCTTCTGGTAATACTAACTCACTTGTCCAAAGGAAAATCCCCTCTTCCCTGACTCTTGGTCTATGTGGTTCAGGCATGGCTGGCTGAGCCTCTTCTCTAGCCCCAGGGTGGGGCACAAGACTCAGGCCTGACCAATGAGAGCAGCTCATTTCTCAGGCTCTCATTGGTTCAGACATGAGCATGTGACTCCAGCTGAACCAATGAGAGTCAATTCTAGGCCTCAGGCTAGAAATAATGGGAAAGATTTTGTTCTCTAGCCACCACGTATGTGACCTAAAGTTAGAACTATGGGACCATCTCTGCCATCAAGAGGGGAGAAGTTAGTAGAGAATGAAGACAACAGAACCAAGAGAGGGAACAAAGCACTCATGACAGTGCTTACTCGCCTTGATCCAGCTATGCCTGAAGTTGGCTACTTCTGGACTTTCCAGAACTTATATAGCCAATCATTCTTTTGTGTGTGTGTGTGTGTGTGTGTGTGTTTAAGGTGAATTTTCTATATTTTGCAACTGAAAAGCTCCTGCTCTAACATTAAGGAGATGTACAAAAAAGAAATATCCACAGGCACATTCTATAGCCCCAGCCCTCCGAGGGGAACTGACAGAAAGAAAGTTCCAAAGTCTATCAGTTAGGGAAACACTGCATACTGCACGCTGCCCCTTGGGGATCCTTTGCTGAAAATTAGCTTAATGAAGACTCTCAGAAGTCCTGCCACAAAGAAACATGGTTAACTTTAACTCAGGGTTCCCCAAATAACTTTGACCACAAACCAAAAACATTTTTTTTAAATGTATTAACAATTCCCCAAACAGGGGCACTGAGAAACGTACTGAGGGAAATGTTGACCTAGATAGAGAATTAAACAAAAATCGTAGGCTGCTGCTCTCAGTCCCATGCTATACCTGCTTTGGTGCTCTTGTGTGTCTCTGGATCTGTCACTAGAGGCCCATCCGTTCCTTCCAGTTGCTGGGTCTGGGTCTGGGGTTGTGGTGTTTCTATTCAGGTCAGGAGAGCAAGGAGGGAAGGATAAGAAAGAGTCACTGGGGAAAGAGAATTGGGGCCGGGCGCGGTGGCTTATGTCTGTATTCCCAGCACTTTGGGAGGCCGAGGCGGGCAGATTACCTTAGGTCGGGAGTTCGAGACCAGCCTGACCAACATGGAGAAACCCTGTCTCTACTAAAAATACAAAATTAGCTGGGCGTGGTCGCTCATGCCTCTAATCTCAGCTACTCGGGAGGCTGAGGGAGAATTGCTTGAACCTGGGAGGCAGAGGTTGTGGTGAGCCGAGATTGCACCATTGCACAGCGACCTGGGCAACAAGAGCAAAACTCCATCTCAGAAAAAACCTAAGAGGCTGGCAAAACCTGAAAATGTCAGTATACCAAGTGTCACTGTAGGGTTGGGAAGGGGGACACTCCTGCACACTGCTGGTGGGTTAGGAAATGGGTACAGTCACTTGGGAGGGGAACTTTTATTTTTACTTTTATTTATTTTTGAGACAGGGTCTCACTCTATCACCTGAGCTGGAGTGCAGTGGTGCAATCATAGCTCACTGTAGCCTTGAACTCTTGGGCTCAAGTGATTCTCCCGCCTTAGCCTCCCAGGTAGCTGGGACTACAGGCACATGCCACCATGCCCAGCTAATCATTTTGTACTTTTTGTAGAGAATAGGTTTTGCTGTGTTGTCCAGGCTGGTCTCAAATTCCTGGGCTCAAGCGATCCACCCGCCTCAGCCTCCAAAAGTGCTGGGATGACAGGCATGAGCCACTGTGCCTGGGCGGCAGGAGGGCAAATTTTAAAACATTAAGCATGCATGTCCTTTGCCCTGTATTGTCTTGGATAAAAGCACAGGCTCTGGTGCCAGATTCCTGGACTTCGATTCCAGCTGCGTCCCTGACTTGTTGTGAGACCTTGAACCAGTTACTCACAGCCTCTGTTTCCTTGTCTGTAAAATGGGGACAATGGTAATTTCTGCCTCTTAGGGTTTGCGTGAAGGTTGAATGAGTTAACATACGCAAAATATTTAGAACCATGACCAGCACATAGTCAGTACATATTCCAAGTGCGTTTGCTCAAGGAGGAAGGGACAAAGTTGCTCATTGTGGTGCTGTGTGTAGACAGAAAAAGCTGGAAACAGCCAACATGTTCATCAAGAAGTGTGTGACTCCATAAGCTGTGATATAGGCGCCTTGTGGAATACCAGGCAGGAGAGAAAACAAAACAAGTCTTTATGCAGTGATGTGAGAAGAACTTCCAAACATACGACTGCACGAAGAAACAAAGCAAGCTGCAGAACAATCATAAGGTCTCCTTAAGCTCACACAAACACAGCACACAGTCAGTGCATTTTCTCCAAGTAATATACATGGGATGTGGTATCACTGGGGACCTACCCCAATGCTGACAGTGGGGACCTCTCAGAGACAGAGGGAGAGAACGAGGATTGGGGAGGGGAGGTGACAAAGGGGTTTAGTTTTGCCTACAATCATTTTATTCTTTCCAGGCAGAATGTGTTTTTGTACTACTGTGTCTTTAAACATCGATTGAAAAAATCAGGGAGCACTTTTTTTTTTTTTTGAGACAGGGTTTCGCTCTGTTGCCCAGGCTGGAGTGCAGTGGCAAGATCTTGGCTCACTGCAACCTCTGCCTCTGGGCTTAAGTGATTCTCCTGCCTCAGCCTTTCGAGTAGCTGGGACTACAGGAGCACGCCAACGCACTCGGCTAATTTTTGTATTTTTCTGTAGAGATGGAGTCTCACTGTGTTGCCCAGGCTGGTCTAGAACTCCTGAGCTCAAGTGATCCATCCACCTTGGCCTCTCAAAGTGCTGGGATTATAGGCATGAGCCACTGTGCCTGGCCGGGAGCACTTTTTGAATTATACTTCAAGAAAACGTCCAAAAATTGTTCAAAAAATTCAAAAAAGGGATCAGAGAAAAAAGAGATGAAAGGAAGAAATAAATGGGACTGGCACACAGAGACTTTCTGGGGGTGTTTGCAAAGTTCTGCTCCTTGACCCGGTTGGTAGTTACATAGGGATTCAATTTAGAGTAAGTTATTACACTGTAAATTTATGGGTTTTGTATTTTTCTATATGCATGTTAATTTCACAATTTCAAAAGCGTTTTGGTTTTCTTTTTCTAAAGAATTGAATGGAGTTGGCTGTCCCCACCCAGAGTAAACCAGGGCATTCAGAGCTGGGAGTAGGGACTGAAATGGGCAACCAAAGACCTATAGTGTCAGAGGAAGAGGGGAAACTTTGTTTGTCTTGGTCCTGTCCCCGCCGCCTGCCCCTGCACTACTCACCATCAGCAGGCCAGGTTGGGGTTGGAGAGGTGGGCTGGAGTTCTGTGTAGACTGCATCTGGAGTCCAGAAACAAGGAGTCACGGAGAGAAAAGGAGAGAGAAAAAGAAGTGGGCAAGGTCTATGGGTGGAGATGCCAGAGATTCCCGTAGCAACTCAACTTTAATGTAATAGAAATGGCTTAATTAATCCAGCCATTTGCTAACTGCCGAAATGTGTAACCAATATGTCCCCTTCTTTGGGACCTTACGTCCCACAGATGCCACACTACAGCTCCTTCTTCGAGATGCTGGCTGCAAATTGTCTTTCTCAAGACTCTGAGAAGTGCTGCCTAAAAAAACATGTTTAACTCAGCTTCCCAAATGCACCTGCTCTGATAAAAGCCCCCAGAACTTCCTTTAGGGACCATCCTTCCCTGACTCTTGGTCCACTTTATTCAGCGGGGCTGACACCAGCCCTGGTGGAGGTTGGACATGGAACCCAGGCCTGGCCAATCAGCTTTCTATGCCTGTGGCCACAGTGGCCAGCTCAGGGATACGACCTGAGCCTGGCCAAAGATAACTCAGTTCTGGGACATTTGCTGGACTGGGGAAAGGAAATTCTCTTGCTGGGATTCTTAGCAGACAGGATGACAGCCCCAGGCTTCAAGGGATCATCTTGGCCCCATGAGAGGAGACTCTTCCTGAAAATGAAGCCAACACAGAGAAAACAGAACCAAGAGGTGGAGAGAGGTTCTGATAGCATCATTTGAGCACCTAGATCAAGCCATGCCTGAAGGTCTGTACCTGGACTTTTTCGTTACATAAATCCATAAATTCCCTTGTTTGGTCCAAGTTTGGGATTTTTGTTGCTGTTGTTATTTGCAATGACAGGATCTTGATAGATGTGTCCCTTTCCTCACCTGGGGCTCGTGTCGGGACCTGAATGTCCATGATAGTTGAGTCTGCTGAAGAACTGGACGTGGTATCTTTCAACGTCTGTCCTGGGGAATCAAGGATGAGAAGTCAGGAGGGAGCCTGGTCCCCCTCCTCTCACCACCCCCGCCCTCGCCTCCCTGGTGAAACCTTAGGGGTCCTGTCTGCTGGTGGAATCACTCAGCTTTGGCTGCATCAATCCATAATTCTGAAAGTGTTTTCAGCTATGCCAATGCCTGGGAACCCTTCTTCTAGTCCCCCTCCCCGCCCATCCCTGTGGGATGGGAAAGTCAGTTTAGTCTAGTGAGCCCAGGTGCTAGGGTGAGCCTGGGCCCTGGTTTCAAATCCTGCCCCCAACAACTTTCTTGCTGTGTGACCTGGAACAAGTGAAGTCCTTTCTCTGAGCCTCAGTTGCTTCATCTGCAAAGCAGGGATAATAACTGAATCTACTTCACAGGGCTGTAGATAGGGTGAAATGACACAGAGCAGGGAAAGGGTCTCCCACACGGCTTACCATGTGGTCAGTGCTGGATAACTCCACTGCCCCCATCCTGGTCCTGCCTCTGTACCCTCCAGCCTGGACATCCCAGCAGCCTCCTTCTTGGGCTCCCTGCTCCTGTCTCCGCCCCCACAGTCTGTTCCAACCTGCAGCCAGAGGGAGCCTGGGACCACCTGAGTCAGGTCGGGGCCCGCCTGGTTCAGAGCCCTGCCCTGGCTGCACTTCACTCCACATAAAAGCAAAGCCCTCACGTGGCCCGTAAGTCCTCCTCCATCTGGTCCCATCACTTCTCTGTCCTCTCGTCATCCCACTCTGCCCCTTCTCATCCCAACCCAGCCACCCCACCTGCCTGCTATTCTTAAAACACACCAGACAACACTCAGCCCCCAGACACCTGCAAAGCTCATTCCCTCATTTCCTCCAAGTGTTTGTTGGTCCAAATGTCACCTCCTCAGTGAGGCCCTCCCTGACCACCCAGTTTAAACAATCCTCATTACCTCTACTTTTCTGCAAGCACGTATCACCTCCTAGCACACGATATAATTTACTAACTTGTCTCTCTCCACTAGAGTGTGACCTCTTGTTTTATTCAGTGCTGTTTCCCCAGTGCACAGAATATCTAGCACATAGTAGGTGCTCAATAAATATTTGTCAAATGACTGAACGAGTATATGAAAATCATTTTATGAAGGAGAAATGAGGGCGCCTTCAGTGGGGCATGCACCCTGGGTTCTGGGGGCAGGCAGGACAGTTGTTTTCTCAGCTCCTCCACCCATTCTCCTCTGACACAGGGCACTTCCCTTCGCTGAGCCTCAGTTTCCTCATCAGTAAAATGGGCAAGACAACAGGTGTGACTGACTGTCAGAGGCAAAGCCTAACTGACCTAACACACACCACACCTGCCACACAGAAAGAACGATCAATACCCCCCTGTGGTTCCCATCTTTCAGGAGACACTTTCCAGGCAAGGCTGAGATGTTGCCAACTCTTTGGACTAACCCCAGCTCAACAGCTTTGCCTAACTGTGTAATGCCTGGGGACTCTGGGAGCCTAGGTTTCCTGGCTGCTGAGTAGAAAACCGACACCAATCTCCCCGCCAAATGAAACTCAGTGAGTTCTTCTTGGAGGTGAAATTGGAGGATGCTCAGCAGGACAGGCCCTGGCCAGACTCACTGGAAGCAGCCACCCGGGTCTGAGGTGTCCAAAGAGGGTGTAACGTCGCCCCGCCATAGGGATCCCCACTTCCTGGTGCCGGCTCAGCGGGAGGGTGACAGGGCAGGACAACGTTCACACGGGCCAACCACCCACCCCGCAGCACACGTGGGGCTGGCCTGGCTGGGGGCTCTGGGGCAGGGTGGAGGCCAGAGATGGGTCTTACCTCTGGTGGGGAGAATCAGGCCAACGATGGTGAGAAGACACAGGCGACCAGAGGGCGACATCTGTGGGACCAGGCGATGCTGGGGTCAGCCATGATGTCAGTGAGACCGACCTCCGGCAGCCCCCGGGGATCCTGCAGCCCTTTCCCTGCCCTGAGCAAAAACCTCTGGCTTCCAAGACCCCCTGCCAGGGGCTGACGGCTGGCCTCAGGGGAAAGGGGAGGGTCTTAGGTGGGGATACCAAACCGTCACCCTGCTTCCTTCCCCTGCAGGTCCCCAAAGAAAACAAGAAGCATGAGATAAATGGGTCTTCCAGCAGCTGCAAGGGCCGGCGGGCACTCCTGAAGCAGAGAAACACCTCCCTGCGCCTTCCGCCAGGCGCTTATCCCTCACTGGGACTGACGCAAGGAGGGGACTGGGGCAGAGGAGTAGATAGGAGGCCTCTTCCCTCCCCCAGGGGCCCAGAGCCCGGGAGTCGGCGAGGAGGGGAAGGAGGAAGAGTGAGTAACGCCTCCCGCGCTCAGAGGAAAAAGTGAGTTGGTGTCAGGGGCCGCCTTGCAGGGATGGCGCGCTGGAGAGACCTAAGAGGCACTGGTCCGAGGGGGGTGGCAGAGAGCTGGGGAGACTGAGGCAGGCGGGCGGGAGCGAGGCAGAGCGGCCCACTGTAGCCCAGGAGAGGAGGCAGAGAGATGTGGGCGTGGATGGGGGGCGGAGAGGAGCGGAAGGGGTCAAACCCCTACCCACCTGAGCCCGGCCCGTGGGCAGAGGGGCAGCGGATGGAGGTGGCGCACGAGAGGGACTTACGTCGGAGCTGGGGGTCCTAAGCCGGCAGCCTCGTGGAGAGAGGGACGCGGCGGTGGCTGCTGCGTCCAGGCGGAGGGTGTGGCCAGGGGAGCGCGAGCGGGCGGGGACCCAGACGGGCTCAGTCATTTCCTCTTGGGTTTCCTGGCTTCAGAGCCCGGGGTGGGAGCAGGAGGGGGAATCGCTGAGGGCGACGGGGGGCAGGGGTGAGGGCATAGTGGTGGGAGAGGGTGGGAACGGGGATGGGGCAGGCAGGTCTAGGGTGAGTGGACGCCTCTGAGAGAGCAGGGGGAGAAACGGGAGGGCTCTATTCTGGGGTCGCTGGAGGAAGGGAAAGGACAAATCCGGAGGTGTTGAGGAAGGAGAAGGGATTGAAGGGGGGCATCTCGGGGCACTGGGGGAGGAGAATGAAGAGGGGGCGACTCCGGGCACGCAGGGGAGAGCTACCCCAGGTTCAGTTCTGCACCCCTACCCACACCGTGCCCCACAGATGAGAACACACAGACAGAACAGAGGAAAAAACCAAATGCACATTTATTAAGCTCAAGACATGGACACTGAGGGGCCAGGGGGACGGATCTTCGGGGATGAGACAAGGAGGTGCAGGGGGGCCATACACGGGGATGCTGGGGGTGCTGGGCCGGGATGGACTCCCGGATCCCAGGAGCTGGAGGCCTGAGGCCCTGGGTCTGGGGTGCAGACGGGCTCTTTGGGGGATCGTCATTGCCAAGGCCTGGAGAGGGACAGCAGGGTGCAGCGGCTCCAGCCTTGGGGTGGGTGGGGCGGCTCATTCCGGGGAGCGCTCCCGGCGCGCGGCTGGGTCCCCACCGCCTCCACCCGGTCCTCAGGCTCCCGCGCTCAGGCAGGGTCGGCAGCGGAGTTTCCTCGGGAAGGTGTTACACGCCGCCGCCACCAGGGGCTGGGGAGAGAGGGGGTGCGTGAGCCACTAGAAAGGTGGAAACTGCCTCCCTCCCCACAGCTCGTTGGCTCTCCATTCCCCGGCACCATGGAAGCCAGACCCCAGGGACTGTCACCCCAGAGCTAACACTGAGGAGCTGTCTTGCCTCCCACACTCTAATGTCTTGTTCCCTTGGGGACACCTCCTGGCTGCTGTCATGGAGAGAAACACCTGCTACGGGGCTGGCGACCCCAGACCCAACCTGGGCTTTTGGGGCTATCCGCCTGCCAGAAAGGGAGTCCCCATCTCCCTTCCCATTTGCAATCTCCTCCTACACCCTCACTCCTTTCCTACACTCCCTGTCCTGAACATTTGGATACAACGGGAAGTCCCCCATTCCCCACCCGCTGCAGACCATCATTCACCTAGGATAGACCAGAAACCTGTGCAAAGTCTTCAGCTGTGCCCCAGGTGACAAGGCCAACCCCCATGCTGCCCCACGCATCCATAAGTGCCTTGTTCATGTTTTAAAACTCATTAAATAAACATGAAACAGGCCAAGCGCTGTGGCTCACGCCTGTAATCCAAGCACTTTGGGAGGCCGAGGATGGCGGATCGTTTGAGGTCAGGAGTTTGAGACCAGCCTGGCCAAAATGGTGAACCACCATCTCTGCTAAAGATATAAAAATTAGCCGGGTGTGGTGGTGTGTGCCTGTAGTCCCAGCTATTTGGGAGGCTGAGGCAGGAGAATCGCTTGAACCCAGGACGCAGAGGTTGCAGTGTTGTAATAAGCTGAGATCGTGCCACTGCACTCCAGCCTGGGCAACAGAGGACACAGCAAGACTCTGTCTCAAAAAAAAAAAAAAAAAAAAAAAAAAAAAGGAACGTGAAACAAATTCCACACCAAATACTTCTCAACCATTGAATAACCCGTGTCCCCCTCCCGCATTTTTTTTTTTTTTTTTTTTTTTTTTAGTTATAAGAACTTTATAAGAGACACAGAAATTCCCATTTCTGTTCTTTTACAAGTCTCCAGAAAGGCTGCATTTCCACTAAAAACAGGTCAAGTTATTTTTACATAATTAAAATTAACAGCCTCAAAGAGATCAGTCTTTCGTTGACATGCTTGCCCTGCATCCCTCTCGCTCTCCCTTTACACTTTCCATGCTTACACCCATTCTCCCTCCTCCACCCTCCACGCCCTCCTCCTCCCATCCTCCTCCCCTTCCTTCCTGGGCTCCTCCTTCCCACATTCTCCCCAACACCTCCGTCCTCTCCACTCTCTCCCCTCCTGTTCTTCCCAGCTTTCTTCTCCATCCTCACATTCCCTGCATCCCATATGTTCTTTTCCAATGTGAATTCTAAAATCTGCATTCTATTCATCTCTCTTTTTGTTATTTTGATGCAACTATTCAGAAACCTTCCCTCCCTCCCTCTGTCCCGCTTCCTCGGCTATTTCATCCTGGATCTGCCTGGCTGAACGATCAAGTCTGGAAAGCCTCTCCCCGTCTTCCTCAGTGCTCCCTCTCTCTCCCTCCTGATTGACAGAGCTCCTCCCACATGGGGCCCTTCTCTTCACAGGCCTGTGTCTTCCTCTCCTGGCAAATCAGCTTGTCCTGGCTTTTATAGGCTTGAGCATTTGTTTCTGGGAATCTCTGTGGACTCTGGGACATGTCACATCCCACAGCCTCCCCACGGTTTAGCATCATCTTTCTTTTCCCTCCCTCCCTCCCTTCCTTCCTTCATTTCTTCCTTCCTCTTTTTTTTTTTTTTTTTTTTTGACAGTCTCACTCTATCACCCAGGCTGGAGTGGAGTGGCACAACCTCAGCTCATTGCAACCTCCACCTCCCAGGTTCAGGTGATTCTCTTGCCTCAGCCTCCTGAGTAGCTGGGATTACAGGTGCGCACCACCATGCCCGGCTAATTTTTGCATTTTTAGCAGAGACGGTGTTTCACCATGTTGGCCGGGCTGATCTCGATCTCCTGACCTCAGGTGATCTGCCTGCCTCAGCCTCCCAAAGTGTTGGAATTACAGGCATGAGCCACCGCGCCCAGCCAGGTTTAGCATCTTTCATCTGCGGAATTTCCTCAGCTTCCTAGGGAATTGTCCTGTGATATCTGCAGGCACCACCCCCCCTCCGCCCCCTGCGTCCAGTCCATCCCCGCGACTTCCCTTCTGAGGGTTCCCTTCCCTGCCCCACCTAAAACTCTCCCAGAACCACACAGTTTCTCACCCTCACCTGAAGAGGGAAGCTCAGACTTACAGGATTTGCAGGTTGGGCTGTGGAGGCAGAGATGAGAGAGAAAAGTAGAAAGAGGTTCAATAACCATAGGCTTTGGGGAAAACGCATGGCAGGCCCAGTGGATCCTGCCCATCTGCTAGGGAGGCACCCCGAGGCCCCCTCCCGCTCTTTGCCCACTGCTGCCAGACCTCTCAGACCTGGAGTCCGCCTTCCTGCACTTCACCTTCTTGCCTGTTGGGAGAGAGAGACAGAACAAGAAGACAGGACATAGCGGGTAGGATATGGATGAAAGCCAGCAGAGGAAGCGGAGGCTGAGGCAGCCCAGGAATGGGTCGCACTTACTGATGACGATGAGGATACCCAGCAGGAACAAGATGGTTGCCAGAGTCATGCCCACAGTCTGCACCGTGTTGTAGTCTGGGGAAGATAATGGGGGACATCGAGGCAGGGACAGCACCTTGGCTGCACCTGGAGCCCAGTCCTGGCTCTGGGTGGCCCAGCCAGGAACCCAGAATCGCCCAGGGAGGCTGTGGACTGTGCTGGACACTCCTTCAGGGGGTTGATGTGAGGATGTAGGGTGTGGGCTTGGGCACCGTTAGCTCCCCTTGCCCTCTGTACCCTCTACTTTCCTCCCTTGCCCTCTCCCCCTGCGCTTTCCACCCTGGATATATATATAATACTCTCCCTCTACCACCTCCTCCCTGGCCCTGGTTCTGTCCACCATTGTCGCCCATCTGGCCTCTGCAGCAGCCTTCTCTAGGGTCTTGCTGGCCTGCCTGCACTCCCACCTCTGATAGCCACAAGGACCCATCAACATTTGAGTCAGATCTGGTTTCTCCTCTGCTCAGAGCCCTCCTCCCGCCCATTGCCCTCAAGGTAGAAACCACATTCCTCACTAGGGCCCTCAAAGTCCCATATGATCCAGTTCCTTTCCTTCTTGGACCTCACCCCACCTCACTCTCCCCATCAATCCTACTCCAGCCACAGTGGCCTCCCCACTGTTCCTGGGGCATATCCAGCATGATCCTATCCCAAGGCCTTTGCACTGGCTGTTCCTGCAGCCTGAAAGCTCTTCCCCCAAATATCCACGTGGCTCCTTCCCTCACCAGTGTCTGGGCTTTATTTGATTGTGAGCAAAACCTCTGGCTGTCCTATTCAGAATTTCCATCCTCTCCTCCACACTTTCCAATCTCATTCCCTTCTTTATTTTACTTCATAGGAATTATTCTTGCCTAATATTCTTGCCTCATAATATTCTTGTCTTTTTTTTTAAGAGATGTAGTGTCACTCTGTCACCCAGGCTGGGGTGCAGTGGTGCAATCATGGCTCACTGCAGCCTCTACCTCTTGGGCTCCAAGAGATTGTCCCTGCTCAGCCTCCCAAGTAGCTGAGACTACAGGCACACACCACCATGCCCAGCTAATTTTTAAATTTTTTATGTAGAGCTGGGCACAGTGGCTCATGCCTGTAATGAGCCTGTAATCTCAGCACTTTGGGAGGCCAAGGCAGGCAGATCACTTGAGGTCAGGAGTCCAAGACCAGCCTGGCCAACATGGTGAAATCCTGTCTCTTCTAAAAATATGAAAATTAGCCAGGTGCAGTGGTGTGGGCCTGTAGTCCCAGCTACTCGGGAGGCTGAGGCAGGAGAAGCACTTGAACCTGGGAGGCGGGAGTTGCAGTGAGCCGAGATTGTGCTACTGCACTCCAGCCTGAGCCACAGAGTCAGACTTTGTCTAAAAAAAGAAAAAAAAATCACGATCATAGTTCATTGCAGCTTCAAACTCCTGGACTTGAGCGATCCTCCTGCCTCAGCCTCCCAAAGCACTAGCATTACAGTTATGAGCCACCATACCTGGCCAATAATATTCTTGTCTAATATATAATTTTCATATTTTGTTTTCTTGAGTATCTGTCCCTTTCCCATTGAGTGGAAGGTCCAGGAGGAGGGCAGGAATTCTTGCATTCTTGAATTCTTGTCTGTGTGGTTCATTGCAGTGTCTCCAGCTGCTTGGAACATTGCCAGAAATAGAGCCTGTGCCCGCTAAGTATTTGTTGAGATATGAATTTATGGAGCACTCACTCTGTACCAGTAGTGGTCCAGGCCTCTACCAGCAAGGAGTTGACTTTCGTATTGTGATAAAACATTAAAGAAACAATCCCCCTCAAAAACAAGTCATGCGACACCAGCTGAGTATGGTGTGGCTCTTCCTTGCCAGGGAGTCAGGAGGGCCTATCCCAGTAGAGTAGTCTATGTTTGATCTGAGGCCTGAATAAGGGGGAGCCTTAGCCGGTCGTGTACAAAGGAGAAGCATTACTGCAGAATCATAGCACACGCAAAGGTCCTGAGATGGGAGAGAAATTGACACCTAGGGAAAAAGTATGAATGAGCAAAGGGGTGGGGTGGGGGCAAGAGGAGGGTGTTCAGAGGGGAAACTGGAGCCCGATCTACCAGGCCTGGGGTAGCTTATTTGAGCTTCAGTGCCATGGAGGAGATTTAATGCCACCAGTCAGGTATCTTTCCCACAGTCCTCATAGGTGGGAACTATTACTATCCCTTGTTTACAGAAGGGCCCAGAGAGGCAAAGTTGCTTGCCCAAGGCCATACAGCTAGTGAGTGGATAAGGCAGGATTCAAATCCAGGCAGCCTGGGCTCAGAGTCATTGCTTCTAAGGTTTTCCTTCATCTGCTTCTCTGGCGACACCAAGGCACCAGCCCAGATCCCGGTGAGACCTGAAGGGGGCTCAGAGAGAGTGTGAGGCATCCCCACTCCCCCATCTGGTTCTGCCCTCCATGAACTCAGCTGATGTGAACCACACCCACATATATGGTCCCGTGGCCAGTGGCCCAGCACGTATCGTGTGGCCACAGCTGAAGCCATGTCCGGAGTGATCTGTGAGCACCTGCAGCTACTCCCCAGTCCAGCCCTATCCCCAAATCCAACACTCACCATAGTAAAATGGGTCAGGTTCCTCAGGAGCTGAGGGAAAGAAGCAGAGAAAAAGAGAAAGAAAAAAAAAACTTAACAGTGTATTTCTTAATATTTTTTAGGATCCAGATGGAGCCACTGGCCTAATCATTTCTTTGTGGAAGTCAGATAGAGACCCCTTGGTTTGGATGATGTGGCCTCATGGCAGGCCGCAAGGCTGGAAGAGCATAGCTCAAGCTGGATTCCAGCCCCTACTCACTCCATCAGTCAGCACCATCCTCTATGCAGTGTACAATCTTCTCAAACTACATGGCAGTCCTGGTTCTGGACCCCTATGGAGGTCTGATGCAAGCTATGGACTCATTCCCTGAAAAACACAGACACACTCCCACTTGCACATGATGTCATGAGGTTAAAACAGACCCCATTTCCACTGGTGAACCAATGAATGTCTCAGCTTCCCCTGAATACTCCCTAAAACTTCTCAGTCACCTGAGAGCTCCGACAGGCACCTGCTGCTACTGCTGACATCCACTCACTCCTGATACTCCATCCAGTACAGGGAAGCTGTGCTGATTCATACCCCACATTACTTATTTCTTTTTCTTTCCTCCCTCCCTCCCTCCCTCCCCTCTTTCTTTCTCTCTCTCTTTCTTTCTTTCTTTCTTTCTTTCTTTCTTTCTTTCTTTCTTTCTTTCTTTCTTTCTTTCTTTCTTTCCTTCTTTCTTCTTTCTTTCCTTCTTTCTTTTTTTGAGACAGGGCCTTGCCCTGTCACCCAGGCTGGAGTGCAGTGGCGCGATCTCAGCTCACTACAACCTCCATCTCCCAGGTTCAAGCAATTCTCCTGCCTCAGCCTCCCAAGGACCGGGACTATAGGTGTGCACTACCACTGCTGGCTAATTTTTGTATTTTTAGTACAGACGGGATTTCACCATGTTGGCTGGGCTGGTCTCAAACTCCTGACCTCCGATGATCTGCCCGCCTCAGCCTCCCATAGTGCTGGGATTACAGATGTGAGCCACCATGCCTGGCCCATTATTACTTATTTCTAAGGCACCATCAAGTTTAAGATTCAAAATTGAGTTTGTAATAGTTTTCCCTGTGTGTGTGTGTATGTGTAAATATGTTTGGAACTCTACCACGTGAAATGTCCCCATCCATTAGAAGACACATAATGATTTCAGAAATGTTCACATGTGGATAAAATGTGTGTGTGTCTCTGGATTCACTTTTCTCCACTTCCCACCTTCCTGGACCCTAATCATGTTCCCCTGCAGGAGAGCTCAGAACATCCTTCCCATTCAACAAGTTCATCCTGATGGTTCTCGAATGCCTCTGACAGTTCTTATTATATTTGGCCTTCCCTAGAGCAGAATTTGGCAGCAGACTGTCTGCCACATGGGGAGAGGGTGAGGGGTGCCAGGGTGATGCCTGATGTCGTTGGTGTTCTCCTTCCCCCTTCCAGGCTCAGATGGATGGCTCCCTGGAGGTTGGGTAGGGCCATGTGACTAATTCTGGCCAAGGAACGGTGAGTAGAAGTGCATTGTCACTTCCAGGCTGGGGCATTTAAACATTCAGGAACATTCAGGCCTCCAGGCCAAAGCTCTGTTTCACTTCTAGCCTGGTGGCCTGAATGTTCACAGTGGTGACTGCTCTAGTTTTCTTTGGTGACTGGTCAACCTGTGATGGACGTATACGTGAACCTGGTTGTCATAAGCCCCTGAGACTTTTGGTACTATTTGTTACCACAGCATACTCTAGCTGAAACTGATTGATAGAGGTGGCCCCAAAGCAACACCTGTTTGTTACCACAGCATGCTGTAGCCGAAACTGACTGATAGAGGTGGCCCCAAAGCAAGACCACGGTTCACACAATGTGTAAGTTTACCCTTCCCAGGTCTCTGTCTAGTCTTCAAAGAGGATGGCTTAGGTTGGTGCTGAGGTATCTTTACCACCTTCCAACCCTTGTTAATCTCCCCCCTTTACCTAAGAGAAAACAGGCCTTGGGCTCCAAGTCTTCAGCAGGCAATAAAATCTAGGCAGAATTTTGTGGCATTATTTGGTTTTCTCCTTTATTTATTGATGTAACCAGCAGTGGGTAGCCCTGACTCCATTCCAGCCTCCCTGCTAAGCATCTGACAGATATCAGCGCATTTACTCTTAATCTTCATAGCAACTCTTTCATATGGGTGCGATCTTCATCCCCATTTCCTGGAAGGGGGACACCAGACCCAGAAAAGCGAAATCACCTGCTTCAGATTGCTCTTATGCTGCCTTCAACTTAAGGCAAAAAGAAGATGAATTTTCCAGCTGGGCACAGTGATTCATGCCTGTAATCCCAGCACTTTGGGAATACAAGGTGGGCGGATCACGAGGTCAGGAGTTTGAGACCAGCCTGGCCAATATGGTGAAACCCCATCTGTACTAACAATACAAAAATTAGCTGGGTGTGGTGGTGTGCCGCTGCTAGTCCCAGCTACTTGGGAGGCTGAGGCAGAAGAATTGCTTGAACCCGGGAGGCAGAGGTTGCAGTAAGCCAAGATCGTGCCACTGCACTCCAGCCTGGATGACAGAGCGAGACTCTGTCTCAAAAAAAAAAAGAAGATTAATTTTCCAGTTGTGATGGTGCTATAAAATAAAGCTCGTTGTTTTCAAAAGCTAATCCTGGGTTGGGCATGGTGGCCCACGCCTGTCATCCTAAGCACTTTGGGAAGCCAAAGTGGGTGAATTGCTTGAGCCCAGAAGTTTGAGACCAGGCTGGGAAACATAGCAAAAGCAGTCTCTATGAAAAATACAAAAATTAGCTGGGTGTAGCAGAAGTGCCTTGTAGTCCCAGCTACTTGGGAGGCTGAGGCAGGAGGATAGATTGAGCCCAGGATGTTGAGGCTGCAGTGAGCTGTGATCGTGCCATTGCACTCCAGCCTAGGCGACAGAGTGAGACCTTGTCTCAAAAAATAAAAATAAAAAAGCTAATCCTTTTAAGGAAAAAAATTAAATAAATAGCAGTGTGAGGAATATTTGAATAAAGCAAAAATTGTGACGGTAGTACTCAAAAGCGCCAAGATGGTGAGACGCTGCTTCAGGGTCCCTTGTGCTCTGTGTAAGTTTCCCCACCAGAGAGTAAATTTGTTTGACTCATCACTGCTGTTCATCCTGACATTTATGAAAGGCTCTTCAAGTTTTCTGGGATGAATGAATGAAGGAATGATTATGAGGCAGTCCTAGGCTGCAGGAGGCTGTAAAAGGTGGATTGTCTCACTTGTCTGTTTTCCACACACCCGTCCTTCCCCAAAGTTATCGGGAGCCCACTGGGTGAGCCCCTGTCCCAGAATCTGGTGTTCCATGTGGAAGATCCTCCTCCATGCGGAAGATCCTCCTCTGGTCCCTGCTGCCCCGGCAACCTGGGCCCTCAGGCGTGGCTGGGCTAAGGGTGGGGCCAGGAGTCAGGCAAAGGAATGTGCACTACTCCTGGCCAGCTGCCAAAGAGATATCAGGAAGGAGGTGGTTGCTATGGCAACTGGGGCATCTTGGGAGGTGAAGAGAGGTGATAGGTCCCGCCACCCCAGGCTGGGTGGGGTCCCCTGTGAGGTCCTGTGTGAGATGCAGGTTTCAATCTTGACCCTCTCCCCTCCTTTTGCACCTCCTGCCGTTGCCCCTGCAGGACTGGCTTCTGGCCAAGCTAAGGGTCCATTTCAGGGATAGGGACCCGGACCCAGCTGTGCTCATGCATCCCTCTTCTGTTCACTCCTAACTCTCCCTCCTGTTCTCTGGCAGGGTGGAGGGAGACTCTCCCCTCTTCCCCCCTCGCTCCCCAACAATTCATTAATTAGTTTCCTTAAGCAGCTTGCAATGCACAACATGCTTTTCCTCCCCCGGGGTTTCCCGAGACCTGCGGTCCCCTGTCATGCTGTGACTGGGAAAGGGGGAGGCAGAGGAGGTTGGGTTGAGGAGTCTGTCCTCCCACCTCTGCCCGTCTGCTGCCATCGATCCTGCTAACCACCACCTCTGCAAAAAGAAGCCCTGGGCTCCCGCCAGGCCTGCTGCCTCAGCCCTGCCCCCCTCCCTAGGGTAGCTTCCAGCCTCTGCAGCCCCCCCCACCCCCCGCCCTGCTTCGGATTCTGCAGATATGGCTCAGTGCAGCAGCCCCCGCCTGCTGGGAAGCGCGGAAGGGAGGGAGCCATCCAAGTGGAATTCGGGTTCCCTTCACTGCCAGGGGCTTCTCAGCACCCCTGGTCCCCTGCCCTCAGTGCTGGAGACCCTTGCTGGGCACTGGCTCCCTCTTGAAGCAGTCTGTGCCTTGCTCATCTGCAGAAGCAGGATTAGCAGTGGGGGCTATTAGGGGGCGACGGTAGAAGTGGGTGTTTAAGTGGGTGCATAACTGGGTTAATTGGTGTGGAATGGAAATCAGTGTGTGGCTGGATGGGGGCAGTAGGGGCAGCTAGGTGTATACCCAACAGCACCTCTGGGATTGGAAAACACCCCTGCTGTGGGCTGGAAGGAGGGTCCCATCGCCCCATTCCCACACATAGGGTCTCACTGCAGTGGTTTGGGCCCCACCCCACATGGCTCCCTTCTTCTCTTTCTACTCCCCTCTCTCCCCATGGGTCCGTCTCTCTCCCTCCGTCTCTCTGCTTCTCTCTCCATAGCGGTCTCAATCCCACTATCTCCCAGGCTCTCATTTTTTTTTCTCTCTCTCTCTGCATCTCTGTCTACTGCTCTCAGCCTCTCCCCTCCACTGGGAATCTCTCTGAGTCCATCTATTTGTCTTCCTGGGTCTTTGTATCTGTGACTCTGGATCTCCTGCCTCTCTTGGTCTCTGTCTCTTCCAGGTTCTCCCTGTCTGTCTCTTGCTATATCCCTTCTCTCTGTCTCTTCCTTCAGCTCTCACTCCTTTCCTCTGAACCTGGCTGTCAAGGGTTTCAGGAAACAGACACCCTAGGAGACAGCACTGGAAAGAAGAGGGACATGAACCTCCTCCCCTTCCCTTGCCCACCCCAGGGACCCTGAAATCTTCCAGAACGTCTCTGGTCGCAGACCCACCCGCTCCCACCCTGCAAGCTCATCTCTTCCCCGTCTGCTACCACCACGGTGCGGGACCAGCCACCCGGTTGCCATAGCGACCTGTCCGAGCATCCCTTCTCCCGGGACTGCCACTCTCCAACCGCAGGTCTGGCACAGGACGCCTGCCGGGGAGGGGGTGTCCCAGAGACCCGGAGGGGCGATCGGGGGGGCGCATTACAGGGGCTTCCGCCCACAGGAGGAGCGGACCTCCCTCCCCCAACTCCCTTGCCTTACCATTGCTTGAATCTCCCGACACCCTCTCTCCTAGGCTCTCAGATCCCGGAGCCCCCCTGCAACCCCCTCCCCAAACGACGCTCACCCTTTGTGGGGGTCTGGGTCGGGGTCGCCATGCTGGGCCGGAGCAGGGGGCTGCTGGATGCTTTGGCGGCGAAGGCGCGCTGCAGCAGCTGGAAGCAGGACGGACCGATGTGGGGGGGAGCTGGGGGGAGCCCTGGCGTGGGGGGGCCTGCAGCCAATGGGGGCCCGGGGAGCCCGCCCCCGTGCAGGCCACCCCCGCCCCCGCCCCCGCCCACCACCGTCGTCCCCGCCCCTTCCTCTAGGGTGGGGCGCCCCCTGCTGGGGCCCAGTGGCGCTGGCGTTTCGCGCTGAGGGACCGAGACCGACAAAGTGCTGTCGAGAGGAACGCACGTTTTATTGGAAGTCTTGGCGGCAGGGGGAGTCTGCGGGGGCAGGGCTGGGGAAGGGGCGGCGGAGGGGGCGGTGGGCGCGCAGGTGGAGCGTGGGAGATGTCAGGTGCCAGGGGAGTCCTGTGAGGGTGAAAAGGGTGAGAGGCGAGGGGGGACGTCCAGCCCCACCCCTCGCCGCCCTTCAACTCTGGCACTTGGCCCCCTCCCTCTCCCGCCTTTCCTTCCTCCCTCCTTCCCTCCCACCGCCGTGTCAGAGCTGCAGCACCTGGCCGGATTCCATCGCTCCAGGTGTTTCTACCGCCTGCGGGTGGACAGACCTGGGGGGAACACGGAGATCGGGGGTCATTCTGGAGAGGCATCCCCAGCTCCTGGGCAGGTGGGGCCCGCGGCGGGGCAACTCCCCGCCCTCCGCTTTCAGATCCAGCCCTTCCCTCTACGCAGCCAGGGAGGGCCGGGAAAAGCGGTCCTTGGAACCAGCCCTCTCCCCAGAATACCCGCAGTCTCCCCAGACTCACGGCGGATGGAGCTGCGGAAAGTTCCCTCCTCTTCATCGGGTTCCCCAGTCCTGGGAAGACAGAGGCAGAGGGATTTCGGGATGGAAAGGGGGAGAGGCTGCCCTTCTAGGAACCCCCCAGTACAAGCCTCCTTTCCCAGATTGGTGTAACTAGGCCCAGATATGGACGAAGAGCAGGCTCGGGGTCCGCCAGAAATGAGGAGCACCCAGGAGCAGCTTATGTGCTGGCAGGGGGCTTCTAAGCTGGTTAACAGTGAGTACCTCCGCGGATTTGGGGGCAGGGATGTGAAGTTGGTGGGGGAGGGATAGTCATGGGGACTTGGCAGACTGCCATGAGATGGCCTGGGTTGGAAACCCAGAACCCCCCATCTTCCACTTGAGTGATCTTGAACAAAGTGACTTTACCTCCCTGTGCCTTAGTTTCCTCATCTGTCAAATGGGGTTAATAACAGCACCTCCCTCCCAGAGGAAGTGAAACCGTATCTAACACGTGGTACACACCCAGTAAATATTAGCTACTACTTATGATAATATCTATAATTGTTCTAACATATTCATACATTGTCCATGCTTTAACATTTTATTCGAAGAGGAATCAAAGAGCTAGGAACAAGACTCTAAGCTAAACTGGGCCGCGTGTGAGATGATCTCATTTCACCGCCGTTTCTTCTTTCCTGCACTTTGTGTTATCACGCTTTGTGATTTTTCTATCTGTGGGGCTGTTGGAACCCACGGCCACCGCCTCCACTAGGCTGGGAGCTCGGCCAGGAAGGGCGGGAGGTTTTTTCCTCGCTTGGTCCCAGGGCCAGGCTTGGGCCATGGCACATAGTAGGTGCTTAATACATAGTCGCTGACGGGGATCGGGCTGCGGGTCAGGGGTACTCCCCGCCTCACCCGCGGCGCCCTCCAGAGCAGGAGCGGGCGAAGGAGGGCGGGGAGGGGCGTCTTACCTCTGCTGCTGGTTGAACTTGCACCGGCATCTTCTGCCTGTGGGCGTGGAGAGGTAGGAGAAGCTGAGGCTCCCTCCCGGCGGGCGCCAAGCGGCGCTGTAGCTCCAGCTCGCCCTCGCGAGGGGCGGGGCTTGGGGGACGGGGCGGGGCTAGAGGCGAGACCGGGGGCCGGGGAACCAAGGCAGGGTAGGCGGGGCAAGGCCTGGGAGGGGTTGGGGCGGGGCGGGGCCAGGGAGGGGCGGGACCAGGGAGAAGCGGGGCCAGGGAGAGGGGGGCTAGGGAGAGGCGGGGCCAGGGAGAGGCGGGGCCAGAGAGAGGTGGGGCCAGGGAGAGGCGGGGTAGAGGGCGGGAGCTAGGGGCACTCACTCAGCACGATGAGGATGCCCAGGATGAAGAGGATCCCGGCGATGACGAGGCCTCCGATCTGCAGGGACTGGTAGTCTGTGAGCAGCAGAGCAGGGAAGGTGAGGGCAGGGAAGACAGGAGGGAGAATAGGAGAGGGGTAAATTGGGAAGGAGGGAACAGGGAGAAAGGACCAGCAGGCAGAAGGGGGGAAGTAAGATAATTAAGGGGGAGCAGATATGGGAGGAGGAAAGTGGGGTACCAGGGAGAGGAAAGGGGTGTATAGGAAAGGGAGGGAGGGGACAGGGAGGAGGAGGACAGGGGGGAGAGAAGACGGGAAGAAGCAGAGGATGGGCCACGAGATGCTGAGACAGACGCAGGCAAGAGAAAGAGAACCAGAGAGGTATCACATAGACAGTGACACAGATAGACACAGACAGGAAAAGATGCAGACAGGTGGAATCAGAGAGGAAGGACAAAATAGAGGGAAGGAGAATGACAGAGATATCAATACTGGGACTCTGGGGGAGGGCGAGGGGGAATCAAAGGACCAGCAAAGCCAGGCTCTCCCCCAGGACTCAAAATTAGACCCCCCGCTCACCGTAAGTGAACGGGTCGTGTTCCTTTGGACTTTCTGGAAAGAGAGAGAAATCAGGGGTTGAATGCTTCCTGGGGTCCTGGCAGGGAGGGGCATGAGGAGACCACTGGAGGCTCTGCCTTGCTGGGCTTAGAGTCTGAGGGTGTCTGGGCAGGCTGCCCACACTCTCTGGGTCCCAGCTGCCCCCTCTGCACTGTCCCAGATGGGGCAGGTGGCACCTAACTGCCCCAGCTCCCTGACTCACGGCAGGCTGTCTGTGACCCAGTTATCCCATCGGGGATTCAGCCCCATCCCACCCCATCTTTGCCTGATCTGGGGCTTCCTCTCCCCTCCCCCAAATACCAGCCTGTGACTGGACCCCACGTGGAGACCCCCAAACTTCTTGGTACCCCAGCCGACTTAGTCTAGGTTGGGGTCTCCAACTTGGTTCTTCGGTCCCCACCGCCACCCCTGGGGCTGAGGTGGGTAGCGGGCAGCCTCCCCTGCACTCACCTGCCTTGGCCATGGTGAGGAGACCCACACAGAAAACCAAGATGTGGCCAAGAGACGCCATTGTCCTGGGGGGGACACCACGGATTAGGCAGTGTGTGCCCTTGCTCTCCCACATAGGGCTTGAACCCAAGGGATTAAGTCAGAGACAGTCTGGGGACTGAATCACAGAAGTGTTTGTCCTCTATCTTGGTGGCTCCAAGCTAGAGAAACGGGTATCCCCAGCTTCGTGGGGACACAGTGTCACCAAAACAACCTCCACGATGGGATCACACAACAACACAACGTAGCAGGGACGGGGGTGAGACACACAGTCCCCGGGGGGCCTCCCTTGGGCCTCCACCTCCCGCAGCAGGCCCCCGATTCCCAGACCTACCCTGGCAGGGCAGAGGAGGCGCTGCCTCACACAAACACAGAGCAGGAGACAGCAGGGCACGCCCAAGTCCCACCTGCCTACATGCCCGGCCTCACTGTGCCCCGCGAAATCCCAGCTCCCTGCCCTCTCCGCCCGCCCGCTCGCGGCCTGACCCCGGGTATAAATATCTCCCACTTCACCCTGGAGGAATTCTGCTCGCTCAGGCCACCATGGCAACAGCCTGCCTTCCCCCACTCAGGGGGTCACGCACAGCCCTGCCGGGGTGAGGCCCAGCTGCCACATCGCCACAGGCTGCCCCTGTGGGAAAGGTCACCCCGTCTCCTCCCTGGGCAGCAACGAGAAAAGGAAAAGACAGCCCCTCTGCCCGCCTCTGGGTGACATCTTTCACAATCGGATGTCAGGCAAGTGACATGAGGCCCAGCCCAGTGGGCCTTAGAGATAGAAAACACATGCTGGGGCAGGGATACACACACACACACACACACACACACACACACACACACACAGTGGGGCCGGAATGGACATGAACAACAACCTCTCCCCAAACTGCTGGTTGGAGCAGGACGTGGGGTGTAAACACCGTCAGGCATCCAATACTCCTCCTCTGGGCCTCCGGTGCCCCCACGCAGTGACGCAACCAGCCCTACACACGTGTGTGTCCCAACTCCACACCCTGCCAGGGTGCACACGCACCAGCAGGGCAGGGAGGAGTCACCCACATCCCACCCTGCAGAACCCACTGCCTCAACCACACTCCCTCCCTCTTGGGTTGGCCTGCCTGGGAAGCCTCGGGCTGGCCACTCCTGCTCCCAAAATAGGCGGCCCAGCCAGACCAGGGGTGAGGCCTGGAGGGAAGGAGTGGGGGACGCTCACCCCAATCGGGCTGTCCCCTGCTGAAAGAAGGCCCCCAAACGTCCTGCTGTGCCCCGGGGGCTGAGCACTTTGGACCCCCTGGCCCAGAGCTGGACGCGCCGCCCCCAGCAGCCTCCCCTCCCAGCCCCACCCCACCCATGCCCTCCCCAACCAGCAGCTGAAACTGGAGCTGGGGCTGGAGGGGGGCCAGGGGGCGGCCCCCAGCCCAGACTGCCCTGGCCCGCTTGGTTAACTCTCTCAGTTCAGAGAGAGCAGCAGCAGGCAGCCAGCAGGCAGGCTGGAGAGGCTAGGAGGATTGTGGAGGACAGGGTTGTGAACACACACACACACAAACACACACGCCTCCAAGAGCTTTTGGGCTGAGGCGGCTGCCCCCTGGGAACTGGGTCCAGCCAGGGCCGAAGGTCACCCAGCCTGACTGCCCAGGAGCCCACTGACCCCCGATCCCAGTGCTCCGTGAGGTCCTTAACAGGGCTGTTTTAGAGGACGGGAGGGAGGTGTGTGTGTGTGTGTGTGTGTGCGCGCGCATGTGCGCTATCTGCTGTGGTGAGATCCCCAGAAATGCACCACACACACACACCCACACACAATCCCAAAGACCCAGATATACAGGTACAAAACCAGACAAAACCATGTATGTATGTACATCCATAGAAGCAGACACACACAGAATGACACACTGATAGAGAAACCCAAAGACCCGGACACACAGCCAACACCTTTTATGCCAGTCACAAAATACCAGAACAAGCACATTTATGTCTACACAGACCCACGCACGCTCATGTAGATGGATGGCCACACAGAGATACAGTCAAAGACATAGCCACATCACCATCTACACTCACAAACTGGCCACAAAAATGCATGTTTATGTGAAGACCCACCCACAAATGGCCATACAGAAACACACAAGTATGTGCACACCGCACATAAATGCATTCTAAGATGCATGGCCAAACATGGCCAGGTACGGTGGCTCACACCTGTACTCCCAGCACTTTGGGAGGCCAAGGCGGGAGGATCACTTGAGGCCAGGAGTTCAACACCAGCCTGGCCAACCCGACGAGAGCTCGTCTCTACTAAAAAAATATACAAAAATTAGCTGGGTGTGGTGGCGTGCGCCTGTAATCACGGCTACTCCGGAGGCTGAGGCAGGAGAGTCACTTGAGCCCGGGAGGCAGAGCTTGCAGTGAGCTGAGATCATGCCACTGCACTCTAGCCTGGGCAACAGAGCGAGACTCTGTCTCAAAAACAAAAACAAAACAAAAAAACCCCAAAGGTACAGACATGCAGCCAGCACTCCTACATGGTCCCAAAGATAGGAAGGCCAACAAGCTTGTGTACACACAGACAGATTTCCATGGGCACAGATACACAAGCAGAAACACCATCAAGGACAACCCGCCGCTCTCACACATACCCACAAAAGCAGAAACACACACACTGGTTCACACCCTATGCTTGAGCAAACAGGCACATGGTTGGCCACGGTGACAGATGCGCAGGCTGACACACTTGCATGTTCACACATTCCAAAACCACAGATATGTATTTAACCCCACACTTTCCTTCCCCTGAGCTCTTGTCGGGGACAACACACCTGGCGTCCCCATGGGCAGGCCAGGTTTACAGGTCCTGGTGACAGGGAAACCTGGAATGGCCCAGGCACTGCACTCCTGGTTGTGTGAACTTGAGCAGCTCTGTGCCTCATTTTCACATGCTCCAAAATGGAAAAATCACTAAGATCACGTGTATAATCCTGGACAGGGCTCAGAGGTCTCTGAACTTGACATTGTCTTATGATTAACTTCATTTTTTGTTTGTTTGTTTGAGACCGGGTCTTGCTCTGTCACCCAGGCTGAAGTGCAATGGCACAATCATAGCTCACTGTAGCCTCAACCTCATGGGCTCAAGTGATTCTCCCACCTCAGCTTCCTGAGTAGCTGGGACTATGGGCGTGCGACACCATGCCTGGCTAATTTTTTAATTTTTTGTACAGTCGGGGTTTCTCTATGTTGCCCAGGCTTGTCTTGAACTCCTGGCCCCAAGCGATCCTCCCACTTCAGCCTGCCAAAATGTGGGATTACAGAAATGAGCCACCGTGCCTGGCCTATTATTATTGTCCTTGTCATCCTCCTCCTTGTGAACTGGACTGCTGGGCTGGGCACCCTATGAGAGTGGGTTCAGATCCCTCTGTGCCCCTGGCACTCAGCTCTCCAACTTCACTTTCAGGGACCCTGTTTATCATACCCAATAGTCAGTGAAGGAAACTGAGAGCTGACGGGCATGGCTCAAACCACAAGCTGCTGGGGTCTGCTCCTCTAGGAGCTGGATCCGGAGCCCACCCCCAAGCTTGCCGACCACTGTGGGATGCCCACCTTGTGCTGAACCCCAAAAGGATGAGTTGCCTCCATCACCTGAGTCCTCTCCACAACTGGGAAGCGGGTGCCACGATTGTCCCCGTTTGACAGATGGGAAAACTGAGGCCACACAGGACTGGGCCTGGAACCCAGATCTGCATGACCTCCAAGCTGTTAAGCCCCCTTATCCTCCAACGAGGCTTCTGGGCGTGGGCGTCAGTGTCAAGAGAGGCTGCATGCATTCCTCAATCACAGGATGAGTCTCGTCCCCAGGCGATGAGGTGGTACAGCCTAGGGGTTAGGTTTAGAGCTGACTAGAGCCAGGAAACTAATCACATAACTTCCCTGTGCCTCAGTTTCCCCATCTGTAAAGCAGGGATAGCAGTACTGCCCATCTCACAGGGTGGCTGTGAAGGCTGAGTGAGTATAAACATTACTACTATTTCATCTTAGCTAACAAGTGTCATTTACTTATGTTTCTTATTTAGTGGACAGAATCTATCCAAATGACTAAAATTTAGTCCAGATTAAAACAACCAATTATCCATCTATCCATGAACTCTGATCTCCAAAGAAAGAATGCAAAATAACCTGGAGCCGGATGCCTGGGTTTGAATCCCGGCTGTGCCCTCAGCTGGGTAACCTAGAGTTCAGGTTCCCTGACCTCTGTCTCCACTTCCTCCAGCTGTAAAGTGGTGATGATGACAGCACTAACTTCAGAGGGCTTTGGCAAGATCAGAATGAGTTAATAGATGAGCTTTTAGGACAAGGCCAGGCTCAGAGTAGACGCTGAAGAAGGGGTGGCATCATCATCATCATCTTCACCATCATCATCATCTTCATCATCATCATGTCCTCGGGTTGGTGCTGTCCCCCAGTGGGTGTTGGCCACTAGAGGGTTAATTTCAGGGTAGGGGAGGGAGGCTAAGGGCTTGGGGCCGGGCAGAGGTCCTGCCGAGTATGACCACCAGAGGGAGCAGCTGGACGTGATCTGGCCCCACTGACAGCGCCCAACACACCCTCCTGTAGCCAGGGGAGGGGGCTGGCAGAGAGTGGCCAGGACGGGATGTCCCCAGCCCCCCCAGGGCCTCTCCTCCCACCCTGCTCCAGAATGCAGAGCCATCTGGTCCCCACCCTGGTGACATCGTCCTCCTGCTCCCCCAATAGGGTTGAGTGGGGAATCTGGGGAGGGGGCTGGCGGGAGTGGTGGGGCGGCTCCAGCCCTTGGTGGCCCCTCCCCCTCCTGTGGGGCTGTCCAGTCCCTTCCCCCAAGGCCGACCTTCTCATGGCCTCTGACCCCCTCCTCCTTCCCATCCTACTCTGCCGGGTGTGCCGGGTGTCCAGCGAACCCCTTTCCCAAACCTTCGGGGAGAAGGGAGGTGGGAGGAGGCAAAGAAACTACAGGCAGGGAGCTGGAAGGGGGGGTGGGGGGGGCAGGAGACAAGAAATCAAGACACCAGGCAGCAGGACACACACACACTCACATACACTCACACACATAGAGACCAACAGATAGACAGCTACCTAAAGCCTGAAAGACTGACAGCAACACAGAAAAAAAGAAACAGGCAGAAAGAGAGACAAAGACAGAAATAGAAACAGACTAACACACAGAGTCAAAAATACAGAGACAGAAAGACAGGGAGAAAGAGAAACAGAAAATTAGACACCAAAGACATACGAACAGGGAGGAAGGCCGACTGAAAGAAAGACGGAGAAGAGGAGAGAGAAGCCAGGGCCGAGCGTGCCAGCAGGCGGATGGAGGGCGGCCTGGTGGAGGAGGAGACGTAGTGGCCTGGGCTGAGCTGGGTGGGCCGGGAGAAGCGGGTGCCTCAGAGTGGGGGTGGGGGCATGGGAGGGGCAGGCATTCTGCTGCTGCTGCTGGCTGGGGCGGGGGTGGTGGTGGCCTGGAGACCCCCAAAGGGAAAGTGTCCCCTGCGCTGCTCCTGCTCTAAAGACAGCGCCCTGTGTGAGGGCTCCCCGGACCTGCCCGTCAGCTTCTCTCCGACCCTGCTGTCACTGTGAGTGTCCAGCCTTCTGCATGCCCGAAGGTGGGGACGGAAGTCCTGGGACCCCAGAGGTTGGGATGTGGTGCCGGGTCTCCAGGGAAACAGGGGCCCATCAGGATCTCAGGAGATGGGCAGCAAAGCCTGTCGGGATGCCTTGAAGAGGGGTGCTGGCATCTGGGAAGGAGCAGAAGGAAACCCCAGAGGGCAGGGACAGCATTTGGGGCCCAGGAGGAGGGTTGAGTGCTGTCAGGGTCCTTGTCAAGCCAGGAGGGCAAATGCCTGCCTCCTCTGGCATGCAGGGGAGACACATCCAGGGTCAGGGTGGCACGCTGGGGTCTCCCGGATGGCAGAAGGTTCTGGTTTGCAACTGGAGTATTGCTGTGGTGTCCCTCTCACCTACCACTGCCCACATCCCCAGCTCACTCGTCAGGACGGGAGTCACCCAGCTGAAGGCCGGCAGCTTCCTGAGAATTCCGTCTCTGCACCTGCTGTGAGTGGGGCCTGGCTGGGCCGACAACCAGCTCAAGGGAGTGTGCGTTTATGCACATGTGTGGGAGTGTATGCTCACACAGATGTCAGGTGGGCATTGATGCACGTGTGTGGGGGTGTATGCACACGTCTGTACAAAAGCATTTGTGTCCATGCACATACTCACACCTGCGTGCCCATGCCCACCTAGGCTGAGGGTGGAGGCCAGGGTTAAAATGTCAGATGGGGGCTGCAATTCTGGAAAAATTTCTTTCTTGCCCCCTTGCCAGCCTCTTCACCTCCAACTCCTTCTCCGTGATTGAGGACGATGCATTTGCGGGCCTGTCCCACCTGCAGTACCTGTGAGTGAGGCCAGGGGATGGAGGCAGGTGGGTCTGGGCAAGGAGGGACCCTTCTGTGGCTCCCAGAGTAGGGGGAGATGGGAGCTGTGGCCCTGAGGAGCAGGTGTTTGGACATCATGGTGGGATGGTGTTGATAAAAATGGCGAACCCAATGGTGATGATGCTTTGGGTGATACTGATGAAGTTCTCAGGGCTGGTGTCAATGATGTTTATCAGTGTTGATTATCACCTCACTTCTCTGCTTCAAGATCTACAAAGGGCCCGGATAACCAGAGCCTGATTCTGGCTCTCCCTGACTCATAGAAACCCAGGAAGGGTGTACAGAAGTCAGAGACAAGAAACGTTTCAAATGACCAGGAAACAACTCTGAATTAGGTAGTGGTGGTGATACTGTGGTGGTGTTGAGGGTGGTGCTGACGATTGGGTAGTGGTGGTGATGGTGGCAGCGGTGGCAGTCACAGCATGACAATGCTGGCATTGGTGTGGGTCATGGCGTTGATGATAATGGCAGTGGTGATGACCCTGTTGCTGCTGCTGACATGGGATTGGTGGCATTATTGATGATGATGGAGTGGGGATGATGTTGGTAAAAATGGTAGCCCCAGTGGTGATGATGCTATGGATGAAATCACTGATGAAGTTCTTGGGGCTCGTGTCTGTGATAATTATCAATGTTGTGGGGGTGGGTCATTACAGTATTGGTGTTGATGTTGGTGATGGCTGTGGGTAGGATGTTGGGGTTGGTATGAATGGCAATGTTGTTGGTACTGGGTTGGTGATGATGGTGAAGGTGTTGGTATTTATGGAAACTCCGGCAGTGGTAGTACTGGTGGTGGGTGAATATGTGCATCTTGGGCATAATGGAGATGTGAGTGTTGGCAGTGTTGGTGGCGCTCATGCTGATGTGTGTGATAGTGCTGCATTGGAGATGCGGGTGGCAATCTTTTTGGTGTTGATCATGAAGATTGTGTTGTTGGTGATGATTATTAGTGTTGTTGGTGTGGAGTTTGGTAATGATGATATTGGTGATGGTGTTGATGGGAGTGGGTGGTGATGTTATTGGTGACAATGATGCTAGTGTTGGTGATGATAGTGGCAAGGTATAATGTTGGGGATAACAGCAGTTATTGGTCTTGGGGTTGATGATGGTAACAGACATGGGTGTTGGGGATGCTGGCATTGGGTTGGTCATTACAGATGATGCTGGAGGTAATGTGGTGGTGTGGGTGCTAGCACTGGTGGTGGTGATGGTGGTGGCAGGGTATGGTGTTGGGGATAATGGCAGTTATTGGTCCTGGGGTTGATGACAGTGATAAAGACATGGGTGTTGGGGATGCTGGCATTGGTGTTGGTCATTACCAATGATGCTGGAGGTATTGGTGATTTGGGTGTCAGCACTGGTGATGGTGATTGTGGTGGTGGCAGCAGGACAATGTTCACAGTGAAACTGGCAATGACTATGGGGCCAGTTTCATGGCTCCTAGAATTGATGGCTGGGACTTTGGGAGGAGAGGTTTTTGAGAGGCTTTCCCTGGGATTGTCCGTGGTATTGGAAGAGAATTCAGCACCTTCCAGTGGGCCTATGTCTTTCATGGGGTGCGTTCCCTGAAGCTCAGCGGGCCTCCCCCTGACCCCAGCTTCCCTCCACAGCTTCATCGAGGACAATGAGATTGGCTCCATCTCTAAGAATGCCCTCAGAGGACTTCGCTCGCTTACACACCTGTGCGTGCCTCCACCGCCCCAGCCCTCCATGAGAGGCACCCATGCTCCACCCCCCAGGGAACACAGGGTATCCTTGTGGCTGCTGACGGTGCCTTCTCTTCCTCCACCAGAAGCCTGGCCAATAACCATCTGGAGACCCTCCCCAGATTCCTGTTCCGAGGCCTGGACACCCTTACTCATGTGTGAGGCTCATGGGGGCTGGGAATGTGGGGGGTTGGGGAATGTTTGTGTCGGCGGGGGGCATCCGTGCCCACTTCTGGTTGGCGTGCATGCATTTGGCTGCAGTGGTTCTTACGTATTTTTCTTACCACTATGGGGCCCCATCTCTGGGGACACTTGCCTGAGGTGGGGGCAGGAGCATGGCCCCCAGGGCGTGGAAGCCGGGTCGCAGCCCCTCCCTGGCCTCTTGCCCCAGGGACCTCCGCGGGAACCCGTTCCAGTGTGACTGCCGCGTCCTCTGGCTCCTGCAGTGGATGCCCACCGTGAATGCCAGCGTGGGGACCGGCGCCTGTGCGGGCCCCGCCTCCCTGAGCCACATGCAGCTCCACCACCTCGACCCCAAGACTTTCAAGTGCAGAGCCATAGGTGGGGGGCTTTCCCGATGGGGTGGGAGGCGGGAGATCTGGGGGAAAGGCTGCCAGGGCCAAGAGGCTCGTCTCACTCCCTGCCCTGCCATTTCCCGGAGTGGGAAGACCCTGAGCAAGCAGCACTGCCTTCCTGAGCCCCAGTTTTCTCATCTGTAAAGTGGGGGTAATAAACAGTGATATAGGAGTGCCATGGGAATTCAATGATACATCTTCACGTGTTCGGCATTTGGCGCCGGGCCTGGGACAGGAGGTCCTTATAAACGTTCACCCTTGTTAACATAAAAGCAACCAATTTAAAAATTCTTCGTTAAGTGCCAAGTATTGCGCTAAGAACTGCAGGTGCAATGTCACCTCCTTTACATTGACTCGCCTTTTCTATAAATAGATTTTGTTGCCTTTTAGGATACTGGGCAGTGCAGAGAGCACAGAATGATGAGGCCAGCCCTGGGTCTCGCCCTCAAAGAGTTCAAAGTCCAGAGGAATGCAGGCCCAGACAGGACAGCCCAGGACGATCTGGGCAGGATGGGGAGGCCCAGCCAGAGGGGTCAGGGCAGGGATGGGGAAAGCTGTGGGAGCTGAGGGAGCCCAGAGTCAGGGCCAGGGCCACACAGAGCTGGGGGGACAGGAAGGGCTTCCTGAAGGAGTTTAAGCCTGAAGGGTCTTTACACAGATGCTCTTCTTTTCTAAGAGTTGGGGTCTCATTCTCTTGCCCAGGCTGGAGTGCAATGGCGCCATCATAGCTCACTGCAGCCTCAAACTCCTGTGCTCAAGAGATCCTCCTGCCTAAGCCTGACAAATAGCTGGGACTACAGGCATATGTTACTGTGCCTGGCTAATTTTTTTAAAAAACTTTTTTGTAGAGATAGGGTCTGGGAGATGCTACGTTGCCTAGGCTGGTCTTGAACTTCTGGCTTCAAGTGATCTTCCTACCTCAGCCTCCCAAAGTGCTGGGATTACAAGCATGTGCCACCACACCCGGCCACAGATGCTATGAATACAATAACAACAGCAATAATTATTATTATCTATAACAATATGAAGGGGACCTGCCCCTCCACACCTGTGGGTATTTCTCGCAAGGTGGAGAAGAGAGACTGAGAAAAGAAATAAGACACACAGACAAAGTATAGAGGAAGAAAAGTGGGCCCAGGGGACTGGCACTCAGCAAGTGAGGACCCGCGCCGGCACTGGTCCCTGAGTTCTCTCAGTATTTATTGATCACTATCTGTACTATCTCAGCGAGGGGGATGTGGCAGGACTATAGGGTAATGGTGGGGAGAGGGTCAGCAGGAAAACATGTGAGCAAAGGACTCTGTGTCATAAATAAGTTTAAGGAAAGGTACTGTGCCTGGATGTGCACGTAGGCCAGATTTATGTTTAACTTTACACAAACATCTCAGTGCAGTAAAGAGTAGCTGAGCAGTATTGCCGCCAGCATGTCTCACCTCCAGCCATAAGGCGGTTTTCTATCTCAGTAAACAGAATGTACGATCGGGTTTTACACCGAGACATTCCGTTCCCAGGGACGAGCAGGAGACAGATGCCTTCCTCTAATCTCAACTGCAAAGAGACCTTCCTCTTTCACCAATACTCCTCAGCACAGATCCTTTACAGGTGTCGGGCTGGGGGACAGTAAGGTCTTTCCCTTCCCACGAGGCCATATCTTAGGCTGTCTCAGTGCAGGGAAACCTTGGACAATACCCAGGCTTTCTTGGGCAGAGGTCCCTGCGGCCTTCCACAGTGCATTGTGTCCCCGGCTAATCGAGAATGGAGAATGGCAATGACTTTTACCAAGCATACTGCCTGCAAACACATTTTAACAAAGCACGTCCTGCATAGCCCTAAATTCATTAAACCATGAGTCAATATAGCACATGTTTCTGTGAGCACAGGGTTGGGGCTAAGTTCATAAATTAACAGCATCTCAAAGCAGAAGAATTTTTCTTAGTACAAATCAAAATGGAGTTTCTTATGTCTTCCTTTTTCTGCATAGACACAGTAACAGTCTGATCTCTCTTCCTTTCCCCCACAACATGTATATATAATATATATATAATTATATATGCATACATAATTATTATCAGCATATAATTATTATTATTCTAAGTGTAAGAAAGACATGTTTTTGGTCTGTGGGACACATAGAAGAAGGGGATTTAACTTAGGGAGTCCCTCTTCATTCAAGTTATCCAACAAATGTTCACTGAAGTCCACTCAGTGCCCAGCCCTGTGAGAGGTGATGGTCACTGTGGTTGCGACCTGAGCCGTGGCCTTACGGGACTTACAGTCCTGGGAGTTTGGGGAGATGGACATTTAACAAACACGGCACAGATCAATGTGTGCTATACGTTGTGATAACTACAAGGAGTGATGAGAGAATGAGGGTTCCTATGGGAGTCAGAGAAGGCTTCTCTCAAGTGGGGATGTTAGGTCTCGATGTGGCTAAGTGAGGAACAGAGGGAAGGGCTCTTCAGAGAGAGGGAACAGCCTGGCCGGTGGCCCTGAGGCAGCATACAGTGTGCCCTGTTTGAAGATCAAACGAAGGCAGGTGTGGCTCAGGGGTAGTGAGTGGAGGGACAGGTATGGATTTTGGAAGCCACAGAGAGGAGAGGAGACTTTATTCTGGGCCATGGCAAGAATAGAAAGTTTTTTGTATGTTTGTTTGTTTATTTGAAACAGGATCTCACTCTGTCGCCCAGGCTGGAGTTCAGTGGTACAATCACGGCTCACTGAGGCCTTGACCTCCCCAGGCTCAGGTGATCCTCCTGCCCCAGCCTCCCTGGTAGCTGGGGCTACAGGTGCACCACCACCATGCCTGCTAATTTTTTGTATTTTTTGTAGAGATGGGGTTTTCACCATGTTGTCCAGGCTGCTCTCGAACTCCTGGGCTCTACTGATCCATCTGCCTTGGCTTCCCAAAATGTGGGGATTACAGGCGTGAGCCACCACTCTCGGCTGAGAGTTTTGAGCAAGAGGTGATTTGATAGCCATTTAAAAAAGATTCGCCCTTTAGGTGGGCATTATATGTAGTTTGGCTCATTGCTTCAACGCTGGCACCTGGAAACAGGGCCTGGCACGCAGAGTGAAATATTACAGCCTGGAGTCAACTGCCCAGCTCCCCTACTAACAAGCGGAGCAGCCTTGGTGCCCCAGTGACAATGAAAGCCAAGCCGCTGTCACAAACTCTCAAAATACCATGAATTAAGGATAGAAGGATCTGGAGTGAGCTGTCCAGGTACGTGGGGCAGTCCCTGGGCATTGTCCTTGCTTTCAGGCTTGAAACCAGGTTGTGGCACACCCACGTGGTGGGAAAGGAGACCAAGTTGGGACAAGCTGTTTCCAGGTGTGGTGGCTCATTACACTCATCACATCTGCCCTTGTTCCACTGGTTACTCAGTCTCAAAACAGCCACATCTAACTTTCAGCGAGGGCGGTGAATGGGGGTCCCGGGATAATGCAGCCTCTAGCTGGGTGGCCTGGTGACCAGCTCCAATCCTCTCTCCTGGAAGGTGGGAAGGATGGATTTTGTTGGATAACAGACTGCCTGTGCCAGTTAGCCTTTGTTTTCTCATCTGCGAAGGGGAAATCATCACAGAATGTACCTCACAGGGATGTTGTGAAGTTAAATGAATTAATCCAGATGCTGTTTCTAAGGGATTATTTGGTGATGCCACACAGCTTAGAAAATAAGATTTATGGGCCGGGCACGGTGCCTCACGCTTGTAATCCCAGCACTTTGGGAGGCCGAGGCGGGCAGATTATGAGGTCAGGAGTTCGAGACAAGCCTGGCCAACATGGTGAAACCCCATCTCTACTAAAAATACAAAAATTAGCTGGGCGTGGTAGCGGGCGCCTGTAATTCCAGCTACTCGGGAGGCTGAGGAAGTAGAATTGTTTGAACCCAGGAGGTGGAGGTGGCTCATGTCTGTAATCCCAGCACTTTGGGAGGTCAAGGCAGGAGGATCTCTTGAGCCTAGGAATTCCAGACCAACCTGGGCAACATAGCAAGACTCCATCTCTGCAAAAAATAAAAAAATAGCCAGCCATGGTAGCACACACCTGTAGTCTCAGCTTAAGAGGCTGAGGAAGGAGGATTGCTTGAGCCTAGAAGGTGGAGGCTGCATTGAGCTATGATTGTGCCACTGCACTTCAGCCTGGGAGACACAGTGGGACCCTGTCTCAAAACAAAACAAAATACCCCTCGACCCAAACCAAACAAACATCTACAGATCAAGATTCCAGTTATATGTCCCTATGAGGGGGGTACCATGAATGGCCTCCATTTCAGAGATGTAGGCAAACTGAGGCTCAGCAATGAGGACCCTGGGGGTCCTGGGGCCTGCCTGACTCTCTTCTCCACCCACAGAGCTGTCCTGGTTCCAGACGGTGGGGGAGTCGGCACTGAGCGTAGAGCCCTTCTCCTACCAAGGGGAGCCTCACATTGTGCTGGCACAGCCCTTCGCCGGCCGCTGCCTGATTCTCTCCTGGGACTACAGCCTGCAGCGCTTCCGGCCCGAGGAAGAGCTGCCCGGTGAGCCCCCTCCCCGTCCTTCTGCCTGTCCAGCAGCCTGCCTGGCTGGCCTGACCTGCCTCCCCACCTCCCCACAGCGGCCTCCGTGGTGTCCTGCAAGCCACTGGTGCTGGGCCCGAGCCTCTTCGTGCTGGCTGCCCGCCTGTGGGGGGGCTCACAGCTGTGGGCCCGGCCCAGTCCCGGCCTGCGCCTGGCCCCAACGCAGACCCTGGCCCCGCGGCGGCTGCTGCGGCCCAATGACGCCGAGCTCCTGTGGCTGGAAGGGCAACCCTGCTTCGTGGTGGCCGATGCCTCCAAGGCGGGCAGCACCACGCTGCTGTGCCGCGACGGGCCCGGCTTTTACCCGCACCAGAGCCTGCACGCCTGGCACCGGGACACGGACGCTGAGGCCCTGGAGCTGGACGGCCGGCCCCACCTGCTGCTGGCCTCGGCTTCCCAGCGGCCCGTGCTCTTCCACTGGACCGGTGGCCGCTTCGAGAGACGCACAGACATCCCCGAGGCCGAGGATGTCTATGCCACACGCCACTTCCAGGCTGGTGGGGACGTGTTCCTGTGCCTCACACGCTACATTGGGGACTCCATGGTGAGGCTGGGCCTGGGGGCGGGGGGCTGGCTTTTCAGCACTGACCCAATCTTGCACACTAAGCCTCTAAACTCTGACCTACCCTCACATGCCGACCTTTGAACCAGGACCCCACCCCACACTGATGCCAAGACTCTGACCCCCTCAAGGCTGGCTGACTCCGAACCACTCCCCAGTCCCCGACACTGATGCTGGCCCCAACATCCTGATTCTACCCCCAAATGCTGGCTCTGTGACTCGGATGCATTCCAGACTTCACCACAGCCACACCTGTCCCCACCCTGACACTGAGCCCCCAAGGCTGATGCTAGGGTTAAGCACTGCCCACTGTTTCTGGAGTGAGGTGCAGGCAGGGGAGGGTTCTGAGTCTGGAAGGGCCCTGATCTGACTCAGGTGTTCACAAGGTCTCTGGGTGGGGAACAGACTGGGGGAGCAGGGAGAGGAGCCTAGAGGCCAGGGAAGAGGCTGCCAGGATGGTCCAGTCAGGAGGGGATGGAGTTCAGCCAGAGGTGGTGGGAGAAATGTACAACTGTAGAAGGTGAAACTGACAGAGTCCATGGCTGAGTGCTTCTGTGTGGGGCGTGAGGGCAAGGGAAGGGCTCAGAACAACTGCATGTGTGTGGCCGAACAGGTGGGTGGTGACTTTTATGAAGATAAGAAAGCTATGGGAGTTTTGGGACCGACAGGCTTCTGCTTCCAAGCTGTTCCACGGCCCCCAGAGACCCCCGGGACCCCAGGCCCTCACTGGCCACACCCCCACAGGTCATGCGCTGGGACGGCTCCATGTTTCGTCTGCTGCAGCAACTTCCCTCGCGCGGTGCCCACGTCTTCCAGCCACTGCTCATCGCCAGGGACCAGCTGGCCATCCTAGGCAGCGACTTCGCCTTCAGCCAGGTCCTCCGCCTTGAGCCTGACAAGGGGCTCCTGGAGCCACTGCAGGAGCTGGGGCCTCCGGCCCTGGTGGCCCCCCGTGCCTTTGCCCACATCACTATGGCCGGCAGACGCTTCCTCTTTGCTGCTTGCTTTAAGGGCCCCACACAGATCTACCAGCATCACGAGATCGACCTCAGTGCCTGAGACCACCAACGGGACTCTGGGCATGGCTGGGGCCCCTGGACGGCCCCTTGGCTGGCTCCTGGCCCTACTTGGGGTGATGGCCCGCCTGTGAGCTGCTGACCGTGGGCCACGTTCATCAGCCACACGTCTAGGCCTTAAGCCCACTTCTTAAAGGATCTGCACCCATGGGGGGACATAGAGGGTCCCAGCCTACTGGACCTCCCGAGCTGCCCTTCAGGTCTAAAGCAACATCTGGACATCTCGGCTGGGGCAGATTCCCCATCAAAGGCAACCTGGGGGGTGCAGGCTGGTGCACTGCATGGAGTCGAGGTGGAGGTCACGTGCAGAGCTCCATGAGGTCCCGGAGCCCCCCTCTCAACCCGCTCCTACCCCGCTGGTCCCTCTGAAAGCACCGAGGGGTTGATGGCATTCCTTTCCCATTCTAAACTCCACGCAGCCAATCGCTTTCCTGGAGGAGCGCCAACCTCGAAGACAACTCAGCACTGGGCGGGTTCCCCTCTGCTGCTTGTGCGCATGCGTGCGGCCGCCCAGCAAGCTGTGCCTTTTGCGCCTCTTGCGCGTGCGCCGGGGCACAGGGAGGGACAGCGGGAGGTGTCGCGGGGAGCCTGGTGCCCTTCTAGATGGGCGACGGAGGCAAGGACAAGACGAGTCCGAGCTCAATAAATGCGCTGTGCACCCTCCCCGCCCAGTGTTGTGGATCCTTGGGAGAGGATGTCCTGTGAACGGCACAGGGCGGGGATGGTGTCCCTGGAGCAGTGCTCGGAGCGGCCCAGGTCCCAGGGAGGCGTTTCCGCAGTTCATGGTCTCTGAGTGTGGGTTCGTGGTTATGGAGGGACTCAGGGGATGTTTGAGGGATAAAACGGCATGATGAGGGGACAAGTCACGAGTTTATTGTGGGTCTCTTTTTGGGTTCATGTTTCAGGACATTGGAGGAGATATTTTTGGGTGTTTTGAGTTTTAGGCGTGTTGTGGGGTAGTTCATGAGAACATTTCGCATGCCTTATTAGGTATTGGGGAGTCTCAAGGGACTTTGAGGCTTGTTGGAAGTTCTCACACTATGTGGTCATTGTATGTTATTAAGGGTAGCATAGGGAATTATTTAACGGGCTTGCAGGGACATTTGGGTATTTGGAAAGATCTTGTAATAAAGTGAGGTCTCGGGGTAAGTGAGAGGGTCACAGGGGCTTACTATTATAAACTGTCTGAACACTTCCATCATAGCGGGACGATCCTATGTCCCAGTTTTCCTGGAATGGTCCAGGGTCCACTGGAATGTTCCAGTGTTCCATCTGGTTAGAGCTCTCTTTCATTCCTTTTGGCTACTAGTAAATCCCAAATTGCATATGAGGTTCCCATGGCTGAGGAGGCAGAGGGCGGGCCTGTGCCATGTCCCAAGCCACAAGGGAACAGGCCTGTGGGCTTTTCCCAACAAGCAGGCTCAGTGCCAGCCTCTGTGTCAGCCTCCAGGGCACGCCAACCTTCTCATGGTGCCCCAAGCCCCACCCCAATGCACACATAGGAAGTCTCCAGGCTGCTTGGGCAGAGGCACAATCATTTTAGATTAAAAAAAATTGAACAAAGAGACCCTCTTGCGAGAGGTGAGATGAGGCCCTGCCATGCAAAGGAGTCCCAGCAGAGGAGGAAGAATTCCATCCTGGAGTTCAAGTTTCTGTGCAGAGACAGGACCTGGGGACAGAGAACGGTCCTCCACCCAATTTCAGCTGGTCTGTCCTCATCAGCTTTGGGCTGAGCCTGCGGGAAGTGATGGGGTCCGTTTGTGAGGGTGGATTGAGTTCTTTTCTTTCCAGTGTGCAAACACACACATACACACACACACACACACCACTTCCGTGTTCCCCTGAGCCCCATGCTGCCCCATCTTACCTGGGGTGATGAGAGGTGGAGTCTCCCCTGGATGGTGACTAAGGAGACAAAAGTGGTGAGATTGGTGTCCGCCCCCATTTGCCCTCTCCCTCCGGATAGAGGGTTCTTAGCCTGCCCAGACATGTCTTCCTGGCTGCCTTTCCATTTGGGGGGTTGTGCAATCCCAGGGGCCAAAGCATTTCAGGATTTGGGGCCCCCTGGGGATTACCAGCTAGAAACAATAAACCTGGAAATCTTAGCGGCAGGAACTCTAAAGGGCAGAGCCCCGAGGCCTCTCCTGCTGGGAGAGTTAGCCCTTTCACCCTGAAAAGCGTCCAGTCAGCCTGAGGCGGGCATGCCGGAACAGTATCTTACCCGGACTTCTGGCCAAACTTGCATTTGCATTTTGCACCTGTTGGGGAGAGCTGAGTGGTCAGGGGAGGGGAGCCCCAGCCCCGGCCCGCCTGCTCCCCCGAGCTCCTCCACTCACTCATGACGATGATGATGCCCATGGCGCACAGAACCCCAGCGCAGATGAGCCCGCCAACCTGGAGGCTGTGCCAGTCTAGGAGGAAAGTGGAGGGGACCTCAGTGCCAGCCTGTGTCCTCTCCATCTGTCCCCCCATTCTCTTGACAAATATATATGGAGCACCTAGGATGCACAGGGTGCTGGGGACACCGCCATAAGAAAACAGACAAAATCCCAGGTGCTCACATTCTGGTTCACACACCAGCAAACACGATCTGTCGTGCAGGGTCAGGCAGAGATAAGTGGTTTGAAGAAAAATAAGTGGGGTGGGAGATGGAAAGTCAGAGGGCGGGCTGGGCATAGTGGCTGACACCTATTAGGTTGGAGCAAAAGTGATTGCGTTTTTGGCTAGACATGGTGGCTCACGCCTGATATCCCAGCACTTTGGGAGGCCAAGGTGGGCGGATCACCTGAGGTCAGGAGTTCCAGACCAGCCTGGCCAACATGGTGAAACCCCGTCTTTACTAAAAATACAAAAATTAGCCAGGCATGGTGGTAGGCGCCTGTAATCCCAGCTACTCAGCAGGCTGAGGCTGGAGAATCATTTGAACCCGGGAGGCAGAGGTTGCAGTGAGCCAAGATTGCACCATTGCACTCCAGCCAGTCACACTCTGGGTGAAAGAGCAAAATTCTGCCTCAAAAAAAAAAAATTGCATTTTTGCCATTAAAAGCAGTTGCAAAAACCACAATTACTTTTGAACCAACCTAATATAATCCCAGTGCTTTGGGACTTCAGGAGTTCAGGAGTTCTAGACCAGCTTGAGCAACATAGTGAGAACCCATCTCTACAAAGTATACAAAAATTAGCCAGGCATGGTGGTGTATGCCTGCAGTCCCAGCTATTCAGGAGGCTGAGGCAGGAGGATCGCTTGAGACCAGGAGTTTGAGGCTGCAGTGAGCTATGATTACACCACAGCACTCCAGCTTGGGCAACAGTGTGAGACGCTGTCTCTAAAACAAAAAAAAAGTCAGATGGCAGCTCTTTTAGAGGGAGTTGTCAGGGAAGGCCTCTCAGGGGGCTGCATTTGAGCAGAGGGAAGGGAGGGAGCCATGTGGTTCTGTGGAAGGAAGTGTTCCAGGCAGAGGAACCAGCAGGTGCAGAGGTCTGAGGCTGGCAGTATGTCTGCTGTGTCTGAGAGGCTTGGAGCAGAAGGAATGAGGAGCGTGGAGAGGTGAGGGCAGAGCGGGGAGTAGGGAGCAGGTCATTGGAACCTGGAGGCCAGATGAGGGTTTTGATCCAATAGCTCACCACCTCCAGGAAGTTTTCTCAAGTCAACACTTCTCCCAGCAGTTGATCTGAACCAACCAATGGCTTCTTGCAAACTGTCCTCACCTCCTGCGTGTGTCTATCTTGCTGGAATAGAACCTTCCCAAAGGCCAGGTTGCTGCCTCTAGTTCCTTTAATCCACTGTGTGGCATATTCAGTAACCCCATCCTAGTCCCTTCGTATCTTTGTCCTGTGATGCTCACGTCAGGCCCCAACCCTGTATGGGAACCCTTGGCACCAAGCAGTATGTGGGGTTGTGGGGAGGGGAAAGGGGGCACGGGCTCTCACCATAGTAGAAAGGACTGTTTTTATCTGCAAGGAAAGAAAAAAGATCATGAATCCAGGATTACAGCCAGGATGCAGGCCTTCCCCACCCAGGGGAGAATTTGGGGGTGTGACGGGTGAGAGTCCAGTCTGACTCACCTTCTAGGTCATTGGCGTCCAGGACAGGAAAGCCTAGTGGGAGAAGAGGGGAAGGAGGGGAGATGGTGATGCCGGCCTCAGCCAAGCCTTTGGGCAGGGCCTGGGGAGTTTCAGGGGCCTTGGGAAAGGGTCTCCTGCGGGACAGGGGTCCTGTCACTGAGCAGCCACCTCATCCCCTCATATCCCAACGAGGAAATGTGGACTCGCCCACTCAGCCCCACACCTCCGAGTCACGCCAGCATTCTGCCACCTGAAATGGGTTCTAATCTAGGAGGTTTTTAGCCACTATTTGGTCTCATGTTTCCAGACACGTGGTTAATCCATGCCTCCTGCAGCAGCGGGGGACTTTTCTGGTCAAGACGACAGATGGTTTCAGTTCCCAGATTCCTGTTTCCCCAAGTCCAATCATGCTCAAAGCCCATCCTCCCGCTTCCACCATGTCCACACCCACCTGGTCTGGTGTTTGCACATCATTGAAAATGACTCACTATTATACACTTAAATAGACTTTATTGAAAATGTAATTTTAGATCACTACCCTGCAGGGAATACTGGTCTTGCCCTATGTAATGGACAAAAAGTGTGCCTGTAATCCCAGAGCTTTGGGAGGCTGACGTGGAAGGATCTCTTGAGCCTGGGAGGTCAAGGCTGCAGTGAAAAAGTAAAAAGCGGGCTGGGCACAGTGGCTTAGGCCTGTAATCCCAAAACTTTGGAAGGCCGAGGCAGGAGGATCACTTGAGGTCAGGAGTTCGAGACCAGCCTGGCCAATATGGTGAAACCTTGTCTCTTCTAAAAATACAAAAGTTAGCCAGGCATGGCAGCACACGCCTGTAATGCCAGCTACTTGGGAGGCTGAGGCAGGAGAGTCGCTTGAACCTGGGAGGTGGAGGTTGCAGTGAGCCGAGATCATGCCACTGCACTCCAGCCTGGGCAACAGAGCGAGACTCTGTCTCCGAAAAAAAAAAAAGAAAAGAAAAAAGGGAAAAGTGTTTGGAAGTTAAAGATGCAGTCGCACTGAGCTGAGCCTTCTACTTGAAGTTTTTAGAGAACTGGCAGGGCAGTTATCTTCTTTCAGTGCTTTGAAGGTGTCATTTCATCATCTTCTCTAGCTTCCGTTATTTCTGTTTAATAGTCAATCAAGGCCAGTGCAGTGTGGCTCATGCCTGTAATCCCAGCACTTTGGAAGGCTGAGGTGGGAGGATCAAACTCAGCCAGGAGTTTGAGACCAGCTTGGGCAACACAGTGAGACCTCGTCTCTGCAAAAAATCAAAAATGCACTGGGCATGGTGGCGTGTGCCTGGCATTCTAGCTGTGTAGGAGGCTAAGAGAGTAGGATCGCTTGACCCCAGGAGTTCAAGGCTGTAGTGAACTGTGATTGCGCCATTGCACTCCAGCCTGAGCAACAGAGACTCCCTTTCAAAAACAAAAACAAAAACAAAAACAAAAACAAAAAAAGCCAAAAAAAAAGAAGAGATCGAGAGAATGGGGAAGACGGTGACTTTCCAGCTGTGTGAGCCAGCTCTTCTCGTGTATCCCCGGCTATCACTAGTCTGACTTTTCTTACCCTCAGGGAGATGCTGTTCTAACATTTACCACCTTCCCGGGGAGGTAGAAAAGCACAGGAGAGAGACAGAGGTTGGATCCCCGCATCCAGGGGATCCAGAGGAAAAGGCAGACGGGGGATGGGTACTCACCTGCCAGGAACACAAGCAGGCCCAGGGTCACCTTCTGCATGTCAGAGCGCTGGCCTAGAGGGGTGGCGGGAGGTCTGGCCTTAGCAGAGCCACCGGGAGGCTGGCCCTGTGCCTGTGGCTCCCCAACCCTCCTCCCCTGCTCCCCAGGCAGGGTGCGCAGCTCACCCGGGACAGGAAGGCTGGCATCTCGCTGGGCTGAGAGATAAGCCGCAGCTGCACCGTGGAGTGGGGACTGGGTGAAACTCGGGCCTGAGGCGGGAGGAGCCATAATAACTCACTGGACATGGACTTCAGGCTTTCTGGGAATCGCCCCGCAACCAAACAAGGGCGCCACTGCCCGCTGTTGTCCTCACTGGACAGATGGGGAGACTGAGGCTCTGAGAGGTGAAACTAGGTGCTCTAGCCAGGAAGTAGGATTTAAGCCAGGCCTGGCTCCCCAGCAGCTGCTCCTAACTAGGGACTGTCAGGGCCTTGGGGTGTTTGGGGAAGCGGGGCATTGGGAGCCAGGCGGCAGGAGGCCCGCTTCCCAGGAGTGTCTCCGTAGACCGCTCAGAGCCTGCCCGGCCCTGCCAGGACATTGCAGACTTCAGGCTGAGGACTGAGCAGGTTCTTCAAGCTGCTTGGGGGTGGGGTGGTGTGTGGAGGAATTGACGTGAGGCTGGGACTGGGGGTAGAGGGGGACTCTACCTCCTGGCTGCAGCCCTAGCTCCATCTCTGTTCCCCCGAACCTCCTGCCCCTCATCCCACACCCATGCCCTTCCCGGTCCCAGCCCTGGCTCTGCCTAGCCGGGGTCCCCAGCCCAGCCCCTGACCCTACCCTAGGCCCAGCAGAGTTCCTGGTGACAGCAAACACTTTCTCTTTCCCAGGTAGACCTGCTCAGCATAAGGAACTCGTTTCTCTCTCCTTCCTGACCTGGCATCAGTCCTGCCCTCTCACCAGCCTGCAAGGCTGCACCAAGCCCTGGCCTCCGAGCATGCCCTCCCCTGCCCTGTCCCTGCCCTGTCCCTGCCCAAATGCTGAGTGCATAGTTATCATAATTGTTTTTTTTTTTTTTTTTTTTGAGGCGGAGTTTCACTCTGTCACCCAGGCTGGAGTGCAATGGCATAATCTCAGCTCACTGCAACCTCTGCCTCCTGGGTTCAAGTGATTCTCCTGCCTCAGCCTCCTGAGTAGCTGAGACTACAGGCGTGTGCCACCAGTCTCGGCTAATTTTTGCATTTTTGGTAGAGCCAGGGTTTCACTGTGTTGGCCAGGCTGGTCTCCAACTCCTGACCTCAGGTGATCCACCCACCCCGGCCTCCCTCAGTGCTGGGATTACAGGTGTGAGCCACCACGCCTGGCCTAGTTATAATTTTGATAGCGAGAGCTGGCACTTCCTCCACCTTGCCCTGGAGTGCACACTGACCTTGCCGTGTTCTCACTCACTTAACCCCCCAGCAATCCCCGACGTCGTCCACTATGTCCTCATTTCACGAACAGCAAAAATGCTGAGAGAGGGTGGTGCCCGCAACCAACGGTGCGGGTGGTCCTTGCAGGTTGGCACAGACTCCTCCCTCTGCCTGGCACCCCAGGGCCTGGGAATCCTCTCAGCTTCCCAGTTAATTCCACATGCTGAACTCACAATTTTAGTTGGAGCATCCATTTCTTTTCCTTTTTTTGCGGGAAGAAAGCCTGAGGCTTTGGGGAGCATTACTGAGGCCCAGGAAGTGTTTAGGATCCCCAAAAGTGTTGGGGGTTGGGGGAGCTGGCGTGGGTGGGTGGGCAGGATGGCATGTTGGATAGGGGCACAGGTTGTAGGTGGACTGCCTGTGGTCTGAAGCTGTCACCCATGACCATACGAGTCCTGGTAATAACAGCAGATGCTTATTGAGTGTCTACCCCATGGGGGCATTTTCTCAGCTTCCCACTTACTCGCTCAATCTCTGCAGCTTAATGCAGGGGGCACTATTATTAGCCCACATTGCAGTTGTAATCCTGTAACCCCTGCAAATTCATCTTAAAGCCCTATGCTCTGTCGCCATGGCTGTTGAGTCTCACCTCTTAAGCCTCTTTCCAGGGGCTCCTCCAAGCCACCTCTGGCCTGCAAGGCCCCACTATACCCCCTTCCCATGATGTCATCCAGCCAAGACTGACAGATGGTATCCTCCTCGCCCCAGCCTCTGCAAAACAACGTCCAGTCCCATGCTTCCGGAGGCTGCAGGGAGCCGGGAGCTGGGTCTGCCCTCACGTTCCCCATTCAGGCTGTTGTCTGAAGAGGCTGTGGGCTGCTCCCGAACTGATGTGGTTGGTGAGCAGGTTAGAGAGGAAGGCAGCCCTGCAGCTGATGCTCTGTCTACCTGCTCTCATCCTTCCTGGCCATGAGGTCCCAAGGCCGGCCTGAGGACTGTTTCCCCCACCTGCCCTCTGCTATCCCCTCTATTCCTCCATACCATGGGAGAATGGTCTCATGTTCAGGGGTGGGTAGAAAGATCCTGCCCGCTGTGTGCTCCTGAAATCTCCCAAGCAACTCCCCATTTAAAGCTTCCCCCAGCAGCTCCATCCTTTTTTCCTGGAGGTCTCCAGAATCCAGATCCCTCAATGTCTGGACACCCCGAGTCCACCCAGCACTCCTTATCCACCCAGATCCCTCAATGTCTGGACACCCCGAGTCCACCCAGCATTCCTCATCCACCCAGATGTCCCCAGTCCATCTACGCACCCCTGGTCCACTTAGATACCCCTACCTACCCAGGCACCCCCTCTCCTCCACCCAGCTATCCCCAACCCAGATATCCCTAATCCATGCAGACACTAGTCTTTCAGACACCCCAACCACACTTATCAGTCCTGCCCTCACCTCAGCTGGTTCAACAAGTCCCTGAGAGGAGAATGGTGGGGAAAGGGACATTAGGGGAAGGGACTTCCGTTTATCTCCTGGCTCCAGAAAAGCATTTCACAAGATTTTAGGCGCTTTAACATAAAAGCTTCTATGGGGCAGGGTCAGGGGGCAGGTAGATACTTCCTAATTTAGGGGCAGAGACAAGGAGGGCTTGGAGGAAGGGGCCCCAGCTGCTCACCTGTGTGGTTCACCAGGCTGAGCAGAGGTTCCGGGAGAAATCGGGCTGCCAGGCGGAGTCCTGCGTTTATCCGAAGCTGCCACGCCCTAAGCAAACCTGGGCAGGTAGAAAACAAGTCAGATGCCCTGAGGCCCAGGGGCTCCATTCCTGCTCTTAAAGAGACAGCTTCACCCCCTCCCCAGCCATGGGCGGCAGGTTGCTCCCTGGGGTCACCAGGACCACAGCAGCCTCAGGTGAGACGGAGAATTGGATGGGCTGGAACTCGGCCCCTGGAATTAAGGGAGGAGCTTTCTCCAATCTCCTGTGCCCAGGAGAGGACCTTGAATGGGGAAGGTTCTGGGGTCTTTAAACGGCAGAGCCTCCAGGGCCATGCAGTGAGATGATGCGTTGGTGTTCCGACCTCACTTCTTTTCCTTAGATGATGTGTTTTGCCTGGTGGAAGGATTGCTGGCAGTTGTGGAGAACTTAAAGTCCCCTTCCAGGCCACATCTTGCCGCTGGTACAATTTCAGGATCAGCAGAAGATGCTAGCGTGACCAAAGTCAGGAGATGGGGCAGGGGTGGATATGAGGGAGCGGCTGGAACAGCAGGGAGGGGTCAGGGTGGGGACTCTGGGACCTTAGTCCTGGTCATAACCTGCTCCCTGCCCTGGGGAGAATGAGAACTGTCTGCCAGGCACCAGGCTGCAGTTTCCTAGCCAGGCTCTTTCCGTGGGTGCTGGGAGCCAGACGCCTGGGTCTACAGAGTGGGTGCTGGTGGGGGCGGCTGCCTCCTAGTCCACATAAGGCCCCCAGCACTGTACAAGCCTCCCTCCCCCTTTCCTCCCCTGTCTCCTGCTCCTCCTCCTCCAGGCATTCCTTCCGGATGGGGTCTGTGCAGGCTCCCCCATGGTCCCAGTTGGGGGTGCCCCCTCCCCTCAATTCCGCCTTCTTAGACAGAGGGACTTTTGTCTGGGGGCTGGATGGAGAACAAGGATCCTTTGAGCGGTTGGCGGAGGATTGGGGTCACGGGGAGGGGTAGGGCCAGGAAAGGGGTAGCTCTGCCCTGGACACCAGCTGGACTCCAGGCGACCCCAACACCACCGTGGGGGCGGGGAGGAGGGCTGCAGGGCCTGGCCAGGGAGAAGCAGCTGCTGGGAGTGTGGAGCACAGGACAGGAAAAGGGGGTTTGGGTCAAGGCTCTTCCGGAAACTGGCCTGCTGGGGGCAGAGAGAAGGACCCCCCACTTGTCATCGCTGAGGGATCGGGGAGGGCAATGTTCGCCCAGCGCTACACCCCTTCTCTATGTGGTTCCCTGGGGCAAGTTGTCAAGCCCAGGTCCTAGACAAGGGTAAGGCTCCCTCCTACCACTCTTAAGGCGGGGCCAGTTCCCATAAGGAAGCCGGGCGGGGGGACCTCGGGGTAGGGCTCTAAGCAACAGGTCCAGGAGGAGATAGAAACAGGAAGGGGAGGCCCGGAGGCCAACTCAGTATAGCTAAGGGGGGTCTTTGTGTCTGGGCGGATAGCGTCTCTTCCCTAGACCCTTGAAGCTTGTGTCTGGGACGACCCCTTGGTGGTCTTGGGAGTGGAATGGTGTCTCCCTCTGCTGGGAAGCCTGGGAACTGCAGGCATCCGAGAGCGAGTAGGGGCGTGTACAGGGTGGCTGGGAAGGGCGGGGGGTGCTCTGCCCTTCACCGGAACGGGGTGAACTGGAGAACTGTTGTCTAAAAATCTTGGAGGAACACCCCTGCCCGTGGTTAGATACAGAAGTATTTCCCAGACAGCTTGCTAAGGGGAAAAAAAACAAGGTATTGGGAAACCGTGCAGTGTGCTACCATTTGTGAGCGGTAAAATAATGCATATGTATATACTTGTAATGAATAAAATATTTTTGGAGATTGGCATCCATACCCATGGCTTCTGGAGAGGGAAACTGGGAGGCTGGAGGGTGGGGTGGAAGTGAGACTCACTCATTATCACGTGCCCTCTTATATTTTTTGAATTTTGCATCTTGAAAATGTACTACCTTAAAGGGGTTTAATTTAAAAAATTTGGTTCAGATTTAAAAAAAAATTTGCAGGTCAAAATTTCAACCTAAGGGCTGGTTTCAACCTGGGGGACCAGCAATTAGAGACTTCTGACAACCTCTGAATGTTCTGTAGTTTTAAACACCATGATCTTACATTCTGAGGTACAGACGTTTACGGTTTTTACCCAATCCAGGTCAACCATAAATTCTTCCTAGGCTGGACGTGAACATGCTGCGTCCAAGTGTGTGTTGGGCTGGCGCTGGGGCTTGGGTTTATGGTCAGAAGGACTCTGAGACCCTAGTGTGATGAGCACACTGAGTCTTAGGAAGGGCTGTGAGGAGTAGAGTTTGTGCAGTCACTTGCACCCTATTGGGGATTAGGTCTCATTTGGAGTGAGTCTTCTGGGCCAATCTGACTTCAGTTATGTTTTAAATGCATGTAGGTAATATGTTTTATTAATATATTGTATATAATATACATAATAAACATATTTGAAAAAGTTTCTCTCGTTTTGCTTTTGGAATCATTTGGGCCCAAAGAACCTGTTAAGGCTGTGAGTGGCTGTGATTTCTCCATATCCTGGGAATTCTTGCAAAATGAAAAAAACCAAACCTACAGATAGTTTCTGACATCATAAGTTTTTCAGGAACGCTGAATTAAAGCACAGAATCAAAGCCAGAGCATGTTATACCATCCCTGATTCAAACTTTTATTGATTTTGTTTCAATAATTTCGTTGCTCTTTATTCAAGGCTGGGAGCGTTTCTGCAGGCTCCTGGCCCTAGAGAGGGCAGCCTGGAGGCACCCCCAGCCATGAGAGGGGTGCTGGTTGGGTGGGGCCTTGCCTTTGCAGGTAGAGCCTGAGCGGCCAGGCTGACCGGCTGGGAGGTGTGGTCACAGCGATACGCCAAGGTCCCACTTCCTGGGCAAGATGGGGCTAGAGAGGCCGGTGGACAGGGTAATGTGGCTTCCTGGGGCTTTGTGGAACAGCGCTGTGGTCTCAGCACCTGTGGGAGAAGAGTGGGCACTGGCAGGTAACCCTGTCCCACCACCATGGGGATGGTGTGGCTGTGGACGTATCACTGTCCGCCTGGCTTCCAGGAGCCATGTGAGGTGACACAGTGGCCAAGAGTCCACAGGCTCCCTGACACCTGCCTCTGTGCTGCTCTGACGTCATCACTCACCCACAGAAGCTAGAAATGGAGATTTTTATGATGAAATCTCCTGTTTTGTTTTGTTTTTTTTTTGAGATGGAATTTTGCTCTTGTCGCCCAGGCTGAAGTGCAGTGGCACGATCTCAGCTCACTGCAACCTCTGCCTTCCAGGTTCAAGCAATTCTCGTGCCTCAGCCTCTCGAGTAGGTGGGATTACAGGTGTGTGCCACCACGCCCGGCTAATTTTTGTATATTTAGTACAGACGGGGTTTCACCGTGCTGGCCAGGCTGGTTTCCAACTCCTGACCTCAAGTGATCCGCCTGCCTCAGCCTCCCAAAATGCTGGGATTACAGGCATGAGCCACCGAGCCCGGCCTTCCGGATTTTTTTTTTTTAAGGTGAGTTCTTGCTCTGTTGCCCAAGCTGGAGTGTAGTGGTCCAATCATGGCTCACTGCAGCCTCCAACTCCTGGGCTTAAGTGATTCTCCCACCTCAGCCTCCCCTGTAGCTGGGACTACAAATGCACGTCACCACACCTGGCTAATTTTTTAATTTTTTTAGAGACGGGGGTCTCGCTATGTTGCCCAACCTGGTCTTGAACTCTGGGTCTCAAGTGATCCTCCCACCTTGGCTTCCCGAAGCGCAGGGATTATAGGTGCAAGCCACTGCACCCGGCCCTGATTTTTAAATGTTGGTAACTTCGTTTTCTTAACACTTTGTAGACAGAATGAAAAATATCCAGTGGTTGGATAAGGCCCTGGGGCCACCGGTTGGAGACCCCCATCTTACAGACTAGGGAAACTCAGGGGAGGTTCAGGGTTCCCCCTAACCCCTGTTGTCACTCACTCTGCTCCGGCCACCTGGGCCTCCTTGCCGTTCCTGGATCACTCCAGGCATGTTTCTGGCCAAGAGCCCTTGCAATGCCTATTCCCTTGCCTGGCTCTCTTTTCTCCCGCATCTGGACAGCTCAAAGCCATGAGGTTCAAGTGGCTTTCCCCGACCACCATCGCACCTACCCCCTGACCTCTCTATGACCTTTTGACTTCTGTTTGCTTTTTTTTTTTTTTTTTTGTGGTGCTATCTGCCTCCCCTGCTAGCACGTCAGCTCCTCTCAGGGATTTTCATCTGAATTATAGAACAGGGCCTGGTGCATAGTGGGTGGTCACGAAGTATCTGTTAATTACCAGGCTGGGCACCATGGCTCACGCCTGTAATCCCAGCACTCTGGGGGGCCGAGGCTGGAGGATCCTTTGAGTCCAGGAGTTCAAGACCAGCCTGGGCAATATAGAGAGATCTTGTCTCTACAAAAATAAAAATAAAAGTAGGTTTAAAACAATTATAAAAGAAAGGCTTTCTCCACCGCCACCCCCCATCCACGGAGGCCTTGCAGGAGGAGCTGAGGTGGGGGTGCTGAGGGTGGAGCTGCTGATGGGGGCAGGGGGTGTGGAGGAATGAATGTCTTGGCCAGCTTCCCCATCATGTGGGGAGTGGGGGCGGCGTGGTGGGGGTGGGGAGGGCTTGGGCAGATGGCTGGGGGTCCTGGGTGCGGGCAGGAACTACAGGGAAGCAGGAAAGGGCAGGGAACACATTTGGAGCTAGACATCTGGGACAGGGACTTCTGGTTCAAGTGGGAGCCCTGCAGCCCGCCCCCCCCCCCCAGCCTGACTCAGTCCCTAAGAGAAGGATTGCAAACTGGCGGTCCCAGGGTGGAACCCAACTATTGTACCTTTAGTTTTTACAAAGCATTGCAAAAATTAATAATTGCAAACATTTAAACAGCAGGACAAGCTGTGTTTCCAGCATCTCTGGAAAAGTCTGGACTAAAAGACCCCCATTCCCACCTGGAAGCCATTGCTGAGGTGGCAGGTCTGTCTCCCTGGGGTGCCCCAGGCCCCAGCTCTGCCTGGTTTGATGGAGGGAGGGAGGGAGGGAAGGAGGGAGGGAGGGAGGGAGAGAAGGAGACGGGCGCTTGCGGTTGCTCCGGCCCAGACCTGCTCCTGTCACCTCCCATCTCAGACCTGCCTTCCACCTTCAAGGCCATGATTACAGCACAGACTCGACAGATGCAGCTTCTGGGGTGCCTCGGGGCATGGTTGACACAGCAAAGGCCCCAGGACTGTCCTCCGCAGAACAGGAAGAGAGGGCGAATCCGCCTGAAGGATTCAGGAAGAGCTCTGTCCTGTTTTGTGATCTCCCTCCAGAAAAAGGCTAAATATTTATTTATTGGTCAACCAACAACAGAGAAGACTGAGTCTTTTGAAAACGCCTGGACAAGTAAATAGGGACAGGAAAAGTGAGACACAGAAACTCAGAAGAAAATTACATAGATATAAAGAGATAAAGCGAATCAGGCAAAATACTAAGAATTGAGGAAGCTATGTGAAGGGTATTTGAGTGGATTGTACGGGTTACATGACTTTTCTATAGTCGAAAATCTCAAAAGTTGGGGAAAAAAATCAATTAAACAATATATTTTTTCAAGACAATGTCTTGCTCTGTCACCCAGGCTGCAGTGCAGTGGTGAGATCTTGGCTCACTGTGCAACCTCCGCCTCCCAGGTTCAAGTAATTCTCCTGTCTCAGCCTCTGAGTAGCTTGGGATTACAGGTGCCCGCCACCACACCCGGCTAATTTTTTGTCATTTTTTAGTAGAGATGGGGTTTCACCATGTTGGCCAGGCTAGTCTCGAACTCCTGACCTCAAGTGATCCGCCCGCCTGGTCCTCCCAAAGTGCTAGGATTACAAGCGTGAGCCATTGCGCCCAGCCCTTAAAAATGTAATATTAAAGTTAACACAAAATAATAAATCACAAGATAAAAAACAACACCGAAAAAGTGGAAGGAAAAGTAAATTTAGAACCAGGTAAACTAACAGTTAAGGAAACAGAATTTAAATGAACTTAAGAAACTCTATATTTATGTATATTACTATAGTTTATATATTGAATATTTTATCTATATATATTTTTCCTTTTACTGTCTATATATTTTTCCTTTGCCTGTGTTCTTGTTGGCCCTCCCACAATGTCTTCCTTCTCCTTCCTCCTGGATGAGTTCACCGTTCACAGCCCCTTGGGTCCCAGCTCTGCCCCTTCCTGGCTGTGGGTGACTTAACTCCTCCTGGCCACCCAGCCCCAGCCCCCTAACGGTGGGAGCCCCAAGGCTCTGAGGCTGGTGCTGGGGCTGGCAGGCTCCCTCCTGGCTGCAGAGGCAGGACCATGAGTCTGCAGTTCTAAGATCCTGGCTGGCACCCTCAGCTGCGGGGAGGCACTGACCCAGCAGCCTGCTGGCAGCCGGGACCCATCTCCACATCCCCTTCCCCCTGCACCCTGGTATCCAAGAAGGCAGTGCCGCACTCAGCCTGCGCCAGCGCCACACCCCTGCTCGGGCCTGAGTCATTTACCTACGATTGCTGACTGTCTCTCTATTCTCAACCAATAATCCGGGGGCTTGTGGCTGCAGGACTTAACTGCCTGCGGAGAGTTATTCTTCCACTTAGGGAAACTGCGGCACCCGGGCTTAGTTGTTTAGCGGAAAGTCACCCAGTTAATTAACGGGCAGTCAGGATTCCACCCCACGTCTGGCTGCACACACACCCTGTGTGATTGCAGGGAGTGCACGGAGTACTAAAAACAACAGGGGCGGCCGGGCGTGGTGGCTCACGCCTGTAATCCTAGCACTTTGGGAGGCTGAGCCAGGCGGATCATGAGGTCAGGAGTTCAAGACCAGTCGGACCAACATGGTGAAACCCTGTCTCTACTAAAAATATAAAAATTAGCCAGGCATAGTGGTGGATGCCTGTAATCCCGGCTACTCTGGAGGCTGAGGCAGGAGAATAGCTTGAACCCGGCAGGCAGAGGTTGCAGTGAGCTGAGATCGCGCCACTGCACTCCAGCCTGGGCAACAGAGCAAGACTCCATCTCAAAAAACAAAAACAAAAACAAAAACAAAACCAGGGGCCCACGTAAACTTGAGGGCCCCAGGAACAGTCAGCAGGGTTTGAAGAGGGGATAAGACCCCAGAGAATATTTCCAGAACCATCCACTTCTCCCCTCCCACTGCCCTTACCCTGGCCCAGCCTTTGTCCCCTCCAGCTTGGACGTCCCAGAGCCTCCTCCCTGGTCTCCCTGCTCTGGTCCCTGCCCCACCGCAGTCTGTTCCCACCTGCAGCCAAAGGGAGCCTGGGACCACCTGAGTCCCATCAGGGGCCACCTGGCTCAGAGCCCTGTCCTCGGCGCACCTCGCTCCAGGCAAAAGCGAAGTCCTCACTAGCCCCATAAGTCCCCCACCATCTGGTCCCCGTCACCTCTCTGACCTCATCGTCTCTTCTCCCCAGCCCCTCGCTCAGCTCCAGCCACACCAGCCTCCCTGTGGCTCGTCCAATGCACCAGGCCCCATCCAGCCCCTGCGGGACTCACTCACCCCTGAGATGTGCACATGAGTGCCTCTCTCCTGGGGTTCTGCTCAAATATCACCTTCTCAAGGAGGCTTTCCTTGGCTTCTCAATTTAAAACCATCTTTTCCATCTGGAAGCCACCACCGCCCCTCCCCATCCTGTTCTGTATGTTCTTCCCTGACACGAACGCATACGGCCTCCTGACAAACTATATAATTCATACTGGTGAGGCCTATTGTCTCTCTCTCCTCTGGAATCTCAGCTCCACCACGATGGAGAGATCTTGACCGTTCCACCCACTGCTGTTTCCCCAGCACTGAGCCCAGGGTCTGGCACATAGTAGGTGCTCAGGAAGTTTTTAATGAGTGGATGAATGAACGCCATTCTTTTTTTTTTTTTTTTTTTTGAGACGGAATTTCGCTCTTGTTGCCCAGGCTGGAGTGCAATGGCGTTATCTCAGCTCACTGCAATCTCCGCCTCCCGGGTTCAGGTGATTCTCCTGCCTCGGCCTCCCGAGTAGCTGGGATTACAGGCATGCACTACCACGCCTGGCTAATTTTGTATTTTTAGTAGAGACGGGGTTTCTCCATGTTGGCCAGGCTGGTCTCGAACTCCCTACCTCAGGTGATCTGCCCGCCTCAGCCTCCTAAAGTGCAATTTTTTTGTATTTTTAGTAGAGATGGGGTTTCTCCATGTTGGCCAGGCTGGTCTCGAACTCCTGACCTCAGGTGATCCACTCGCCTCGGCCTCCCAAAGTGCTGGAATTACAGGCGTGAGCCTCCATGCCCGGACTAATGAACACCATTGTTGAGAGTTACTATATATCCCAGGCCCCGCCACAGATGAATCAGACATGCCACCTCCTTAATTTGGCCACAGCTTTTTGGGAGCACACAGTAGGCCCACAGACAGAAAGGGAAGGGCTCAGAACCTGACAGCCTGGGTTCCAATCCTAGCACAGCCACTTTCTCCTTATGCGACATTAGGCAAGCAAGTCTGCCTTCCCGGGCCTCAGTTTCCCCATCTGTACCACTGGGATAATAGCAGTCCATCTGCTGTGCTGCCCTTTGGAGTCAATGGGCTCGTTGTGTGGGACGCTGACAGCATGACTAATTCTGAAAGCTGGTTCCCTTCCTGGAAGGGGGTGGAGTGGGAGGGGTGTGGCTGTGTGTTTTCCAATAGCCAACAATGGAACTCTTGTAGGCAGGGGCCCTCGGGCCTAGAAAACACATCCACCCCTGTGGGTTCTAGACAAAAGTTTCAGGTCTCAGAGTGGAGGTTTACCAGGGCATTTACACTCTTTGAAGATTGTTAAGAAGAAATACTGGTTTCGGGGGACATAGGGACACAGGGGTGGATTCCCATTTTGCCCTCTCTCCCTGCAAGAAGTAGCTGCCAGAGATGGGGGGTAGGGGCAGGATCTCTCCCACCTACAACTCCTGAGTAGGATTAGATAGGCTTAAGAAAACCTCTGGGCTGCACTGATTGGCTCAGTGGGGTTTAATCAAAGTGAAGCATTGGAATTTTTGTTGAGTACTTGGGGTAAGAAAAGATTCGGGTTTTGGACAATGGGGAATACACATTTAATGACTGGAAAATTGGCAGTTATTTTGCCATCACAAGAAAAGCCAGCCTGAGGACAAAGCTAATGCTATAGAGAAACACAGACCAAGAGAAATGCTGAAAAACTGAGTTAGCACCCTGATCAAACCATGCCTGATCTCCCTCTGGAATTTTCAGTTATGTAATTAGTCTAAAAATCATAAAACACAGTCTGTGACTGGTTTGAGTTACCTTTTATGAGGCTTTCTGTAACCAAAACAGCCAAAGTGGTATATAGGGAACTTCTGTGGACCCAGAATCTCTACACTTTCACTAGGCTATCACATGATTTTTACTTAGTTTGAGCCAATGTATTTCTTTTAGCTTCAATCGGTTCAAGAGTCTCTAGATGCCAATGAGTGCTTACCTCATCAGGTCGGGGCTCTCTCTGCAGACAAACCTGGGTCCCATGAACCTACATCTTTGAAATGAACACAATGGGACTGCTGGACTTGTTTCTCCTTCCCAATTTCCACCTTGAAAAGGCGCAATGAGCTGGAGGAGCCACAGGACTTGGTAAAAGCAGAAGCGCAAGTGCCTGGAAACTCAACACTCTTCCGGTCAAAGGAGGCGACGTGTGAGTGCATGGTTGCTTGATAAATGCCAGGGGAGAGTGGGTGGCACCCAAAGATGCCCCTGAGGGTCTCACATCTCTGCCCCGGCCCACAGGAGGACGGGGAGCAGCACACGGCGTGGGTGGAGGCCTGGCAGTGGCAGAATTGCTCACAGCGCTCCCCAGTCCAGAAGGCCTCCCCAGCCGGGTGGTGGTACCTGCCCCCCATGGAGCAGCTGCACTGGATTGGGGGCACGCAGTCCATGCCACTGAGCACAAAGCCTGGGTCACACTGGCAGCCATCCTGGCATGGTGTCAGGCAGCTGTCGGGCAGGGCAGGCTCGGCACAAGAGCTAGGACAGGAGGAGCCGCAGAGCTCGTAATTGCTGCGGGGAGGACAGGCCAGCTCTGGAAGAAAACAGGTAGGAGTTAAATAATTGAGCAAGCATTACTATTCTGGAGCATTTCCAACCAGAATAGGACCAAGGGAGCGGAGAGAGGGTTGTGGGGGCCAAGGGTAAGTCATAAAGGCAAAGGAGGGGAGGTGGAGGCATCATCAGGATGTAGCATAATGGTGGCGGCGTGGTCACGGCGGTGATAACGGTGGCGGCGTGGTCACGGCGGTGATAACGGTGGCGGCGTGGTCACGGCGGTGATAACGGTGGCGGCGTGGTCACGGCGGTGATTAACGGTGGCGGCGTGGTCACGGTGGTGATAATGCTGGTGGCGTGATCATGGTGGTGATAATGGTGGTGGTGGTGGTCGTGGTGATAGTAATGATGATGATGGTGGTAGGGCTGGTGATGTTGTTGGTGATGTGATGGTGTTGATGGTGATGGTAATGATAGCGGTGATGGTGACAGTGATGATAGTGGTGAGGGTGGTGGTGGTGGTGATGACAATAGTTGTGGTTGTGGTAACAATGATGGTGGTGGTAGTGATAATGGTGATGGTGATTATAGTAGTGATGGTGATGCTGATGCTGGTGGTGATGGTGATGCTGGTGGTGATGGTTATGATGGTGATGATGATGTTGATGGTGGTGGTGGTGGTGATGATGATGGTGATGGTGGTGATGGTGATGATGGTGGTGATGGTAGTGGTGATGATGGCTGTGGCTGTGGTAACAATGATGATGGTGATGGTGGTGATGGTTGTGGTTGTGGTAACAATGATGGTGGTGGTAGTGATGATGGTAATGCTTGTGGTGATGGTGGTGGTGGTGATGATGGTAATGCTGGTGGTGGTGGTGGTGGTGAGGCTGGTGGTGGTGGTGATGGTGACGCTGGTGGTGGTGGTGATGGTGACGGTAATGATGATAGTGACTGTGATGATGACAAAGGTGACGAAGATAGTGATGAAGAAACAACCTTGGTCATGCTGGGTCATGTTCAGGTTAGTTCGTTACTTCAGCATAACCCAGACCATCCTGACTGATGCAATAGCACTCAGTGTCATCTGTTATTGTTATTGCAGAGTTTTAAGCAGGTAGGTTCTTCGCGGGAACAGTTAGCCAGAAAGGCATGCAGTGGGTCACTTTGGGTGGTGTTGACCTAGGAGGACATCCTGGAAGTGGTATTGGGCCAGCTGGGGAGGTCAGGCTGAGAAAGACCCTCCCTGGGAATACCCACTTACTGCAGGCCAAGAGGTGTCTCCAGGGCTGCATGGGAACGCTGCGCTGCTGGCTTTCCTGGGCGTAGCTCCCCAGTATGGCACACAGAGTCTCTCTTGAGCCCCCCGTGGCACAGAGGTCATGGATGCAGTTCTCCACATGCACCTGGGGATCCACGTCCTTACTGCAGGCCCTGTAGGGCCCATCTTGGGTGCCCAGCAAGCCACAGAAGGCCTGGTATAGGGCTGCCTTGTCTGGTGGGCACAGAGGGGCTGGGCCCCCATTAAGCTGTTGGCATCAGAGAGCCATGTGCTATCAGAGCCGCTGAAGTCATCCTGGGTATCCACGCTGAAGTCCCCGCCCAGGCCACAGAGGGTGTTGGTGTAGGTCTCAGGCACTGCCACTCAGAGGGCATGGGATTCGTGAAAGGTCATGGAGAGGCCGGGTGCCACCTGGACTGTGATGGCCAAGGGCGTGAAGAAGGCCTGGAGTGTGCCCCCCAGCCAGAGTCAGGGGCAGGCCAGCCTGGGAGCCGTTCACCTGGAACACAGACACCCAGGCTACGTCGGGCAACCACGTCCAGACACCTGCCCCTCCTGGGCCCCTGCTCCTGCCACTGCTGAGATCCACTCTGCACATAGCACCCAAGGAGCCCTTTGAAATCGCACATTAGATCCTATCCCTCCTTTGCTCAAAACCTTTCCATACCTCCCTAGTACACTTGGAGAAAATCCAAACTCGCCACCGTGGCCTGGGCAGTCCCACAAAATAAACCTCTGTCCCCTCTGTCCTCATCTTGTCTCACACACCCCTTCACTCATCTGCCCACTCTGCGCCAGCTCCCCGGGTCTCCCCACCACTCCTCCAACACACCAGGCACCCTTCCAGCCTCTGCTCCTCTGCCTGGACACTCTCCCCTTGTATCTACATGGCTCCCGGTCTCTCCTTCCGATCTCTGCTCCACACTTCACTGCTTCCCTTTTTGTTTTTTTTGGAGACAGGGTCTCGCTCTGTCACTCAAGCTACAGTGCAATGGCATGATCTCGGCTCACTGCAGCTTCAACATCATGGGCTCAAGTGATTCTCTCGCCTCAGTCTCTCGACTTGTTGGGACTACAGACGCACCATCACACCTGGATAATGTACTTGATTTTTTGTAGAGATGGGGTCTCACTATGTTGCCCAGGCTGGTCTTGAACTCCTGGGCTCAAGCTATCCTCCTGCCTCAGCCTCCCAACGTGCTGGGATTACAGGCACACATCACCACGCCCGGCTAATTTACATGATTTTTTGTAGAGACGGGGTCTCCCTATGTTGCCCAGGCTGGTCTTGAACTCCTGGGCTCAAGCGATCCTCCTGCCTTGGTTTCCCAAGTTCTGGGATTATAGCCATGAGCCACCGTGCCTGGCCTGTTACCCTGTCTTAAAGGGCAACACCCTTACTGGCCCCTCACCCCTTTCCTGCTTTTTTGTTCTCCAGAACCAGCTGTCACCTTCTGACATACCATAAATTTACTTCTGTATTTGTTTATTGTCTTTCTCCCAGGGATTTTTGTCTATTTTTCAACAAAATTAAGTTCCTGCCTTCGAAGAACACATATTCTGTCAAAAGGAAGATAGATCATAAACAAAGAAATGATTGACAGAAAAGATGATTTAAGAGACTGACAGATACTTCAAAAGAAAGGGCTGGGCGCGGTGGCTCACGCCTGTAATCCCAGCACTTTGGGAGGCCGAGGCGGGCGGATCACGAGGTCAGGAGATCGAGACCAGCCTGGCCAACACGGTGAAACCCCATCTCTACTAAAAATACAAAAAATTAGCCAGGCGAGGTGGCGGGTGCCTGTAGTCCCAGCTACGCGGGAGGCTGAGGAAGGAGAATGGTGTGAACCCCGGGGGGCAGAGCCTGCAGTGAGCCGAGATCCCGCCACTGCACTCCAGCCTGGGCGGCAGAAGACTCTGTCTCAAAAAAAAAAAAAGAAAAGGAGTAGGGTTACAGTAGAGAGAGGGTGGGAGTGGTGGTTCTTTTCATGTGTGTGGTCAAGGAGGGCTTCTCAGAGAGGGTAACATTTGTGCTGAGACTTGAAAGATGAGAATGATCAGTTATATGAGGACCTCCAGGAAGAGTGTTTCAGGCAGAGGGAACAGCCTGTGCAAAGGCCCTGAGGTGGGAGCCTGCCTGGAGTATGGGAGGACACTAGGAGGTCACTGCGGCTGGAGCAGAGTGAGTGAGGGGCAGGTGGGAGGGGACAAGGGCAGAGAGGTGACAGAAACCAGTTTTGTAGGGTCACATAGGCCACAGTTTCACTCAGTGAGGTGGAGCCATGGGAGGGCGTTGAGACAGAAGGAATGTGACCTGAGTTCGTTTCTTGTTCTTTTCTTTTCTTTTTTTTTTTTTGAGACAAGATCTCACTCTGTAGCCCAGGCTGAAGTGCATGGTGCAGCCTCTGCCTCCTGGACTCAGCTGATCCTCCCACCTCAGCCTCAGCCTCCTGAGTAGCTGGGACTACAGGCATGCGCCACCATGTCCAGCTAATTTTTTATTTTTTTATTTTTTTTTATTTTTTTTTTTTTTGAGACGGAGTCTTGCTCTGTTGCCCAGGCTGGAGTGCAGTGGCACAATCTCGGCTCACTGCAACCTCCGCCTCCCAGGTTCAAGCAATTCTCCTGCCTCAGCCTCCCAAGTAGCTGGGATTACAGGCGCCTGCCACCACGCCCAGGTAATTTTTTGTATTTTTAGTAGAGACGGGGTTGCGCCATGTTGGCCAGGCTGGTCTCCAACTCCTGACCTCAGGTGATCCACCCACCTTGGCTTCCCAAAGTCCTGGGATTACAGGTGTTAGTCACCACGCCCGGCCTAATTTTTTTTATTTTTGTAGAGTGGGGTCTCACTATGTTGCCCAGTCTAGTCTCAAACTCCTGGGCTCAAGCAATCTGTCTGCCTCGGCCTCCTAAAGTGCTGGGATTACAGGCACGAACCACCACACCTGGCTCCTGAGTTCAGTTTTGTTTGTTTTTTTTTTTTTTTTTGAGACAGAGTTTCGCTCTTATTGCCCAGGCTGGAGTGCAATGGTGCTGCGATCTCAGCTCACTGCAAACTCTGCCTCCTGGGTTCAAGCAATTCTCCTGTCTCAGCCTCCCGAGTAGCTGGGATTATAGGCGCATGCCACCTCTCCTGGCTAATTTTTGTATTTTTAGTAGAGACGGGTTTCATTATATTGGTCAGGCTGGTCTCGAACTCCTGGCCTCAGGTGATCTGCCGGCCTCGGCCTCCCAAAGTGCTGGGATTACAGGCGTGAGCCACCGTGCCCGGCCTCAGATTTTTAAAGACTACAACTTTACTCTGCCTGCTGGGGGTGGGGATGCAGCACTAGTGGTACAACGTTGGCTTGACTTTGCAGTTACATGTTTTATTTATTTACTATTATTTTTTAATTTTAAATGTAAATTTTAAATAGAGATAGGGTCTTGCTATGTTGCCTAGGCTCAAGTGATCCTCCTGCCTCAGCCTCCCAATGTGCTGGGATTAAAGGCATGAGCCATCACACCTCACCTGTGTTATTTATTGATCAAATGCTTTTATGCCCTTACTAAATGCCTTCTCCTAGACAATTCACACCTCTTAATCCTCACATACAGGTAGGTACCATTCACTTCCCTTTTACAGATGGGAAACTGAGGCACAGAGATGTAAAGCCACTAGGTCCAGTTCCACAGCTAGCAAATGGCACAGTGGGACTCAGTCCTGGTCCCCTGGGCCCATCACCACAGGCTTCACCGTGTTACCACGTTGCCAGCTAAAGCATCCACCGAACCCCAGGTGGACCCAACACCCATCAACCCTGAGGGGCCCAGACAAGAGTAGAAATGGAGGCACACACCTTACACATCTTCATGTTTAAGATTACAAACCAAGCTGCCACACTATTACATGGAATACGGTCTATCCTCCTGCCTTGATGCATAAACCTCCCTAGCGTCCTGGTGGTCAGGTGCAAAATCAGAATTTCCAACTTTTCCTGGACAGGATCTGGCATCCAAGGAGAGACTGCCCTGGGCCCGTCTCTTCTCTGTGCAGCCCCAGCTCTGGCCCTCACTGCAAGAGGCACTGCATCCCCGTACATCTAGCCTGGGCCGCTCTGCCCAGCTGGGTCCACACTGGCTTCCTGCAATGCTGCCTAGAATGCGTCATGTGGGCCGCATGGTCCACTCTTGTGAGGATGGACCTGGGGACAAGGCCAGCGTGGACCCTGGAAGCAGCTCTGAGCCTTTTAGGCAGGGAATTCCCATTCCTGGAGCACGGTCTGGAAGGGGAGGGCCATGCAGGCTCCAGGCTCTAGGGGTCAGGGGCGTTTCCCAGAGGACTCCAAAGCCCACGGAGTGGGACGCAGCCAGAAGAGGCCAAAGCGGGTGGATCCTCTGAAGCTCAGGGCTGGGGCCCTCTGCCCACTTCTAAAGGTCCCAGTAGCTCTTTCTCCAAAGGGAAGGCCCTTGGGCCACCACCATTTCTTCAGCCTGTTTGTGTTTGTTTTTGTTTTTGTTTTTCTTTGAGATGGGGTCTCTGTTGCCCAGGCTAGAGTGCAGTGGCGTGATCTCAGCTCACTGCAGCCTCGACTTCCTGGGCTCAAATGATCCTCCCACCTCAGCCTCCTGAGTAGCTGGGACTATAGGCACGTGCCACCACTTGTGGCTAAATTTTTAAATTTTTTATAGAGACAGGGTTTCGCCATGTTGGCCAGGCTAGTCTTGAACCCATGGCCTCAAGCGATCCTCCTGCCTCAGCCTCCCAAAGTGCTGGGATCACAGGCGTGAGCTCCCACGCCCGGCGTTGCTGTTCTTCACGCTCATTACTCACTAGAGTTCCTGGAGGCCCAGGACCAGAGCTGGGTGACAAGTACCTGGACGGCTCCAAACTGTCCTGCCAGCAGTGACAGCTGCCATCCTGCCACATCCACATCCACCTGCTGGGCCCACATGGCATCCCACGGCTCCTGGCGCCTGATCTCCACCCAGATGGCATAGGCGCTGTGGTGTGGCCGGCATGTTCTAGCCAATATCTCCCAGCCAGGCCCTTGAACCTGATGGTGGGTCCCATTGAAAGTGTGCAGGTGGGGGTCTCCGTACAGCCACAGTGTCCCGTAGTGCATGGGGTAGCAACCCCAGACACCCCTGTGCTGGCAGCACAGCTCACAGGGCCTGCAGGCATGAGGGTGGCACTCGAGCGGGCGTCCAGGTCCATGGTACACGCACCTCTGATCACAGGGGGCTGCAGGCAGCACCTCAGTACCCAGGCGGATATAGCGGCCCTGCAGGTGGCAGCCGCAGCAAGCGTGGGGCACCGAAGATGCCCGCCTCCAGGGCAAAGCCCTCGAGGCAGAAGCAGCTCACTGTGCACTGGAGGGTGCAGGGCGCGGAGGAGTTGAGGCTAGCACAGGTGGCCGGGAAGGGTGGCCCACAGGAGTCATAGTAGCTGTTGGCTGGACACGCCACACCTGGGGGAGGGGAAAGATCGCCCAGAGGCCACAACCCTGAAACCTTTGCTCCCTCAATTAGAGGGAGAAAAAAATCAGGGTGAGTGCAGGGGAGGGAAGGGCAGGAATGAACCACAGGACGATTCCCAAACTGCCACTGTTCTTTTTTTTTTTTTTCCAGACAGGGTCTTGCTCTGTTGCCCAGGCCAAGTGCAATGGCATGATCTCAGCTCACTGCAGCCTCCCGATTGTTCCGATGAAACTTTTAACCACGTGGTTTGTTATGCATGTCACACCCACAGGCCACTTCAAACTTGCAGCACACAGTGAGCAACTCGGACAATATAGGGTCCAGTGCTGGGAGGTGAGAGGTAGGATTAGGAAGGGCCCAAGAGGAGCCCTGGTCTGGCTTGAAGCTTGGGTTAACATCCTAGGCAGGGCTGGGGTCTCCCTGGGGATGAGGGCTTCCGATCCACCGGCGAAGGAGGCATCCTAGCTAGCCAAGTGGGGAGGCCATCGTTGGAGCTGGGGGCGGTGAAAGGGAAGGAGCACGTAACTGCATCCCAGGCTGGCTCGCCACGCGGGCAGGCAACGCGCAGCGCAGGGCGCAGAGTTGGACGTAGGCCTCCAGCATGGTGCACAGCATGCGGTTGCCCGTGCCATACTGGCAGAGGTCAGAGACACACACCTGCGTGTAGGACACGGGGCTCTCATACCAGTGGCACTTGGCCAAGGGCCCGGAGCGGTTTGCCAGAACACTGCAGAGCTGCTCCACCCGGGGCCTGTCCTGGCAGGGCTCAGCGCCACCAGGGTCCCGCCGGCAGCTGGGGGATCACAGGACTCAACACCACCACCTCCAAGCCTCCTCCTCCTCCTGCCTCCCCCCTGGCCACCCTTGGCTAGTCCTCCTCTGCCCGCACCAGGTTCTCCCTCCCAGCAGCTGACAGCTCCTGGTGCAGTTTTAGACACGTTTAAAAACCTCAACCCCATAGTAACAAATGATTTTCATACAGTTACTCAACATGAGGGAGTCATTAATTTTTTTTTTTTTTTCGAGACAGAGTCTCGCTCTGTCACCCTGACTGGAGTGCAGTGGCGCGATCGCAGCTCTTGGCAACCTCTGCCTCCCGGGTTCAAGCGATTCTCCTGCCTCAGCCTCTCAAGTAGCTGGGACTACAGGTACCCACGACCACAGCCGGCTAATCTTTGCATTTTTAGTAGAGACGGGGTTTTGCCATGTTGGCCAGGCTGGTCTTGAACTCCTGACCTCAGGTGATCTGCTCACCTTGGCCTCCCAAAGTGCTGGGATTACAGGTGTGAGCCACCACGCCCAGCCAGGATAGTTATTAGTTAGATCCTGGATTCTGGAACCAACTTTGTTAGCTTCAGATCCCAGCTCTGCTACTTGGACGAATCCCCAAGTCTGTGCCATCCAATACCGCAGGCACTAGCAACCAGAGGCTACCGAGTATTTGAAATATAGGTAGTGTGACAGAAGATGTTTAATTTAATTTACACATAAATTTAAATAGCACGTGTGTTTGGTGCATTGGACTTTGCAGGACTAAGGTCTCAGTGAAGGGAGACTGGCACGGTGACTCATGGCTGTAATTCCAACACTTTGGGAGGCCGAGGTGGGCAGACCACTTGAGGTCAGGAGTTCAAGACCAGCCTGGCCAACATGGTGAAACCTCATCTTTACTAAAAATATAAATATTAGCCGAGCATGGTGGCGTGTGCCTGTAATCTCGGCTACTCGAGAGGCTAAGGCATGAGAATCACTTGAACCTGGGAAGCGGAGGTTGCAGTGAGCCGAGATCGTGCCACCGCACTCCAGCCTGGGCGACGGAGCAGGAATCAAAAATAAATAAATAAATAAATAAATAAATAAGGTCTCTGTGAGGAGTGCTTCCTGTTTCCCCTGTGAGAGGTGGGGGGGTGGAGTATTTAGGATCAGGGACCCTGAAGCCAGAATGCCTGGACTCAAATCCCTGTTCCACCATTTTTTTCCCCTCTTTTTTGATAGGGTCTCGCTCTGTCACCCAGGATGCAGTGCAGTGGTGCCAGCATGGCTCATGGCAACCTCGAACTCCTGGACTCAAGAGATTCTCCTGCCGCAGCCTCCAAGTAGCTGAGAATACAGGTGTGCACCACCACCAGGCCTGGCTAATTTTTTTTTTTTTTTTTTTAATAAAGACGAGATCTTGCTATGTTGCCCAGACTGGTCTCAAACTCCTTAGCTCAAGTGATCCTCCTGCCTTGGCCTCCCAAAATGCTGGGATGACAGACAAGAACCACCATGCCCGGCCCGTTCCATCATTTCTTATTGTGGGAACTTGGGCAGATGCTTCGCCCTTCCATGCCTCAGTCTTCCCCATCCGTGAAAGGGTATAATCATTGTTCCTGATTCTACCTGAATCAATCTCCTGAGAGTTGTGTGTGCAATTCACACCCTCTTCTTCCACCTTTCTGTTCTCAAAGCCTGCCTGTCTGCCCACTGTTTTCCCTGAGCCCTGTATTTCTCCCAACCCGGGCCCTTCCTGGTCCCAGGCAGCCACCCACCCAGGCCGGCTGTCCTGGGTCCACCAGGCGTTGCCAAAGATGGCATCACTGAGGGTGGGCACCCTGCTGGGGAGCACCTTGTCATCACTGGGGTCGCCACTGAAGTTGCCACAGAGTCCGCAGAGGTGGCTCCAGAACTCAGGCCCCACGCACACCAACAGCATATTGTGGCCATTGAACTGTACCTGGAGCCAGGTGCCCACCTGCAGGAGCACCAGGCCCTGCTTACCGCCTGGCTGTCCACCTGCAGTGCAGGGGAAGAGCTCAGGATCCATTTCCCCCTACCATCTCCCACCCCCTAGTGCCATCCATACACTCCTCATGACCCCACAGCAGGTAAGGTGTATGAATCTCCAAGCCGAGCTGTCTGCTCCATGCCACCAAGGACCTCACACCTCACACTGCCAAGTTCACCTTAGCCCCTTCCCCTTCGTTTCCCTTCCCTTACTTTTCTCATCCACTTGCCTGGCTTTAAACCCCAGCTGTATTCTGACAATTCCCAAATGCCCTCACCAGTCCTAGAACTCCAGGTGTCTGCATCCTGCTGTGTCCCAGCTCTGGGAGAAAAGAGGCACCTCGAACTCCCCACGTTCAAATCTGAACTCCTAATCTTACCCCAAGCTTCCTCTCCTACCTTCTCCATCTCAGGCAGTGGCAGCTTGTCCAGGACGCGGAGGCCAAAAACCAAATCATGTTGGAACCTGCCCTCTCTCTCATCCCACAGCTGATCCTTTCAAAATATTTCCAGAATCTAACCATGTCTCACTCCCTCTACTGCCCTCTTCCTGATTCCAACCACTGCCACGTTCTGCCTGAACAATTCTGTCAGCCTCCTCTCCAGTCTACCTGCTCCCCCCAGGTCCTCGGCCATCTGTCCACTGCATGAAGCCAGAGGGATCTGCTGACACCTGAGTCAGATCAGGGGCCTCCTGGGCTCAGAGCCCTCCCTGAAATCCCTGGAACTCCCAACCCATTCTGAGTGAAAGCCAAAGTCCTTACAGTGACCCACAAGGCCCTACAGGATCTGTCCCCATTAACGCTCCGACCTCACCCCTTACTCTCCCCGGGTTTACTCCACTCCAGCCACACTGGCCGCTGGCCTCCCTGTTCTCTCTCTCTTTCTTTCTTTCTTTCTTTCTCTTTCTTTCTTTTCCTTTTCTTTTCCTTCCTTCCTTCTTCCTTCTTCCTTTCTTTTCCTTTCCTTTCTTCTTTCTTTCTCCTTCCTTCCTTCCTCTCTCTCCCTTTCTTTCTCTCTTTCTTTCTTTTCTTTCTTTCTTTCTTTTCTTTCTTTCTTTCTTTCTCTTTTCTTTCTTTTCCTTTTCTTTTCTTTTCCTTACTTCCTTCTTCCTTTCCTTTCCTTTCTTCTTTCTTTCTCCTTCCTTCCTTCCTCTCTCTCTCCCTTTCTTTCTTTCTTTCTCTTTCTTTCTTTCTTTCTTTCTTTCTTTCTTTCTTTCTTTCTTTCTTTCTTTCTTTCTTCTTTCTTTCATCTTTCCCTCCCTCCCTCCCTCCCTTCCTTCCTTCCTTGTCTTGCTCCATCACCCAGGCTGGAGTGCAGTGGTGCGATCTCAGCTCACTGCAGCCTCCACCTCCTGGGTTCAAGCGATTTTCCTGTCTCAGCCTCCCGAGTAGCTGGGACTACAGGCATGTGCCACCACCCCCATCTAATTTTTGTATTTTTAGTAGAGACAGGGTTTCACCATGTTGACCAGGATTCAATCTCTTGACCTCGTGATCTGCCCGCCTCAGCCTCCCAAAGTGTTTGGATTACAGGCATGAGCCACTGTGCCCAGCCTCTTTCTTTCTTTTTTAAAATTTTATTTTATTTTATTTTAGAGACAGAGCCTCACTCTGTCCTCCAGGCTGAAGTGCAGTGGTACTACCATGGCTCACTGCAGCCTCCAACTCCTGGGCTCAAGTGATCCTCCCAAGTCAACCTCCCAAGTAGGTGGGACTACAGGCACGTGCCACCATGCCCGGCTAATTTTTTAATTTTTAATTTTTAGTAGCGATGGGGGTCTCACCTATGTTGCCCAGGCTGGCCTTGAACTTCCTCAAGTGATCCACTTTGGCCTCCTAAACTGCTGGAATTACCCTGTTCTTTCTTAATAAGGCTAAGGGCATTTCTGCGTCTGGACTTTGCACCTAAGGTTCCCTGTGCCTGGAGGGCTCTTCCCTCATTGCTCATAAGGCTTCTCCTTCCCTCCAGCAAGTCTCTGCTCCAAAGTCACCTCCTCAATGAGGCTTTTCCTGCTCACCCTGTTTAAAAATTATAACTCCCACCCCATACTCACAAGCACTCCTGATTCTCCTTTCTAGTTTTATTTTTCTAGGACTTATCACCATCTGAAATATTATGTATTTATTTTTTACTGTTTGTCTCTCACTATTATAATGTGCACTCTAGGAGAGAAGAGACCTGTCTCTTTTGTTCTTTGCTGTGTCTCCAGAGCCTACAGCAGGGCCTGCTACAAAGTAGATACTCAGAAAAATTTTGTGAGTGGATGGATGGAAGGATGGATGAGTGGATAGATGGATGGATGGATGGATGGATGGATGGATGGATGGATGGATGAATGGATGAATGGATGGAAGGATGGATGAGTGGATGGATGATAGATGGATGAATGGATGGATGGCATAGGCCAGGTGGTAGGTGCAGGTGCCCTGGAAGTGGGCTATGGCCCCATCGAAGGTGAAGTAATGAGGATCTCCAGTGGCCATGCAGGTGCCCAGGGGGCTCTGGCAGCCCAGCTGGCCACCCTGCAGACCACAGATCTTCCCAGTGGGGCAGCACGCCGGGCTGCAGCGGAAATGCCCCGTTCTGTCACAGCTGCAGCGGCGGGTGCATCGGTTCAGCCAGACCAGGTCGGAGGCCAGATCAGCATGCCCTGCCCAGCCCAGCCCAGGTGGACCCAAACAGGGCCTGGTGGAGGCCCGAGGCTGGCCTGGCAGCTGACCCAGAAGAGCAGAGGCTCAGGGGCCGGCTCAGCATGGGATGGGCAGGAATGCCATGCCCAGATTCAACAGCTGGGGGTCTGACCATCATGACAGGCTACTGCCTTACCCAGAGGGCAGCAAACTTGTGACACCTGCTTTCTCTCAGTGGAAAGCACAGCCTAGTGATTAGCAGCACAATTTTGGGGTCAGAGAGACCTGGAGTCCAGACCTAGCTCTGTCCCTTGAGATCTCTGTGCATCCTGTAGCCTCAGTTTCCCCCTCTGCACATTGGAGGCAATCAAAGGGCTGTTTGAAGGTCAGTGCGGTCATACGCATGAGGCTCTCACCACCCAGCTGGCCTACAGTAACCAAGTTCTTGACATATATCTGATACCATTATTAATAACATGCTGGCCCAGTGCTCAAGGCATAATAAGCACTCAGAAAATATTACCTTTTATCCCGATGACAGGATTACACACGCAGCAAATGACCAAAATATGTTCACGATGGTTATCATTATATATCATTAACTGGTTAGCACAGCAATACAGCAGATGCCTGGTACATACCAGCCATTATTATTGTTAATATCACCATTATTTTAATATGCTTACACAAGGCACATTGTAAATGCCCAAACTCTTAATATATTAGCCATTATTATTATTATTACTATTCATAAAATGCTTAGCCCAGGCATGAACACAAAGTAAATACCCAATATATTTTAGCTTATTCATTTAATTATTTTTTTGAGATGGAGTCTTGCTCTGTCACCCAGGCTGGAGTGCAGTGGTGTTATCTCAGCTCACTGCAACCTCTGCCTCCTGGGTTCAAGCAATTCTTGTGCCTCAGCCTCCCAAGTAGCTGGGACTACAGGCATGTGCCACCATGCCCGGCTTATTTTTGTATTTTTCAGTAGAGACAGGGTTTTGACATGTTGGCTAGGCTAGTCTCCAACTCCTGACCTCAAGTGATCCGCCCACCTTGGCCTCCCACAGTGTTGGGATTACAGGTGTGAGCCACTGTGCCCAGCCCCCAATACATTTAAAATTTTTTTTTTTGAGACGAAGTCTCACTCTTGTCCCCCAGGCTGGAGTGCGATGGTACAATCTCGGCTCACTGCAACCTCTGCCTCCCGGGTTCAGGTGATTATCCTGTCTCAGCCCCCGAGTAGCTGGGATTATAGGTGCCTGCCACTAAGGGAGGAGACCACCCCTCATATTGTCTTATGCCCAATTTCTGCCTCCAAAGAAAGAAGTAAAAGCCAAAAGACAGAAATGAAATCCACAGGCAGACAGCCCGGCGCCACACCCTGGGCCTGGTAGTTAAAGATCCACCCCTGACCAAACCAGTTATGTTATCTATAGATTACAGACATTGTATAGAAAAGCACTGTGAAAATCCCTGTCCTGTTCTGTTCTGTTCTTACTGGTGCATGCAGCCCCCAGTCACATACCCCCTGCTTGTTCAATAGATCACGACCCTCTCACGTGGACCCTCTTAGAGTTGCGAGCCCTTAAAAGGGACAGGAATTGCTCACTCGGGGAGCTCGGTTTTTTGAGACGTGAGTCTTGCCGATGCTCCTGGCCAAATAAAGCCCTTCCTTCCTTAACTCAGTGTCTGAGGGGTTTTGTCTGCAGCTCGTCCTGCTACACCACCACGCCCAGCTAATTTTTGTATTTTTAGTAGAGACTGGGTTTTACCATGTTGGCTAGGCTGGTCTAGAACTCCTGACCTCAGGTGATCCACTCGCCTCAGCCTCCCAAAGTTCTGGGATTATAGGCATGAGCCGCCGCGCCTGGCCACATTTTAATTATTATTATTAGCAGTATGGGACCTGATGTGTGATCACTACTCAAATGTTGGCCATCAAAATAATACAAATGGTTTGGGTGTGGTGGCTGATGCCTGTAATCCTAGTACTTTGCGAGGCTGAGGCAGAAGGATCCCTTGAGTCCAGGAGTTTGAGACCAGCCTGGGCGATACGGTCAGACCTCATCTCTACAAAAAATTTAAAAATTAGCCAGACATGGTGGCACGCAACTGAAGTCCCAGCTACTCAGGTGACTGAGGGGGAGTATCATTTGAGCCAGGGAATTTGAAGCTGCAGTGAGCTAAGATGGCGCCCGTGCACTCTAGCCCCAGCAACAGAGCAAGACCCTGTGTCAAAAAAATAAATAAATAAATAAAATAAAAATAAAAAAATAAAAATAAACAAAAAATAGCACTGACCACAATGCTAAAACATTTAGGACAGAGTCTTGTACCTATTAATGATAAATAAAATGAGCTGTTTTGATTATTGTTATTATTACTACTATTACATTGCCAAAGTGTGTAGTGGGGGCTATGCACTCAATAAGTGATGGCTAATATTTTAAAAAGTCAATAGTGCTGACAGTAATAATAATAATACATATATTTTTTGAGACAGAGTCTCGCTCTGTTGCCCAGGCTGGAGTACAGTGGCGCCTTCTCGGCTCACTGCAGCTTCCTCCTTCCGGGCTCAAGCGATTCTCCTGCCTCAACCTCCCAAGTAGCTGAGATTATAGGCGTGGACCACAACATCCAGCTAATTTTTGTGTTTTTAGTAGAATGGGGTTTCGCCGTGTTGGCCAGGCTGGTCTCACACTCCTGACCTCAGGTGATCCGCCGGCCTCGGCCTCCCAAAGCGCTCAGATTACAGGCGTGAGCCACCGCACCCAGCCAATAATAATATTATTAAGCACTTAGCACACAGGGAATGACCTTAGTAACTAGTAGCAGTATTGGAATCATCAATAATAAAGCAGGTCAACACATTGTGAACCCACAATGTGCCATCCGCACAATTGAATATAGGTGTCCCGGATTGGGCGCCCATCCCTGGCATGTTTTGGGGGCTCCCTGACCCCCATGATGGGCCGACCCCCTCACAACAGCAAGACCCTGCCCCCAGCTCACCTGGTAGGAGGGGCCGCCGTGCGCCGAGCCGCACTCCTTCGGGTGCCGGCACCTGGCCCCTGCCCACAGGTGCGCGTTATCGTTGGCGCAGCCCTCGGAGCAGGCAGGGCGGCCGCGGGGACGCAGAGCTGCACCCGGCGCGGGTCCAAGCGTTGCTGGTAGCTGCTGTGCTTAGGACACGTGGCGGCTATGCAGGGAGGAGAAAAAGCGCGGGTAAGGAAACATGATCTGCAGGCCACATTTGCCCAACTCCCTGACCGAGTGCTTAAAATCTCGGCTCTGTCGTGGTGCTTAACCTCTCCAGGACTCCGTACCCATCTCTCCGAAAAGAGTACTGACCTCAAACTGACTTTGAGGGTTAAGCAAGTTAAAATAAATTAAGTGGTTGGGACAGCGCCTGGCACCCTGGGAACCTTGGATAAATGCGACCTATTGTTATTCCAGAAATAGCCCCTAGGTGGCCCACCTTTCTCACTCCATGAACACTGTCTTACCTCCCCCCCACTCCACCCCGCTCCCCGCCTTCCCTATTCCAAACCCTTTGAGGGTTCCCTACGGCCCAGGTGTCAGAGATTCACATTTGGATCTAACATAGGTGGGTTAGAACCTGGTTTTAGGGGTGTCTTGATCCCCAGGATGGTATCGGACAGGCTTTTGTTGCCTGTTGGTTGAGCAAGAAAGCGGCACCTTCCACCCCCACCCCGTAGAACATGACCTGCCCCGATTGCGCCCCTAATGTTGGAACCAGCTAGGAACCCTTAATGGGCAAGCATTAGGGGCCAGCAAAGCTTTGGTGCAAGGGAGGAAAGCCGGATGTTTTAGGAACGATCAGAAAAATCTGAACATGGACTAGGCTTTTCATGATATCTGGGAATTACTGCTTATTTTGTTAGGTGTGAGCAAATCACAGCAGGTTTTTTTGTTTGTTTGTTTTGTCTTTGTTTTTTGAGACGGAGTTTCGCTCTTGTTGCCCAGGCTGGAGTGCAATGGCGCAATCTTAGCTCACCGCAACTTCCGCCTCCCAGGTTCAAGTGATCCTCCTGCCTCAGCCTCCCGAGTAGCTGGGATTACAGGCATGCAGCACCACGCCGGCTAATTTTGTATTTTTAGTAGAGACGGGGTTTCTCCATGTTGGTCAGGCTGGTCTCAAACTCCCTACCTCAGGTGATCCGCCTGCCTCGACCTCCCAAAGTGCTGGGATTACAGGTGTGAGCGTGAGCCACGCGCCCGGCCACAGCAGGTTTTTTTCTTTTTAAAAGTCCTTATCTATTAAAAAAAATAATGCTGGAGTATTTACAGGTTTACACGTTGTCTGGGATTTGCTTTACACAAAATAAATCAATAAGGGAGGGGTGGAGGTGGACACAGGTCGGCCACAACTTGGCTGTTGTTGAGGCTGCCTTCTGGGTACAGGGGCATTCAATAGGCTATTCTCTCTACTTTTATGTTCAAATTTTCCATAATAGTTAAATAAGAAAGAAAGAATTAGATGATATGGCTAGTAATAAAACTTCTTTTGTCTCTGGAGAAAGAAAGTCTTAGTTCAAGTCTCAACTCTGTCTGTTGTGATTAGCAGTAGACAAATGGCTTTACCTCTGTGAGCCTCTGTTTTCCCAAATGTAAAGTGGGAATAATAACAGTCATTGCCTCTCACTTGCAGGGTGTTTCTGAGACAGTGGCGGCAAGAGGTACACAGAGCCTTCGGCCCCATGCCTGGGACATTGTAGATGTTCAATAAGTATTAGCAGTTGTTGGGATTATTATTGTGGCATCTCAGGTCAGGCATTCTGAGGGTGGAAAAGGACATCCCCTTGACAGGGGGCCAGGGATCCAGTCAACCCAGGGTGGTATTCAAAATACATAGCGGGCTGGGTGCCATGGCTCATACCTGTAATCCCAGCACTTTGGGAGGCCGAGGTGGGCGGATCACCTGAGGTCAGGAGTTCGAGACCAGCCTGGCCAACATGGTGAAACCCCATCTCTACTAAAAATACAAAAAATCATCTGGGCGTGATGGCGGGCACCTGTAATCCCAGCTACTTGGGAGGCTGAGGCAGAAGAATAGTTTGAACCCGAGAGGAGGAGGTTGCAGTGAGCTAAGAACAAGTCACTGCACTCCAGCGTGGGTGACAGAGTGAGACTCTGTCTCAAAAAAAACAAAAAACAAAAAAAAACATAACAGTCGGTAGCATACAGGCCCCCTACCAATCCACATGCGTCCAGCTGGAGCCTAGGAGGAGAACCTGGAAGGCCTTCCTGTGCTGGAATTGGGAATATGGGAAGTGGTTGGGGCACTCAGGCAGCCCAGGAGTACAGAAGGATGTCAGTCTGTGTGTGGCCATACAGAGCATGCAGATGAATTCCTGCCCTGCTCAACCATGACTCACCACAGAAGGAAGAATTCCTCTAGTGCCTGATGGTGATGTTGGCGCCCTGGCAGATGGCGGCATATGTCTGCAGGGCCAGGCAGAGGATGTGGTCATCATCCCCAGCAAGACACAAATCATCGACACAGCTGGAAACATATGGGTCTGGGTTGATCTCCCAGTGGCAGTGGCTGAAGGGTCCTGGGGGTCCTGCAGGAGCCAGCACTGCCTCCTGGCTGACACAATCTGCCCCTGGTCATTGCAGACTGAGACTGGACAGGCAGCCCCACAGCTGTCCCTACAAGCCTTGCTCTGCTTCTCCAAGGTAATGTCAGCCTTAGCGTCCTCACTGGGGTTGCAGTTGAAGTTGCCTCAGAGCCCACAGGTGTGACCCTTGTAGAGGTGGGGCAGGGTGAGGGTAAGGCTGTAGGTGAGATCTGTGCTGAGCCAGAGGCCAAAGTCTGACTGCAGCAGGGAGAAGAGGCCATTCCAGTGGACGGCAAGGCTGCCCCCATTCAGGCTTACGGGGAGGGCTGTTGTCTCACCATTCACCTAAGGAGCAGGCAGAATCAAAGGAAGGCTCGGGAGCATAGGACCACAGTTGGGTCAGTGTTGCTTGGCACATAGTAGGTGTTCAAATACGTGAAAAATGTTGATTTTTTTTGATATAGGGTCTCACTCTGACCCTCAGGCTGGATGCAGTGGCACAATCATGGCACACTGCAGCCATGAACTCCTGTGTTCATGCGATCTTCCCACCTCAGCCTCTTAAGTAGCTGGGACTATAAGCTGGGACTATAAGCGTGCGCCAACACACCCACCTAATTCTTTTTTAGATACGGGGTCTCGCTATATTGCCTGCTTGAGACAGGCTGGTCTTGAACTCCTGGGCTCAAGGGATCCACCTGCCTTGGCCTCCCAAAGTGTTAGGATTACAGATGTAAGCCACCGTACCAATACATGTAAAACATTTTTAGATGAAGGAACAAGGACATAACTATAATAGTGACCATCTCTTGTTTTATCCTGTTCTGCATTCATTTCTCCTTTCTCTGGATTTCCCTGAGAACTCACCCCTCCAAAATCAATCCATGTGGTTCACAGAAAGTCAATCCTATCCTAACTTCCAGCACATGACCCAGGCCCAGCCAATCAGCTAGTCCATCAGGGATTCAGGGGTGGTCACATGACTCAAGCTGGGCCAGTGAGGGACACTTTTCCTCCAGTGACATTTGCTAACCTGGCAGCTGTCCTTGTCCCTACAAGGTGGGATGGGATGGTGCCTGTCTGAAAATGAAGGAAAGGAGAGCCCAGAAATTGAGACAGATTTGAGACATATTGTTCAAGCACCTGGGTCCAGCTATGCCTGAATCCATACACCTGTAGATTTTTTTTTTCAATTGTGTAAATCAGTAATTCTTTTTTTTCTTAAGCTGGTCTGAGAGTGTTTCTGTTATATTAGCTGAATGCATCTGATGGATATAGTCAAAAATGGGCATATAATCAGAAAATAGAGGTAAAATGTAGAAATAATGGAGACAGAATAAGTTTTTCCCTTGGGCCTATGGGTTTGGGTGAAGGGTTGGGGTTCCTAGAAACGACACGTCCCAAAGCTGGTGCTTATCTGAGCCATGCCTGGGCTGTCCCTCCGCAGGTGGACCTGGGTCCCATTAACCTGGACAGACACCTCCAAGATGAGCATGAGGGGGCTGCTGGATCTGTTCTCCTTTCACAGCTGTATCCTGAAGAATGGCAGTGAGCCGGAAGAGCCACAGGATTCGGCAAAGACGGACACACAGGTACCTGAGAACTCAACAGTTTTCCCATCAAAGGTGATGATGTGTGAGTGCCCGGCTGCTTGGCAGGTGCCAGGGGAGAATGGGTGGCACCCAAAGATGCCCCTTAGGGTCCCACATCTCTGCCCTGGCCCACAGGAGGAGGGGGAGCAGCACACAGCATGGGTGGAAGCCTCGCAGTGGCAGAATTGCTCACAGTGCTCCCTAGCCCAGAATGGCTCCCCGGCCAGGTGGTATCTGCCCCCCATGGAGCAGCTGCACTGGATGGGGGTCAAGCAGTCCGTGCCACTGAGCACAAATCCTGGGTCACACTGGCAGCCATCCTGGCATGGTGTCAGACAGCTGTCGGGCAGGGCAGGCTCGGTGCAGGAGCTGGGACAGGAGAAGCCACACAGCTCGTAGTGGCTGTCGGGGGGCCAGGTCAGCTCTGGAGGAACACAAGTCATTCAATGCAAGGATGTCAACTCACTGCCCCACGTTCAAATTATGTTCCCTGCTATCTCCCCAGAGCCCAGCTCACGGCAAACCTCAATGGATATTTGTTGGAAGAATTAATGAATGTGTCGAAGCCTTTTCTATAGCACATATTTGTTCAACTTTGGCATCCACTACATGCCGGGAACATCCCAGGGCCTGGGGACACAGCAATGACCAAGACAGAGATCCCTGACCTCATAAAACAGATGTTCTAGGGCAGACGTTGACAAGCTTCACCCTTGGGCCCAAATCTGGCCCTCCACCTGTTTTGGCACAGCCTACAATCTAAATAGTCTTTACATGTTTAAGTGGTTAGAAAAAAAGAAACCAAAAGAGGAAATTTTGTGAGGTGTGAAAATCATGTAAAATTCAAATTCCGGTGTCTATAAATAATGTCTTCATGAAAGCCAGCTCGCCGGTTCGTGTATTGTCTATGACTGTTCTTATGTTACAACAGAAGCTTTGAGTAGTTGTGGCAGAGTGTGGCCCTGAAAGCCTAAAATATTTATTATCTGGCCTTTTATCATAAAAGTGTGCTGGCCTATTCTAGAGGGGGGAAATGGGCGACAAACTAGCAATAAATAAAAGATAATTTTGGATTGAGAAACTGGGTTAGATCTGTGTTACCCAGCTTTAGGTAGCGCAGAGTGGCTGAGCCCCATGGGCTGATTTGAGGACAGTGGCTAGGGAGGCCTCTCTGCAGAGGTGACATTGGAGCTGAGGCCTGAATGATGGAAGGAGCCAGCCGTGTGTACGTCTGGGAAAGAGCATTCCAGGCCGGGGGAACAGCAGATGCAAAGACCCAGGGGTGGGAAGGCATTTGGCGTGGTCCAGGGACAGCAGAGAGGCCAGTGTGGCTGGACCCTCGGTGTGGAGTGAGCTAGACAAAGCCAGTGTAGGAGGAGGCAGGGTGAGCAGAGAGAGGCCGCTGTGGGGGCCTCTTAGGAGGAGGCTTGGAGGTCAGTTTTCATCCCAGAGGTAAGGGGGACCCAGGGATGCTTTTAATCAGGAATCTGATGAGATCTGACCTATGCTTTTTCATTTTTTTTATGTTTTTGAGACAGAGTCTTGCTCTGTCACCCAGGCTGAAGTGCAGTGGCACCATCTTGGCTGACTGCAGCCTCCACCTCCACCTGGGTTCAAGCGATCCTCCCGCCTCAGCCAGTGCACACCACCACACCCAGCTAATTTTTTTTTTTTTTTTTTGTATTTTCAGTAGAGACAAGGTTTCACCATGTTGGTCAGGCTGGTCTTGAACTCCTGACCTCAAGTGATCCACCCACCTCGGCCTCCCAAAGTACTGGAATTACAGGTGTGAGCCACTGTGCCCAGCCCTAACCTATGCTTTTAAATGCCTTATGGTAGGTTCTGGTGACACACTGGTGACCAAGAGAGACCCCATCCCTAACCCTTGTCTTTGGGGGTTTCACAGATCAGGGGAAAAACATACTGGAGGAGAGATTGCTGGGGAGGGTTTTGTGTGTGTGTGTGTGTGTGTGTGTGTGTGTGCGCTGGCGGAGTGGGGGTGTCCCCCAGTCTCAGGATTAATAAAGAAAGTCAGAAAAGGAGAAATGTCCTGGGTGGGATGTGGGAGATATTCCAGCTCAAAGTTCATCTTAATTTGAGCACCCAGAGTCTGGGGGCTGGAGGAGACACCTGCACCCTTCCTGGATGGGTTTCCTGGATTCCTGCTGCCTGGAATGTCCCCCCGCCTCCCCGCTCCCCCAGCCAGCTCGGCTCCCTTTTCCACCACCTTCAGTCTCCACTCCCAGGGCACCTCTCTGCACCCCAGGGAACCCTAACCCCCCAGTTTAATACTGCATGCCCCTTCTCCAGCACTCCCCAGCCCTGCCCCGCCTGACTTACTGTTTAATCACCTACTTACTGGCTGGGTTGACTGATTGTCTTCTCCACTGGAATGTCGCCTCCATGAGGGCAAGGTTTTGTCTGTTTGGGTCACTGCTGTGTCTGCAGCGCCTAGAATGCTGCCTAGCACTTAGTGGGTGTTCAGTTAACCTTAGTCAAAGTGTGTGATGCCCCCGGGGCTTGTCTCTGGCTTTGGGAGGAGGGGTGGGCCAGGCAGGCCAGAGGCCAGAGCACCCACCACCAGTCCCTTGTGTTGGCCTTCGGAGCTTGCAATGGGCTGTTTCCTTTGGACAAAGAGAGGTTTTGTTTGCAAGATGCTGAACTTGCTTCCTGCTCTGAGAGGAGTGAGGGACTAGGGGCAGAGAAAAGGAGTTGCGCCTTGGGGTCCTGGAGGTTAGAGGCCCAGTCCTTCGGGATAAAGTCCTCACTTCTTGCCTGCCATTCAAGGCCCCACAGACACAGCCCAGGACCATGTCTCTCTCCAGGCTCCCCCATCTCTGGCTCAAATTTACACAGTCTCTGGGCTTCTGAAAACCTTGTTCCTTCTCCCTAGAACATTTGGCTTCTCCTTGCTTACCTATTGGCTTTGACTTGTCATTCAAGCCTCAGCTCTCGTGGCCCTTCCTCTGGGAAACTTGGCCTGACTTTCCAGGCTGGGCCAGCCCCTCCTCTGTGCTCCCCTGTGGCCCTACGCTTCCCTCATGTGAGCCCTGATCACTCTGCCGTGGCTGCCCCACCACAGACTCGGCCACCCTGGCAGCGTGTGGGCCCTACGAGGTCAGAGACCCGGCACTTCTCAGTCCTGCCCTGGCCCCTGCATCACCCAGGGCAAGATCAGGCCCAGGGGGACCCCTCCCTGCCACTCCCCAGCTGTGCGGCTCTGTGTCTGCTCTTCATCTGTGAAATGGTCGCGTTGTCCCATTCACACCAAAGGGATAAAAAGATGGCTCAGGACCCATCTCAGCTGCCTGCTGGACTGGAGAGGGTGTGGGCCGGGCTGATCCCAGGCCCTCCCCAGGACAGGCTGACCCAGACTCTGGGACAAGACCTGCCAACAGCAGAGCCCTGTGGTTTTGATCTCAGGACAGAGTGATGTTAACACAGGTTAAAAGTCAATTTCAGGCTGGGCACGGTGGCTCACCAGCACTTTGGGAGGCAGAGGCAGGTGGATCACTTGAAGTCAGGAGTTCAAGACCAGCCTGGCCAACATGGCAAAATCCCATCTCTATTGAAAATACAGAAATTAGCTGGGCATGGTGGCATGCTCCTGTACTCCCAGACACTTGGGAGTCTAAGGCATGAGAATTGCTTGAACTCGGGAGGTGAATTTTGCAGTGAGCCGAGATTACACCACTGTGCTCCAGTCTGGGTGACAGAGTGAGGCTCCATCCCCCCTCAAAAAAAAAATCAATTTCATAGTGACAGCTAATACTTGTAGAGCATTCACTATATTCACTATATTGCCAGCTACTGTTTATTTGTTTGGCTCTCACAACAACCCCACAAGAGAAGTGTTATTTTCACCATTCTTTCTCTTGTTAAAGGGGAAACTGAGGCACGGAGAGGTTAAGTGACGTCCCCAAGAGCACACAGCTGAAAGTGGTGGTACTGGCATCCTAACCAAGGCAGGCTGACTTTGGGATCTGTGTTCTCAATCTCAATGCTATACAGATCAGTGGGATAATTCCCTGCTTTGAAAAATGAAATAGAATAGAAAAGAATGTAATGCAAAGTATTGAGTGCATTTTCCTATTTGGTGACACTTTGTGTGCTGTGTATGCATATATTGGTGTGGTCAGCTGAAGAACAGCCCCTCAAAGATGTCCACAGTCTAATCGCTGTATCCTGTGATACGTTACATGGCAAAATGGACTTTGCAGATGTGATTAAGGTTCTAGACCTTGGGAAGGGAGAGATTAACCTGGATTATCTGGCTGGGCTCAGTGTAATCACGTGGGCTCTTAAAAGTGGGAGACAGAGGCCAGAGAGTCCATCAGAAAGAGGCAGGGGATTTCGAAGCATAATGGGGACTTGACCTGCTGTTAGTGGCCTTGAAAATGATGGAAGGGGCCATGAGCCAAGGAATGTGGGTGGCCTCTAGAAGTAGACACCAACCCTCAGGTTACAGCCAGCAGAGAGACAGGGCCCTCAGTCCTATAGCCATCAGAAACTGAATTCAGCCAACAATTTAAATAATTAAGGAAACAGTTCTCCCCTAGAGCCTCCAGAAAGAAATGCACTCCTGCAGACACGTTGATTTTTAGGCCAGCGAGAACTGTGTTGGAATTGTAAGAAAAAATTTGACATAGCAAGACCCCATCTGTACAAAACATTTTCAAAAAATTAGCTGGAGTTGGGCCGGGAGGGGTGGCTCATGCCTGTAATCCTAGCACTTTGGGAGGCCAAGGTGGGCAGGTCATGAGGTCAGGAGATCAAGACCATCTGGCTAACATGGTGAAACCCCATCTCTACTGAAAATACAAAAAATTAGCCAGCTGTGGTGGCAGGTGCCTGTAGTCTCAGCTACTTGGGAGGCTGAGGCAGGAGAATTGCTTGAACCCAGGGGGTGGAGGTTGCAGTGAGCTGAGGTCGCGCCATTGCACTCCAGCCTGGGCAACAGAGTGAGACTCCATCTCAAAATAAATAAATAAATAAATAAAAATTAGCTGGGTGCAGTGGCTCACACCTGTAGTCCCAGCACCTTGGGAGGCTGAGCAGGAGGATCGCTTGACACTAAGAGTTTGAGAACTGCCTGGGCAACATAGCAAGACTCTGTCTCTACAAAAAAAGTTTTAAAAATAGCCAGGTGTGGTGGTGCATGCTTGTAGTCCCAGCTACTCAGGAGGCTGAGGCAGAAAGAGCACTTGAGCCAGGAGTTGGAGGCTGCAGTGAGCCATGATTGCACCACTGCACTGCAGCCTGGGTGACAGAGCGAGATCCTGTCTCAAAAAAAAAAAAAAAAAGTGTTATTTTAAGCTGCTGAGTTTGTTGCAATTTGTTACAGCAGCAAGAGATAGAAAACTAATAGAATTAGATCCTGAAATGAACTATATTTTGTATTGTGGGTCTCCAACAAAAATGTTTGAAAGACTGCTTAATGCTCTTGACAAAGATCACTTGGCAGCAGGACAAGGGTGAGAGGCCGCAGACATTTGTCCTTTGGGCACCAGCCAGTACTACTGCCCACTGCTAACCTCATCCCAACTTCTGCCTGGGCAGTCTCCCCAAGGGCAGAGCCCGCGGTCAGGCAGAAGTCAATCGGAGACTCACATTCCCCTGGCCACAGTGAGAGGTACAAGAAGGAGTCAGTTGAAGCCACAGAGACGCAGTGCAAATCATGCTGGAGCTTCTGAGACCCACGGAGCTCTCTTTCCTGCTGGGCTGAGAAACCTGAGTGGCTGCAAGGTGTGGAGCCACTGTGGTCAGGGTGAGCCTGTCTGGATGTGGAGCCAATTTGGTGGGAAGCATGAAACCAAGGCCAGTGATGTCGAGCGCCTCACTGGGCCAGGCCTGAAGTAGCTACTCTGAGATCATTAATTATGCAACCCCACAAAATGGGCGGAACTGGTTTTCTGGACCTGGCCGGCAGAACGTGCTGGCTGGCATGGAGAGGATGCCACTCACCGCAGTCCACCAGGTGTCTCCAGGGCCTCACTAGGAGGCCGTGCTGCTGGCACTGCTGGACATAGCTCCCCAGAGCCTCGCACAGGATCTGCCGGGAACCCCTTGTGGCACAGAGGTCACGGATGCAGTTCTCCATGTGGACTTGGGCCTGGGCCAGCTCATCACAGGCCTGGAAGGGCCCATCGTGGGCACCCAGCAGCCCACAGAAAGCCAGTGACTGGTACCGGCCCTCTCGGTCATGGGGGCACAGAGGGGCAGTGCCCACGGTGGAGCAACTGGCTGGGGAATCCAGGCCCTTCAAGCTGAGTGCAAACACCTCCGGGTCAGGCAGGAGGGAGCCATCAGGGGCATGGAAGTCATCATGGGGGTCCCCGTTGAAGTCCCCACACAGGCTGCAGAGGGTGCCAGCGTAGGACTCAGGCACCATAATGGATACATGGTGGCTCCAGTCGTAGGAGACCAAGAGGCCAGCGTCAGTCTCCAGCATGGCCCCAGAATCGCTGAAATAGACGTGCACTTGGCCGCCAGCCAGGCGTAGGGGCAGGTGGGCCTGGGTCCTGTTAACCTGGAGACACACCCGGGGCCATGTCCACATCAAACACCCCTAGGTGGGTCTGGGAATCCCTGAGAACCTTTGGGGTGAGGCTGTGTCCCCTCAAGTCTTCCTAGGATGTGAATGGGTCCTCCCCGGATTCCTGAGTCTAAGCCCGCCCTTCTGGGGCCTGATCCCAGCCCCTGCCCAAGCTCACCTGTGCCCTCCCGGGGGTCTGAGCCTCCATCATCACCTTCACCCCGTGCACGTCCACTTCGATCGGCCGAGCCCCAGTCATGAGGGCCGTGGGACTTAGGTACTCATTGTCCACCCACACTGTGAAAGCTTGTGCCCTCAGGCCGGCCTGACAGGTGCGGCTCAGCACATAGTGACAGGCACCCTGGGCTGTGAGGGCTGTGCTGTTGAAGCTGTGGTAATGGGGGTCACCTGACACCCAGCTGCTACCTCTCCGGACCCCACAGTACCAGGCCCCGGTGAGCAGGAAGCAGGCCTCCCCGTCCTCACACGCCTGGGGGCTGCAGTGGGGTGGCTGCCCAGCCTCCTTGCACTCACACAGCTCACGGCAGTTGGGGCTCAGCTCCTGCGGTCCCAGGTGCAGAATGTGGCCCTGCTGTGGGGTCGGGGCCTTGGCATGGGGTGAGTGTGATGGCGCAGGTTCCCAGCGAGAGGCATTCAGATAGAAATGCACTTGTCAGCAAGAAGGAGAAGATGCCATGAGGCTCTGAAACATAGCTGGGACTACAGGTACGGGCCACCACACCTGGCAAATTTTAAAATTTTTGTAGAAATGGGTTCTCACTACGTTGCCCAGGCTGGTCTGGAACTCCTAGACTCAAGCGATCCTCCCACCTCAGCCTCCCAAAGCACTGGGATTACAGACATGAGCCACCGCACCCGGTCAGGTAAAATTCTTAAGAGGAAAAGTAGGAGAAGATTGGTGTGTTTCCATCAGAAAGCCTGGGTGAGTGCCCAGGAATGGGTGAAGGTGGGGAGGAGAGGAGGGCAGGCTGAGCCCTGGGCACTCCAGTGTTTAGCGTGTGGGCTGATGGGGACGCATGGCTGGAGGAGAACCGGGAGAATGTGGGGTCTTGGAAATTGGGAAGAGTGTCTCATGGAGAAGGGAGGGACAGGGCTGTGTCAGACATAACTGGCGGTCAATCAGGATGTGGCCTGAAGATTGACTACTGTCCTGGGGGGACCTCATCGAGAGTAGTTTTGGCTGCATGAAGTTGAAGGCGGAAAAAGCCTGACTAGAGAAGGTCCGAAAGAGAGAATGAAAAGAGAGGAACTGATAGCCAGCCGTGGTGATGTGCGCCTGTGGTCCCAGCTACTCAGAAGGCTGAGGTGGGAGGATCAATTGAGCCTTGGAGGTCAAGGCTGCAGTGAGCCATGACTGCACTACTGCATTCCATCCTGGGCCATGGAATGAGACCCTGTCTCTCAAAGAAAGAAGAGAGGCATTGGAGGCAGTGAGCCTGACAACTCTTCTGTGTGCTTTTCTTGTACAGGGTATGTGAGAAATGAGGTAGTGGCTAGAGGCGGAGGAAGGATTGAGGAGAAAGGTTTTTGAAGATGGCAAAATTGTAGCCTATTGGAATGCAGTGAGAAGGATCTGGTAGAAAAAGGCAAATTGGCCAGGCGCAGGTTCTCACATCTGTAATCCCAACACTTTGGGAGGCCGAGGTGGGCAGATCACTTGAAGTCAGGAGTTTGAGACCAGCCTGGCCAACATGGTGAAACCCCATCTCTACTAAAAATACAAAAATTATCCGGGCGTGGTGGCACACACCTGTAATCCCAGCTACTTGGGAGGCCGAAGCAGGAGAACCGCTTGAACCCAGGAGGCGGAGGTTGCAGCGAACCAAGATTGCACCACTGCACTTCAGCAGAGCGAGACTCTGTCTCAAAAAGAAAAAAAAAAATAGCAAATTGATGGTGAAGCTCATTGGAGCTCAGCATGCATCAGAATCCCCGGAAGGGCTAGCAAAAACAGACTGCAAGCCAGGAGTGCTGGCCTGCACTCCCTGTAATCCCATTATCCTGGGAAGCCAAGGCAGGCGGTTGCACTGAGCCAAAATCGTGCCACTGCATTCCAGCCTGAGTGACGGAGACCCTGTCTCAAAAAAAAAAAAAAAAAAAAAATTCAGATTGCATGTACCCACCCAGAGTGGTGGTCTTGGGTGGGACCCAAGAATTTGCATTTCAAACACATTCCTAGGTGCTACTGATGCTACTGGTCTAATAGCTGCACTTTGAGAAGCACGGATATAGAGGAGAGGGAGAGGAAGCATTGCTGGGAGATGCAGGAACTGTCACAGAGGTGGCCAAGCCAGGAAGGAGCACAGACCACCCTCCATCATGGCAGCCTGGACTGTAGGTGGAGGGTTGGGGAGTGCCTGGCAGGTTCCAGCTGATGCTACCAGTGAAGTAGGAAGCGATCTCATAGGCTGAGAATGAGTTCCAGGGAGGAGGTTTGGTCTAAAGGGAGAGGAGTAGGTGTGAACAGGTGGCCAGGGAGAGGAGGTGAGTGAGGGTGCCAGGGAGGTGGAAGGAAGGTCCTTTCAAGTTCACAGTCACAGGTACGACACCAGCCCAGGTGTGCTCTGCTGCCTACATGCAGGGGTGAGTGCAAGTGGAGAGGTGTGGTTCACCTGTGGGGTATTGGAGGAAGGAGCGCAGGAGGTATGAGTGTAGACAAGCAGGGATTTGAGAGGGAGCCTGATGTCCCAGAAGGTAAGAAGTGGGGAAGCACCGTAGGCTCAGTAGGCTCAGCAGATGGGGCGGCCAGTGAGGTCAACCAGTCAGGAAACCAGAGGGTGGGCGGCAGAAACTGGGTTGTATAACAGAGAAAGGTGGGGTCAAGGGGACAGGTGGCGCTGAGGCCCCGGAGGGCTGCATCGGTGGGCAATGTGAGGTCCATGGCTAGGATGAGAGCCCGGGAGGCTCTGTCTGCCTGCGACCATCGTCGGCCTCAGCGAGTCCACCAAGTGCTTCGCCATCTGCTCGCCATGTGTCCTTCTGTCCATCTAGCCCCCTTCTGCCGTCTGTCTTGCCACCTGCTCTGGTCATCCCAACGTCACTCTGTCTGTCTTTCCATCAACCTGTCCACCTGTCCAACCCTCCTGTCTTCCTGTCCATTGGCCAGCTGGTCTGTCTTCTTGTCCGTCTCTCTGCCTGTTATTCATTTTGTCTGTCTGTCTGCCTGCCTGTCCATCTAACATTTGACTCTGCCCGCCAGTCTCTGTGGCAGTCTCTGGGGCTGTGGGCACTTAGTGTGTCTGCGACTCCACGGCTGTCCGGGTTCTATCCTCCAGCCCGGCTCCCAGCCCCACTCACCAGGATGTGTTCTATTGGGCCATGCGATCTCACTACCACATCCCAGCCATGGATGACCAGCCGCACCAGGGCCTCTGCCACCGGGCCTCCCCTCCTCAACTCCACCTCCACGCAGATGCCAGGAAGCAGGGCCAGGACGAAGTGGCAGGGCTGGAGCCACAGCTGCCATCTGGAGAGTGTGTGCGGGTGGCCCTGGGGACCCAGGTGGCAGGAGGGGCCACGAGGGGCCCAGCAGTGTGGGAAGGGGTGTGCAGGCATACACTGCTGCCCCACCTGGCAGCCCTCTGGCCAGCACCACACCCGGCCTTCCTGCCCACAGTGTGGTGGCTGCAGGCACTGCTGTTCCACAAAGAGGCACCTAGGGGCAGGAACTGGGCTGTGGAGAGAGTGGGCTGCGGTGGGGGTGTCTGGGGCTGAGGCTTGAACCTCAGGTCCTGAGGAAGGTGGGGACTGGGGGTTCTGACTCCTGGATCTTTTTTTTTTTTTTTAATTTGAGACAGAGTTTCGCTCTTGTTGCCCAGGCTAGAGTGCAATGGCGCGATCTTGGCTCACTGCAACCTCCGCCTCCTGGGTTCAAGCAATTCTCCTGCCTCAGTCTCCCAAGTAGCTAAGATTATAGGCATGTGCCACCATGCCCGGCCAATTTTGTATTTTTAACAGAGACGGGGTTTCTCCATGTTGGTCAAGCCTCGAACCCTCAACCTCAGGTAATCCGCCTGCCTCGGCTTCCCAAAGTGCTGGGATTACAGGCATGAGCCACCCCGCCCGGCCTCTGATTCCTGGATCTAAGGATGGAATGGACTGAGGGCTGACTGGACTCCTGGGTCTTGGAGGAGGAGAGTGTGGGGCCTGGGCTCCTGGGCTCTGTGGCTGGGCCCTGGGAGCAGGCAGGTCTGGGGCAGGTTCTCCACCCTTCACCATTGTAGGTGCAGCCGTTGGGGACTGCAAAGCTGTTGATGCAGAAGGCCTAGTGCCTGGGGATGCCCACATTGCTGGTGTCTGCCACATTCAGGATGCCTGAGGTCCGGGAGCCAGGAAGGGTGAAGTAGTCCCTCTGTCGGCCGCTGTTGAAGCCTGCCTGGGGGTGTCATTTGGAACAGGGTCAGCCCACCTGCGTCCTCACCCTCCCCAAGGACCCAGGGAGGCCCCTGTGGGTTCCCCACTCACCTGGGCCGCAATGCCCCCCAGGCCGTGGTGGGGGCTCCCACCGCTGGCCACCCCCATGGTCCACTGGATGTCCTTGTGGTGAAACAGCACCCAGGAGGGGCCGCTGCCCAGGGCCAGCACCTCCTGGAAGGTGTTCACCTGCAGGGCAAGCGCCAGGAGCCAGGGTGTCGTGGGCTGGTCCAGGGGCACCCAGGACCCTCCTCACTGCCCAGTCCTCAACCGAGCTCCATCTGCACCACTAAGCTGGCTGCTTCCAGCTGTGCCACCTCCTGGGCCCCCATCCACACCACATCCCGGGCCCCTACCCATGCCACATCCCAGACCCCCATCCACGCCACCTCCCAGGCCCCTGTCCACACCATGTCCACAGCTGCCTCTGCTGGCACCTGTGCCAGCCTTCCTTTCACATCCCCCAGTCTCGATTTTTCTGCTCTGCTCTCATCCCCTCTCTCTCTCCGTCTCTCTCCTTTTCCTATTCTCTGTCTCTCCATCTGATCATCTCACTCCTCTCGCTTGCTGTCTTGCCTCCTCTCTCTCGCCATTTCTCTCCCTGTTCGTGTCTTCCCTCTTTCTCACCCATTTTCTCTACCTCGCTGCATCTCCATGCTTCCGTCTCTCTGTCTCTCTCTTCCCGCCCCCTCTATCTCTCCCTCGTTCCCCCATCTCCGTCTCTCCTCCGTGGTGTCTCCTCCTTACCCAGGAATCCAAGCCCTTCTTCCCAAGGGGTTGGGCCAAACAGCCTCAGCCTGGGCCCTTCTCTGCCACCCGCTTCCTCACCTGGGGACCAAGTGCCCCGTAAAATGGAATTTGGTCCCACATGGCCACCAGCAGGGCGCAAGGGGTGGGCGGGGCATGGGGGAAGGCTGAGGCCAGGTCTCAGGCCACCTGCTGCGGCAGCTCTGGCTGGCGGCTCTGCCGGTACCACATCTGGCCCCTGCTCAGTGTGGACCCATTGGCCCAGAACGGGACTGCGAAGGCCTGGCCCATCTCCTGGGGAAATGCCTCCAGTGTGAAGAGAGCCACAGGCTCCCCGAAGGACACCAGCCCATTGGTGCAGAACTGGGGGAAGTGAGGAAGGGCAAGACCCGCAGGGGGGTGTTGGCAGGGCAGGGGACAGAAGAGGGACAGGGCCCGCCCCAGGAAGACAGAGGACGAAGCCAGAAGGAGCCAGGAGCTATAGATATAGACAGGCTCCGAGTCAAGAGTGGGGTGGGGAGAAGAGAGAGAGCCCAGGGACCGCACGGTCAGGGCCAGGGCACTCACATAGGCCGTCCCGTGTGTGGCTTCAAAGAGCATGAAGGGCTCCAGCAGCCGCAGCTCCTCAGAGAAGTCATCATCCTCTGCAGGGAGGGCCTGATCCCCACACTCCAGCCCATAGGGGTACAGGAGCGAGGCTGGGGACACGAGACCACTGAGGCTCCCCTCAGAGCCCCAGGGCAGGGCTGTGTCCCCTCAGTCCCCAAGAGAAAGCTCCAGGTCCCCTGAGGGACTCCAGGGTGGGGCCATGGCTCCTCAGACCCCTGGAGCCCTCCCTGCCTGTCCACATGGCCCTGTCCTCTCTCCAGGTTAGGGAGCACATCCATTCTCACCTCTGATCTCCTTGCTCCAAGTCACTTGGTTCTGTAGGACTGAGGGGAAGGATGTCAGCTAAGGGCTGGGGCCCACGTGGCACAGTCGACCCCCTTCCAGAGTCCCCACTCCTACTCACCCACCAGCAGAAGCCACAGTATCCCCATGGTGGCTGCAGGTGCTGCGGGCCAGGCGGGCTTATACCAGGGCAGAGGTGGGGCCAGGGTGGGGACGGGGCAGCTGGAGCTCACCTTCCATTGTTCGAGGGTCCAGGGGGCCTGGGGGTCTCCCAGGGATCCTGGTTCCCATCCGGTCTGCCTGAGGCTGGGCCAGGTCTGGGGTTGGTGGGCAGGGCAAGGGAGGAAAGAGGGGATGGAAATCTTCCAGGGCTTTCCCAGGGGGCCGGGTTGCCAGACCCTGGAGGAACCCCCCACCCATTAGCAGGGCTGGGCACAAGTCAAGCGATCCACAGTGGGAAAGTTGAGCCACTGCTTGGTGAAGGGCCGCTGCTGACAGACAGCTGAACATGCAGGGAGCCTCTTCCCATGGGGCCCTGCTGGTTCTCTTGGAGCAGGTTAGAGATGAGCACACAGCATCCAGGAACGGAGTGCATGTGCATCAAGCAGGGCCAAGATGTGTGGCTGGGGAGACTCGTGGGCTGCTGGCCAGCCCCGGGGGCCCAGGGGTGGGCATCTGCAGGGCATGGCTGGGGCTGCCATGGTGGATAGTCAAGGTCAGGCATTTAGGAGTGTTACTGGACCCAGAAGGGGAGATTCGCCTGGAGACGTGAACGGGGAGACGGGGAGGAGGAGCATACAGGCAAGGGGGCTCGTTACTGTGCACCTGTGAGATTCACGGACCACCCTGGTGGAGGAGGCTCAGAGTTAGGCACTGGGGACTCCATCTTCAAAGCAGTGTCCCAAAGGGGTGCTCCAGACCCTCAAACCCCAGACAGCCCTTTACCTGGTCAAACCACATGGGACAGAGGGTCACCTGTGTTCCTGGACCAAACTGAGGATTAGGCTGCTATTTCTCATGGCCCAGTGATGAGATGCAGATAAACTGGGAGAACAGGGAGGTTTTTTTTGTTTTTGTTTTTGTTTTTGTTTTTGTTTTTTGAGACGGAGTCTCGCCCTATCGCCCAGGCTGGAGTGCAATGGCACTGTCTCGGCTCACGGCAACCTCTGCCTCCCGGGTTCAAGCAATTCTCCTGCCTCAGCCTCCCAAGTAGTTGGGATTACCAACACCCACCACCATGCCTGGCTAATTTTTGTATTATTAGTAGAGACGGGGTTTCTCCATGTTGGTCAGGCTTGTCTCGAATTCCTGACCTCAGGTGATCCGCCTACCTCGGCCTCCCAAAGTGCTGGGATTACAGGCATGAGCCACCGCACCCAGCGAAAAGGGAGTTTTTATTTCTGTAACTGGTTATAGGGTGAAAGCCTGGAAATTGTCCCCAGACCAACTCAAAATTACAAAGTTTTCCAGAGCTTATATACCTTCTAAGCTATATGCCTGTGTGTAAGTGTAGTTTCTTCAGACCCCCAATTAAACTTGTTTAATCCTAAAAGGGTCCTGTTAAGAATTCATTCTTTATCTTGTCATGCTTTAAAGCCCAGGAAAGGCCTGAGCAAAACTCTTGGTAGGCTTTTGTTACATTCCAGCTTTTGTATAGGGCACTGGCTCTATCAGCTTTTAATATTTGACTTAGCCACTCAGTCGGTGCTGAAACAGTTGTTATGGAGGCCTGCGTTAGTGAGACCTGGCCTGCCACACCTGGGCCCAGTCCTCATTCGAAGGCTCCTTTTTGCACCACCAGTCCAAGGAGTGTCTGGGTTAAGGCATCCCATCTTTTTCTCCAGAACACCGCCAGCATCTGGACACATGCACTTCCCTAGCGGTCCAGGGACCCCCCCACCACCCCGCCAGGGAGAAAGTGTCCGAACCTGCTCAGCAGAGAGAGGCTGGGAATGAGAGCTCAGTGCCATATCCCGAGCTGTTCCAGCCCCAGGCCCCAGCGCCAGCCCTGCCCCTCGGAGGTGGACCTTGGACGGGATATGCAGCCCCTCTGTAGGACAGCAAACCCCACAGACCCTCCTTCCCAGCTTGCATGGCGATGAAACAAGTGTTTCCCAAAGGGCGGCACATGGGCTGCTGGCGGGAAACCCCGGGAGAGTATAGGATGGCAGTGAAGAAGGAATTGTTATTATTTCACTAGCATTTGTTTATTTAATACATTTGTTTTGATTTATATTGAAAAACATATATCTGCCACCGCCACATCAAACCCACAGTTTCTTTTTTTTTTTTTTTTTTTTTTTGAGACAGAGTCTCGCTCTGTCGCCCAGGCTGGAGTACAGTGGCGCAAACTCGGCTCACTGCAAGCTCCACCTCCCGGCTTCACGCCATTCTCCTGTCTCAGCCTCCTGAGTAGCTGGGACTACAGGCACCCGCCACCATGCCTGGCTAATTTTTTTGTATTTTTAGTAGAGATGGGGTTTCACCGTGTTAGCCAGGATGGTCTCAATCTCCTGACCTCGTGATCCACCCGCCTCGGCCTCCCAAAGTGCTGGGATTGCAGGTATGAGCCACTGCACCCGGCCTCAAACCCACAGTTTCATAAACATTATTGTTAAAGTCAAGGCTGGCAGGGCACAGTGGCTCATGCCTGTAATCCTAGCACTTTGGGAGGCCAAGGCAGGTGGATCGCTTGAGCCCAGGAGTCTGAGACCAGCCTGGGCAGCATAGCGAGACCCCATCACTATCAAAAATACAAAAATTAGCCAGTCTCATAACCCGGTCTCAAAATAAATAAATCAATAAAAATAATACATAAATAAAGTCAAGGCTAAGCTTAAAAAAAAAAGACACACACACACACACACAAAAGGAAAAGAGATAATTTGAATAAAACAATACAAGTAGTACCAGCGGTATTTGTTTGCCCCTAAGCTCCATAAAGTTGGTTTGTCCTGTCCCCTATATTTCTCCAATTCCTAGAACAGTGTCTGGCACATAATAGGTGCTTAATAAATATTATTTGAATGAATGAATAGCAAAAATTAAGACAGCCACTTTCAAACATCTGAATTTGGGGAAATACTGAAGTAACATGTATAAAACTCTCAGTACAGTACCTGTCACATAGGAAGTGCTCAAAAATATGCATGGATATGTTTATTAATATAAATTATTATTATTATTTAGAAGTGAAACAGGCATTGTGGCCAAATGCTAATTAGTGAAGTATTAAATTAAAGATTTGCCCAAAGCTGACTATCACCTTCTTAGAATGAACTTCTGTAATGTAAGAACAAATGTGAAAGTGTTCTAAAAAGTTATTACTGTCATAATTTTATTATCCACAATTTTAGCAGGGAAATATTTCAGGTTGAACACCTTACTGAGGGATCATTTCTCTGCTTTGTCAGCTGTTAATTTGCTCCGATAGTCCATAAGCTCCTAGGGCAGTTTTAAGATGTGGCCCCAAATTTTTTGACCTGCCTTCCACCACCAAAGGGTGGGGTCTCCATCTCCTCCTCTAGGGTCTGGACAGGTTTGTGATTGCTTCAGCTGACAGAGTGGAGCAGAAATGAGGCTGGGGTGTAAAGGCCAGTGTCTGCTGGAATGCTCACTCTGGAGCCATGAGCCACCACGTGAGAAGTTCAAATGTCCTTGGGTAGCCATATTGGAAGGAAGCCCAAGTTAGCCAGACAATGAGTCCACAGTACCAGCTGAGCTCAGCTTTTGAGTGATCCCAGCCCGGATACTAGACTTGTGAGTAAAGAGCCTCCTTTTGGGATACCGAGGCAGGAGGGTCACTTGAGCCCAGGAGTTCAAGACCAGCCTGGGCAACCAGTCCCATCTCTACAAAAAAAAAATAAAATTAGTTGGGTATGGTGGCACACACCCGTAGTCCCAGTTACTTGGGAAGCTAAGTTGGGAGGATCGATTGAGCCCAGGTGGTAGAAGTTTTAGTGAGCCATGATCACACCACTGCACTCCAGCCTGGGCGACAGAGTGGGACCCTGTTTCAAAACAAACAAACAAAAGAAGCCTCCCTATTCCAGTCCCTGTTCCTTTAGGCTTTCTAGCTAAGGACCTGGTCATCAGGGAGCAGAGACAAGCTGTGCCTGCTGTTCCCTGTCCAACTTTCTGAGCTGCAGAATCCATGAGCATTTACTGTACCCACTAGCTTTGGGTGGTATGTCATGCAGCAAGAGCCAAAACAGCTCCTCGCTTCATAACTGCAGGATTGAAACAGTGTTACTTTTTATGCAGAAACTAAAGTCCATCTCCCTACTTATGCTGCTATCTGAATGTTCACAATAATTATTTCTGAATATAAAATGAATAGCCTTCACCATCATTGCTAATCATGGCTGTGATTTTATGTATGAAATAACTGTTGTGGCAGAGTAGCTGTACATTTCTCCTTCAACCCAGCTGGGAGAATGCCAACTTATAACCACATATGGAGCTATCTGTTCCAACTAACATCCAGAAAGCTTTTCTATATTTGAAAAGGACTATGTAGATATAAATGCTAAATAGGAATGCAAAACTTGGCTTGGGTTCCTGATGTAGTTGCACTAATTCTGTAAGATGGGTCAAATATTTCTGATTCTGAGCGGCACCACAATGACATGGAAGTAATTTTCATATTCAGCTTTTCTGAAGACTGAGACCCTGGCAGGAACTGAAAGCAACCTTGTGACTGTTATTATTCTTTTTAAATATCTTCCTAGCTCTTTGGGGTGAGTGGCAAGGTTGCTGGGAGCAGGAGGAGAAACTGAGGCTCACTGACCCCTGGCATACAAGGGAAACCAGTGAATGGCTGTTGAGTGAATCACAATCTCCCCAGCCCCTCCACTCCTCCAACAAAGCAACAGTGCAGACAGAACTCAGAATGGCTGTCAGAGGCGTTTGAACCAGAGCAACTCCATCTTAAATAGGACCTGGGTAAAGTAAGGCGGAGACCTGCTGGCCCGCATTCCCGGTAAATTAAGGCATTCTAAGTCAGAGGATGAGAGAGGAGGTCGGCACAAGATACAGGTCATAAAGACCTTTCTGATAAAACAGACTGCAGTAAAGAAGTCGGGAAAACCCACCAAAACCAAGATGGCCATGAAAGTGACCTCTGATTGTCCTCACTGCTACACCCCCACCAGCGCTATGACAATTTACAAATGCCGTGGCAATGTTGGGAAGTTATCCTATATGGTCTAAAAAGGGGAGGCGTCAATAATCCACCCCTTGTTTAGCATAACTAAATAATAAATCAAGACTAAATCAAGAAATAACCATAACAATGGGCAACCAGCAACCCTCGGGGCTGCTCTGTCTATGGAGTAGCCATTCTTTTATTCCTTTACTTTCTTAATCAACTTGCTTTCACTTTACTCTGTGGACTTGCCATGAATTCTTTCTTGCACGAGATCCAAGAACCCCTGGGGTCTGGATCAGGACCCCTTTCCAATAACATGGCCACCTGGTTTTTATTTTCCCAGCAGGATGCCTGTTGGCTTTTAATGACCAAATTTCCATCAGATCCCCTAGAATAAGGCCACATCCCCCCCAGACTTCCCAGGGCAGGGCCATGCCTTCTTCAGTGCCCCTCACACCCGCCCTTCTCCTCACCAGAGCAAACTGTGTCCCTCCAGGACATGGTCACCTCAGTTTAGAACCCCCAGGGTGGACCATGTTCTCTCAGAGTCCCCAGACTTCCTAAAACACAGGTACAGTACATTTCTCAGCTGGCAATTACAAAGGAAAACTCAGTCACTCCGTGTTGTAACTCAATACGTTTCTAACAAAGCAAGCCGTAGGTCAGGTCTCAAATTACATCCCACATGCCATGGGTAGAACACCACAGCCAGAGGTAGACGTTTGGGGAAACTGCACTGAGGCTCTGCTAACACGATGTGGGCCTGGGGGCTCCTGACCAACAAAGCAGTGGTGGGGCTCAACCTCGCCAGGGGTGTGGGGATCGGGGAGTGACGCTGGGATCGTTTTCCAAATGCACAGTTTGTCAGTTTCTCAAAGGAGCTCTTGTAGATCATCTATATTTTAGGAAGCTGGGCTGGGTGCAGTGGCTTAGGCTTGTAATCCCAGCACTTTGGGAGGCCAAGGTGGGCGGATCACCTGAGGTCAGGAGTTCGAGACCAGCCTGCCAACATGGTGAAACCCGTCTCTACTAAAAATACAAAAATTAGCCAGGTGTGGCAGCAGACATCTGTAATCCCAGTGTCAGGCCTCTGAGCCCAAGCCTGCATGTATACATCCAGATGGCCTGAAGTAACTGAAGAATCACAAAAGAAGTGAAAATGGCCGGTTCCTGCCTTAACTGATGACATTACCTTGTGAAATTCCTTCTCCTGGCTCAGAAGCTCCCCCACTGAGCACCTTGTGACCCCCACCCCTGCCCGCCAGAGAACAAACCCCTTTGACTGTAATTTTCCACTACCTATCCAAATCCCATAAAACGGCCCCACCCCTATCTCCCTTCACTGACTCTCTTTTCGGACTCAGCCTGCCTGCACCCAGGTGATTAGAAAGCTTTATTGCTCACACAAAGCCTGTTTGGTGGTCTCTTCACATGGATGCGCGTGACACCCAGCACTTTGGGAGGCCGAGGCAGGTGGATCACCTGAGGTCAGGAGTTCGAGAGCAGCCTGGCCAACATGGTGACAGCCCGTCTCTACTAAAAATACAAAAATCAGCTGGGCGTGGTGGGGCACGCCTGTAATCCCAGCTACTCGGGAGGCCGAGGCAGGAGAATCGCTTGAACCCAGGAGGCGGAGGTTGCAGTGAGCTAAGATCACGCCACTGCACTCCAACCTGGGAGACAAGAGTGAAACTCTGTCTCAAAAAAAAAAAAAAAAAAAAAAAGGAAATTGCTTGGAAGCTGTGGTCCATGGGTGATGTATGATAATTGTTATTATTTAAAGTCATGGTGAACAGGCTCCCCCGCTGAGCCTTTCTTCAGCAGAACAGCAGGTTTTCAGCAACATGCGGCTGACTCCAGGCAGGAAACCCCTTAATGTGTCACAATGTTGGGGCAGCAGTGCCCCCTGGTGGCCATCGGGGCTGCATGAGGCTCTGCAGAGGCTCTACAGAAGGGGGTTCCTCCCCAGAAGCTGCCCAGATGGAGAAAGGGGTTGGGGGAGGGTCTCAGGCTGTGTTCCCAGCGTCTCCCTATCTCCACCTTACAGGGCCCCGTTTTCCGTGTTGGTTCAAGGTAGATGTCTTTTTTGCTCACTGAGCATCTATTTCCACTTCTGGAAATAGCACCCTATTTCCTTTGGGACTCCCACACTCAGGTCACACGATTCTTGAAGGCCTAGCGCCTCCCACTCCACCCCGCTCCACCCCTACCGCGTACATCCGGTGCACAGTGATTTGCCAAGGGATGAGCACGTGACCCAAATCTGTACAATGGGAGCTGGGCCTGGGTTTTTGTTGTTGTTGCCTGGGACTTTTTCTGCAGTGATTGGGAAAGAGTTTGTGTGGAAGGGGACATCTCTCTCTCTGGTTGTAGGAGAGGCTGCTTGGAAATGAAGCTAACACAGCCTAAGGCAGATTTGAGAGAGCAGCTGGATCCAGCTGTACCTGAAGCCAATTTGCTCCAGGAAAATTCCAGTTAAGTGAACCAATTAAAATCTTAAATCTCAAATCAGTGGGAACTGAGGGACCCACACTCTCTGTCTGATTTGCGCCAGGTCCTAATTCTTCTCTTCCTTCCTGACAAAATGTCCTCATTGCTGTGTACATTTGTAAGCTCGGAGGCCACATTAATCAAAACCATCTTTATTATTTAAAGAGCATCCCGTCATCAGGGGCACCTAGACAGGAGTCCCAGACAGCAGAACAATATTTACATGGGGGTCAGGAGGGTGAGGTTGGGTGGTCTCGGGGCTGAGTGGGCCCGCCACTGTGGAAGAGAGGACCCTGGAGGGAGGGTGTCCTTGGACCTGTGGACCGGGCCCAAGAAGAAAAACGTCCCATCCTAGGCCCAGCGTGGATCCCACCACCGGGATCACCTCGGGCCCTGGAGGCTGCGCAGCGAGAAGCCACCGGTCAGAGCTGGGTCACCATGCCGCTGGCTTCGGAGTGAGTCTGGGGAAAGACAGCTGGGGGCTCCCGAGGTCTGAGAGGCTTCCACGTCCCACCACTGGCTTCCCTTCCCCAGGAACCCTTCAAAGTCCATCTGTTCCCAAGGGGGGCCCTCTTCTAGGCCTGAGCGTAGGTTTCCTAAAACAAATCTCTGCCTCCCTTCCCCCATTAGACACCCAAACGTCCCCACCCTGGCTCCCATCTGGACCCAACTTTCACCTTTATGGCCTGGAAGATCCACTCCCGGAAGTCACTGACTTTGGTGTAGACGCCTGGCTTCTGGGCCAGGGCACAGCCAGTGCCCCAACTCACAATGCCACACAGCCGCCAACGTGGCGTCCGAGAGATGCTGTCCTCACACACAAAGGGACCACCGCTGTCGCCCTGGGAGGGGAGAGGGAGGTCTGGCTGAAGGCCAAAGTGGTTGGACAGGAGGCCCACCCCGGGATGACATGGGCTGTGGCCCCAGAGCCCTCAGGCTTTTAGATGGGGAGCCTGACCACCCACTCCCCTGCATCTCCATCCCTGGGGTGGCAGCGACCAGGGGGCTGCCCCTACAGAGTCCCTCACCTGGCAGGCATCAATGCCACCCTCGGGGTAGCCAGCACAGAACATCTTGGGCTTGATCTGGTTTCCATAGAAGTCAGCGCCATTGCAGACATCATTGCTGATTATGGGGACTCGAGCCTCCTGGAGTACCCCGGCCTGTTGGCCTGGGGGTGTGCAGGCAAGGCTGGCCAGAGCTGGGGGGTGTACACACCCCCCTTCCCTCCTGGTGCCCACCCCATTCCCCTCAGCGTCCCTACTCCTCATGGTCAAGACTCATCCAACCAGCCAGACTGCCCATCCCCAGCCTAGTTCAGAGTCTCCCAAACGGTGGCATCAGAGGCAGAGGACAGGACTCACCATAGTACTGCGTGTTGCCCCAGCCCGTCACGGTACAGATCTTGCCATCCACCAGGGCCTGGCCGGCAGCTGGGAGGCACACAGGCTGGATGTATTCTGTGAGAGAGACAATGCTGGTCCAGCCCCCGCTGGCCTGCCCCACCTGGTACAAACCTCTGTCCAGCTGCTACCATGGCCCCTAACACACCCTGCCCTCTCTGTTCTTTAAAAAAAAAACCACAATAGGCTGGGCACAGTGGCTCATGCCTGTAATCCCAGCACTTTGGGAGGCCGAGGCAGGAGGATCACTTGATGTCAGGAGTTTGAGACCAGCCTGGCCAACGTGGCGAAACCTCATCTCTACTAAAAATACAAAAATTAGCCGGGCATGGTGGCACGCACCTGTAATCCCAGCTACTCGGGAGACTGAGGCAGAAGAATCACTTGAACCCAGGAGGTGGAGGTTGCAGTGAGCCGAGATCATGTCATTGCACTCCAGCCTGGGCGACAGAGCAAGACTCTGTCTCAAAAACAAACAAACAAACAAAAAAGCCACAACGGAAGTCGCCACGTACCAAGAGCTCATCGCATACTAGGCGCCTTCCTGCACCATTTTCTTTAATGTTTCATCAGCCCAGAGAGGTAGGGTCTATATTATCCCATTTTAGAGAGGGGGAAAATGAGGCCAAGTCACGTGTCCAAAGTTTCATAACATGTATGTTTTAACACAGCTTGTTTTCATTTCTAAGCCTGCAGTGTCACCCAGGCCAGAGTGCAGTGGCAGGAACATGGCTCACTGCAGCCTCGACCTCCTGGGCTCAAGCAATCCTCCTGCCTCAGCCTCCCAAAGCACTGGGATTACAGATGGCAGGTGCCTGTAATCCCAGCTACTCAGGAGGCTGAGGCAGGAGAATCGCTTGAACCTAGGAGGCAGAGTTTGCAGGGAGCCGAGATTGCGCCATTGCACTCCAGCCTGGGTGACAGAGCAAGACTCTGTCTCAAAAAAAGAAAGAGAGAGAGAGAAGAAAGAGAGAGAGAGAGAGAGAGACACTCCTATCTTGAGACATTTGACTTCCACCTAGCAGAAAATCATAATAATAAATACACAGGTCTACAGAGAGAGTGGTAACCCTGAGATGTGGTGTCCTTGTGCAGTGCACAACCTATGCAAGGGTTCCTGGCAGCCCTGCCTGTTGCCTGCTGCCTGCTGCCTGCTGATGACATCACCTGCCTGAGTCTTAGAGCTCTCAGATGTAGAATGGAAATAATAATCACTTATCCCCAGAAGTTGTAGTGAGAAATTGGTGAGTCATTGAGTTGCATGCCAGGCAAACAGCAAGTGTTCATATAACTAGTAAAAGTATTAAACAACAATAGTAGCAATTGCTAACATTTACCAGTGTTCACTATGTGCTGGCAGTTCTCTAAGCTCTTTACTCATATTAACCCTTTTAATTGTCTCAATAACCCTAGGAAGTCATTTTACAGATAAGGGAAACTGAGGCACGGTGAGGTGAAGCCATGTGTCCAAGATCACACAGTTGGCAAATATCTGAATCTGACCCCAAAGCCCATGCTGTGACCCCCTCAGCCCTGTGTCTGAAATCCCAGCCGCTTCCACCTGTCCACCTGTCCTCAAAGATGCGTCCTTACTTCAATATTAACTCTCTCACTCTTTTCACTAAGGAGAAGGGTGTGGCAACGATCTTGGCTCACTGCAACCTCCACCTCCTGGGTTCAAGTGATTCTCCTGCCTCTGCCTCCAGAGTAGCTGAGACTACAGGTGCCTGCCACTACACCTGGCTAATTTTTGTGTTTTTAGTAGAGATGGGGTTTCACCACGTTGGCCAGGCTGGTCTCAAACTCCCGACCTCAAGTGATCTGCCCGCTTCAGCCTCTCAAAGTGCTGGGATTACAGGCGTGAGCCACCATGTCAGGACAGGGTTTGGTTTTAAAGAAAAGCATGTATCACTCCCTTCAATGGGAAACCAGTACCACAGATCATGAAAAATAAAATAAACATAAAAATAAACATAATGCCAACCCCAACATGGCCCTGGATTCTCCGTCACCACAGCGTGGGGGCCACAAGCACAGATTCCAGTGCCAGTCCACCTGGGCACAAATCTTTGCCGTTCACCAGCTGTACGAATTTGGGGCATTGTTTGCCTTCTTTGGGTTGGGACCTTTTCCTGGGTGGAAAACAGGATCTTAAGAGAACCCTCCTTACCAGGGTGTGCTGGGGTTGCTGTGAGAACTAAGTGAGTCCATACACAGGACATATTTGGAATGGTGCCTGGCACACTGCTATGTTTACCAGATTATTTTACTGTGTTGTGTACACTCATCATGTACTCCCTTATTCCCTTTTACTACTTCATGATCATGAACTCGCTATACTCGAATACTCAATCATGAACTCGAATACTACTCGCTATTACTACTTCATGATCATCATTATCACCGTTATTATTATTATGTTCTGAGACAGGGTCTCGCTCTATCAACCAGGCTGGAATGCAGTGGTGTGATCATGGCTCACTGCAGCCTTGATCTCCTGGGTGATCAGGTGATTCTCCTGCCTCCGCCTCCCAAGTAGCTGGGACCACAGGCGCGCACCACCACAGCCAGCTAATTTTTTTTGTTTGTAGAGATGGGGTTTTGCCATGTTGCCCAGGCGAGTCTTGAACTCCTGAGCTCAAGCGATACCCCCACCTTGGCCTGGGATTACATGCCCAGCCTATTTTTATTATTATTATTACACTGCAGCCTGCTGAAATCTGAAGCCCAGGGCCTGCTTTTAATCCAAAAGGAAGATGTATGTGTTGGAGAGGTGTTAAGGACATGTTGGCACCTAAGTGAGTCTCAGTAAGACCAAGGGAATACTCCAGGGAATTGCAGAGGGAATGACTCCTAACTTACTTTCTAAGTCTGATTCATTCATTTTTAACACATTTTCTTTTCATTTTATTAGTTTTTTGGTAACAGCTTGATTGAACTACTATTCACATATTAGACAATTCCTTTTAAAGGCACAAGTCACTGGCTTTTTGTGTAGTCACAGACAAGTGCAACCATGATCATGATCGACTTAGAATCTTTCATCACCCAGACAAGAAACCTTGTGTCCTTCACCAGTCACCTCCCAATCTCCCATCCCCACCTCCCACCCTGCCACCATCAATCAACTTTCTATCTCTACCGATGTGCCTATTCTAGACATTTCTTTTCTTTCTTTCCTTTTCTTTTCTTCTTTTCTTCCTTCCTTCCTTTCTTTTCTTTCTCTTTCTTTCTTTCTTCTTTTTTTAACAGACAAGGTTTTGCTCTGTTACCCAGGCTGGAGTACAGTGGCACAATCCTAGCCCACTGCAGCCTCAAACTCCTGGGCTCAAGTGATCCTCCTGCCTTAGCCTCCTGAGTAACTGGAACTACAGGTATCCGTCACCACACCTAGCTCATTTTTTTAAGTGATGGGGTCTTGCTATGTTGCCCAGGCTGGTCTTAAACTCCTGAGCACAAACAATCCTCCCATCTCAGCTGCCCAGAGTGCCAGGATTACAGGCGTGAGCCACCGTGCCCAGCCTTGTACATTTCATACAAGTGGCATCCTACAGTATGTGGCCTTTGCGGCTGGCTTGTCTCATTCAGCACTGTTCTCAAGTTTCATCCTTGTGGTAGCATGAATCAGTACCTCATTCATTTCTATGGTCCAATATTCTCCCGTTGTGTGGATATACCACATTTTTTTTGTTATTTATTTATTTATTTTCAAGATGACAGAGCCTTGCTCTGTCAGCCAGGCTGGAGTGCAGTGGTGTGATCTCGGCTCACTGCAATCTCCACCTCCCGGGTTCAAGAGATTCTCCTGCCTCATCCTCCCGAGTAGCTGGGATTACAGGCGTGTGCCACCACGCCAGGCTAATTTTTGTATTTTTAGTAGAGATGGAGTTTCACCATGTTGGCCAGGCTAATTTTTGTATTTTTAGTAGAGATGGAGTTTCACCATGTTGGCCAGGCTAATTTTTGTATTTTTAGTAGAGATGGAGTTTCACCATGTTGGCCAGGCTGGTTTCAAACTCCTGACCTCGTGATCCACCCACCTCGGCCTCCCAAAGTGCTGGGATTACAGGCATGAGCCACCGCGCCCGGTCAATATACCACATTTTCTTTATGCATTTGTCCGATGAAACAGTCTTGGGCTGTTTCCATCTTTGGGCTATTATGAATAATGCTGCTATGAACACTGATGTACGAGTTTTGGTGCAGACACAGTTTCCATTTGTCTTAGGTATATACCTCCTGTCCTGGGAGTGGAAGTGTTGGGTCCAATGGTAACTTTATGTATACTTCTTGGGGAAATGCTGGCAAATTTTCCAAATTGGCTGCACTGATCATTGATAGTTAAGGCCCACTTTGTGCTCCCTCGAGATCATTCCCCTTATTGCCAAGGATGCCTGAGCCATAAGTTGATTGCCTTGTGCCCCTGGTCCCCTCCTCTGTCCTCCTGGCCTCGGGTCCTCAAGCCCCATGGCTCAGCCCTTAGACTTACCTGTGAGGGGCAGGGGACTGGAGAGGTGGACCAGGGCAATATCGTTGCTGTTCTCCTCGCTGTTGGGGTCCCGAAAGGGAAGATAGCCCCCGTGGTAGACCACAGCCTGCACCCCCAGCTGCAGACCGTGGGGAGAGGCCTGGGCCACGGCACCGGCAAACACTCGCCATCGGGACAGGACCCGGTTCCGCCTACCAGGGAAAGGGGTGGAGGGTGGCCACCTGCCTGGGCACAATCCGCCCTCCTCCCCACTGTCTCTCCGCTCCTCTGCCTCCCCATCATCAGCGCCATTGGGGGGCACTCACTCCGGGAAGCAGTGGGCGGCTGTCAGCACCCAGTCCCCGGAGAGCAGGGATCCCCCACAGAGGTGTGCTCCATCATAGCGAAGGCTGACTTGCCACGGCCACCGGCCCAAGCTGGTGTCCCGGCCTCCCACGATGCGGTCCACGGGCAGCTTCCTGCGGCCACAGTCTGTGGGACAAGGGTCAGCAGGGGGCGGCGACAGGGGACTGGAGCCCAGGTCCCCAGAGCCCAGGCTTGGCCCTGCCCTAGGGGGTCTGAAAGTACATGGCCCCATCCTGGGGAGCTTGAGGGGACGTGGCCTCCCCAAGGGCCTAAAGGAGAGGGTTCTGAGTTTTAGGATCTCACCTTGGCAGATGGCGGCCAAGAAACGGCCTCTGGGGCAATCACTGGGAGAGATGGGATTGGAGACACAGAAAGAAAGGAAATAGAGACCAGTTAAGACAGGTGGAAGGAAAACGGGGAGAGGGAGTGCCTTGGGGGTCTGAGGTGTTGCCCCACCTGCCCGCTGCCCTCCTCACCACACGGAGATGACCTCCAGCAGCCTCTGGGTGTGGGGCAGCCTCCCCTCGTCCACACAGAAGAAGCCCGACGTGCCATTGGCGCCCGCCGTTCGCACGTCCAGCTCGGAGTGGGTCAGTGCCCTGGGCGGGGCAGGGGTTAGGCCTGCTCCCCAGCCCCTCCCGGCTCCCACCCCTCCGAGGGCCCCCAGTACCTGAGGAAGCCCATCTCCTCGCAGCTGAGTCCGGCTACCCTGGCGTTGGAGCGCGAGGAGCACAGCAGCCGCCACGTCCCTTCCGTCTTGTCAAAGACCATGAGCCGAGCGTCCGCAGAGCTGACCTGCACTGCAGGGCGACAGGGCCCGGGGCCGCCTGGGTCCCACAGCCAGGCTCCCCACATGCTTCCCCAGCCGGAGCCCCTCCTGGCCTGTGCTCCAGCCATGTGGTGTAGACGTGAACCCCAGCCCATCGGAGGGTTGCAGCCCCCACATCTGCGATTGCATCTGGAATCATGACTCAAGGACTTTTTTTTTTTAAAGACAGGGTCTCGCTCTGTTGCCCAGGCTGGAGTGTAGTGGTGTGATCTTGGCTCACTGTAGCCTTGACCTCCCAGACTCAAGAAATCCTCCTACCTCAACCTCCTGAGTAGCTAGGACCACAGGCGTGCACCACCACACCTGACTAATTTTTTTGTTTGTTTGTTTTGTTTTGTTTTGTTTTGTAGAGACGGGTCTTGCTATGTTGCCCAGGCTGGTCTTGAACTCCTAGGCTCAAGCAATCTTCCTGCCTCTGCCTCCTAAAATGCTGGGATTACAGGTGGGATTACAGAGCACCATGGCACTCTGCCAGACTCAAGGACTCAGGTCGGACCAATCAACAGCAGCCTTGAGGCTGTGGCCGGCCCCTCCGCGAACCAGGGGAACTTCACTCTCCATTAGAAGTCCTAAGTTGGCTGCTCAGGAGCTGCAGGTCTGGAAGGTGACTTGGACATTCGGGAAGAAAAAAAACCATTTAACCAAGTTCCCAAGAGAATCCAGCACTTGAGGCTGGATCTGTTAAGGGTCATGTTCACCCTCTTGAGGGAAAAAGTGAGCTAACGTGGAGGAGAGTCAAGAGATTTCTGATAACATTTTATTTTATTATTGTATTTTTTGTGGAGAAACCGAAGCTCTTTATTAGTATGTTTGTCATTTGTCTTTTTCCATTTGTCTTTGGTCACACCCTTAACTCATATAAAAAGACCTCTCACTTTATACGTACACAGACAGCATATGGAAAATAGAAGAACAAATTTGTTGCCAGTTTGTAGATCATAGCCTGGTTTCTTCATATGAACTTTTCCATAGCTATATGGAGTAGTATTATTATTACATAATATAATATTAATATATTGTTATAATATAATATTAATATATTGTTATAATATAATAATATATTATTATAATATAATATTAATATATTATTAGAATATAATACTAATATATTGTTATAATATAATATTAATATATTATTATTATTATATCAAACAGATTAACTCTCCTTCCAGAGTGATTTCTATCTTTTAAAATATGTATTTATTTGGGAGGCCGAGATGGGTGGATCACAAGGTCAGGAGTTCAAGACCAGCCTGGCCAAGATGATGAAACCTCGTCTCTATGAAAACTACAAAAATTAGCCAGGCATGATGGCAGGTGCCTGTAATCCCAGCTACTCGGGAGGCTGAGGCAGGAGAATTGCTTGAACCTGGGCAGCAGAGGTTGCAGTGAGCCAAGATCGTGCCACTGCACTCCAGTTTGGGCGACAGAGTGAGACTCCATCTCAAAAATATATATGTATTTATTTTATTTTTATTTATTTATTTTTTTGAGACGGAGTCTCACTCTGTTGTCCAGGCTGGTGTGCAGTGGTGCAATCTCAGCTCACTGCAACCTCTGCCTCCCGGGTTCAAGCGATTCTTCTGCCTCAGCCTCCCGAGTGGCTGGGATTACAGACATGCACCACCATGCCCAGCTAATTTTTTTGTATTTTAAGTAGAGATGGGGTTTCACCATGTTGGCCAGGCTAGTCTCAAACTCCTGACCTCAGGTGATCTGCCTGCCTCGGCCTCCCAAAGTGCTGCGATTATAGGTGTGAGCCACTGCACCCGGCCTTAAAATATGTATTTATTTTAATTGACAAAATTATATACATTGATGGTGTACAAGATGATGTGAAATATGTATACGTTGTGGAACGGCTAAATCAAGCTAATTAACACATGCACTACCCTTTGTGTGTGGTGAGAACACTTAAAATATCTTTTAGCAATGTTCAAGTATATAATATATTGTTATTAACTATAATCACCATGTTGTTCAATATATCTCTTGAACTTATTTTTCCTGTCTAATGGAAATTTTGAATTATTTGTCCAACAAGACATTTATATCTTTAAATTAAATAATATTTAATCATTTTGGTATAAATACTTCTCATTTCTTAAACTTACCCTTCTATGTTTTATGAAAAATAACTTTAATAATATAGTATAAATACATATCAATTTTTAATATCGGAATTCATTTCCCATCTGATAACTTTTTTTTTTTTTTTGAGACAGAGTCTCGCTCTGTCACCCAGGCTGGAATGCACTGGTGCAACCTTGGGTCACTGTAACCTCCGCCTCCCGGATTCAAGCCATTGTCCTGCCTCAGCCTCCCGAGTAGCTGGAGCTACAGACACATGCCACCACACTTGGCTAATTTTTTGTATTTTTAGTAGACACGGGGTTTCACCATGTTGGCCAGGCTGGTCTCGAACTCCTGACCTCAAGTGATCTGCCTGTCTTGGCCTCCCAAAGTGCTGGATGACAGGCGTGAGCTACTGCACCTGGCCCCCATCTGATAACATTTTAAAGCCCCTTGATACAGCCAGGTTTGAAGAACCTCTGTGACTGTCGGTTAAGTGAGTTAGTAAATCATATCCCCTTTTGTTTTTAGCCAGTTTATTTTTTCTTTTTGTCTTTTGTAGGCTGAAAACCTTTGACTAATACACCAGACTGCCAATCTTGACTATTGCCAGATTGATAATCAATATCCTATAGTCAGAAAGAAAAGAAGAGGGAAAGAAGGAAAGAAAGAAAGAAAACAATAATGCTCTTTTATGCAGGACTTGTCAGAGCCTTGGATATGCTAAAGTGCGTAATTCTCCAGGCAGAGGATGGAGTATTCATTCATTCACTCAGCAAGCGTTAACTGGACACATACTCCATGCCCAGTGAGGGGTGATCCTGGAGACACAGATGGCCGAGACAGTCCTGGGCTTTGCTTTCGGCAAACCACATTATAGGGGATAGGGAGACAGATGGCCATAAAATGTCACCCAGCCAAACACATCATTACAAATTGTGACATGAGGCAGGGCTGGGATATACGAGAAGGCTAGAGGGAGCTCCCGGGAGACTGTTCATGTCTGGGGCTGGTTGGGGGGCAATTTGTGGTGAGAACAGATGTCCCCTGAAACCCCTCAGTCTGTTCCCCACACACCTCAGAGGAACCTGTTAACACCTAAGTCAGGTCACAGACCCTGGGGTATTGATTTCTATTTACCAAACACTTTGTACCTGCCAGGCTCTATTTTAGGCAGTGAACAAATCACCACTGCAATGAACAAATCAGACAAAAACCCCGACCCCTGTGGAACTCAAAGCTCAGTAGGTGAGACAAATCAAGAAAGGGACAAATAAGTAGGATATATTATGTGTCACAAGATAGGAAGGGGCCACAGAGAAAAATAAAATGCCACCGAGGGAGGGGAGTGCCGGCATGGAGGGTGGGGTGAGGTTGCACTTTTCAGTCGCTGCAAGGAGAGCGTCCCTGGGAAGGTGGTGCAAGAACAAAGACCTGCAGGAGGTGAGAAAGTGTCAGGAGGTGTGTGAGATCAGCACGGAGACAGAGGGACTTGCAGATGCAAAGATCCCAAGGCTGGTGTGGGGGACTGGGGGGAGTGCTCCAGGAACAGTGGGAGGCCAGAGCAGAGTGAGCCAGGGAGGGGCAGATCAGGTGGGAGCTAGAAATAGAGCAACATCAGGGCTTTGCTGGCACCTGGTGTGAGGTGCAGCCAGGGGAGGGCCCTGACCTGACTCAGGTGGTCACCAGCTCCCTCTGGCTGCAAGTGGGGAACCAGCATGAGCCACTGTACCTGGCCCCCATCTGATAACATTTTAAAGCCTCTTGAGGCAGCCAGGTTTTAAGACCCTCCAGAATTGCCGGTTAAGTGAGTGAGTCATATCCCCTTTGTGGGATATGATTGGGGGGCAGGGATGGGAGCAGGGAGGCCAGGGAGGAGGCTCTGGGATGTCCAGAGGGGAGGGGAAGGGGGCTGGAGCAGGGTGGGGGCAGTGGACGGGGAGAAGAGTTCAGATTTTGGAGAGGTTCTGTAGGTGCAGCTGACAGGGTTTCCTGCAAGATCTGATTCATGGGTGACTGGAGGAACTGGGAGGGTAACCGAGGGGTTTGGCCTGAGCCTGAAAAGATGGGGCTGACAGAGATGGGGACGGAAGGAGCAGGTTCAGGGAGAGATCAGCTGTGAACCTCTTTGTCCTTTCCTTTCCTTCTCCCTGCCACTTTTTTTTTTCTTTTTTGAGACAGGGTCTCGCTCCACCACCCAGGCTGGAGTGCAGTGGCACGATCATAGCTCATTGCAGCCTCAACCTCCTGGGCTCAAACGATCCTCCCGCCTCAACCTCCCAAGTAGCTAGGACCACAGGGGCATACCACCACACCCTGCTAATTTGTTTATTTTTTTATGTTAGGATAAAGCTGAGTGACAATAGCCAGGTTAGAACCCAGCAAAGCCTGAGCTAAAAACGCCTTTTAAATTTATTTTTTTCTGTAGAGACAGGGTATTGCTATATTGTCCAGGCTGATCTCAAACTCCTGGCCTCAAGCAATCCTCCCACCTTGGCCTCCCAAAGTGCTGGGATGGCAGGTGTGAGCCACCATGTCTTTTTGTCCTTTTCTCAAGAGCCTCCTGCCTGGCCTGGGCTCTGAGAGCACATTCTGGGAAACCGAGTCAAATGAAAACTTGCTTTTGCATCCTCTTAGAAGGAACCTGGTGAGGCCACACACCAGCTGAGGGGTCTTCCCACAGCCCCGCAGGTTGGGACAAGGAGAAGCAAGACTTCCAAGTAGAACTCTCCCCAGCTGAGGACCTACTGTGTTCCTGGGGCTAGGCTACCTCTGCCCCACCATCAACCAAGGCCTCGTCGCACACCCCAGGAGCCACGAAGATCATCCCCAAATTCCAGACGGGGAAGCTGAGGCTCAGAGAGGTGGGGTGGCTTCCCCAACGTCACCAAATGCACGAGAAGCAGGGAGAGAGGATTCGAAATCAGGTCTGAGTGACTTCAAACCCCAAGCTTTTAACATTGCCCTGGACAGCCTCTCAAGAGACTTCCCCTCTGGAGGGTTAAACAACAGCACAGTAATAATAGCACTGGCTACGTTTACTGGGGGGTGTCAGTGGGCTGGCCCCATGCTATGCATCCTATCCAAGTGGCTCTCTGAATCCCACAACCATCCTCGGAGATAGTGACCACTTCGGTTTTTTTTTTTTTTTTTGAGACATAATCTTGCTCTGTTGCTCAGGCTGGAGTGCAGTGGCATGATCTCGGCTCACTGCAACCTCTGCCTCCCAGGTTCAAGCGATCCTCCTGCCTCAGCCTCCCGAGTAGCTGGGATTACAGGCACATGCTACTACACCTGGCTAACTTTTGTGTTCTTAGTAGAAACAGCGTTTCACCATGTTGGCCAGGCTGGTCTCAAACTTCTGGCCTCAGGTGATCCACCTGCCTTGGCCTCCCCAAGTGCTGGGATTACAGGCGTGAGCCACTGTGCCCAGCCAGTAGTGACCACTTCTATGCCCATCTTACAGATGGGAAAACTAAGCCTCAGAGGAATAAACTTGCCCAGAGGCACACGGCTAACCAGCAAAACCGGGACTTGAACCCAGACCAGCATATTCCCTGTTCCTTCTGTGGGTCTCATACAAACCCTTGCCTGTCTCCCTGCCTAATATATTCAGCTACGGCTGGCACTGAAAAGCCACCTGGCTGGCCTGCCTTAATGATGGCCTCCTGCTCTGGGGTTGGGGCAGGGAACGCCTGGCACCTCTGGCTGTGGGGTCCTCATCACCCCATGAATTCCAAGGCCAAGTCTCAGGGTTTGAAACACCAACTGGGGCGGGGAGGGGGGCGGATTCTTATTTTATTTTATTCTATTTTAAGTTTGTTTTGAGATGGAGTCTTGCTCTGTCTCCCAGGCTAGAGTGCAGTGGCACGATCTCAGCTCACTGCAACCTCTGCCTCCTGAGTTCAAGCGATTCTCATGCCTCAGCCTCCCAAATAGCTGGGATTACAGGCACCAGCCACCACGCCCGGCTAATTTTTGTATTTTTAGTAGAGATGGGGTTTTGCCATGTTGGCCAGGCTGGTCTCCTGACCTCAAGTGATCTGCCCATTTGGGCCTCCCAAAGTGCTGGGATTACAGGCGTGAGCCACCGCACCGGCCTGGCCTGCCTTAATTACGGTCTCCTGCTCTGGGGTTGGGGCAGGGAATGCCTGGCACCTCTAGCTGGGGGGTCCTCATCACCCCATGAAAGCCAAGGCTTGGAGTTTGAAACACCAGCTGGGGCAGGAAGAGGGGTGGATTCTTATTTTAAAATGACTGTTAACTGCTCTGGAAATGTGATTTCCAGAAAGTGTGAGGTTTTAGGGGGGAAAATCACTTTATAGATGTGTGTTGGGGGAGATGGGAGTGGGGAGAGAACATCAAATGTCCCCTCTGGCTATTTTTAAAGTCACACTCTCTGCTGCTGTTTCTCACTTTTAAATTCTTTATTCTTGTTCCTATCATTTCAGGCAACACAAAAAGGATGTTCTGGGTCACCTGGTGTGCCTGCCAAGTTGTTGGATATATTTAGAAGTGTGAAAATCCCAGGAAAAAAAAAGCGAGGTGGGGATACAAGCTTGGGGTTGTTTTTGTTTGTTTGTTTGTTTCATCATTTCCCTGAGTTGTTGAAAAACCCAAATACCTCTGCAGGGTGGCGGCGTGGTGCTGGCCAGAGCCGGGTGTGAGTGGTGGCCTCGCTCCTTTCCAGCTGGAGGCCCATGACTCTCTAGTTCATCCCAGTGTTTTGGCTTTGGGTGCACTCATAACTCAAGGATTTCCTGAGAACCTACTATGTGCCAGGCACCGTCTGACCACAAAAGGTCCCTGCCTTCCTGGAGTTCGCCAGGAGTAAATAATTCACAATGAGTGAGGAGGGTTTTACCGGGGTGGCAGGGACACACCATAGGGTGAGAGGCCATAGAGTCTGGAAGTCCAGGAAGATCTTGCTCAAGAAATTTCAAGAAAGAATTTCAGGAGTGAGATACAAAAGCCAATGTCCACTGTGCTGGCTAAGAGGCAAGTACTGCACAGCCTTTTTTTTTTTTTTTTTTTTTGAGACAGACTCTTGCTCTGTCACCCAGGCTGGAGTGCAGTGGCGTGATCTCAGTTCACTGCAACCTGCAACCCGCGCCTCCCAGGTTCAAACAGTTCTCCTGCCTCAGCCTCCTGAGTAGCTGGGATTACAGGCGCCCGCCACCACGCCTGGCCAATTTTTGTGTTTTTAGTACAGATGAGGTTTCACCACGTTGGCCAGGCTGGTCTCGAACTCCTGACCTCAGGTGATCTGCCTGCCTCGGCCTCCCAAAGTGCTGGGATTACAGGGGTGAGCCACCGCACCCCGCCCAAGTACTACACAGATTTTTATCTCCTCTTATTCCCACTGATTCTTCTTACCCCCATCTCACAGATGAGGAAATTGAGTCTTGGAGAGAGTAGGGACTGGTGGGAGGCCCCACAGCTCAGAAGGAACTGTGCAGAACTGAAATCTGCCTCTGGGTGTGAGCTAGAAAGAAGTGGGTGAGTAGAGACTTCTGTGTGAGCAGGTCATTTGAGCAAGGGACTGGGCCCTGAGGGTGCTAGAAGCCAGTGTGAGGTGGGGGTGGAGAGGGGCCTCCACACTAGGAGGCTTGGAGCCTGTGATGGGTTGGGATTTTATCTCAATGCCACGTGTTGTCACGGAGGGGCTTTTGACAGGGGCGTGATCCCTTCGCTCTGTCTCTGATGTGTGGTCAGCCTCGGGCAAGTCAGTTTGCTTCACTGGGACTCAATTTCCCCCAAATGCAAAATGTTGGGATGTAACAGCCCTAACTTCATAGGCCTGCTGGGTAAAGGCTGCCGCCAGGGCCTGGCATATGTCAGTCTTTACTATGGCAATGAATTCAGCTGTTCTTTTTTTTTTTTTTTAACAAGCAATCAAGTGTAGACACTATATACAGTTACTACGCAGGCTGCCTGGGTTCAAATCCCAGCCCTGACACTGACTAGCTCCATGACCTGGGGCAAGTCACTCAGCCTTTCTGTGCCTCAGCATCCCCATAGGAAAATGGGTTGTGGTGGTGCACACCTGTAATCCCTGCACTTTGGGAGGCTGATCTGAGAGGACTGCTTTGAGCTCAGGAGTTCAAGATCAGACTGGGCAATGTAGCAAGATCCCATCTCTACTAAAAATTTAAAAAATGAGGTTGGGTGTGGTGGCTCATGCCTGTAGTCCCAGCACTTTGGGAGGCCGAGACGGGTGGATCACCTGAGGTCAGGAGTTTGAGACCATCCTGGCCAACATGGTGAAACCCCGCCTCTACTAAAAATACAAAAATTAGCTGGGTGTGGTGGCACGTGCCTGTAGTCCTAGCTACTCAGGAGGCTGAGGCAGGAGAATCACTTGAACCTGGGAGATGGAGATTGCAGTGAGCCAAGATCGCGCCACAGCACTCCTGCCTGGGCGACACAGCGAGACTCTGGCTCAAAAAGATAAAAATAACAATAATTTGTTATTGACAAAATAATTTTGTGTAGGCATGGTGGCATTAGCCTATAGTCCCAGCTACTCAGAAGGCTGAGATGGGAGGATTGCTTGAGCCCAGGAGATGTAGGTTACAATGAGCTAAGATCGTGTCACTGCACTCCAGCCTGGGCGACAGAGCAAGACCCCATCTCAAAAAAAAAAAAAAAAAAAAGAAAGAAAGAAAGAAAGAAAAAAAAAAGAAAAGAAAAACAACAGGTTGTTGGGAAGACTTAATGAGTTGATATCATAAGGTCCCAAGGCCTTGGCTGGTGCATACAAATGCTAAGTGCTGGTAATGATGATTAATGTTGATGTTGGCTTTTCTTGTCTGGATTTTCATTTCTGATTTTAGTGTGAACTGAATCCTTTATGGAATTAGATGAGGCTCACAGACATGAAAAATACATCCCACCACCCAACTTCCCCTTTTTTCCTGCTGTCCTGCATCAGGGAATGGCAGCTTGAAGTTGGCATTTGGGAAGATTCATTCATTCATCCCACAGTTAGTTTCTTTATCTATTTATTTGTGTGGCCATTCATTCCACATGCCTGCAGACACACTTACAGTGGATAAGTCTAAGAGCTGTTCCTGGCCCCTCGTTCCCCAGCTGCATGTCCTCTCTGGTCCTCATTTTGCACATCTGTAAAATGGAGCTAATTACCAGGGACAGGCGCAGTGGCTCATGCCTGTAATCCCAGCACTTTGGGAGGCCGAGGCGGGTGGATCACAAGGTCAGGAGATAGAGACCGTCCTGGCCAACATGGTGAAATCTCATCTCTACTAAAAATACAAAAAATTAACTGGGCATGGTGGCACACGCCTGTATTCCCAGGTACTTGGGAGGCTGAAGCAGGAGAATCGCTTGAACCTGGGAGGCAGAGGTTGCGGTGAGCTGAGACTGCACCATTGCACTCTAGCCTGGGTGACAGAGCAAGACTTTTTTCTTTTTTAAAACAAACAAACAAAAAAACTACCTCCTAGGAGAGTTAGAAGGGTCCACTGAATTTATATCATGCCTCCCCAACATGTTTTCACCATGCCACGCAGTAAGAAACACATTTTTACATCCTGATGTAGCCCATAGCTCTGTAGTCTGGGGCAAACTGCTGCATTGCTCAAAGCCTCAGTTTCCCCATCTGTAAAACAGGGAGAATAACAGTCCCACCCTCAGAGTGTGGGGATGCAGTGGGATTACATGTATATGGATGCAAAAAAAAAAAAAAACAAACAAAAATTAGCATAACCTTTACTTACTGAGAGATGTACTGTGATAGTCTGTAATCGAATCTATTTCATACTTAAAAAAAAAACATGGTTTTCCAACTCACTAATTTAATTTTATGAGGCACTCATGAGTAATACACTGGTGTCTGAAAAAGTCTGGGTTAGACATGTGGGGTGCTTAGAATAGTGCCTGGTACATAGCAGGCACTCAATACAAATGCACTATTATGATTAGCATTTCTGCATGCATTTGTGCATTTATTCAACAAATACGCTTGTTGAGCTCCCGCCAGATACACGTGTCCTCCAGGGCTCCCCCAGAGGGTCCCAGCCTGCTCCACTCACCTGGGTACAGCGGCTCCTGGTCACTCCTGAGGAGAACAGCCACTGCAGAGAAGGGAGGGGTGAGGGCAGGCAGGCTGGAGGCTGCAGGGGCCAGGGGAGGTCAGAGGCACAGGAACCGCTCTCACCAATGGCCCAGGATGCCGCCCCGATGGCTGTCAGAAGTAGCAGGGTCCCCGCAGTGAGAGCTGCCACCTTGGGTCTGGAGCAGCATGGCACAGTCCGGCCACCTGCAACAGACACCATGCTGGGGCCACAGCCAGGCCTGTCCTCATTGCGGCAGGGTCTGGGCCCGAGGCCAGCTCTGCCCTGCCCCCAGGGCTAACTTATTATGCCCAAGCATGTCCTCCCCAGGCCCAGTTTCCCGGGGCCAGCAGTTGACAGGGCTGTTCCTCCCCTGCCGTGTGAACAACCAGGTGCCCAGCTCCCCCAGGGTTCCAGCTGGGAGGGGGGCATGGCCGGGCCACCTGCCACGGTCTCCACCTCCGCCCTGCACTTTCCTGGCACTTAGGGAATGTCTCCTCCCCAGTGACACTGTGCTTTTGTATTTCTGTCTTTGCTTTGGGCCATCTCTTCTTGGGACTGTGACCCCCAACCTTTGCCCTCTTGGTAGCTCTCTTCCCTGCCGCTGGCATTTCCTCGCTGCCTCAGTCGTTTCTGCTGTTCTAGATGCTTTGCCCCTAGATACCCCCTAAATCAGACCTCTCTCATGGTACCCAGTTGCAAGATCAAATTTGCCCCTCCACTTGAAAATCTGCCAGCCTCATTTTATTTTATGTATTAATTTTTTTAGCGACGTGGTCTTGCTATGTTGCCCAGGCTGGTCTCAAACTCCTGGGCTGAAGCGATCTTCCTTCCTCAGCCTCCCAAAATGCTGAGATTACAGGAGTGAGCCACTGCGTCTGGCCAGCCTCATTTAAAAATATTGACCCTACCCCTTCCTAGCTGGAACCTAAGGCAGGTGCCATCATATCTTTGAGCCTCAACTTTCTTATCTATTAAATGGGCATCCACTGAGCACCTACTTCTAAAAATAATAATTTAAAGTTATTTTCAAGAAGAAGAAGAATAGCTCAAATTGTATTGATGCCTCCAGGTGCTAAGCACCGTTCTAAATACATCAGCTCATTTAGTCCTTATTTCAATCCCACAACTATGATTCCTGTTTTTGAGATAGCTCAGAGAAGTGGGGTCACGTGCCCACAGTGACAGCCTGGAAGAGGCAGAGCAGCGTCCAGAACCCTGGGCAGGTTTGATGCCAGGTCCCCTGTGTACAGCCACGAAGCCATCCTGGCTCTCACTGTGCGGAAGTGCCTGGCACATAGCAAGTTCTCTATAAATGCTTTATAAATCATCAGAGATGTGTGGGCCTGAGCAACTCCCCTCCCCTCTCTGAGCCTCAGCCTCAGTTTTTTTCTTTTCCTTCCTTCCTTCCTTTTCTTTCTTTCTTTCTTTCTTTCTTTCTTTCTTTCTTTCTTTCTTTCTTTCTTTTTCTCTCTCTCTCTCTTTCTTTTTCTTTTTTTTTTTTTTGAGACAGGGTTTCACTGTGCTGCCCAGGCTGGAGTGCAGCGGCGCGATCATGGCACACTGCAGTCTCAAGCGCTCAGGCTCAGGTAATTCTGAGCCTCCCGAGTAGCTGGGATTATAGGCGCACACCACCACACATGGCTAATTTTTGTATTTTTTGTATTGACGGGGTTTGCCATGTTGACCAGGCTGGTCGTGAACTCCCAGACTCAAGTTATCTGCTTGTCTCAGCCTCCCAAACAAAGTGTTGGAATTGCAGGCGTGAGCCACCGCGCCTGACCCTCAGTTTTTTCATCAGCCTAAAGAAGCTTTATTTGTTTACCATCCTACTGAACATCCGCTGTGTGCCTGGCACCTTTCTAGGTTCCGGGAACATAACCCAAAGAAGACAGATAAGGTTACGACTCTCAGGGGTTCACGTTCTCATGCGTGTAGGTGGGGAGTGGGAGACATTAACAAGGAAACAAGTAAATGAACCCAATAATTTCCAGATTGTGGCAGAGGCTGTGAAGAAAACCGTGCAGGCTGGGGCAGCAGGTGGGCTTCTGCAGGGGATCAGGGATCACAGGGCCTCCCCTAGAGGAGACTTCTGAGCTAAGCTCTGAAAGGTGAGGTGCCAGCCACACACAGACCACAAGGAAGGGCACTGTGGGCAGAGGGAACAGCACAGGCAAAGGCCTTGAGGCAAGAATAAGCAGGCTCTCTTATGTCAGAGGCTGGAGAGGCCATCGAGATGGCCAGATGGCCAGAGCTTGGGGAAGGTAGTGGGAACCAAGGCTGGGGCCAGCTGGGGAGGCCTGGTGGCACAGGAAAAGGGATTTTATTCCCAGGGCAAAGAGGTCCTGGAGATTAAAAGCCAACTCCTAGCCGGGCTCGGTGGCTCACGCCTGTAATCCCAGCACTTTGGGAGGCCGAGGTGGGCAGATCACGAGGTCAGGAGATCGAGACCATCCTGGCTAACACGGTGAAACCCCGTCTCTACTAAGAATACAAAAAATTAGCCGGGCGCAGTGGCAGGCACCTGTAATCCCAGCTACTCGGGAGGCTGAGGCAGGAGAATGGCTTGAACCCGGGAGGCAGAGCTTGCAGTGAGCCGAGATCGCGCCACTGCACTTCAGCTTGGGCGACAGAGCGAGACTCTGTCTCAAAAAATAAATAAATAAATAAATACATAAATAAATAAAAGCCAACCCCTTCACTAGGGATTATAAGAAGGCCAAAGAGTAAAGGCTGCTGAAAGCCTTCAGCTGGGCCTGGCTTGGGTTCAACTGCCCTTGGCAGCCGCAAAGCACCCCAAGGTGGCAGGAGCTCCCAGCTCGCCCATCTGCACCCATGGTGATGTGGCTGGTGAACCCGGCACCAGGCCAGCACCTGGAACAGAGCAGGGAGTGGTCTAGGACCTTCCTGGTGTGGCCATTATCTGGGTGTCTTAAGAATTTGAGAGCTCAGGCTGGGCATGGTGGCTCATGCCTGTAATCCCGGTCCTTTGGGAGGCTGAGGCAGGTGGATCACTTGAGGTCAGGAGCTCAAGACCAGCCTGGCCAACATGGTGAAACCCCGCCTCTACTAAAAATACAAAAATTAGCTGGGTGTGGTGGCGGGCGCCTATAGTCCCAGCTACTCGGGAAGCTGAGGCAGGAGAATCGCTTGAACCCGGGAGGTGGAGGTTGCAGTGAATCAAGATTGCGCCACTGTACTCTAGCCTGGGCAACAGAGCGAGACTCTGTATTAAAAAAAAAAAAAAATTGAAAGCTCAGTGGCTCCCATCAAGGCATGAGGAAACACTCTCTTCCCCAAAAGAGGCCCCAGTGGGCCAGACCAGCCCAACTACTGCCGGCTGACCCCTGCCTGTCCTGCGAGGGGTTCTCAGGCCTGCCCCCCAACTCTGCCCAGGACCACTCTCCAGGTTCCAGCAGGAGGTCTTGGCTCCCGACAGCCACTGGGCTGGTCTTGCTTGCTTTGTTTTCAGCTGTGCCTGCCAGGGCTCTAGGCCATGCAGAATGCAGCCTAGAGGCCTTGGCACATCTGGTGGGACAGGAAGCAATGCCACTATGTATGTGTCTCCTAGGGTGAGAGGAAGAACCTCCTTCCATGCTGTGTGGTTCAGAGGACTTCAGCGCCTCCAGTGGGACAGGAAGCATCTGCATCCTGGGGTTCCCCCAGTATGAGAGGCATCCTCCCTGCATGTCTCTACTGGGACAGGCAGCATCCTCATCTGGCCCACGGTGTGGGACGCATCCTCATCCTCCCTGCGTGTCTCTACTGGGACAGGCAGCATCCTCATCTGGCCCAGGGTGTGGGACGCATCCTCATCCTCCCTGCGTGTCTCTACTGGGACAGGCGGCACGTCAACATCAATTCTTTGATCCCAGCAGCAGGGCTATTTCCCTTGGTAAGCCAGACCTCCCCCACCCCTACATCTCCCTGAGACTCTCTGCCCCTGCTTCTCCAGGCCCCTCTGGATGCCTTGGGTCTTCTCATAGGTCAGTTCTTCCGCCTCCACCATTTGGCTGCAAAGACCCCCACGCGTAACACCTTTGGCTCTCTGGCTCTGAAAATCCACTCAACTGGTGGCTCCGTGTCTCGGGCCTCATCTTACATGACTGCAGCTTCCTGTATAAATGCTCTCCTCTTTGGACTTCTGGGACACCAGGCGCACCTGATTTTCCTTCCCGCCTCTGAGGCTGCTGTCTTCACCCACCCTCTACCTACTCCGTAAAATCCAGAGTTTGTAGGGCTGGCCGCAGCCTCCCCCTGCTCCTCCTTGCCCCTAAGTCTGTCTCACCCACCTCTGTGGACTCAGTTTCCCCTCTGTCCCCAGCCCTAGACCCTCTTCCAGGTCCCAGGTCAGGGCTCCTGCAGTCCTTTAAATACCTTTTAAATACCTTTCCCTGGGACCTCCTAGTCCCTTTGCCCCTACCAGGTCCCAGAATGTCTCCCCAATGTCTCCCCAAGTATATTCTTCCTCCCGGTCCTGTCTCAGAGGCCCTCACTCCTAGGACCATCCCCATCTGCATAACATTCCCCTCCCCCGACAGCCTGCCAATCCTCCTGAGTGACTCTCCTTCCCCCGTTTCCTTCTTTCTCTCCATCTGCACCTTGCTCCGGCCCCATCCAACCGCTGGGCTCAGTCTCCCTTCTAGCGCACCCTCCACACGGAGGCTTGGGGAACCTACTGAGACACCAAATCCAACCTGTCCCCTCTTTACCTATAGAACCCTCTGTGACTCCCTAGTACCCCCCAGACAGCTTAAGTCCCTCAGCCTGGCATTTCCAGCCCCACTAGGGTATAAGCATGGCTTTCAGAGATTTGGGAGTATGTTTCCCCCAATTCTCAGACAACCATGTGGGTCACTATCAGGTACCAGAGAGAGCTTCCAAAAAGCAACCCAAACAGTAGAACTTGTAAAATACAAGTTAGACAAGAGAAGCAGGGACTAACCACTGGCGCCACCTTGTGGAGAGACCTGGTACTGCAAGGAATTGGCCAGCTCTTCCCCAAAACAGTCCCACCCCTGCCTGGTCCAGCTTGCACACCTCTTCTCCCACCCAGCTCAACTTCCAGCTTCACCTCCAGAAATACCACAATTGGCTACGTGCACACCAGTGCTGTGTCACCTCCCAGCTTCCCAGAGAAGAGCAAGAGCCTTGCTCTTCCCTCTGCCTGGCATCCTTGGAATTGCAACTCCAGTATCACCTCCTCCAATTCCAAGTTTCCAGGCAGCACCAAGAAGCCAGCAGCAATAACAGTGACACCAACAACAGCAGCCGCTGCAGCCACAACGGCTCTCTGAATCACACACGGACGCACCGCCCTACCCTAACCCCGTCCAGTCCTGCACAGCATCCTTACTTAAATCCTTGCAGCTGTTCACGAGGAAGGCGCCATTGCCATCACCCCCAGTTTACAGATGAGAAAAGGAGGCCCAAAGTCCGGCAGCCACCAAACCCGGGTCACCCGGCAAGTAAGTGCAGAATCGGAACCCTTCAGCATCTGTGTCCAGGTTCGACCTCCACACCCCTAGCCCTGACAGCAGGACTCCCCTCCAAGACCAGCCCGGAGCTGCCAGGGAGGCACCAGAGCCCACTTTGTGTCTGTTTCTCTTTGTACCCAGGCCATCTCTGTCCATTCGGGCATTTTCTGCTTTTCTTCCCTGGCTCATTCACCCATGGGCCCAAGCCCTGGGGCTGTCCTTCCGGCAGCTCCAGGAAAGAGATTGTCCCCAAGGAGCTGGATTCTGTCATCCACCTGCTCGGCTAGGGTGCAATGCCTTCTCCTGAGTAACTGGGAGCCTGGGTTCCCTCTGGACTGCAGCTGATTGGTTTGGGGTCTGAATTGCCAGCTGTGCCGAGACCCGAGGAGGCCAGAGATCTGAACTAATCATTTCAGCCAACACGCTCAGTGCTTCCTGCCCATCCTGGCATTTCAGGCCTCGCCCCACGCTGTTGGACATGCACTGTCACCCTCTCCATTTCACAGATGAGAGAATGGAGGCCCAGGGAGAACACGCCGTCTGCCCAGGGCCACACAGCTAGAAAGTGCTACTGCCCAGGACTGAGCCCGGCTATCCTGGTTGCGGAAGAAGAGAGGGAGTCAGCCCCAGCTAGGGGAAGGCAGAAAGAACAGGACGCCCCTCCATGCGCCCCTCCAGCTGGGTCCCATGTGTGAGAGGTAGAAAGGAAGCCAGGCTAGCTGGGGGCTGCCCAGAGACTCCCAAGGGCCAGCAACTCCATGACGCAGTCTCTCTCTCTCATCCTTATGGTGGTTTCTCTGCCGTCTCTCCCCTCTCCATCCATCCAGGCCCAGTCCAAAGTCCTCCCTCTGCTCTTTTGCCCACAGAGCCAGGAGGTGGAGGAATGTCTGGGATCGGTGGGGGTCCTGGGTCTCTGGGACTCCGAGTTTGCCAACCTCTGTCATGACAGCTCTGCTTGATGGCATGCGTCTTATATGCAGAGCCCCAGACCAGTGCCTGGTGTGTGTCATGCACTCAGCAACCTCACAGAGGGAGGACTGGTATCCATGCTTGACCCAGAGGGAGACCAAAGCCCTAAGAATAATGTCACTTGCACCAGATCACACAGCAAAAAAGATGGCAAGAGCAAATTCAAATGCAAGCCTGTGTGTTTCACTCCAAATCTGTGTCCTTAACCATGACAGCTACAGCTTCCCCGCCTCAGCCCCAGCAGAGGACAAGTCCAGAGTTAGCTGAGAAATCACTGGGGGATGAGGGGAAACTGAGGCAGCACGCCAGGAAGGTCACATAGGGTAGAAGGGAGGCTGGTGGTGGCACAGCTGCACAGAAAATGTGGTTAATAGTTAATCAGGTGGAGGAGGACTAACAGGGGTGGGGATGCATCTGGGAGGGGTGCCCAGAGAGAGGGGGCTCCGAAGAGTAGAGGGTAGAGAAAAGAGCACAGAGGGCGGGGCGCCAGGCAGAGCCAAAGCTGGGGCTCAGGGAAGGGGACTCACCCTCCTTCTGCGCCATGTCACTGCCTCTTGTTAATGATTCCCTGGCTGACCTCCTGGGCCAGGGTGGGACCTGTGAGGAGATGGACGGGGAGGCAGGGCCTGGGGGAGCCCAGCCCAGCCCAGTCCTGGCGCCCCCAGTCCCAGGCGTCCATCCAGGCAGGCTGTAGGGACTGGGCCTTGGCCAGAGCACGCCGTGATCACGGACGCAGATTGGGCTGGGTTCAAGGATGGGGTCAGTGTCTGACCAGCAGCGGGGGGACGCCTGGATTTGCAGGGATGGGGACCCCCATGCCTGAGCCTGGTGGAGCAGGGGACTGAGGATCCCGGTTTGAGGGAGGAGACAGCTGAGGACCTGAAATCATAAGTCTTGGGAAAGGAGGAATTTGGGGGCCAGGACTCCCTAGTATGAGGGAGGAGGGGCCTGAGGGCTGGAACTCCTGGGTCTGGGGAGGAAAGGACTGGGGTCCAACGGCTGAGTCTGAAGGAAGAGCAGGACAGAACACCTAGGTGCTTGGGGGGACGTCATAGTGCCCCCTCTTCAGGTCCCCAGGAACCCCTCTATTAGGAGGTGGGCATTAGGCTGGGTGGGGGGATGAGGGAACCCCTGTCCTCAGGGCTGGAACTGTGAGTCTGGGGGCCCTTGTCCTTACCCTGGGGTCCAGCAGGTGGGGGCGGAGCCTCGAGGTAGTGCCGGGGTCGGGTCAGTCTCCAGGCCTGGGCAGGAGCATGGTGGCCCCGCAGCAGCGGGCGGCCTGGAGGCAGAGGCGGTGGCGTGGGGCCTGCTAGGCCAGGCTGCCTCACCTGAGGAGGAGGGGGCTGGGCGAGGGGCGGGTGAAGGGGCGGGGAGGGGCCGGACCATTCGATTGGCAGCACTGGAGGCCACCTGGCTGATGGGGCCGGGCTTGTGGGGGCTGGACCAGGCGGGCCCAGCTACGGGGCTTGCCTTGGACCTCCAGGGGGACCCAGGTGTGCCTGTCTGCGGGGATGTGGGAACAGGGACAGGCCTGGCCGGAGGCTGGGGGTTTAGGGAGAAAGTGCAGGCTGAAGGGTGGGGGTCTGACCAGAAGAGATCAGATGGAGGGCCCCAGCTGCCCTAAGCCCACTCCACCCTCACCCAGCGAACCCTTCCCCCCGCCCTTTCTGCGTCCTCCAGCCCCAGGTCCTGGCTGTGCCCGCCACTTGCTGCACCTCTGCCTAATTCCCTGCCCAATTCCTGGGCCCCAACCCCAGCCCCAGCCTCTCCCGCCTGCCCTGCTCATCCTGCCCCGGCCCCTCCCCCGCTGGCTTCCTACAAGTCACGGGGCTGGTTTGCTTTGGCAGCCTCCGCCCGGCCGCGGTGACCTCTGGAGCCAGAAAGTCCTAGCACTAGATAGGGGGGATGGGGGGCTTGGCCGGGAAAACACAGCGCTAAGGGCAGAGGCCCAGGCCAAGTGGCCGGAAGCGTCCGCAGGCAGATAACACACTGTCCCGCCAGCAGCCAGGCGCGGCCCACGTCAGACCCAGGGCCAGGTAAACACCAGACGTGCAGGGTCACCGCCAGACACCTGCCCGTGCTCAACCACACGCCGGACACAGTCGGCCTCGGCTGCTTGCCCCAGATAGGCCACCCGCACAACCGGCCCCACCCGCTTACCCACACGTGCCCGCTGTGCCCAGCCAAACCCACCTCCACCGCACCCATTTCCTCCACTCAGCCCAGGGCCCCTCATTGGGACACGCTGGTTTAGCCTGGCTTCCTCTGCCTTTCCATCCATACCCGTCTCTCCTTCCCTCTCCTTCTCCCCAGCGCCCACCTCTCCAGAGACTCACACTGCTGGGCACACCACACACCCCATGCCACCCCTGCACCCCAGCATCAGCCTCGATTCTCTTCCCTCCACGGCACCCCCTCCCTTCCTGGCTCCGTTCCACTCTCCCTCACCCCTGAGCCCATGGCTCCCCCAACCCCGACACAGATCAGGCACTAAGTGGCTTCACCTGTGGGCCCTCAGGTAGGGTCCCTGGAAAGCGGGCTCGAAGATTCGGGGACGGGAATGGGGGGAAGGTGACGGGGCTCACAATCGAAACTATGCATCAAGTCCAAGAGTCTTTATTTCATGAACAAAACTACTTCTGTAAAGAGACGAGGCTGAATGGGCCCCTTTCTAGGTGGCCACAGTTCAAGGCTGGTGAGAGAGGGCGAGGTTGGGCCGGGGCAGGAGTGCATTACAGGGAGGGGGGACCCCAGGTCCAGCCGGAGGAAGCGGGAGGGGAAATGATGCCGGGGAGGGGGAGTCGGAGTGGGTCCCAGAACCCCCTGCCCCAAACTGCTCCAGCCCATCATCGCGACCCCTGCCGCCAGGCAGGGAGGAGGCGGGGAGGGGCTGGCCCCAGAAGTGCGTGTCTGAAGCGGCCAATGTGTGCAAATCAGCAAGGAGGAGGGGTGCGGGGCCGCTGCCCCCACCTCACCGCCCCCCTCCCCAAACAGGCAGCAGAAGCAGGGTGGGGGCAGCGGCAGTATTGCTTTACCCATCATGCATGGCGGTGCGCGGCCGGCGGGGCAGGAGCTGGAGGAGGCGAAAGTGGGGGTGCGAGCCAAGCCCCCTGCCCCCTCCCACCCCAGTGGCTCCGTCGGCAGGACTCTGAGGCTTTCTGGGGCCCAGGAGTGGCCACCCCCACGCTGGGGGCAGGCGGTGCCTGGAGAGTCCCCATTACGGCTGGCTCTTCCTTGAGGCGGGGCCCAGGGCCTGAAGGGGAGCAAGAGAGGGGGAATTAGGGACCTGGGGGACTTCGGCCCCTCCCAATCCCCTTCCCCTCTGCCAGCCCATCCGCCTTACCAGGGCTATTCGGCCACCTGGACGCCCGTGCAGTTCTCTTTGCTTTCAGAGGTGATGGCCAGGTATTCCGAGCTGTGGGGGAAAGGCCAGGTATACAGTGACCCCATCATCAGACCGACCCAACCCCCGGGGGATGGGGGAAGGTAGCGGTCTCCACCCCAGGTACACAGGGCTCCTTAGTTAGAGAGAGAAGGAGTCTATGGGTGGACTCCTCAGGGTCTTTGAGGAATCTGGCTGGGAGCCTGGGCTCCTGAGTTGGAGGGAGGAAGGGGCTGGGTCTGACGACCCCTATCCTGTGTCTGACAGGGAGCACTCCCCTCTGGGTAGTACTGAGAGATGGCGCCCTGGGCCGCTCCGCTGCCTCCTCCCTGCCCGGGCTCCGGAGTTCCTCTCTGGCAAGTGTGACGGTGCCCTGGGTGCCCTCCCACCTCCCAGCCACCCTACTCACGCATTCTCCTGTGCAGCAGTCTCCGTGGCGGCAGCGATCTTCTTGTAGCAGTAAATCATCTCTGCCACGAGCCATATGGTCAACACCACAATGAGCACATACATCATGATCTCAGACACGATGGATGCCATGTCTCTGTTGGCTGCAGGGGCCAGGCAGGGTTAAGGGGGTAGCCCAGGCTGCATGACAGCCTGAGTGTGCTGTGAGCTTGCTGTGTGAGCTTGGATGAGTGGCTCAACCTCCCTGGGCCTGGTGTATGCACTGTGATTATTAATACCCAGCCTTGGGTAGGCCTGGTGGGGGTCACCCTCAACCTGCCTCCCTGTGTAACTCGAGGCCACATCTGTGTCATTCTGGAGGCCCTCAGCACGGTGCCTAAAAGCCGTAGCTCTGCAACCAGAAGGCTCAGGTTCAAAGGCTGGCTCTGCCACTGGCCAGCTGTGTGACCTTGCGCAAGTGACTCAATGTCTCTAGGCCTCTGTTTCTTCAATTGTAAAATGAATACCTCCTTCATCAGAGTGCTGTGAGAATTAAATATGCTTTAAAATCCTTAGAATAGTGCTTGATCTATAAATGGCACTCAGTGAAGGTTCACTTGTATTAGTATTATTATTGTTGTTATAACTGGGGCTATAAAGCCTAATGGTTAACAGCTGGGGCTCTAGGGCCAGACTGCCAGGGTTCAAATCCCGGCTCTGCCTCTTACTAGCTGTGTGACCTCAGGCAAAGGACTGCACCTCTCTGAGCCTCTGTAAAATGGAGATGGGAACACTCAGACCCTCTCACAGGGTTGCTGGAGAGGAAATGAGTTAACACCCGTAACATGCTTGGATGAGCTCGCAGCCAGCACTGCTGAAGTGTTGGCTATTTTCCGGAAACCCTACATCCTCTCTACAGCACTGGCCCTGCCGATTGCCAGCTTCTTCTCCTTGAGCCTAAATTTAAACTGTAAAGGGAACGCGTTCAGCCAGGGGACCAGAGTCAAAAGCCACTCTGGTGTCCTCGGCTGGATTTCCTAGGTGTCCATCCCACATCTCTGGCCCCCTCCTAGATGGCTGAGATCCCATTTTCCCTGCTGTCCTCAAATGGCCTCCCTCTGCTGTGAGTGGGGCACTTTCTTTGGCTCCACCCTGTGCAGATGGCACCAGTGCTTTCTGGGCCAGAGTAAGGGAGGGAGCGGGGCCGGATGCCCCCCCTGCCTGCCCTGCCCCAGCTTCCCTGCGGGAGGAGCTGAGACAGGGTTTCCCTCTCATTCCTTCCTTCCTTCATTCATTCTTTTCAACAGACTTTATTTTTTTAAGAGACAGGGTCTTGCTCTATTGCCCAGACTGGAGTGCAGTGATGCAATCATAGCCCACTGCAGCCTGGAACTCCTGAGCTCAAGCAATCCTCCTGCCTCAGCCTCCTGAGTAGCGGAGACTACAAGTGTGCACCACTAGGCCAGGTGAATTTTTTCCTTTTTTTTTTTTTTTTTTGGTAGAGATGAGGTCTCGCTGTGTTGCCCAGGCTGGTCTTGAATTCCTGGCCTCAAGAAATCTTCCCACCTCTGCCTCCCAAAGTGCTGGGGTGACAGGCATGAACCACTACACCTGGCCTCCACACACATTATTAATGTGTCTCATGTTGTGGGCGCCTGCCATCAGTCAAGCTCTGTGCTAAATTCTTTATCCAACCATCTCCTTGATGCCTCGGAAAGCCTCAAGGATGAGCACATCCTGGCTGCCCATGGTGGCTGGTCTCAGGAACCACTCTGAGCTGGATGCGCACCGGATAAAGCCCCGTCATCGGAATTCTTGCCCCCACTCCTGGAACTCAGTGCCCAAATGGATTTAGGTAACACGGCATCTCACAGGCAGCCCGCAGATCTGAAGGCCAGCCGCGACTCTGCAGGCCGGATTTCTCACCCGCCTCAGACGCTGCTGTGCCTCAAGGCATTTTCCACTCCCGTTGTGTGGATCCAAAATAGTATTACTGTCCCCATGGGTCCCCATCTGCCTTCTCCTAACACAGGTGGGCAGCCCTCAGCAGCTTCCCAGCATCTTCTCCACCTCTTCCAGGTCAGTGAAGTTCTCACCACCATGACCCGTCGCCTCCACCTATGGAAATGGCATGGCTCATTCCTCAGGGGTCATTACCAGGAGGCAATATAGGTCGATGGGCAATACTGAAATTGCAGCGAGATGGTGGATAAAAATAATAAAAAGGTCAGTGTGGTGGCTCATACGTGTCATTCCAGCACTCTGGGAGGCCAAGGTGGGTGAATCACTGGAGGCCAGGAGTGCGAGACCAGCCTGGTCTACATAGCGAAACCCTGTCTCTACTAAAAATACAAAAGAATTAGCCGGGCGTGGTGGCGCGTGCCTGTAATCCCAGCTACTTCGGAGGCTGAGGCAGGAGAATCGCTTGAACCCGGGAGGTGGATGGAGGCTGCAGTGAGCCAAGATCGTGCCACTGCACTCCAGCCTGGGTGACAGAGTGAGACTCTAACTTGAAATAATAATAATAATAATAATAATAATAATAATAGGCTGGGCATGGTAACTTACGCCTGTAATCACAGCACTTTGGGAGGCTGAGGTGGGTGGATCACCTGAGGTCAGGAGTTCGAGACCAGCCTGGCCAACATGGTAAAACCCCGTCTGTACTACAAGTACAAAAATTAGTTGGGCATGGTGGCGTGCACCTGTAATCCCACCTACTTGGGAGGCTGAGGCAGAAGAATCGCTTGAGCCCGGGAGGTGCAGTGAGCCGACATTGTACTGCTGCACTCCAGCCTGCCTGGGTGACAGAGCGAGACTCCATTGCAAAAATAATAATAATAAGGAATGGCAGGCAGTGCTAACAAATACAGTAATATTGTGGTATTGTGGGTAATGAAAAAATACAATAGCACAATGAGTCATGTTAAAAATACTGTAGTATCAGAGGTAATGATGAATATAGTATGGTATAGAATGGAATATTTTTACATGCTACAATAGGATTAATTTTTGAAATACTATAGCATAGCATGGTGGGTAATAAAAATACCCGCCATGGTGGGGAACGTTAAAAATACGCTAGTATGATGGATTATAATAAAAATACTGTAGGCCAGGCGCGGAGGCTCTCTCCTGTAATCTCGGCACTTACGGCGGCTAAGGAGGGAAGATTATTTGAGGCCAGGAGTTCAAGACCATCCTGGGCAACATAGCAAGATCCAGTCTCTACAAAAAAAAAAAAAATTGCCGGGCGTAGTGGCTCACACCTGTAGTCCCAGCTACGTGGGAGGCTCAAGCAGAAGGATCGCTGGATTTCGGGAGTTCGAGGCTGCAGTGGGCTATGATCACGCCACAGTATCCCAGCCTGGGCAACAGAGCAAGACTTGGTCTCTTTAACAAAAAACAAAAAACTGTTGTGTTTGGCAATATTATGATAGTAAAATATATTGTGTAATATAAAATATCCTATAGTGGGTAATATAAAATACTATAATATAGTGGGTAATGTTTAAAAGGCAATACTACATATGGTGGGTAAAAAACACTAGAACTGGGTGGATAGTGCAGAAAACACAAACTCTGCAGGGCCAACATAAGGAACTGCATATGATGGTAAATGCTGGTAATAGCACAGGCTGTGGGATGTAGTGTCATACAGTGGGCAATCCTAAAAAAGAGAGGCTCAGGCCAGGCGCAGTGGCTCACACCTGTAATCCCAGCACCTTGGGAGGCCAAGGCAGGTGGATCATTACCTAAGGTCAGGAGTTCGAGACCAGCCTGGCCAATGTGGGGAAACTCCATATCTACTAAAAATACAAAAATTAGCTGGGCTTGGTGGCACATGCCTGTAATCCCAGCTACTCGGGAGGCTGAAGCAGGAGAATCACTTGAACCTGGGAGGCAGAGGTTGCAGTGGGCCGAGATCACGCCATTGCACTCCAGCCTGGGCAATAATAGCAAAACTCCGTCTCAAAAAATAAAAATCTAAATTTAAAAAAAAAAAAAAAGAGGCTCTATTGGGTCACGGCGTACAGAGGACACAACACCCTGGCCAACTGCCAAACAACAAGATGGAAAGAACCTGGGTGGCTGAACAGTGCCCTGGAGCCTCCCACCCTCTCCCCATCTCACCTCTGCAGATTTGCAAGAGCAATAACACAGGTTTTGTAAAGTCCCAGTACCGCAGGCATCTTTGTCACAGCAACTCCGCAGGCGGGGCTCCATCATCCATGTCTGCGGGTGACCCCCACCCCCCAGCATCGTGACAAACACCAGAGTGGCTCAGACATGCCTGCTGAATTGCATTCTGCTACACCAATTTGACAATAAACGTAAAAATGCTAATTATAAAAAGAAACCCACAGGCTCTGGCTGATCACAGAGTACAGTGAATCATGCCAAGAACAGAAACACAGTCACCCAAGCTCCTCTGGATTCAAGTCCAGCTCCCAATCACATGACCTTGGCCACATAACCTTCCCTCCCTGAGCCTTGGTTTTCTCATCCGTAAAATGGGGATAGGAAGAGCCCCTACCCCAGAGGGTGGGGAGAGGATTCACTAAGGGACTCCGTGTAAGGCACTGAGGCCGGCACCCATCTCACAGAAAAGATGGGCAGTGCGTGTTGCCCATGAGGATGTGTGTGCCGTGGCCCTGAGAGACCTTTCTGCCACGGCTTGTAGCTGCTTCAAGGCCTGGGCTGTTTCCCCAACTCTAAGCCAGTGGCCACAGGGCGCTGGACAATTGCAATTGATGCTGAGCAGAAGATGGATCAGAGAAGGGGCGGACCTCCCTCAGAAAAGGGGTCCAGGGTGGCTGAGGCAAAATGATGAGACGTTCAAAAGCGCTGTAGGCCCTTGCTGCTCAGAGGGTGGGCCCCGCACCTGTGGCCCTTCACTGCCTCACCTGAGAGCTTTAGAAAGGACCCCTAGGCCCGCCCCAGAGGTGTTGAGTGAGACTGCAGGCCAGCGCGGCTCCCCCGGGGCAGGAGTGCAGAGGGGTGTGCGGAACTCTGCTCTAGGTGGCACGCTCTCTTGCCTCATCACCACAGAGGGCAGCAGGGCTGAGCTACTCGAACAGTAAGAACCGCCACCCTCGCCACCACCTGCAAGGCTCTGCTGGAAGCCAGGCGTGTGCCTGCAGCTGCTCAATCCTCATGAACCCCATGATGGAAGAATGGCTCAAACCACACCCCGAGAAACACATCGGATTATTATCCCGGGCAAGCCCAGGACAACCCTTTGGCTCAGAGACAGAAGGCACCTGCCAGAGGTCATACAGCACAGGTGACAGAGCTGGGTTCTGTACCCGGAGCGTCTGTGGGGGACAGGCATGCTTTGACCTCTCCGTGGGCTGGAGAGAAACAGAGGCCAGAGCTGGAGTGGGCAGGAGGGGCTGCTCCCCTCCCCCTCAGCCCGCTGCTGTGGGCGGTTGGCTGGCCAGGCACAGAGCCAGCCTGTCCTGTCCACTGCCTGCCATCTGTCCCTCCATCTGGCTCTCCGGTGGGTGACGGTAAAGGGGCAGGCAGCACCCGACTCACCTTTGTCCACTACCTCAATGTGGATCTTCTTGACGACGCTGGTGTTGTGCTCGTAGTTTTCGAAGAAGAGCAGGCGGTAGACGTGGCACTCGTAGTCGCCCGAGTGGTTGTAGGTGACATTGGTGATGAAGATAGACAGATCCTGCAGGTCTTTGGTGCCCCGGCTGCCATTCCACACCACGCGGCCCTCGAAGCGCTCATCCTCCTCCAGCTGCAACACCTCATTCTCATAGCGCAGGATCTAGGGGTAGCCAGGGAGGGGAAGGTGTCACTGCCTGGGCCTCTCTTCCCTTACCTGACCCTGATTCTGTCCCCTGCCCTGACACCCACAAACACAGATGGCACACAGATGGGCTCAGACACCTTGACCTCAGGCAGGGAGGGCACAGGGGTGGGGGGCTAGGATCACGCCTGGAGTCAACCAGACCCCGCTTTTGCCTCTAGCCAAGATGCACACGAGCACACACACGTTCCTCAGTCATCCTCCCAAGCCCCATCTGGCCTCTAGGCTATCATTCTCTGCCGTTCTTTCCCAGCCACCAGACACACTCCTCCAGCAGAGACAGGGCAGCCTGATTCCAGCAGCTGGAGACCCCAACTCTCCAGCACGTCACAGAATTTTATGGTTCCCTCACCGATATATAATGCAAAATACACACATAGTTTAAAGGAGGTTAAAAAAAACAGTTCTGTCTTCCCTCCGTAATGACTATCAGAGACATTGTTTGCTGGTGCCAAATAAGTCCACTGACATTTATTTCATGCCAACCGTGTGCCAGGTGCGTCAATGCATTCAGTCCTCACACAAACCTATGGGCTAGAGACCACCGCCACCCCGTCTTTACCGAGGAGGAAACTGACTTTCAGAGAGGCTCACTGACTTGGCCAAGGTCACCAGCTGGCCACTGGTGGAGCCAGAATCTGAATCCAGGTCAGCAATCACAGCATATTATTAAACAAATAAGCCCCCTCCCTGAGATCCAGCCCCACCGCCTCCCACTCGTGGACCCCTGCCCTCCCATGCCCGTTCCCGGCACCCGCACACCTTGACAAACTCCTCAGTGCCCTTCTGGCGGAAGGTCCACTCGGTGAAGGTCTCAGCGTTGGTCTCGCTGCGGCGCTTGCAGGAGATGCAAAGAATTTTGAAGGTCATCCCATACACGGCCTCGGTCTCCGAGTCCACCTCCACGCAGCCCCCGCAGGCTGAGGACACTGTGGGGACAGCAGGCTCAGGTCAGGCAGAGGCACCCATTGCCCTAAGCAATGCCAGACCCCTCACAAACCATCTGTTCCCCCCTCAATGATTACCAGCAGACAGGACTGGATGCTAGGCTGAGCCCTGTCACTCACTGCGTGACCTCAGCAAGTCATTCATCCCTGAGTCTCAGTTTCCCTCTCTCTTGTTGAAAGAAATGGTCCTTTGCTTCCAGCAATGGCTGGGCCCATTTTCATACATTAGGTAGGGCCTTGTACATGGGAGGCCCCATAAGTGGGACTGTCAACGTTGCCGGTAACTCAGACTTTATGCTACCCGAGTGCCCCTTCCTCAGAAAGTCCCTTGCTGGAGGAACCCAAGCATCTAGGTGGTAGAATGAGAATTCCAGCTAAGTTAGAAGTTTAAGGTGGCAGTCATTTTCACCATTAAATTGTAAAACCAGCTAGCTCCAGGAGAAATGGGTTGGGAGAAAAGGTCTGGGGGTGGGGGATTGTGGGGAGGTGGGCACTGAAACCGGGGCTGACCCACACTCAGCCCCTCTCCACAGCCCACAAGCCCCTGTGTGAGCCATCCCCTCCCCGGCCTCTCCTGCCTCCATCATCCCCTCTTCCCCAGGCTCCTCGCCTCTAGAGCTCTTCCCACCCCAACCCCATCCACTACTCAAAGCTTTCCTGAGCTCTCTCCTGCCCCAGGGCTTTTGCAGCCCACTGAATTCCAGTCTTAGAATTCCTTCACACTCTTACCTGGCACCTCCTTTCTGCCTCCCAGCACTCTGTAGCTAACGCTGTGTCTCTTCTGCTGCAGCCCTGTGCTGTCCTTGTTTCCTGATCCTCAGGACTTCTCATCCATCCGCCTCCCCTGCGGTCCCTTTCAGACTCCCTGAGGGCCTCTGTCTCAGTCCCTCCTATCTTTGTCCCTCTCAGGGGTCTCTCTGAAGGTCCCTCCACTTTTTGTCCACTCTCTGGGCTCAGAAGGAGACCTCTCCTAATCTCTTTCCACCTTTCTACGTCTATCCCTTTTCAAACTCCATGCAAGATTCTCTCCCGGTGTTCACGGGCACCCGCATCTCCCTCTCTCTTCTCTCCATCTCCTTCTGCCTTTCTCAAGTTTCCCTTTCTCCATCGCGCTCAGTCTCTTAACTCTCTCTCTCTCTCTCTCTCTCCAATACCCCTCTCTCTGTCTCCGTCTCCCCCTTGACCCCCATGTCCCCAGCATCCCAGCGGACCACTCCGGTGCGCTCCGAGTCCTTCTCTGTCTCTCGCCCCCTTCCTCCCGTCTTCATCTCTCCCTGTCCCTCCGTCTTTCCCGTCCCAGTCTCCGGGCGCCGCCTTCCCCCCACCCCCCTCCCGCGGCTGTGGGTGTCACATTGCAGCCTGCGGGGCTCCGGGAGCAGCTGACTCCGCGTTTCCTCGCCCCCGGCTGGGCGCCTGCAGCCGCCAGGCTGTGCCAGCCCGGCCCCCACCCGCTGGAGCCCACCCTCACCTCCACTGCCCTCCCCAAGCCCGGCTCCCGCGCGCACAACTTCTGAAGCTGACTTGGCGGGGCCCGGGGATGGGCCGGGGGTGGCCCTCGCGCGGCTGCCCCGTGTCCCGAGCGCCACTCCCGCCGCCCCGCCAGTGCCCCCGCGGTGCCCCCCGGCCGCGCGCGCCCCCCGCGCACTCACCCAGTGCCGCGCCGACCACTAAGGCCAGCAGCCTCCCCATGGCTGCGCGGCGCGTGCTGCGCCCCCCTCCCGGGCCGCCGGTATTAATAGCGGGGCGAGAGGCGGCGGGACCTGGCGGCGGTTAGAATGTCCCCGGGAGCGCGCGGGCGCAGCAGCTGCGGCTCTGGGACCGGCGAGGGGGGAGGAGGGGGGGCGCGGCCCCCCCGCTCCGGTTACCGCCGGGGGCCCAGCCCCGGGGCCCGGCGTCCGGGCATCCCCGCCGCGCGGGCGGCGGCCGCTGCTCGGGCTGCTGCGCTGGCGCGCGCAGCCGGGCACATCCGCTAGGTGCACCGACCCCGGTCCCGCTCCGGCTCGGGCGCGCTCGGGCGCGGACCGCGGTCTCCTGCGCACTGCAGCGGCGGCGGCGGCGGCGGCGGCGGCGGCCTAGGGAGGGACGAGGGAGGAGAGGGAGGGGGCGGGATGAATCACCGCGGGGGGAAGGCGCGGCCGCCCAGCCTTTGCCGCAGCGGCCCGGGAGGCGCCCGCTGCACCGGCCTCTCCGGGTGGCGCAGGGACCGCGACTTCTGGGAACGGGGAGGGTGGTCTGTGTGTCTCCGACCCCGCTGGGGCTCTGAGGACCACCCCCCCCCCCCCACCTTCCCAGGGAGTCTGGAAAGGTCACCCCCAGAGTCACAGGAGGACTTAGAGCGCAGTTTGGGGGCCGGGTTTCCGACTTCAAATGATGGAGGTCATCCTCAGGAGTTCCAGAGGGCGAACCTCCAAGTTATCTCCCCTGAGCCCTGATATCCAGGCCTGGGGGTCAATGTGCAGGGACCCCAAGTAGGCATTAGAGGAGGGTGGGGGGCCGTCAGGCTAGGACTACAGCTACAATCCGGACCTCACCCAAGCAGGCGGGGCACCCTGGAGAGAAGCAGCCCCGGGAATCTGGAGGTGCTGTTTCAGGAGGAGGACCCCTTCGTGATCCCCTGCACCCATTTATGTCCCTGATGTCACCTTCTACCCCTCTTTCCTCCCACTCCACTCTGGCTGTTCAGGCCCTCCTGCTGTTCCCAACACAGGGAACCCGTTCCTGCCTCAGGGCCTTGGCCCCAGCTCTCCCCTCTGCCCCGGCTCTCCCCCCCTGCCCCGCCCCTCTCCGTGGGCCTCCATGGCTCCAATGTCACCTTCGTCAGGTCTTCTGTGTCCCTTCAGGGTAAACTGCCTTCCCCGCTCCTAACCTGACCTCCTTTACTCTTTACCTCTTGTTGAGTGTTTTCCACAGCAGCCTCACTACCTGACATTATGTTCTTTTTTTTTTTTTTTTTTTTTTTTTTTTTTTGAGATAGGGTCTGGCTCTGTTGCCCAGGCTGGAGTGCAGTGGCTGATCTCGTCTCACTGCAACCTCCGCCTCCCGGGTTCAAGCGATTATCCTGCCGCAACCTCCCAAGTAGCTGGGAGTACAGGTGTGCACCATCATGCCTGGCTAATTTTTTTATTTTTTAGTAGAGACAGGGTTTCACCATGTTGACCATGCTGGGATTACAGATGTGAGCCGCCCCCCGCTATCCCAGCACTTTGGGAGGCCAAGGGGGGCAGATCACCTGAGGACAGGAGTTCGAGACCAGCCTGACGAGCATGGTGAAACCCCGTCTCTACTAACAATACAAAAAAAATTAGCTGGGAGTGGTGGTGGGCACCTGTAATCCCAGTTACTTGGGAGGCTGAGGAAGAATCGCTTGAACCCGGGAGGCAGAGGTTGCAGTGAGCCAAGATCGCATCACTGCACTCCAGCCTGGGCAACAAGAGCGAAACTCCGTCTCAAAAAAAAAGGCCGGGCGCAGTGGCTCACGCTTGTAATTCCAGCATTCTGGGAGGCCGAGGTGGGCGGATCACGAGGTCAAGAGATCGAGACCATCCTGGCCAACATGGTGAAACCCCATCTCTACTAAAAATACAAAAATTAGCTGGGCGTGGGGGCACATGCCTGTAGTCCCAGCTACTCAGGAGGCTGAGGCAGGAGAATCGCTTGAACCCGGGAGGCAGAGGTGGCAATGAGCCGAGATCACACCACTGCACTCCAGCCTGGTGACAGAGTGAGACTCCATGTAAAAAAAAAAAAAAAAAAAAAAAAAAAAAATCTCCCAGGTGAGGATATTGTCTTGTGTCTCTTGCACCTTGAACTGTTCCTGGCACATTGTAGGTACTCAATCAATATTTGTCAAACAAATAAATGAATGCCAATGTTCACTAAGTCCTTGGGATTTGCAGAACCCACTTCTACTGCCCCAAACCTTCAGCAAGTTCTATTATCCCCATTTTACAGATGAAGAAACTGAGGCTGGGAGAGGGCCGTGCCCCTGCCCAGAGTCATGTAGCTGGCCTAGGATGGATGTGGAATCCTGCCCCAGCAGTGGTGAGTGGCCTGTCCTACCAGTAGGTTCTGCCAAATTGAGAGAATGGAGATGGGAGTTCTGGGCTGTCAGGACCAGGGTGGGAGTGAGACTCTCGGCTGAAGGGTCACTACCCAGATCCTAGCCTCCAATTCCGGGTGGGGTAAGGTCTCAGAATCCCCCTGGCCCAGCCCTGCCAGGCAAGAGGAGCCAGGGTGTGGGGCAGGACCATGGCAGAGGGGCAGGGAGCCAGGGACATCCGACACCTCTGTGGTCTAGACTTTTACGCCAGCACCTTCTGAGCTGTGAAATTCCCCTGCAGAGAATAACCCTCTTGCTGTTCCGGGCCCTTCCACTGGTGGGGGATGGTAGGTGAAGGCACAGTGAGGACAGGCCTCAGCACTGGACAGGAGGCACCTCACGGCCCTATAAGCTATGTTCAGTGAGCACCTACTATGTATGGGCTTGGTGCTGTTCTAAGCATTCTAAGCACTTTACTAACATTAGCTCATTTAATTTTTCCTATAGGTGGTATTATTATTACACCCATATTACAGATATAGAAGACTGAGGCTCAGCATGGGTACCTTGCCATGATCACACAACTAGAGGATAGGAGAGGCTGGCTCTGCCTCCTATGCCACTCCTGATCCACTCTCCAAACCCTCCTCCAGTCCCCTGCTCCAAGCCATCAGTTAGGATGATTCTTATAGCCGGGGGTGTGACATGCCAAAGGTGTCTCTACCCCACATACTCCCTCTGGAACCAGGACAAGGTTTGCGTGAGGTGGACCTGGGTTCTTTCTGGACCAGGGACTTTGCCTCCAAGCTCATTTCCTCATCTGTAAAACAGGAATCCAACCAACGTCAGCCTGAATGGGCTGTGGTGGGGTCCTGAGGGGGTTAGGACCTTGCATGTAAATGTGGAGACCCCAGGGGTCAGGCCTGGAGTCTGCCTCCCTGCTGGGTAGCCTCGGGCGTGTACATCTTTGTCTCCACCTCATGGAATCACTGTGAGAATAAAATGAACATCAGATCTTGGCACAGAGCTGGGTACGTACGTACTTGGTACTCACTACGCGAGTTACTTTTTTCCCTCTATTTTTATGCAATAAGTGTAACATTTATTGAATACTTACTCCATTCCATCTGTGCCGGGCCCTGTTATAAGTAGCCACATTTATGAACTCCTTGAACCTATAATAGTGGTTCTCAAAGTGTGGTCTGGGGCTGGGCGTGGTGGCTCACGCCTGAAATCTCAACACTTTGGGAAGCTGAGGCGGGAGGATCGCTTGAGGCCAGGAGTTCAAGACTGGCCTGGGCAACACAGTGAGATCCCATCTCCAAAAAGAAATAAAAAATTAGCCGGGCGTGGTGGCTTACACCTGTAGTCCAAGCTACTCAGAAGGCTGAGGTGGGAGGATGGCTTGAGCACAGGAGGTCGAAGCTGCTGTGAGCCATGTTTGTGCCACTGCACTCCAGCCTGGGCGACAGAGACCCTAACTTAAAACAAACAAACAAAAAACCAAAGTGTCGTCTGGGATGGCACCATGAGCAACTCCTGGGAACTCGTTATAAAGGCAGAATCCCAGCCCTGCCCCAGACCTACTGAACCAGAAATTTGGAGGGAGGGGCCCACAGTCTGTTTTTCATCAAGCTCTCCAGGAGATTCGAATGCAGCTCAAGTTTGAGAACCACTGCCTTCTAACAACCCTGAGAGACAGCTACTGCCATTCTACCCATTGCACAGGAAAGCTCACTGGAGCTCCAGGGGGCTGACCTGCTGCATTTACACCACTGCTAGGAAGCAGGATTTGAACTCCAGCTACCACGGTCTGTCCCCGGAGTTCCTGCGTTGACCTCAGATGATGTAAAGCTTGTGTAAGATGCTGCGGGAATTCCAGATCGTTTCAGTGACTATGGCCCCAGAACACAGACAGAGGTCCCCTCCCCACCATGGCAGGATCTGAGTGCAACAGGAGGCTCCCACCCACTCCCAGGGCCCCACAGGCACAGCCACAGCCACTTCTGACCCTTTATTGGGGCACTGTCGGCCCCAAATAAATATAATACATTAAACCCAGAGCTGAGGGAATCGTGCACCCCAGGAGGCGCCCCCCACAACCTCAGCCGGGCAAAATAAGTTAGTGGGGGGCCTGCCAGAGGCCGGGCCAGCTCCCTGGTCTAAAGTGCATCTCGGTTCCGTGGTCCCCACGTCTGCACAGCCCCTGGTTGGGCCGTCGGGAGGGGCGGGTGGGAGATGCCTGGCGCTCACACCGTGCCAGCAGTGGCCGCCGAGGCTCTGTGTGTCCATCTGTCCATGTGGGGGAACAGCTGCGTGGCCGGGGTCCTCAGGAAAAGCTGTCATCGGGCCGGGGCTGGGTGTCAAAGGGAGGGTCTGAGACTGTGATGCCTTGGTGCAGCTTCTCCAGCGAGAACTTCATCTGCGGGGAGGAGGTGAGCAGGGTCGGGGGTGAACGCTGGAGGCTGGGGGGTGATGTCGCCCACCCCCACCTTGCCATTGAGAAACTGAGGACGGTCTAGAGGCCATACTGCCCCACCCCAGGGTCCCTTGGTGAAAAGAGCACAGCCATGCTGCACCCAGTTTAACTTCTCAGAGGCAGCAGAGGAAGGGGCTTAGTGTGTGCCTGTGACCCCGATGGCCTAGGTTCAAATCCTGGCTCTGCTGCTTGTTACCTCAGTTAACCTCAGGCAAGTCCCGTAACCACCCTGAGCCAAAATCCCCTCATTTGAAATACGGGTCTATAACACATCTGCTCCACAGGATTATTTCAGGGTTCTGAAGAGCACTGAGAACCTGGTGTACACTAAGTGCTCAGCACATGTTAGCTGTCACCATTACCCACTCTGTGACCTCGGGCAAGCTCCTGAGCTCCTCGAACCTCTGGATGCCTCATATCGCCTACCTATGTATAAAACCGGGATAACGGCCGGGCACAGTGCCTCATGCGTGTAATCTCAGCACTTTGGGAGGCTGAGACCGGTGGATCACTTAAGGTCAGGAGTTCAAGACCAGCCTGGCCAACATGGTGAAAGCCCGTCTCTACTAAAAATACAAAAATTAGCCAGGCGTGGTGGCGGGTGCCTGTAATCCCAGCTACCTGGGAAGCTGAGGCACGAGAATCGCTTTAACCTGGAAGGCAGAGGTCGCACCACTGCACGCCAGCCTGGGTGACAGATCGAGACTGTCTCAAAAAAACTGGGATAACAAGAGCATCTTCTCAAAGGCTGGCTGTGGGGATAAAGCAGTCATGCTTAAAACCTAGAACAGCCCAGCTGCAGGTAAGTGCTCAGTCTACATCTACTGTGAGCACCAATCTGTGACGTCAACTCTGCACCCTTAGCAGTTTGACAGAGAGGAAAATGATAAAAATTTAACTCAGGGCCAGGCGTGGTGGATCACACCTGCAATCCCAGGACTTTGGGAGGCCGAGGCGGGAGGATTGCCTGAGGCCAGGAGTTTGAGACCAGCCTGGGCAACATGGTGAGACTCTGGTCTCTACAAAAAATTTTAAAATTGGCCAGGTGTGGTGGTGCCTGCCTATAGTCCCAGCTACTCAGGATGCTGAGGCAGGAGGATCACTTGAGTCAGGAGTTCGAGGCAGCGATGAGCCATGATCGTGCCACTGCACTCCAGCCTGGGCAACAGAATGAGATCCTGTCTCAAAAGAATAAAATAAAATAACGCAGGATGGGGGGCCCTGCCTACCCTCTCTATGAGTGATGGGGCCTCAGCCTTCATCTCCTCCCCACCCCATCCTGCCCCGCCCTTTCCAGTGTGAGCCTCTCCCAAGCTTGATTTCGGGGGGCAATGAGACCCCTAAAGATGAGCCTTCTGATATGGAAGGGTCCAATGAGACAAGATTTTCACCGTCACCCACAACTTCAGCTCTGATGGCCTTGGAAATGCAGGCAATGCCAGACTCTGTTTCCCATCCGCTTTCCCCCTCGACACCTTCCCCGAGTGCCTAACACTTGCTCTGACCCACCACAACTGCTGGCCTGACACTTGCTCTGACCCACCGCAACTGCTGGCCTGACACTTGCTCTGACCCACCGCAACTGCTGGCCTGAGTCTACTGGGGCCTGAGGGAATTGTCGTGTGATGACATCACATTTATTGGGCATCTGCTTTGTCCCTGGCACTAGGCTCAAACTCAGGACAGCCAGCCCACATCCAGTGTTTCCTGCAGGCCTGGCACCACTCCCAATGTCAACTTGTCTCATCCTCACAACAGTCTTTGAGGTAGCATCAGTCATTATCCTGTGCACAGAGGAGTCCACGGCCACCATGGCAAAATCACTTGCACGAGGTCACACACCGGAATTGGAACCTGGTTGTCTGAGTAGACATTGTCCCTGAACTACACTGGGTGTCTGGGTCCACTCCGTTTTGGAGATGAGACCTCAGGTCCTTTGGAGAGTCTCTCCCCTTCAGACCATGTGACCCCTTAGTTACCCCAGAGTGGGGTAGCGGGTAGAGGGACCACACGTGGCCTGCCCTGGCTGTTGTGATGTGTCAGGGGTAGGCCTGGGACCCCAGCAGCCAATGAGAGTAAGCTCCGTGGTCCCCTGTGGGGGGAAAAGGGTGGCCTCCAATGAAGCCAACCCTGGAGATGGGCACAGGGCAGAGTGGGCACGAGAGACTGACTCTTACTGCCATTGAGTGACCAAACCCGGCCGTGCCTAATGTGAGACGCCTCTGGACTTTTCTCCAGGACGTGAGCCAATCAGTTCTGTCTTCCATCCATGCTTCCATGCTTTCCCCTGCAATGCTGTGGGGTGGGGACTCTGAGCGGCTTCCTCATTTTACAGAGGAGGACACTGAGATCCGGAGAGGGGAAGTGCCTGCCGCACGGTGGGGTTTCAACACAGGACCCTGCAGCCCCGCAGCCCCGAGCCCTGCCCGAGCGGCGCCTCCTACCTCATCCAGGAGCTCCACGGAGGCCCGCAGGATCTGCCTCCACTTGTGCACCTCCACGCTGTGGAATTGCTTCTGCAGCGCCAGGATCTCGGCCCACTCTGTGGCCGTCTGGGGGAACTTGCTGTGGGGATGCCAGGCCTGAGCAGGGCCTTGGCCTCCCCCGATGTGCCCAAGCCCCCCCATTTCCCCAGGCTACCCACTCACCCCTTGGCCAGGGCCAGGCTGTGCCAGGACTCAAAGGTGTGGGCTGTCCTTTCCAGGGACCAGAGGCGGTAGAAGAGCAGGACGTTGAGGGCGATGAGGATGATAAGGCTGGGGACAGGGGTCAGAGGTCAGGATTCCTGGGGTCTAGATGCTCTGAACACCCCCAAACAACTACATCTTGTAGGGACACCTCTATCCCCCATTGCAGAGGAGGAGAATTAGGCTCAGAGAGGATGAGAGACATGCCTAGGGTTGCACAGTCCATAGCAGGGAAGTCAGTGTTCAAACCCAGGTCTGTCTGATGCCCATACCCTTGACTGCCATGCCAGGCCACCTCCCTGGGGGAGCTGGGGGGCATGGGGTGGGGAGAAGAGGCTGCAGCAGGGGTGGGGTGCAGGGAGGGGAGGGCAGGGGGAGGACTCGGGACCCTACCTCACACAGATCCTGCAGCAGCAGCAGTGAGGGGAGACAGAGAGATGAGCGCCGCCTGGCCTGCCCCCGACACCCCCAGCCCTCCTCACCCGGGGCAGCTCTTGGCTGAGAGCACCACGCCCCCTCACTGGATGAGAGCTGAGAGCTGAGGCTCAGAGGCTGAGCATGTAGCTGGCCTGACCCTCACCTCGCAGGGTCTGCTCAACCCCGGGATCCTGCTTCTGTTTCCTCCCAGCGTCCTGCCCGCCAACTCCTGCAGGCTTCTGGGCAGGAGTGTGGGTTCTCCCTGCCCAAGCCCTTAGCCTACGCGGTCTCCACTCTCTCAGGACGCCCATCCTGACTGCCCCCTCTGGCCTGGGAGGAAGCCGCCGCTGGCCTCCCAGGGCTTCCCCACTCCCAGCCCCAACCCCTCTGCCCATACCTCCCCCATCCCAGCCCGGATCACTCTGGTCTGGTGTGAGGTCTATCTTTTCCTCAAGGTCACTGCGGTGTCCTCAGCATCGCCCAGCTTAGGAGTGGGCACAGAGAACATAATGTCCATAAATGACCTCACTTGTTAGGCACACCTCTCCCTGTGCACCTAATTCCAGAATCTTTGTGTGCCTGCTCCTCCAGAAAGCCCCCCTTGATCCTTGGGTGAGGTCAGGCCCCTCTGATCTCCCATAGCCCCCCCCGGCTCTGCTGTTCTAGCAGGGAAGGCTTCTCCATGACAAACCGGCACATCCCAAACATTGCCTTGTCTAATCCTTGCTGTGAGCAAACCCACGCTCCCACTTAAGCAGAGAGCTCAAAGAGGCCACACACTTGCCCAAGGTCACACAGCCAGGAGGCAGGTTCAGGCCTGTGTGGCCACTGCTCCTGTCTCTTACTCACACAATGCTGATGAGAACCAGGGCACTGGGGATGCCTGCCCCGGGGCCCTGGTCCACAGATGGTTCGGAGAAGCGGGAGCTGAGGGAGCCTGCAGGAGAGCAGCTTGGAGTCAGATGGCCCAGTCCAGGACCCCCGATCCTCCGCCTACCCCAACCCGGCCCCAACGGAACGTACCCGAGGTGTGAATGCCGGCCCGGGCACAGGGGTCAGGATCTGGGTGCTGGGGCCCGTCCCCGTGAGCCCGCCAGCTCAGGGGCCGCTTCCGCCGCCGCAGGCCGGATAGCAAGCCCCGGGCATCCTTCCCGCCTTCCTCCAGAGACAGCTTCTCAGCCTTGGCGAGCTCTCGCTCTGCGTAAAAGAGAGGGGGCTCTGGATGTCCATACCTGGCCAGGCCATCCCCCAACCCACGCCCCAGCCGGCCTTCTGTCCCTACCCAGATGGTGGAAATAGTCTTCAATGCCGCTCCACGAGTTCTTCTCAATGAGCGACTTCACCAGGCTCCACGGCTGCTTTCGGTAGCGGATCTCAGAAGACACTCTGGGGTTGGGAGATCAGGGGAAGGAGGTAAGGGTCTGACTCCAGCCCTGGCTGCCCCGTCCCACAAGCTGAGTTTTTTCCTTCCCCTAATTCAGAGAGGGCCCCTTGTCACTCACAGACAAAACAGATGGGTTCCCTACCCCCCATGGCTTCCCTGGATACCCCATACACCACCCGCCCAGCCCAAATGCCAGCCAACTCAGCCCTCGGTCCTTCTCCACCCATGCCCACTACCTGGGCAACGCTCCCGGCGGCCTGAGCCCTGTCTACTCACAGACTGACGTCTTAACCAGACCATGCCCCTGAACCTCTTCCATTCGGCTGCTGCACCCCAGCTCCACATGGGCTCAGCTCAACATAGACAGCTGAGTCCCAAACTGACCTCCTGGTCTTTCCCCAAACCCATTCCTCCCTGCCGCCCCCATCTGGGTCAAGGGCAGCTCCGAAGTTGTAGTGATTTGGGCCAAATGCCTCGGGATATTCCTTGAGCTCTCTTTCCCTCACCGCCACATCCAATCTCTCAGCAAATCCTGTCAGCTAAACCTGCAAAATCTCTCCAGAATCTAAACTCTTCCCCCTCCATTTCCTCACCCTGATTCAGCCTCCGTCCCCTCCAGCCTGGATGTCCCAGCAGCCTCCTCCCTGGCCTCCCTGCTCCTGTACCTGTCTTTGCAGTCTGTTCCCACCAGAACAGAGGGAGCCAGAAGGAGCCTGGGACCACCTGAGTCAGGTCAGCGCCCTCCTGGCTCAGAGCCCTGGCCTGGTTGCACCTCACTCCAGGTAAAGTCAAGTCTTCACCATGAGCCACATCTGGTTCACCTTTTTTTTTTTTTTTTTTTTTTTGAGACAGGGTCTTGCTCTGTCGCCCAGGCTGAAGTGCAACGGTGTGATCATGGCTCACTGAAATCTCCACCATGTCTGGCTAATTTTTTAACTTGTTTTTTGTTTGTTTGTTTGTTTGTTTGAGACAGAGTTTCACTCTGTCACCCAGGCTGAAGTGCAGTGGCCCGATCTCGGCTCACTGCAACCTCCACCTCCTAGGTTCAAGTGATTCTTGTGCCTTAGCCTCCCAAGTAGTAGGGATTACAGACGTGCATCACTACCCCCGACTAATTTTTGTATTTTTAGTAGAGATGGGTTTCACCATGTTGGCCAGGCTGGTCTCGAACCCCTGACCTCAAGTGATCCGCCCACCTCAGCCTCCCAAATTGCTGGGATTACAGGCGTAAGCCACTGCACCTGGACCCTGGCTAATTTAAAAAAAATTGTTTTTGTAGAGACAGGGCTTCCGTACGTTACCCAGGCTACTCTTGAACTCCTGGGCTCAAGTGATACTCCTGCCTCAGCCTCCCAAAGTGCTGGGATTACAGGTGTGAGCCACTGTGCCGGGCCCCGGTTCACCACTTTAATCTCAGCTCCTACTCACTCAATCTTACTCCACTCCAGCCATTGCCCACACCCCTGCCTCAGGGCCTTTGCACCTGCTGTCCCAAATGAGTTGCTCTCAGCTCCTTCAGGTTCTTGGTGAAACATTTCTTTCCCAGTAGGCCCTTCCCTGACCAGCGTGTCGGGTGTAAAAGCCTCCACACCCTGCTTCTTTAGCCTGCCGTGTTTTCCTCATTTTTCTCCATAGGCCTAACTGCCAGTGAATGTTCTGCAGATTTTCCTGATCATTTCTCTATTGTCCAATTCCCCACTAGAATATGAGCTCCCTGAGAGAGGTGATATTGCCTGGCTTTGCTGTATCCTCAGAGTCTTGAGGCTCAAACACCCTCTGTAGATGGGAGGAGCCATCCCAGGGCCACTCTTCCTCTACCCTCCACTATTCGGAGGACAAGGGCCTCAGGAACCCCACGCTTCTGTTCCTCCACCAGGGTGGGAACCAAGGCTCTGCTGCTGACTTGAGGAGTGGACAGGAGGCCCTGGGGCCACCAGGGCATCGGGTGGAGGGGCCCAGCCACCACTCACCGGAGCCGCGCCTTGTTCCGGGCCAGACCCAGGATGCAGTAGCGGTGGGCAGTGTAGAAGTAGTCCTGGTAGGGGATGCCCTGCGTCAGCACCTCGGAGTCCACCACACACCCGCCGGCCTGGGGGCCGCGCCGGAACAGCGTCTGCAGGGACAGAGCCGGAGAAGTCAGGGCCACCCCACTCACCCAGCTGCCCCACCCACTCGGCTGCCCCACCTGGCCCACCTGTGTCTCCACCACGGAGGCGCTCTTGGGGCCCAGTGGGTTGCTGATGGGGATGGTGTACGTCAGCACCCGGCGCTGGTGGCACTTGCTGTCCCCACTCCAGGGGCTCAGCGTCACGTCTAGAGGAGGGAGGAGCAGCATGAGGAGGCCACACCCCAGTCCTTTGCCCACAGGCCACAGGAGACTCAGCCTTCTGGGAGGTCTCTCTGGGGACCTGTCCCAATCCCCACCACTCCTCTGTGTCCCCACCTTCCTTCCAGGAGCCTAAAACCTTAGCTGTTGGGGCAGGGCCATCTCCTCCACTGCTGCAGCCTCAGTTTCCCCCTCTGCACCCGTCTTGGCTTCTGCCCTGAGCATTGGACCTGTAATCTTTTGAACACCTTCCCCTGGAAGGTCCCTGGACCCCTCGAACCCACCGAGCTCCACACAGCCTCAGCATCTCCCCAAACCTGCTGCATCTCCCAGGCCCCCACTCAGGGGTGGCCCAGGGTCCTCCAGGCTCCCACTGGAGCGGTAGGCCTTGCCCTGGACACCCCCTACTCAAACCCCTAGATGGTTACCTACACTGTGTGTTCACCAAACCTCCTGAGCGTCACTCCTGGTTCAGCCCATCTTTGCCTGCCCAGTGCCCCTGCCAGCCTTCCCTTGAGTGTCTGGCCTCAGTCTCCCCATCTGGTCCAGGGGCATCTTGTTAAAGCCAAGCCTGACTCTATCCCTTCTCTGCCTAGAACACTCCATGGCTCCCCAGTACCCCTAGAACAGAGTCTGAGTTTGGTATAGTTTGGATATTTGTCCCCACCCAAATCTCATGTTGAATTGTAATCCCCAATGCCGGAGGTAGGGCCTGGTGAGAGGTGTTTGGATCATGGGGGCGGATCCCTCATGGTTTGCTGCTGTCTTCATGATAGTGAGTTCTTCCGAGATCTGGTCATTTAAGTGTGTGGCACCTCCCCTCCACTCTCTCTCACTTGCTCCCCCTTTGCCTTTCAGCATGATCAAAAGCTCCCTGAGGCAGCCGGGCACAGTGGCTCACGCCTGTAATCCCAGCACTTCGGGAAATTTGGGAGGCCGAGGCAGGAGGATCACCTGAGGTCAAGAGTTTGAAACCAGCCTGGCCAACACGGTGAAACCCCGTCTCTACTAAAAATACAAAAATTAGCTGGGCGTGACGGTGGGCGCCTATAATCCCGGCTACTCAGGAGGCTGAGGCAGGAGAATGGCTTAAACCCAGAAGGCAGAGGCTACAGTGACTCAAGACTGTGCCACTGCATTCCAGCTGGGGCGACAGCAAGAACCTGACTCAAAAATAAATAAATAAATAAATAAATATGTGTTAATGATCACAAATTTAATGTCCACTCTGTCAGGCCTATGCAGGGCTTGGAGGCCAGTGGGAGACCAGGATAGATGAACTCCTGTCCTTAGCACCCAGAATCTCTTGAGAACAACAGGAAATATCTATAAATAAAAACCACACACTACTGGCATGGTGTGAGTTAAGGGCAGAAGCTGTGAGTATCTGGGGGTATCTGGGATCTGAGGAAGGTAAGGGAAGGCTGCCAGGAGGATGTGAAATCAAAACCAAGGCCTGAAGGAGGAACTGAGGAAGGAAGGGGTCGGGGCAGAGGAGCCCAGGAGGCCGCGTGATACCAGTAAAGGCCCTGAGGCTGGAGGCCAATATTGAGAGAAGTCCCCTGAGGCTGGGATGGGGCAGCCAGGTATGGAGAGGGGCAGCCACAGCTCTGGGTGAGGCTGAAGGGTTGACATGGGACCAGCCAAGGAACTTGGGAGGCTACAAAAGAGATTCAAGCAGGGGAGGAGCGTGTCAGATGGGAGTTTCTCTTTGTTTCTTTTTCTGTATTGATGAGACATGCAGTATCCCCTGCAGTCAGGAAGATGGTGCCTTGTGTTGGGGGGCTACAAGGCCCCCAAAACTATGCTTATGTCCTAAAAGGGCTGGCGTGTCAGGCTGAGGAGCTCTGTATTAGGCCATTCTTACATTACTATAAATACCTGAGGCTCAGTAACTTATAAAGAAAAGAGGTTTAATGGGTTCACAGTTCCACAGGCTGTATAGGAAGCATGATGCCGACATCTGCTCGGCTTCTGGGGAGGCCTCAGGAGCATTTTTTTTTTTAATGGAGTCTCTCTCTGTCACCCAGGCTGAGGTGCAGTGGCATGATCTTGGCTCACTGCAACCTCCACCTCCTGGGTTCAAGCAATTCTCTCACCTGAGCCTCCAGAGTAGCTGGGATTACGGGTGGGCAGCATCATGCTCAGCTAATTTTTTTTTTTATTTTTGTAAAGACTGAGTCTCATTATGTTGCCCAGGCTGGTCTCCAACTTCTGGGCTGACATGAACTTCCCACCTTGGCCCTCCTCCCACCTTTTTTTTTTTTTTTTTTGAGACAGAGTCTCGCTCTGTCGCCCAGGCTGGAGCGCAACGGCACGATCTTGGCTCACTGCAACCTCTGCTTCCCGAGTTCAAGTGATTCTCCTGCCTTAGCCTCCTGAGTAGCTGGGATTACAGGTGCTCGCCACCATGCCTGGCTAAAATATTTTTGTATTTTTAGTGGAGATGGGGTTTCACCATGTTGGCCAGGCTGGTCTCAAACTCCTGACCTCAGGTGATCCACCTGCCTCGGCCTCCCAAAGCGCTGGGATTATAAGCGTGAGCCACTGTGCCCAGCACCCCACCCCCCGCCCCTGTTTTTTTGAGACAGAGTTTGGCTGTGTCACCCAGGCTGGAGTGCAGTGTGATCTCAGCTCACTGCAACCTCCGCCTCCGAGGTTCAAGCAATTCTCCCACTTCAGCCTCCCAAGTAGCTGGGACTATAGGTGTGTGCCACCACACCTAGCTGATTTTTGTATTTTTAGTAGAGATGAGGTTTCACCATGTTGCCCTGGCTGGTCTCACACTCCTGACCTCTAGTGATCTGCCCACCTCGGCCTCCCAAAGTGCTGGGATTACAGGTGTGAACCACCGCACCAGCCCCGCCTCAGCCTCTTAACTTGTATTTATTAAACGCTTACTATATGGTATTGCTCTAGGAACTTTTCTAGTATGAACTCACTTAGTTCTCATGATAACCAATAAGCCAGGTACTATTATCATACCCCCATTATACAGAAGGAGAAACTGAGGCACAGAGCATCTCAGAACTCTGCCCAAGCCTACCCAGCTAGTAAGTGGCAGAGCTGCTTCTGGTCTGACAGACATTGCTTTTCACCACCTCGCCTTGCCCCACTGGCTAGCAGTGCCTTCCCCTGTCCTGGGCTACCCTTCCTCACCCCTCCCCTGCACCTGGGTAACCTCAGCCTCTCCTTCATGCGCCCGCTGACCTGTGAACTTGCACTGCTGTAGGAAGCCCTGGAGGAAGGGCGAGTCCGAGAAGAGCATCTGCTGGAGCCGCTCAGCGCCCACATGGAAGACAGAGTTGATGAGGAGGCGGCCGGAGAGGTCGGGAAGCAGGGCAGCCAAGTCCGCTGGAGACAGAGGAGAGCCGAGGATGATGACTGCCTCCACTCCTCCCTCCCTCTGCGGGCCACGCCTCCCCACTCCCAGGCCTTGTAGTGTGCATGGGCGGACCCCACCTCCTGGAGCACAGCTGGACACTGACACAGAGCCCTCCTGTGACTCAGGGATGGGTTGAGGGTGGGCACGTGCTCCAGGCCCAGACAGACAGCCACTGTGCTTGGTTCTGGGTGGAGAACACACCTAGGCCCTGAGATTTAAATCACAGGGATTCATTACCAGATAGCACGCCTCCTGGGAGCATCAACCTAGGGGCACAGCAATTGGTTCAGGGGTGAGTGGGTGGCCCAGGTCTATCCGATCAACCACAGTGATTGGTTCAGGGGCAGGCACACTCTCAAGTTGGCCCAATCAGAGCCAACCCTAGGGTGTCCGCTGTAGACACTAGGAAAAATAGGCTGCTCTCTCTCATTGGGCTGGTCTGGGGCAGGGCTGAGGCCATCTCTGCCCCATAAGAGACAAGAATAGAGGCTAGCTGAAAATTAGTGGAGAGAGAAAATGAATACAATAATGATAATAGAAATACTAATAGTCAATGCTTACTAACTGGCCCAAGTGCTTTAAATGTATGAAATCACTTAATTCTCTCCCTTTGTTCGTTTTAGAGACAGGGTCTCGCTCTGTTGCTCAGGCCGAAGTGCAGTGGTGCAATCATAGCTCACTGCAGCCTCCAACTCCTGGGCTCAAGCGATCCTCCTGCCTCAGCCTCCCCAGTAGCTGAGACTACATAGGGTGCATGACCCCATGCCTGGCTAATTTTTAAATTTTTTGTAAAGACAGGGGTCTCACTATGTTGCCCAGGCTTGTCTCAAACTCTTGGCCTCATGTGATCCTCTTGCCTTGGTCTGCCAAGTAGCTGGTACTATAGGTGTGCACCACCACACCTAGTTTTTTCTTTTTTTTCTTTTTTGTACAAAACGGGGTCTTGCTTTGCTGCCCAGGCTGTTCTCCAACTCTTGGCCTCTAGCAATCCTTCCTACCTTGGCCTCCCAAAGTGCTGGGATTACAGGTGTGAGCCATCACACCCAGCCTCATTTATAGTCTCTTAACAACAATCCTATGAAGTGGGTATTATCATTGTTAACCCCATTTTCAGAGGAGGAAAGCAAGCTCAGAGAAGTTACATAATTTGCCCACGTGACATGGTCAGGAAGTGGTGTGACCAGGATGTGAACCGCGGCAAGCTGCCTTCAGTCTGTGCTTGTGTTCACCCTGCCATGCTGCCTTCAAAACAGAGTAAAGACAGAGATTTCTAGCAACAGCGCCTGAACGCCATCCCGCCTGCCCCTGGATTCTCAGTGCTGCGGGCGAATCCATCCCCTCTTGCTTAAGACTGAGCGAGGCTTGCAAGTACCGGAGGCGAATGAATTGGGCCCGCCTGCCTCACCTTCCTCCCCAGTGGATGAAGAGGAGTTACTTGTGTCTGTCAATAGCTCCTCACTGGGCAGCAGATCCAAGGGGCCCAGGGTGGTGGGCCCGTCAGGCTGGGTGGGCTCTGTGCTCGGGGGTTCAGCCACCGGGGTCACTGTCTGGCTGGAGGAGGCGTCTGGCTGGCTGTCTACCTGCTCCTCCTTGTCCTCCTCTGCCTGTGGAGAAAGGCCCGATGCAGCCTTGGCCACCTCCATCCCAGCCCCAGGGCTCCCAAGTCCACACTGGCCACAAGGATTCCAGAGCCTGTGCAGACCCGGGGTGGTGTGTGCACCGAGGGCTCACGGCTGAGCTGCGAGCAGCCTGGGGCCACCCAGATGAGGGCCCCTCTCAGCCCCTGCCAGGCTTGTCTCAGATGCCTGAGCCATAAGCTTTCTTACCTGTCCTGTCCGTCTGTCTGTCTGCTGCTTCATCTATCCACCCATCTCCCATCCCTTCTGTCTCTCATCCTTTCTGTCTGTCCCCTCTCTTCCCTGTCTCTCTTTCCCTGTCACATGTCCGTCTTCCCCTCCCTGTCCTGTTCCTCCATCCAGGCCTCCCCTGTCCCCCTATCCATTCCCCTCCAAATCTGTCAGGCTGTTCTTCTCCCACTGCACCCCCAGCCCTCCTCTCTCTTCCTATCAGTATCCCACCCCTCTTCCAACCCACCGCTCACCCCATGGTCTGCGTCGCTGCTGGCTCGGGAAAGGTTGGGCGTGACATGGCCACGGCGCGAACCCACTGGGCTTGGCTCCTGGCTGCGGTCAGCTGCCCCCGAGGAGGTGATGTCGCTCAGGGCGATCACATCTCCCACTTCCTTGGGGGTCCTGTGGGAAAGGGGAGGAAGCGGGACTGCTGTGTCCTTGAGACCCCATACACCCTCCTGAATCCTCCAGACGTCATACAACCATCTCAGGCCCCCCAGCACTCCAGGAACTCTGCACGCCGACCGTCCTGTTCTCCCCCGAACCCTTCAACCTCCTTTGACCTCCAACTCACCCCAGACCGTTCAGCTGCAAGGGGGAGACATAGTCCTCATCCTCACTGGTGAGGCCCAGCTCTGAGCCGTAGCACTGATGCACCAGGTGCCAGAGCTCGCGGGGACTCAGCGTCTGGGGAGGCGGGACCTGGGGTTGGCCTCCATCTCACCCCAGCCAGAGCCCGGCCCGCCAGATTCCCCACCAGCCCTCGGCCTCCGCAGTTCCCCTGGCTTCCACAAGGAGGCAGCCACGATCTCCCGCACCAGACCTGGCCTCAGCAAGCGGGGAATCCCCTGCTACAGCCCCTCCAGGGCCTGCGCCCAGGACTCAAACTTCCTGCTTCCCAAGTCCCCACAATACTCTGGCCAGAGAATGTTCCCATTTTTTTTATATCTTTTTTTGTTTGTTTTTTGGAGATGGAGTCTGGCTCTGTCGCTCAGGCTGGAGTGCAGTGGTGTGATCTCAGCTCACTGCAACCTCTCCCTCCTGGGTTCAAGCGATTCTCCTACCTCAGCTTCCCAAGGAGCTGGGATTACAGGTGCGTGCTACCACGCCCAGCTAATTTTTGCAATTTTAGTAGAGACGGGGTTTCACCATGTTGGCCAGGCTGGTCTCGAACTCCTGACCTCGTGGGCACCACGATCCGCCCGTCTTCGTCTACCAAAGTGCTGGGATTACAGGCATGAGCCACCGTGCCCAGCCATGAATGTTCCCATCTTTACAGAGCATACGGAGTCCCAGGAAGGGGAAGTCATGTAGGGAAAGTCATGTGTTCAAGGTCACCAAGTGACTTGGTCAAGCCCTGCCAGACTCCAGGGCTGAGTCTCCCATGCCTATGCCATCGTGGCCCCCCGAATCTTTTCCCAGGTGTCCTCGGGAGCCTTGAGCTTTCAGCCACCCATGGCCAGAGTGGCTGAATGACAGTGATGACAGTTAACAGTAAGTGATGATAGCAGCAGACATTTGCCACCTGGTCAACTAGGTGCATTCTTCTAACCACTTTACAGATGTACTAACTCACTGTATCTTCAAAACCATCTGGAAAGTAGGTGCTAACCTCATCATCCTTTTAAGACAATGGTGCTGAGAAGTGCAAGGTGACATGCTGGGGTCCAGCCAGGAAGTAGCAGTGCTGAGATGTGACCCCAGGGGAGCTGGTCTACAGCCGGGGGGCAGAGGGGGTGGCGAGGGAGCTAACCGCTGGGCTACTCTGCTCATAAGAGCTGACATGACTGAGTACTTATTCTGGGCAAAATTCTGGGTGCTGTGAAGTGGGGATGGCCCCCATTTGACAGATGGGGTTCAATCACTTGCCCCAGGGGATGGGGCTGGAATCCCGGGGCTCTGCCCTGTCCTCCTTAGGGCCTGACTGTGCGCTGTCCCTCTCTCAGGATGCTGAATGGGACCCTCAGCACTCCTGCCTGCTCCAGGGACATCGGAGCCTCTGAGAAGGCAGCGCGTGAGTGCCGCTCAGCCGGAGGATGGGGCTGGGGCTCTCTGAGGTGCTGTGGACCAGCCATAGCCGGCATCCTGTGATGACCTCCCAGCCTCTATCCACACTCCCCCGCTGCCAGTGGAACCTGGATGTCCTTCAGGGTGAAAATCATTCCCAGCCCCAGGGAAGAATTACGACGGTTTACACCAATTCATGTCCCTTTGCCAGAGACTCAGCTTCGGGGTCAGGTGGGGCCCAGGGAGGAGCTGCAGGGGCACTGGGCCTGGTGCCCATGGAGAAGAGCCAGGGCTGCCTCCAGCTCCGCAAGTTCTGGGGTCCCTGGCTCCATGGTCCCCCTGGAAACCCCCCATCCCCACCCGGGCCTCACCCAGGCCCACCTTTTCAAGCAGTGCATTCTGCCAGAGGCGGAAGATGAGGAGGAAGCAGCGGTCACGGGCCCCAAAGGAAGTGAAGAAATGCTGTCAGGGAGAGAGAGAGAGAGAGGTGTGAGCAGGTTGGGGAGCGACCAGGACAGAGGTGGGGAAGCGCCACCCTCATCTGCGCTGACGCCACATCTTTGGCCCCATGAATCCACTAATTCACCCCTGCATTAGTTCCACAAAACGTCTGTCCTGCGCCCGGCCCTGCCCTGGACAATTCCAGAATCACTGGGATGGGGAGACGACCCCTGGCCCTGTCCTTGGAGCTCCCAGTCCAAGGAGGGGACAGATGCATCTCTAGACAGGGTCAGCCCAGAGGGGCTGGGATGTGATGGGGGGAGCCCAGGGAACTTGCCCAGCCTCCTTTGCCACTAAGAATGGTCAGTTGATCCTTTTTTTTTTTTTTTTTTTGAGACAGGGTCTGGCTTTGTCACCCAGGCTGGAGTGCAGTGGCATGATCACGGCTCACTGCAGCCTCAACCTCCTGGGCTCAAGCCATCCTCCTGTCTCAGCCTCCTGAGTGAGTAGCTGGGACTACAGGTGCGTGCCACCACACCTGGTTAATTTTTTGCTTTTTAAGAGACAGGGTCTCACTATGTTGCCCAGGCTAGCCTCAACCTCCTGGGCTCAAGCAATCTTCCTGCCTCAGCCTCCCCAAAATGCTAGGGTTACAGGCATGAGCCACTACACCTGGCCAGATCCACTTTTAACCAACAAAACACAAAGAGAAGTCTGCTGGGAAGTGTCCCCCACACCTGTCCCCCTTCTTGTTGGACCGCTGGTGAGAAAGCCATCTTGCAACCAACGGACATGAGGCCACAATGACAGGGACAGGACACAACATCGGGGAGACTTACGAAGGGAGGGGCGGCTGAGGTGCCACATACATGGAAGAGTTTTACTATTTCTGCTGTTCCTGAGCAGCTGTGTGAGGTAACAGGTTGCAGGGAAAGAGAGGAGAGGCTGGTGCGGGGATCAGGTCAGGGGTGATGGGCGCCTGGGCCGGGAGAACAGAGAGAAGGGGACAGCTCGGAGAGAACTCAGGGTGCAGAACAAATGGGGCTTTGCATGTTTGGGGGAGGCGGCCTGCTGAGCGGGGGACCGCGTGGTCCCGTCACCGGGTCCTCCGTCACCTTCTCGCTCTCCGTGCAGATCTGGATGGCGTTGGGGATCAGCTTGGCCGTCTTTTCCTTCTTCAGACATGTCACTTCCTTCAGCTGGATGGAGATCTGAGGACAGCAGGAGGGTCAATAGGAGCGGGGTGGGGCCTGGCCATGGGGGCCCCCGCCCCTGTACCCTGCCCCGCTGCGGGCTCACCGTGGTCTCCCAGCGGAAGATGTTGCTGTAGAAGCAGATCCAGTTCTCAGAGAGGTAGAGGCGGCCCTGGAGCAGGATCTCACGCTGCAGGGCGCAGGAGTAATCTGAGAGGGGCGGGGAGAGACAGGAGGACACCCAAGTCACGAGGCTCAGCCGGCGCCCGCGGGCTGGCGGAGAGTCACAGGGCTGGGCTAGGAGCTGGGACTGGGGGTCCGGGACTCACCCACAATGAGGCGTTCTGCTTCGGGGAGTTTGCTGAACAGTTTCCGGAAGTCCTCATTACGCTGCTTATAAGTGGGGCTCAGCATCTGAGGAAGTTTGAGAGGTGAGAACCTGGATGGGGGTTCACACTCCCAATGCTGCCCCACAAAGCTCCTGGAACCCCCTCAGTCTCTTAAGTCCCTGACAGATTCCAACGCACACAACACACCAGTAGCCACAATGACAGCTGCCATTTACAGATTTCTTATGTAAGCCGGGCCCCGTACCAAGCACCCACCAGCATCACTGACTCATTCAATGTTCCCTTCAGCCTTGTAAGGTGGGGCTGTTTCTCAAGGACAGAGAGAGGCCCAGAGAGGTTAAGTAACTCACCCAAGGTCACACAGCACATAAATAATAGCATAGAACGTGACCCTAGGTCTGCACCCACTCCATCTCAGCACGCACTCCTTGACTGTTGCAGCCTGGGGCTCCTGGCCCAGCACCCGGTCCTCCCAGCCCTCCAGCAAGCCCCTTGCCCAGACACTTACACTGTACCAGCTCTGCATCTTCTGCAAAGAAAAGGAGAGGAGTCAGGATGAGCCCCTAGATCACCGGCCAGCCCCCACTAGCCCTCTCCCCACCCCACCTGGGCTTGCACCAACCTTGCTGTTGCGGATGAAGTTCCGGCTGCCTAGGCTCTGGGTGCTGGGGGTCCCAGGCACCCCACCCTTCTCTGAGGAGCTATCTGATCCCTTCTCCACCATGGTGCCTGGTTCTGGCTCAGGTGGGGGCCGGCTTGGGGGCAGGAGCTGCAGCCGTTTCCGGAGCGATGGGGAGCTGCTTGGCGTGCTCCGGCCAGAGTGGGGTGTGGTGCTGGGGGCAGGAAGAGGAAGAGAAGTGTTAACTGGAAAAAACAGGCTGGGATTCGGGGACAGGCCTATTTTCAGAGGCCCACCCATTGATCCCCGAATACACACCCATCCACCCAGCCATCCTGTTTCTCTTCCCAGCAGTGACACTCAGAACATGCTCCTTAACGTCTCTGTGCTACGGTTACTTCATCAGTAATCCAGGGATGATAAATACATGTCCTCATCCAGTTGTTTTGGGGCTTAAACAAATCAGGACATGTAAAGCACTTCCTTTATCTTACTTTATTTTATTTATTTATTTTTTGTGACAGAGTCTTGCTCTGTTGCCCAGGCTGGAGTCAGTGGCATGATCTCGGCTCACTGCAAACTCTGCCTCCTGGGTTCAACTGATTCTCCTGCCTTAGCCTCCCAAGTAGCTGGGACTACAGGTTCCTGCCACCACACATGGCTAGCTTTTATATTTTTAGTAGATGGGGTTTAACCATGTTGGCTGGGCTGGTCTCAAACTCTTGACCTCATGATCTGCCCACCTTGGCCTCCCAAGTGCTGGGATTACAGGTGGGAGCCACCGTGCCCAGCCTACTTTAATTTTTTTTGAGACGGGGTCTTCCTAAGTTGCCCAAGCTGGTCTCAAAATCCTGGCCTCAAGTGATCCTCTGGCCTCAGCCTCCCAAAATGCTGGGATTACAGGCATGAACCACCGTGCCCAGCCCATGTAAAGTAATTCTAACAGAGCATGGCACATAGCGAGCTCTCAAAGACACCTGCTGTTTTATTTTATTTTATTTTAAGACGGAATCTCTCACTCTGTCACCTAGGCTGGAGTGCAGTGGTGTGATCTCAGCTCACTGTAACCTTCGCCTCCTGGGTTCAAGAGATTCTCCTGCTTCAACCTCCTGAGTAGCTGGGATTACAGGATCACACTACCATGCCTGGCTAATTTTTGTATTTTTAGTAGAGACGGGGGTTCACTATGTTGGCCAGGCTGGTCTTGAACTCCTGACCTCAAGTGATCTGCCCACCTCAGCCTCCCAAAATGCTGGGATTACAGGTGTGAGCCACCGCGCCTGGCCTATACCTCCTATTTTTAAAATTAACTTACTGATTCATACAACAAATATTTATTGAACAGCGACTTTCCACTCAGTTGTCGGAGCTAAAACCCTAAGCATCTTTCTTAATTTCTTTATTTTCTTCATCTCTCATTTCAAAATCTATTTCCATTATTTATTTTTATTTTCTTTTTAGAGATAGGGTCTCGCTCTGTCACTCAGGCTGGAGTGCAGTGGCACAATCACGGCTCACTGCAGCCTCGAGCTCCCGGGCTTAAGTGATCCTCCTGCCTCAGCCTCCCGGGTAGCTGGGACTGCAGGTACACACCACTGTTATCAGCTTTTTTATTTTTAAAAAATTTTTGTACAGATGGGGTCTAGCTATGTTGCCCAGGCTGTTCTCAAACTCCTGACCTCAAGTGATCCTCCCACCTTGGGCACTACCAAAGTGCTGGTATTACAGGTGTGAGCCACTGCACCCAGCTCTATTTCTATTATTTTTATTTTTTTGAGATGGGGTCTCTCTCTGTCGCCCAGGCTGCAGTGCAATGGCATGATCTCGACTCACTGCAACCTCCACCTCCCAGGTTCAAGCGATTCTTCCGCCCCAGCCTCCCCAGTAGCTGGGATCATAGGCACCCGCCATCATGCCCCGCTAATTTTTGCATTTTTTGTAGAGACAGGGTTTCACCATGTTGGCCAGGCTGGTCTTGAACTCCTTCCTGACCTCAGGTTATCCGCCCACCTCGGCCTCCCAAAATTCTGGGATTACAGGCGTGAGCCACCGCACCCAGCATCCGTTATTTTTATTATACCCATTTCTCCCTGCTCCAGCCTCCATCACCTCCAGCCTGGACACCCCAGCAGCCTCTTCACTGGTGTCCTACAACCAGAGGAGACCTGTGACCATCTGAGTCAGGTCTGAGCCCTGCCCTGGGTGCACCTCACTCCAGGTAAAAGCAAAGACCTCACCTTGGTGTGGTGATTTGGCCCTGGAACCTCACTGACCTCATGTCCTCCCTCTCCCTGTCCTTCCTCTCCCCTGGCCATCCCAGCCTGCTTTTGTCCCTAAGCTCTCCAATCTCATTCCCACGCCAAGGCCTCCACATTTGTAGTCCCTCCGCCTGAATGTCCTTCCATGGCCCCGGCATCACCAGCTCTGTCCCCTTCAGCTCAAATGCTCTCCTTCCGCATCATCCAGCCTAAGGCAGGCACCTCTGTCGCCACACCCCAGGCTATCTGGAGTGTCCTGCTTGTTTACTGTTTGTTTACTGTCTACCCAGACTGTGACCTTCAGGTCTTGGTTACCACCGGGTCCCTAGAGCCCAAAACTCTAGGCACATAGTGAATGCTCAATAACCACCAGAGGCTAAATGAATAATCTGCACGCTGGCTGGAGCTGGCATCAGTAGAGCCCGCAGGACATGGCCCCTGCCCTTGGGGAATGAGCCTTCTGGTGGGGAGGCAGACACTGAACAAACAGGACACTCCCAACTTCACTGTGCAAACACGAACTGTAATAAGGACTGTGGGGATGGCGTTGGGAACTTTAAAAGGACATTCTTTGTTGACTCCTTATCAGGAAATATGTCAAGCTCTCCGTATGATTAACCGTATTATTTCTCAAGCCGGTGCCTTTGATATGATTCACCATCCCTGCTTTACAGAGGAGGAAACTAGCTCAAAGCGGCAAACCACTTGCCATAGGATACGGGCCTGGTTTCTTTCTTTTTTCTTTATTTTTTGGAGACAAAGAGTCGCGCTGTCACCCAGGCTGGAGTGCAGTGGCACTATCTCAGCTCAGTGCAACCTGCGCCTCCCAGGTTCAAGTGATTCTCCTGCCTCAGCCTCCGCAGTAGCTGGGATTACAGGCACCCACCACCATGCCCAGCTAATTTTTTGTATTTTAGTAGAGACAGGGTTCCACCACGTTGCTGGTCTCGAACTCCTGAGCTCAGGCAATCCACCTGCCTCAGCATCCCAAAGTGCTAGGAGATTACAGCTGTGAGCCACTGCACCTGGCCATGGGCTTGGTTTATTTCAAGGCAGGATTCCCATTTAGGGGCCTTGATGTATTCTGGGGTGCAGGTGGGATTCCCTCCACCACCTGGGGCAACTCAAAGTTGTCTCTCTTACCTCCAAGCCTTAACATATGCCATTCTGTCTGTCCAGATCGTAGTTCTTCTTTGCCTAGCAAATCCTTATTTGTCCTTCAGGACTTTGGCTCATGCGTGACCCCACAGTCCCCTGGGCAGCTCCCATCCTGGACTACTCTGGGCCGTCACTGTCTGATGACAGGTCCAAGTCCTTCACGGGTCTGTGGGTCACTGCTCTGTCCCCAGCACAATGCGGGACAGGATGCAGGGTAGGCACTCATGTAACACTTGTAAAATAAATTTGTGGAATAAAATACGTGAATAAAATAATTAAACAGCCAGTGGCCCAGGCCACTGCTTTTCCCCTGGGCCATCCCAGCAGCCTCCTCCCTGGTCTCCCTGTTCCCATCCCTGCCCATACCTGTAGTGGGAGGGAGCCTGGGATCATCTGAGTCCATCAGGGTCCTCCTGGGTGGTCCCTCTCTGCCCTCATCAGCCCTGCACTCCCTCTCCCAGCTCCCGCCTTGGTCGGTGCCTCTGCTCAAAATGCCCTTCCTCCCAGACATCCACATCCACATCCACAGGGCTCCCCCACCTCCCTCAGGTCTCTGCTCAGTGGACACCTTCCCTACCTCCCTATTTAACACCCCCTACCCCGCCTCCCGATCCCCCTCCCTGCTCTCTTTCTGCAAAGCAAGTCTCCCTGCTGCCTCCCGGGACCTTCAGTATTTCCCCCTAGTTCTTATCCTTCTCTCCCCACCCCCAACCCCCACCCACGATGTTGAGTGTCCCCATCACCTAGAGCAGGGCCTGGCGTACAGGAGGTGCTCCGTGAGCACATACTGTTGGGGATGGCCTGGGTGATCGGCCCTCCTTCCCCGCCCCCCATAGAACTTGGGTTCCAGCAGGTGCACGACTCCTTGGACCCTGCAGGTCTCCAGGGCAGCAGCCTGGAGTGTGGGCCCCACAGTCCAAGGACCTTCCAGTCAAGTGCCACCGCGTCCTTTCTGTGTGACCCTGAGCTAGTGTCTGAACCCTCCTGTGCCTCAGTTTCCTCTTGGGTATGATGGGAATTAGTGCCCACCTCCTAGGGTTGCACAGAGATGGAGGTGAGGTGAGATCCACAAAGCCCAGTACCTGGAGGGCACCTGGTTTAACTACGCTGCTTTCCCTCCCACAGGGACTGGCGGACTAAGATGGAGTGTACAGCGCGGCTGCCAGCCCAGTGCACCACTGCCCATGACGCTCTGCTGACCCTGACAGGGACCTCACAAGCACTACGCCTGATGTTAGGCGCCTCCATGACTGACCCTCAACTCCAGCCTTTCACCTCTAAATACCCTGCACCCGCCACAAGGAAGTGAGCAAAGCCCATACAAGCCCCTGCCTGCAAGGACCTGACGCTGAAACAGGGAAACATAGACCGTCAGTAAGAAAACAAGTGAGCAGGGATGGCGACCTCAGACACTGGTGAACGCCATAAAGCAATGCTGCTCAGTATGAGCCCCAGAGAGCAGCAGGCAGGACTTGGAAAGTGTTCAAAAGGCAGAGTCCAGGACCCACTCCCAACCTTCTGAATCAGAACTGGGGTGGGGCCAGAGATTCCGACGCACATTCAAGTTTGAGGACCACAGAGATAAGGGATGGGACAACTAGGGGGGCAGAGATGCTTTTTAAATTTTTTTTAGAGACACGGTCACACTCTGTCACCCAGGCTGCAGTACAGTGGCAAAATCATGGTTAACGGCAGCTCCGAACTCCTGGGCTCAAGGAATTCTCAATCCTCAGCCTCCCAGGTCACTCCAGGCCCGAACTCTTGGGCTCAAGCGATCCTCCAGCCTTAGCTTCCCTGATAGCTGGGACTACAGTCTCACACCACCATGCCTAGCTGATTTTTAAAGTTTTTTTGTAGTGATGGGGTCTTGCTATGTTGCCCAGGCTGGTCTCAAACTCCTGACCTCAAGTGATCCTCCCACCTTGGCCTCCCAAAGTGCTGGGATTACAGGCATGAGCCACTGTGCCCAACCAATTTCTTTAGTAACAGTCAGCAAAAGCCTTCCTGAACAAAGCCCACTTGTTCACCTGAGGACAAAGAACACATGTGGCAAAGGCTGGGAGAAGACTCCAGGTGGAGAACATCAAGCTCAGGGACAGGACTGAGCCTGGCAGGTCTGAGTGTGAGTGAGGTGGCCAGTGGGGCTGAGGGAGTAGCGGAGGTGCACAGGCCTGGTGACCCTAGTCAGGAGTTTGGCTTCACCCAGACAGCACTGGTGAGCAGGGAGAGACTCCTAAGCAGCAGGACCACATCCTCCCCTGCCTGCTTTTCTCAGCCCTCTAGCCTGAAACACAGACCTGCCCTACTTTCCCGCAGCCACAGATCTAGGGGCAGGGCCTGGGGGCCGGAATCCTGAAGAGAGGCTCAAGGCACACAGACAGGGCAGGGACCACGCCCCCAGTTTTTGCTCCAGGGCTGGGCAAAGAGGAAGTACTCAAGGGCGGACCCTGCGGCTGCCCAACCAGGATAGCTGAAGGCAGAGTGAAGGGAGGAGCCTGGGGGACTGTTATAGGGGCGAGGAGACTCGGAAGGGATGTTGTTTTGCTTCCGCAGACACCTGACCTCCAACTTCCTAGGCCCCAGTGGACCCAGAGCAGCCTCTGGTCAGAAAAGGGCGGATGCATCCACAGGTGTGCATAAAAGGGAAACTCAATGATTGTCACACAGTAGGTGTCAGGGGTAAACTGCATTTCCCTACAATTGCAAGGAGTCTCTTTCCTCTCTCTCTCTCTCATATGCACACACACACACACACACACACACACACACACACGCACAGAGCAACAGCATCATAGGTATGCTACAGAGAGCCACAGAGTAATTACACACACACACACACACACACACACACACACCTGCAGCATTGCTAGTCTGCTACAGTCACATGGCAATTTCCCAGAAAAGTTATCCAGACACATGCATGTGTGCACACAGACACAGAGCTGCAGAGGGTCACAGAAACATACAGCAACCCACAGAAAGTCCCGGATAAATTATATTCACACACATAGCCACGAGGAAGTCTCAGCAAAGAGCCAAAGACAGCCATACAGTGAAAGACCAGTCCCAAAAGACCCCAGGTGACACATACATAGTCCCAGGTAAATCAGGTCCCACGGTCAGCCAACACATCCCCACTGAGTTGTTCCCGTGCCCGCACTGGGCTCACCATCTGGCAGGGAAGACAGAGAAAAGGCTACTTCTAAAGTGGCAAGGGGCTGGGCGCAGTGGCTGATGCCTGTAATCCCAGCACTTTGGGAGGCCGAGGCGGGTGGATCACCTGAGGTTAGGAGTTTGAGACCAGCCTGGCCAACATGGTGAAACCCCATCTCTACTAAAAATACAAAAATTAGCCAGGTGTGGTGGCACGCACCTGTAATCCCAGCTACTAGGGAGGCTGAGGCAGAAGAATCGCTTGAACCCAGGAGGCAGAGGTTGCAGTGAGCCGAGATCGTGCCACTGCAGTCCAGCCTGGGCGACAGAGCGAGACTGCGTCTAAAAGAAAGAGAAAAAGGAAAAGAAAAAGTAAAGTGGCAAGGGGTGGAGGTGTCAGTGGCTGTAGCTGGTGGAGAGCCCTGATGCTCACAGTCAAGCAGGACTTGGGAATAATGCAGCCGAGCAGGGCGTGGATCTCGAGGACACAGTGGCCAGGTAGTGGAATAATGCGTGGCACATGCTATACTAACTGTAACAGGTGGACAACGTCAGTTATCATTATTGCCTCCAAAGTGCCCTGGGTACTCCCAGGGTCTTAGAAGGGAGGGTTCCAAGCCTACAGAGAGCCACAAGGGGTCTCACACTGTTCACACACACACAAAACCACAGAGGGTCTCAGCTGTACACAGAGAGGCCTAGGCACCACTCAATACTGTCACAAAGGAATACACAAGGGAATGTTCACACAAAGATGGAATCAAATTAAGTTACAGCCACACTCACAGAGCCCCAGACACACAACAATGTCACAAATGTAACTTACATTGGCACACAGAGCTAAATGAGAGTTTCAAGCCAGGCGCGATGGCTTAAGCCTGTAATCCCAGCACTTTGGGAGGCCGAGGTGGGTGGATCACCTGAGGTCAGGAGTTCGAGATCAGCCTGGCCAACATGGTGAAACCCCATCTCTACTAAAAATACAAAACTTAGCCAGGCGTGGTGGCACACGCCTGTAATCCCAGCTACTCAGGAGGCTGAGGCAGGAGAATTGCTTGAACCCAGCAGGAGGAGGTTGCAGTGGGCCGAGATCGTGCCACTGCACTCTAGCCTGGGCGACAGAGCCAGACTCTATTTCAAAAGAAAAAAAAAAAAAGAAGAGCGTTTCAGAGCTAAATTACAGGCATATGCAGGCACAGAGGGTCATGGTAGAACCCAGAGCCCCAGGCACACTTGTACACACACCACTAAGTCACAATGGGACGCACACTGGTAACTTACAGCAACGCTTGGAGCTACAGATAGAATTAATGGTAAAACACACACAGCCCAAGAAGGATCAGAGCTGCTACACACGGTAACTCCAGACACATGTACAAACACTCCAACGTCACACTCAGACACACAGGGGTAATTTATATTTGCACAGGGAGCTACAGATGGAATGAGACACAACACGCACACAACCAGCTGCTCACAGCCACAGATTTGGAGCCCCAGACACACACAGGTAACTTACAGTGACACACAGAGCCGCGGTCAGAATTAGTGGTTAAGTTACACGCAGGAACTCTATCAGAGGCCCAAAGCTGCTGCAGGCTAGCAGCCCCAGACACACGTACACACACTTGCAAGACAATTCACAGTCGGAAGCACATGCGCCCACCTGGACCGGAAGGGGAGTAAGAAGTCAATTCCGAGCACACAGGACCCCCCGCCCTCCATGACCTCAAGCACGCGGTCCTGGAGAGACGCAGGAAGCCCCCACCCCCGGCAGCCCCGAGACCCGCAACAGCCAAGGACGGTGGGAGGGGGCCCAGGCAGGAGGGGGCTGCCTACTCCCGGCGCGCCCAGGGCTCCGCGGCCTGTGGGCCTGGGCTGGTCCCGATCCTGTCTCCATCCCAGGCCGGAGCCCCAGTTCGGCCTCGCGCTCACCCCTGGCTTACCAGGCAGGGGGTTGCCAGGCCTGAGGGCCCTCCCCGCCAGATGAACCCGCGGGCCCCCAGCCAAACCCCGCAACCCAGTGCGTCGCGGGCCGGCAGTGGCGACCCAGACCCCGGGCCCTGCCCTGCGTCCGCGCCCCACTCCCCAGCTGCACCCCTCGCCCGGGGGCCCCCTGCCCCGCCCCCACCCCGATCGCCCCGGCCAGAGCCATGTGCAGAGGCCCCCGACCTCTGCAGCGGCCGCTCCGCCCCCTCCCCAAGCCCGCGGCGCCCCCTCCCTCCGGTGGCCTCCCCCGCGCGCCCGGTCCCTGAGCTCTAGTCGCCCGGTCCTTACTCGAACATGGATGCGGCGCGGTGGGCGCGCCCCGGGCGCAGGGCAGGGCAGGGCAGGGCAGGGCTGGGCTGCGCGGGGCTGGGCTGCGCTGGGCGTCCCCGCAGGGCACCGGCCTGGCCTTCCGCGGCCGCCGCCCCCACCCGACCCAACCGCCCGCACAAAAGGCCGGAGCCGCCGGAGGCCGCCGCGGCGTCAGCGACACCCCCTTCCTTCCCCCGCCCCGCCGCGTCACGGCGCCGCCCCCAGCCCGGGAGGGAAGGCGGGGAGGGGCCGCAGAGGCCTAGAAGGAGGGAGAAGCCGGGGAGAGAGGGACTGGACAGAGAAGGGAAAGCAGAGGGGCAGAGAGACAGAGAAGGAAACAAAGAGACTTTATTAAAACCAAACATCGTGGAGGCAGCTGCCTGCCCGCAGGTTGGGGAGCCCCCTCCCCTAGTACCTAGAAAAGGGTCCCTAGCAACTACTATGCCCCTGGCCAGAAGCTCCTGGACCTCCCAGGGAGGAACCTGAGAGCCGGGGCGAAGGTGGGGGAGGACTGGAGATGCTGGGAAACCGAGGTGTATGTATGGGGGAGGGGGCCTGAAGCTGGCGGGAAGGGGTGGGGCCGGTTGGCCGCCTCCTCCTTCCCTCTCCCAGTCTCTGAGCCCGGGTTCCTGGTCCCAGGAGGTCCGGTGCCTCCGTTTCTAGGGACTTCCCAGTTTTGGTCAGCCAGGCCAAGTACCAAGTCAGAATCCAGCCTCCCTGGCTCTTATCTGTGCTGAGACCTTGCGCTCATCACCCCAGTGCTGGGAGTCCCACTAACTCGGTGGTAAGGGCTTTTCCCGGGGACAGCGCAGGAACGGGCAAAATCAGTCCTTTTACGGAAGGAGAAGCCCGGCCTCTAAGATGGGAAGTGACTTGTTGGGGTCACCTGGTAGGTAGGCGGCAGAGTTGGATTCGATCCTGCTCTGACGCCATAACCTGCGTCCCCCCTCCCCCGCCCCGTCTGCAAGAGGTCAGAGTCAGGTGGTGTCCTGGACTCCTGGCCCAACCACACAGAAATGCGAGTCCCACCTCACAGCTCCGGGGCTGTGGCTCCCCAGCGCTCTCCAGGGTACGCTGTCCCCGCCTCTTTTGAAAAAACTCCCTTCCCAACCCTCTCCATCAACCCTTCCCCTCCTCCTGCAAAAGAAGCCCACCTGACTTCTCCATTTTGATGAATGGCAGGCCCAGAACTTCAGAGTCTTTTCTGACCCTCTCTTTTCCTTCACACCACATCCAATCCGTCACAAACTGTGGGCTCCACGTATAAAATCAATCGCTCCATTCTAAACTCTTCTTCCTCCGCTGCCCACGCCCTGGCCCAGCCTCCATCCTCTCCTGCCTGATCTCCCTGCTCCCATCCCTGCCCCTACTGTCTGTTCTCACCTGCAGCCAGAGAGAGCCTGGGACCACCTGAGTCAGTTAACTACCCTCCTGGCTCAGAGCCCTGCCCCAGCTGTACCTCACTCCAGGTAAAAGCAAAGTCCTCACCTTGGCACCCAAGGCCCCTGTCAGCTCTCTGACTTCAGCTCCTCATCTCCCCCTGGCTCACACCCCCCATCCAGCCTACCCGCTGTTCTTCTAACTCACCAGGCACCTTCCTGCCTCCTACCCCAAGACCTTTGCACTGGTTATTCCCTCTGCATGGACAGCACCCCCCCTATCGCCGTGCCCTACCTCTCATGCTAACCCCCACCTCTAAAACCCCCATCCACCATCTGACATTTGCTGCCTCCCACCGGCCAATGGAAGAGAGGCCCTCCTCCCACCACCTTCCTCTGTCCAACTGATCTCTTTAGATTTCTCTTTGGTCTGTTTCTTCTAGTGTAATGCTTTTAGTTTTTTAATTAAATAATATTTATTTCAGGTCAGGCGCGTTGGGTCACGCCTGTAATCCCAGCACTTTGGGAGGCCAAGGAGGGTGGATCACCTATCAGGAGTTCGAGACCAGCCTGGCCAACAGAGTGAAACCCCATCTCTATCAAAAATACAAAAAAATTAGCCAGGTGTAGTGGCTTGCACCTGTAATCCCAGCTACCCAGGAAGCTGAGGCAGGAGAATTGCTTGAACCCGGGAGGTGGAAGTTGCAGTGAGCCAGGATCGCACCACTGCGCTCCAGCCTGGACAACAGAGCAAGACTCCATCTCAAAAAAAAAAAAAAAAAAAAAAAGGAAGAAAATATAACAGTCCTCTATGTCCCCTGTACCTATATAGAATAGATGTGGACATTTTGCCATTTTGCTTCAGGTCCTTTTTTTAAAAGAAATAAATGATTACACTTACAACCAAAGGCCTGGCTCCCCATCCCTCCTTTCCCTTCCCGTGCCCCCCAAGGAGCCTTCTGCCTGCCATGCAGTTGGTGTGTTTCCTTCCTGCGCTTTTTTTTTTTTTTTTTTTTGAGACAAGGTCTTGCTCTGTCGCTCAGGCTGGAGTGGTGCAGTGGCTCGATCTTGGCTCACTGCAGCCTCCACCTCCTCGGTTCAAGCGATTCTCTTGCCCCAACTTCCTGAATAGCTGGGATTACAGGCATGCGCCACCATGCCTGGCTAATTTTTGTATTTTTAGTAGAGATGGGGTTTCACTGTGTTGGTCAGGATGGTCTTGAACTCCTGATCTCAGGTTAATCTGCCCGCCTCGGCCTCCCAAAGTGCTGGGATTACAGGCATGAGCCAGCACGCCTGGACCCTGTGTACTTTTCTGTCCTTTTTCTACATCAGGAGGCATCCACCAACACTATCACCTATTATCCAGTATCTTTTTAAAAAGATACACGATTAGGCTCCCTCTGTTTCATTTGCAACTTGCTGTCCCCCATTATCATTGTTTCTGCGATTTCTCCACATCCATGCACAAAGCTCTGCTTCCTAAACTTTAACGCTTATGGAGTGTCCCTTGTTGGAAGAAACCACAGTGGCTGCTTGTTCTATTCAGGGTCGGTAGAGTTCTTTCCTCTTCCCCCTATGGCCCTGAACCTCCCATTTCCTGTCTCCTTGTACCAGAGATAGTGTTTCTTTTCAGAAGTTTTGTTTAAACTTTCTTTTTTTCTTTGTTTTTCTTCTTCTTCTTTTTTTTTTTTTTTTGTTTTTTTGGCCTGTGATCTACAGCAGGAAATACCTTTCACATGGGCTTCCAGCACGCACTTAGAAATACACATAATGCCACAGAAGTTGTAAGAAACCACACTTACCCTCATTAGGCCTCACGCATGGTGTTATTTGCAATTCTATTTTATTTTGATTTGGATAAAGAAGTGCTGATTGCGGCCGGGTGCCTCATCTCACAATCCCAGCACTTTGGGAGGCCGAGGAGGGTGCATCACCTGAGCTCAGGAGTTCAAGACCAGCCTGGGCAACATGGTCAGACCTCGTCTCTACTAAAAATACAAAAAAAATAGACAGGTGTGGTGGTGCACATCTGTGGTCCCAGCTGCTGGGTGGAGGGGGGAGCAATGGAAGTTGCAGTGAGCCAAGATCATGCCACTGCACTTCAGCCTGGGTGACAGAGAGATGCTGTCTCAAAAAGAAAAAGACAAAAAACAAAAAACAAGGGCTGATTGCAATTCACTGTATTAGTTTTATGGCCCTTAAATGGGTCTTGACCTACAGTTTGAAAAACACTGGGTGGGGTCCCTCTCCACCCATCCACTCTTTTTTTTTTTTTTTTTTGAGACAGAGTCTTGCTCTGACGCCCAGGCTGGAGCAGTGGCGCAATCTCGGCTCACTGCAACCTCCGCCTACCAGGTTCAAGCAAACCGCCTGCCCCAGCCTCCTGAATAGCTTGGATTACAGGCATCCATCACCATCGCTGGCTAATTTTGTGTTTTTAGTCAAGATGGGGTTTTACCATGTTGGCCAGGCTGGTCTTGAACTGTCGACCTCAGGTGATCCACCAGCTTCGGCCTCCCAAAGTGCTGGGATTACAGGCGTGAGCCACCACGCCCGGCTTCCCCTCCACTCTTACTAGGCAGAACTCAGCTGAGCTCAGTCATAGCTGGTTGTCCCAACGCACACCCTCAGTTTTTACCTTTTGTTTGTGCATCTGTTTCGTGGCTTTGAGTCAGCCCTCTGTGGGGCTAAGGTTGTGCTCTGACCCGCAGCCACAAGGAACCCACCCTTGACAGAGAGAACCCTCCCTAGACAGAGAGACCCTCTTTCCTGTCCCACTGCCCAGGTCTGACCTGTCCTGGGACAGACTCTGCGGGTCTGGCATCCTCTGCTGCTGCCGGCGTCGGGGGGTTGGGGTGCAGGCGGGGGACTCCCCATCACTGGATGGCGTTATGTGAATGATGGGCACCTCCAGGAGCTTCCAGGACTCAGAGGCCAGGCCCTGGGCCCTGTCACCCTGTGGCTGCTGCTTCCGCTGCCCTGCTGGGAGGTCAGGCGAGCCCTGGGGACTGCCCTGTGCCAACAGGGTCTCCCAAGGCATCAGGGGCAGGACATCATCCATGGAGAGGGTCTGGAACAGCGGTGTGGTCTCTGGGAAAGAGAAAAAAGAGATGAGGGATAGAGCTCCCGCTTAAGCCCCCTTACCACCTTCCCCCGTGGCTCCACTAAGAGAAATGAGCTATGATTAAGAGCACAGTTGGGGACCAGGCGCAGTGGCTCATGCTTGTAATCCCAGCTCTCTGGGAGGCTGAGGCAGAAGGATCACTTGAAGCCAGGAGTTTGAGACCAGTCTGGGCAGCATAGCAAGACCTTATCTCTACAAAAAGTTAAAAATTAGCTAGGCATGGTGGCACGTCCCTATAGCCCTGGCTACTCGGGAGGCTGAGGCGGTAGGATCACATGAGAATCCCGGAATTTGAGGCTGCAGTGAGCTATGATTGTGCCATTGCACTCCAGCCTGGGCAACAGAGCGAGACCCTGTCTCAGAAAAAAAAAAAAAAAAAAAAAAAAAACCCGTGATCTGAGAGTCAGAGAGATCTGGGTGGGATTACCACCCCTGCTAACCTCATTCCCTTATGACCCCAAGCCTGTTTCCTCTTTTGGAGACTCGAGATCTGATAGGACCCTGCAGGGTGGCCAGGCAGTATCTGGAGGGCTCTGGCATGCATGGGGCTAGGCCAGGGCCCCAACACAGTAAGTGCTCAGTTAATCCCATTTGCCTGTAGCTGGAACTGAGGTTTACCGAACCACATAGCTCCTCTCTCATCTGTGGGAGGCCTGGGCTATTTTTTTCGGAAAGCCCTGGGTGTTCTCTGTACCCACTCCTGCCCTGTGTCCCTTCCACACAAAGGGTCAGGAAGGAGCCAGGCCTCAGTGGGCACCAGAGCCCGGGCCTGGGTAACGGCTAGCCGGACAGACAGAGAGGCCGAATCGGGATTCCCCTTCCCTGTTTGCTTAGCAGTTGCCCCTCCCAAGACAAACAAAGGGAGGTGGCCAGCTGGGGCCTTCTGGGCCTGGGAGGAAGCCAGGCCAGTTTCTGCTCTGTGGCTGTGATGTTAGAGGCTGCCTGGGTCTGGGGAGGCCAGACCGCAGTCTCTCTGTCCTCAAGACAGGGGCTTCTTGGCACCCACCTGTTCAGCGAATAGGGAAGGGAGGACCTTCGGGAACCAGAAAGGGTTTCCCCTGTTTTGGAAAAGACCTTGACCCTATAGGCCGGGCTTGGATCTTCCCAGGCACCCGAGTACTCCAATACCCCTACCTTATTGGGTCCTCCTCCTCTGTCCACACAGCATTCAGACTTGCAGGGGAAGGGCGGTAGACCAGGCACTTCCTTTCCCCTAGGAGTCCTAGGTGGGCCAGAGAGTCATGACCTTGCAGGCTGAAATAGTCATGACCATGTCCGGCTGGAGTCGTGTTACTCTCCGGCCAGCTGCTCCTGGGAGAAAGGACAGAGTGGGCATGGAGGTGGAGGTGCTCATGCCAAGGAGGAGGCAGAAAGAACCCCTCTCATCCTTCCGTTCTTGGCTGCACAGGAAGGAAAGGCTAACTACCCCAGGCCTCTCGTGGTCCATTGCTCGTGTTGGTCTGTGGCCAGCCACAGTGTAGCACCTCCAACTACATCGGAGCGCAAGTCTCTAGACAGAGAGTTCCCCTTTCCCGTCCCACCGCCGAGGTCTGACCTGTCTCAGGACAGACTCTGCAGGTCTGGAGTCCTTAGCTGCTGCAAGCATCGTAGGGGCACAAGAATGCTCCTCCAAGTTCAGAAAACACCCCCAGGTGGCCAAATCCAAATTCCAGTCCTCGTCTTCCCCAACTGCTCTTAGAAGCCCTGACCCTGGGAGACGCTTCTTCCTCCTGGAAGGCTCCCTTGGCCGCTGCGATGTCACGGTTTCCTCTTCTCCCACCTCATGCAGCTCCATCTCGTTTCGTGCACAACTCCTGCCCCTCTCCCTGGTCCGTGAAAGCTGGTAGTATTCCCCAAGGCTGAGGTCTGGGAACTTTTCTCTTACTTTTCCAGTTTTTTTTTTGGTTTTTTGTTTTGTTTTGTTTTTTTCTGGGATGGACTCTCGCTCTGTTGCCCGGCTGGAGTGCAATGTCACGATCTCAGTTCACTGCAACCTCTACTGCCCAGGTTCAAGCAATTCTTTGGCTTCAGCCTCCCAAGTAGCTGGGATTACAGGCATGCATCACCATGCCTGGCTAATTTTTTTAGTAGAAACGGGGTTTCACCATGTTGGCCAGGCTGGTCCCAAACTCCTGACCTCAAGTGATCCTCCCACCTCGGCCTCCAAAAGTGGTGGGATTGCAGGCATGAGCCACTGTGCCAGTTTTATTATATGAGAATTGACATATACCCGTAGATGTGGGTTATAATGTATAACAGTAAAATGTTATAAGATATGGGGTGTAGAACAATAAAACGACCCCCTAACTCCATCCACCAACTCAGTTTGAGAATCAGCACATTACCAGGGAGTACCCTGTGACTGCCTTGGGCCCCTCCCCATTCCACTTTTGTCTTCCTTTCAGAAGTCTCCGTTGCCCTTTGTTTGATGGTTATCATTCCCTTACATTTTTATTTTTTTATTTAATTTTATTATTTATTAGAGACAGGGTTGCACTATCCCAGGCTGCCGTCATACTCATTGTAGCCTCCAACTCCTGGACTCAAGCAATCCTCCTGCCTCAGCCTCCTGAGTAGCTGGGACTACAGGCGCCCACCATCACACCCAGCTAATTTTTTGTATTTTTAGTAGAGATGGGGTTTCACCATGTTAGCCAGGATGGTCTCGGTCTCCTGACCTCATGATCTGCATGCTTCAGCCTCCCAAAGTGCTGGGATTACAGGCGTGAGCCACCGCGCACGGCCTCATTTAGGCATTTTTTAAAATAAAGGGTTTTTGTTTTTTTTTGGTGGGGGTGCCGGTCACTGTGGTTCACACCTGTAATCCTAGGACTTTGGGAGGCTGAGGTCGGAGGACTGCTTGAGCCCAGGAGTTCGAGACCAGCCTGGGCAAGATGGTGAGATCCCATCTCTATTTCTTTTTTTAAGTTTTTCTTGTAAAGTTCTTTCATATCTTGTGTGAAGACACATAAGTGTCCATCAGCAATTTTTTCTTTGTTGCTTCATGTTTTTTAAAACCTTTTTATGACAGATGATACACGCAGAAAAGGGACTAAAATATGAATGCACAGCTTAATATGTAATTATAAAGTATACACCTTGCAACCGCTACTGAGATCAAGAAAAAGCATGCGGTCAGCACCCCTAGACACCACAAGTGTCTTCCCACCAAACCCTCTTCCTCCTGAAGACAAGCACTGCCCTCTTCCCTTCCTTTGCTTTTTTTCGGGAGTGGGTGGGCAGAGTCTAGCTCTGTCACCCAGGTTGGAGTGCAGTGGCACAATCTCGGCTCACTGCAACCTCCATCTCCCAGGTTCAAGTGATTCTCCTGCCTCAGCCTCCTGAGTAGCTGAGATTACAGGTGCGTGCCACCACGCCCCGCTAATTTTTGTATTTTTAGTAGAGGCGGGGTTTCACCATGTTGGCCAGGCTGGTCTCGAACTCCTGCCTCAAGGGATCCACCCGCCTTGGCCTCCCAAAGTGCTGAGATTACAGGCATCAGCCACTACGCCCAGCCCCTTTGCTTTTCTTTAGAGTTTTACTACTTGAGTGCGTATTCCCAAAAGCTCTCGTTTTGCCAGTTTCTGAACATCATACAAATAGAACGATACACTTAGAATTCTTTTGTTTAGGGTTCTTCTTCTTCCTTTTTTGTTTTTTGAAACAGGGTTTTGCCCTGTTGCTCAGGCCTGAGTGCAGTGGCACCATCACAGCTCACTGCAGCCTCGAACTCCTGCACTCAAGCAATCCTCCGACCTAAGCCTCTCAAGTACCTGGTGTGCTTCTACATCTGCCTAATTTTTGTATTTTTTAAAAAGACAGGGTCTTGCTATGTTGCCCAGGCTGGTCTCGAACTCCTGGGCTCAAGCAATCCTCCCACCTCAGCCTCCCAAAGATTACTGGTGTGAGCCACTGTGCCCGGCCCAGCTGTTCTGATTTACCATTGTGGTTGTGAATCATCCGCCTTATTGTGTATGGCTAAACTTTGTTCATTTTTACCATTGTGTAGCATTCCACCTATGAAATAAATTGTGAATAAATACCACTATTTACTTAATGATTTAACATTGATGGATATTTGAGGACTTCCCATTTTGGACTAGGTTCATTGTGGCATTATTCACCGTAGCCAAGACATAGAAACACCTTAAGTGTCCATCAGTGATGAATAGATAAAGGTACTTGGTATACAATACAACAGAATACTATACAGCCTTCAAAAAGGAGGAGACCCTGCCATTTGGATGAATCTGGAGGATGTTATGCTAAGTGAACTAAGCCAGACACAGAAGGACAAATACTGCATGATCTCATTTATATGTGGAACCTGAAAAAAACTCAAATACATAGAAACAGAGAATAGAATGGTGGTTACCAGGCTCTGTGCTATGGCCCACGCCTGTCACAGTGGCGCAATCTCAGCTCACTGCAGCCTCTGCCTCGCGGGTTCAAGTGATTTTCCTGTCTCAGCCTCCCAAGTAGCTGGGATTACAGGCGTGCACCACCATACATAGCTAATTTTTGTATTTTTGGCAGAGGTGGGGTTTCACCATGTTGGCCAGGCTACTCTCGAACTCCTGACCTCAAGTGATCCACCTGCCTCAGCCTCCCAAAGTGCCAGGATTACAGGCATGTGCCACTGCGCCTGGCCAGAAATGAAATATCAAGCAGACCAGGGCTACCTAACAACACCCCCATGTTTTCTCATCCAAAGAGCCCTGTGGATTGAAACCATCGCCCTCCTATTCTGTTATCTCTGCCTTTCTCATATTCAGAGGAATAACAGGGTCAGGGGACTGCCTACTGAATTCCAGCTGGGGTGGGTTGGTGAGTTGGATGGTCCAGATCTTGTGCTGTTTCTATAGCACTTTTCCACAAGAAGAGCTGAGGCACAGATAGGTCGTGTGCAGGCCTGAACATCTCCCACTCCCACGCAGGTACTCAACACAGTGTGGGCTTGCGTATTTCTGACACACAATAAGGAATAACGTGATATTTGCACTCCCCAGATACATGAAGATTTGTTGACCGTATCTGTCTGTTTCCAATGAACTATGACTTCTGGTTTTCCCCTAAATATGCCCACTTGGGTCTGGTTAAGTTTTGACGTCTTACCAAATCTCGCCCACATTCTCTGTAAGGTTTTGACCCAATCCCTTCCCATATTTTCCACTCGGGAAAGTCCCTAACCTTTGATGTCCTACCCTCAATCCTTTGATCACAGCCTGGGCGTTCTCCCTTTGGGCTAGATGGAGCCCCGTTTCTGTAAAACTGATGCACTCCTATGCACTAACGAGGTGTCCATGGCGCAAGCTGCACAGGTCCCTCCCCGCCACCCCAAGTGATGCTGGGGCCTCTGTTTCTCATGAACTTCTGCTTTGTCTTTTGGACATCTTGGATCAAAGTGCTGCTGTTCTCTCAGCAAAGGCACCCAGTCCAAGGCCATTTCCTGCCCTTAAACTTGCGGCTATCCGGGGAGAAAGCTTGGTGTATCCTGAATTGTCCAAGGAGCTAGCATCTTGACAATAACAGGACAGGAGGGATGAGAATGGATTTTTTTTTTTTTTTGCATTTTATGAACCAGAGCATTAAAGTTTGGGCCTCCCAAGGGTTCCTTTCCTCTGCCCAGCTTCCCCCCTAGTACCTCTTCCCTGTTTTGACTTCTCATTTTATATACTTTATTCCCACCCTGAACACCCTGAGGGGCCCAGAATGTATTCTAAGAAAGGATGCCCATTCTGCTTCTGAAAACCTAGAGCAACAAATATTCCTGACCATTTGAGTTCATTTTTGCAAGGAGTTGTCAGACCAAATATAACATTTTCTGTGGAAAATACCTATTTTGGAAGGATCTTTAACATCCAATGGAAATTCCATCCCATATTTCTTATTATTATTATTATTATTATTATTATTTTTGAGACAGAGTCTCGCTCTGTTGCCCAGGATGGAATGCAGTGGCGCAATCTCAGCTCACTGCAAGCTCCACCTCCTGGGTTCAAGAGATTCTCCTACGTCAGTCTCCCGAGTAGCTGGGATTACAGGCATGCGCCACCACGCCTGGCTAATTTTTGTATTTTTAGTAGAGATGGGGTTTCACCATGTTGGTCAGGCTGGTCTCGGACTCCTGACCTAAAGTGATCCACCCACCTTGGCCTCCCAAAGTGCTGGGATCACAGGCGTGAGCCACTGTGCCTGGCCGTCCATCCCATATTTCACCAAGACTGGGAACTCTTCAAGGAAACTCCAAGATAGTGGAGGCTCAGTTTCTGCAGTGATGGAGGGGGTGGGGGTGGCTGTGATAAACTGCAATGATTTTCTGGGCTCTCCCCTTTCCCACTGACATACACATAGTCAGCTGCTCTTCTAGAGAATGGGAATTAAGCCTCAGACACTTAGACACGGTGCCTCTAGTCAATGAGCGTACAGCCCTCATCTGGAAAGCGTGGAAAACCCCCACCTCAAGGAAATTCCCCACCTCCAGGGATTTTGAGGGAATCTAACAATATAAGTAAGAGCCTGAGCTGAAGCACACACCCAGTGCCCACTCAACTGTTTTAGCTATTGTTAAATGTTCCCGAGAGAGTCGATTTCAACAACCACATCATATGAGATGCTGGAATGGCTCCTGCCTATCGTCTCTGCACTTTGGGAGGCAGAGGCAGGAGGATTGCTTGAGCCCAGGAGTTTGAGACCAGCCTGGACAACATAACAAGACCTCATCTTCACCAAAAAAAATAGAAAATTTAACCAGGCTGATGGCACATGCCTGTGGACCCATCTACTTGGGAGGCTGAGGCAGGCAGATTGCTTGAGCCCATGAGGGCAAGGCTGCAGTAAGCCCTGATCACACCACTGCACTCCAACCTGTCTCCAGACTAAAAAAAAAAAAAGCTGGATACCAGATTCTGGGGGAATACAGCTATGAGAAATGTAAGAATTCTCAAATGCTTGTCACTTCCCCATGTTGGTTTTGTTTAGCTCTGGGTGTTTTCCCACACCACTTATTAAGAAAGTCGTTAAAGGCTGGGCACAGTGGCTCATGCCTGTAATCCCAGCACTTTGGGAGGCTAAGGCGGGTGGATCACTTGAGGCCAGGAGTTCAAGACCAGCCTGGCCCACATGGTGAAACCCCCTCTCTACTAAAAATACAAAAAATTAGCTGGGTGTGATGGCGTGCACCTGTAGTCCCAGCTACTCAGGAGGCTGAGGCAGGAGAATCCCTTGAACCCAGGAGATGGAGGCTGCAGTGAGCCAAGATCGCACCACTACACTTCCAGCCTGGGTGACAGAGCAAGACTGTCTGAAAAAAAAAAAAGAAAAAAAGAAAGAGAGAGAGAGAAAGAAAGAAAGAAGAAAGAGAAAGAAAGAAAGTTGTTAAAATGAGAAGTTGATGCATGCCTGTTTGCAAAGGGAGAAATTGGAGCAATTCCATTTTGCTCTGCAGTCAGGTTTGTGAGAAGAACCCTCCTATCAGGGCAGGTTTAGTTTAGTAAGGTTAATTTTTTTTCCTGTGTTTTTTTTTGTATTGGCATTATATATTTTTTTCTTAAAAAAATCCTTGAAAATTCAAGTATAGTTAATATTAACAGGAAACAGCCAGTCTTGCACCTGTGAACCTGCAAAAAGGCAGGGCAGGAGGAGGGGAACTGGCCACCCTAGCAGAGGACACTCAGGCTGCATAAGGAACAGATGCTTCTGGTGGGGACACAGGGCTCTCAGAGTGCCCACACTGTGACAGGTAAGATTTACAGACACACATCAACAAGGACATTGGGGTCACTCTCCACACTTCTGTACACTGCGCAAAACATCCATTCCCAGAGAAGGAAGAAAAAGTTAGCCAGGCTTGGGAAAGTCTGTACTCCAAACACTTTTTAAAATTTCCATTGGAGTGTTGTGCACATCACAAACAAATATAAATGAGTATTAATAAAGTGAACTTTTGTATTATTAATTTCCTTTGGCTGCCGTCACAAATGATCCCAAACTTTGTGGCTTGAAACAACAGAATTATTATCTCAGTGTTCTAGAGACCAGAAGGCCAAAGTCAAGGTGTCAGCCGCGCCATGTTCCCTCTGAAGGCTCTAATCCTTCCCTGCCTCTTCCAGCTTCTGTTGGCTCTAAACAGTCCTTAGCTTGGGGCTGCATAACCCTCATCTTTGCCTCTGTCTCCACATGGCCTTCTCCTACTCCCTGTGTCTCTTACAAGGACCCTTGTCATTGGATTTACAGCCCACTCAGATAATACAAGCTGATCTTATCTTGAGATCCTTAATTTAATTACATGTACAAGCTGTGTGCGGTGGCTCACACCCACAATCCCAGCACTTTGGGAAGCCGAGGTGGGCAGATCACCTGAGGTCAGGAATTGGAGACTAGCCTGACCAACATGGTGAAGGCTGGCCAACATGGTGAAATCCCATCTCTACAAAAAAAAAAAAAAAAAAAAATTAGCTGGGTGTGGTGGTGCATGCCTGTAATCCCAGCTACTTGGGAGGCTAAGGCAGGAGAATTGCTTGAACTCAGGAGGCAGAGGTTGCAGTGAGCCGAGATTGCACCACCACACTCCAGCCTGGGCAACAGAGTGAGACTCCATCTCAAAAAAAAAAAAAATTACATGTACAAAGACTCCTTTTCCAAATAAAGTCACTGTCACAGGTTCCGAGGGTTGGGATGTGGACATATCTTTTGGGGGGCTATTATACTACTTACTACAACACTCAAGTAAAAAGACCACAAATGTCCATTAAAGGTCCTGAATAAGAATGATCATACCAGCTTTATCCATAACAGCCAAAACCTTGAAACAACCCTAATGTCCATCAAAAAGAGAATGAATAAATAAATTGTGATATATTCATACAGTGGAATACTATATGGCAACGAAAATGAGCAAACTATTGCCGCAAGTATCAGCGTGAATGCATCTCCATTAATATAAAGTTCAAGAACAGGCGAAACCAATCCATGGTGATGGAGGTCAGAATAGTGCTTACCCTCAGGGGATAATGACTAGGAGGGCGCGAGGGATCTTCTGAAGTGTTGGAAGTATTCTATATTTTTTTTTATTCTTTTAGAGACAGGGTCTTGCTCTGTAGCCCAGGCTGGAATGAAGTGACACAATCATAACTCACTGTAACCCCAACCTCCCAGACTCAACTGATCTTCTCATTTCAGCCTCCCGAGTAGCTGGGACTGCAGGTATGTGCCACCACATATGGCTAATATTTTTACTTTTTATTTTTTGTGGAGATGGGGTCTCGCTATGTTGCCTAGGCTGGTCTCAAATACCTGGCCACACGGGATCCTCCTGCTTTGGTCTCCCAAAATGCTGGGATTACAGGTATGAGCCATTTGCTTCCAGCCAGTATTCTATATTTTCATCTGAGTGGTAGTGGTAGTCATATGAAAAATTAATTATACTATGCATTTAAGATTTATGCACTTTACTGAATGTATGTTATAAAATTTAACTTGTCATTAAAATTTTACGTATTTTAAACTCAATTACATGTACAATTTCATGTATAAAAACTCAATTAGTTTAAAATACATAAAAGTTGCAATATATCATCATTGTTAAAACTATTTTAACAGGCTTATTGAAGTATAATTGATATATGATACACTGCACATATTTAAATTATACAATTTTTATCTTTGATATTGACATTTGTATATATCCATGAAATCACCACCACAATCAAGCTAACCAACATCACCCACAAAAGTCTCTTCCTGCCCTTCTCCATATTCCCCATGCTCCCTACAACATTAAAATTATATTAAAATTTTCTAAAAAATGAAAATAAATAAATATCTGGTTGATCTTGCTAGTTGCAAAAAGAATCATAAGTAAAATTACTGCAGTATGCCTTCTTTCAGGAATTACACCAGACCAGCAAGGAGGATTCAGAAACATAAATGCACTCTGCACTTCTGGCATAACTAGGGGGTATCTGAAAGGTCAGAGGAGGAAGAGCTACCAACACAGGAAAAGTCAAGTGAGTCGAGGAGGAAGCCAAGAAGGAGTGCCCATGGTTCTGATCTTAGACTAAGCCTACAAGGCACAAGAGGCTCGTTGTGATGGGCAAACCAGCAGTCACCTGTTTGGAACACAAAGAGTGAGAGATACAGCCTGGCCGTTGGAACCTTCCTGGCACTTGCTGCCATTGATGTCTGGGGCCAGGAAAGCAGTGCTGGAGGAGGGATCAACACACAGTTGTCTGGACAGGATGCTGCCTGCTTGCCAGGAGGAGGTGGGGCTGAGCTGCTGCACTGTAAGTGGCTTTCCGGATGCTGTTCTTGGCCATCTGGGGCAAAGGAAGTTTAAGCAACTCACACATACACATATTCCTCTAAATTAGCAACGTTCCTGGAAACTGGAAATGCTTCCTGCTAGGCAGAAACAAAAGCTTCCCCCTACTGTGCACAAATGTCTTCAATTACTTGGCACAGGAAGAGTTCCCCCCAAGTCAAAGGTAGCTAAAAGAGAAATGCATAACCGGCAGATTTAGGGGTGGGAACCTGATGTCTGCAACTCACTTTAGACACATAAAAAAGTCATATAGAGCAAGTACAGTGAAATGTTAAGGGCATAGGTGGTATGTATACAGCTATTTGCTGCATAGTTCTTTCGACTTTTCTGTGTTTGGAAAGTTTCATTAAAAAGATAGAGAAGAAAGGGTATTCAAAGAAACTGAACAAAGTTATCAAAAGAAAAAGGATAAAAGCAACATTAAAAAAAATTCAGAGGCCAGGCACAGTGGCTCACACCTATAATCCCAGCACTTTGGGAGGCCAGGGCGGGTGGATCACTTGAGGTCAGGAGTTCGAGACTAGCCTGGCCAACATGTGAAACCGTCTCTACTAAAAATACAAAAATTAGCCAGATGTGGTGGTGCATGCCTGTAATCCCAGCTACTCAGAAGGCTGAAGAACAAGAAGGGCTTGAACCCCGGAGGTGGAGGTTGCAGTCAGCCAAGGTCATGCCACTGTACTCCAGCCAGGGTGACAGAGCAAGACTCTGTCTCAAAAAAAAAAAAAAATCAGATGAAGAAAATGCCATGCAGTGGCATGATCTCGGCTCACTGCAGCCTCCGCCTCCTGGGTTCAGGCGATTCTCCTGTCTCAGCCTCCTGAGTAGCTGGGACTACAGGCATGTGCCACCACACCTGGCTAATTTTTGTATTTTTAATAGAGACAGGGTTTCACCATGTTGGCCAGACTGGTCTCAAACTCCTGACCTCAGGTGATCCACCTACCTTGGTCTCCCAAAGTATTAGGATTACAGGAGTGAGCCACCACGCCCAGCCTCGATTCAGTTTTTAAAGAATAATTTAAAAAGCATACCTAGAAACCACAGAATACCAAAGAAAATGACATAATCTTAAAAGTGGCTGGAAATAAAGGATGGATTACATATATGAAAACAAAATTAGACTTTCTACTGATTTCTCAATAGCAAAAATGGGAACGAGAAGACAATGGAACAATAGCTTTGATGTGCTGGGAGAAAACACATGTCCATCTAGAACTGCAGGCCCAAGAATCATTCAAGGATGAAGATGAACTGAATACACTTTCAGAGAAAAACTGAAATATTTTGTATGAACATATCCCCCTAAAGGAAATTCTTAAAAAATTAGGTCAGAAGAAAGAAAAGCAATATCAGAGGGAAAATATGAGCTGTAAGATGGAATAACAAGCAATGAAAATGATAAATGTGTGGGTAAATCTAAACGGACAGTGATTGTTTTAGTCCATTTTTTGTTGGTATAACAGAATATACCACTATAAATTACAGACTGGGTAATTTATAGTGAACAGAAATTTATTTAGCTCATGGTTCTGGAGGCTGAAAAGTCCAATACCGAGTGGGTGGCATCTGGTTGGCTTCGGGGGAGGGGCTAGTGCTGCATCATAACATGATGGAAAAGCAGAAGAGAAGCAGGTGTGTGTCAAAGGGGCAAAACTTAAGGGGAACCTCACTTTATAACAGCCTGCCCTTGCAATAACCAATCCAGTCCCAAAAGAGTGAGAACTCACTGCCTCCAGAATTAACCCAGTCTCGAGAGAATGGCATCAGTCTCTCTTAATGACCAAATCACCTCTTAAAAGTCCCGTCACCCAACACCACCACACTGGGGACCAAAGTGGGAGGATCTCTTAAGACCAGGAGTTTGAGATCAGCCTGGGCAACATAGTGAAACCCTATCTCTATTAAAAAATTAACAGGGCATGGTGGTACAAGTGGTACAAGCCTGCAGTCCTAGCTACTTGGGAGGCTGAGGCAGGAGGATTGCTTGAGCCCCGGAGTTTGAGGCTGCAGTGGGCTATGATAGTGCCACTGCACTCCAGCCTGAGTGACAGAGCGAGAATTTGTCTCTTTTTTTTTTTTTTTTTTTGAGATGGAGTCTCTCTGTGACGCCCAGGCTGGAGTGCAGTGGCTCAATCTCGGCTCACTGCAAGCTCCGCCTCCCGGGTTCACGCCATTCTCCTGCCTCAGCCTTCCGAGTAGCTGGGACCACAGGTGCCCACCACCACGCCTGGCTAATTTTTTGTATTTTTAGTAGAGAAGGGGTTTCACCGCGTTAGCCAGGATGGTCTCGATCTCCTGACCTTGTGATCCGCCCGCCTCGGCCTCCCAAAGTGCTGGGATTACAGGCATGAGCCACCGTGCCCAGCCGCTGAGAATTTGTCTCTAAAAAACAATGACAAACTAAAAGGAAAACTTCTGGAAAGCAGAATAAAAGACAAAAGTGGATAATAAGAGACAATATAAGAAAATTAGAGGATAAATTCAGAAATTCCAAAAAAGAGAAAACAGAAACTCCAGTAGTGAAGAAAGTATTAAAGAAATGTCCCCATAACTGAAAGAAATTTGAAGAGCCTGCAGAGTGCTCCACAATTGTTAAAATATGGTAATAATATTTCAGAACATCAGTTCTAGAGGTTTCCAGAGAGAGAAAAAAAAAAAGCCAAACAGATCACAGTCAAAGGATCACAGGTGGGAGGACATTGGACACTCTGGGGAAAAACTGCTGTTTAACCTGGACTTCTATCAAATTATCACTCAAGTGGAAACAGGGTTAGACATTTTCAGACAAACAAAGTCTCAAAAAGTTTCCTCCCAAACAGTCTTTCTCAGGAAGCTCCTGGAAGATATTTTCACCCTAAACAAGGGAGTAAACCAGGAAAGAGAAAATGGAGGACCAACATGACTAGATGGTGAAGTGAAGTCCCAGCAGGAGAATCATGCAGCTGGCTTGAAGAAAGTATAGATTGGAGCAGAAGGACAGAGATTGGAGTTTAAATTATTCAAAGCAGAGAAAAGGACAAATCTCAACTACAGTTGTAAAGAAAAGCAAAAAGTTTGCATGAGAAAGAAATGTAAGGACAGCGCACGACATAGCTCATCTCTAACATTTTCCTGATCTCCATAACATAATCAGTGAACTTAATAAAAATCATGACATGACAATTCTGGGAGGATTGAAGGGGGGGGAAGGAAATATGTGTGTGGGAGAGGAGTGAAAAGAGCGAATTCATCATCTTCTAGTAAAAAGTAAGTTGATAATATATAACATTCAAATTCAAGACTGTATATAAACCTGCTATTTATAAACGTGGAGCCGGGCACAGTGGCTCATGCCTGCAATTCCAGCACTTTGGGAGGCTGAGATGGGCGGATCACTTGAGGTCAGGAGTTCGAGACCAGCCTGGCCAACACGGTGAAACCCTGTCTCTACTAAAAATACAAAAATTAGCCTGGTGTGGCGGTGCATGCCTGTAATCCCAGTTACTTGAGAGGCTGAGGCTGGAGAATTGCTTGAACCCGGGCGGCAGAGGTTGCAGTGAGCGGAGATGGCACTGCTGCACTACAGCCTGGGCAACAGAGTGAAATTCCAACTCAAAAAAAAAAAAAAAAGGAGATGAAAATAGAACTATGCACTAAAAGAGAGAGTGGCTAATTCTGGAGAGGGGGATGGGGTGGGACGGCATGGAGTAGAGAAGAGAGCTGCTGGGTTTAGAAATCTTGTTGAATTCTTTGACTTTTGCTATTGTGCATTTATATGACTGATTAGAATTAAAATTTTAAAAGTTTGCAACTGGTAGAGCCAAGAATTTTGAGTTTAAGAATCCCAAACTGATGGAAATACTTATAATACACACAAAAATTTTTGTTTACGGATGGCCTAGGCAGTATAGTTTGCAATGAGGACAAAGAAAAAAAATGCGTTGTGTTTGATATTTACAGGATATTATTAATGGGACATTATAATTAATTGTTTTATTTTCCCCACTGCTGACATGCCTGTGTGAATTTGCTAAGCTAGTGGTTTGATGACTTATTTGTAATGCACTTTTAGAGCATCGTAAACACCTAATAAACACATGTGGAATACAGGTGTTTCAAAACGATAAGTAACAAAAAAGAGACACATTTTATTGTATATAAACTATCCTTCAATAATACTGATTAAAATGCAAAAGAGATATTAGAATATGCAAATTATTCAGCAACATAAAGCAATAATAGAAGAGCCAAAAGACGAAAATGATTGATTATGGGATGTGGATGCAAGGTAGAGGACAGTTATTTATTTATATGTCTTTTATTGTTTGTTTGTTTATTTATTTATTTTTTGTGACAGGGTCTTGCTCTGTCACCCAGGCTGGAGTGCAATGATGCCATCCCAGCTCACTGCAGCCTTGGTCTTCCATGCCCAAGCCATCCTCCCACCCCAGCCTCTTGAGTAGCTGGGACTACAGGCACATGCCACCATGCCTGGCTAATTTTTGTATTGTTTGTAGGCATGGAGTCTCACCATCTTGCCCAGGCTGGTCTCAAAACCCTGGGTTCATTCCGTCTGCCTGCCGGTCTCCCAAAGTGCTGGAATTACAGATGGGAGCCACTGGACCCAGCCATGTCTTTTAATGCTGCATGATATTTAAATGTTAAATATGTATATTTTAGCACTACTTCATATATACTCATTACATAAGGTAAGTACAGTTATAAAGTAAATAAAGGCTGGGCGCAGTGGCTCATGCTGTAATCCTAGCACTTTGGGAGGCTGGTCAGGAGATCAAGACCAGCCTGGCCAACATGGGGAAACCCCATCTCTACTAAAAATACAAAAATTAGCTGGGCAGGGTGGCACATGCCTAGCTACTCGGGTGGCTGAGGCAGGAGAATCACTTGAACCTGGGAGGCGGAGCTTGCAATGAGCCGAGATGGCGCCACTGCACTCCAGCCTGGGCAACAGAGTGAGACTTCATCTCAAAAAAAAAAAAAGTAAATACGGCACATAGATGTGTTATGCATAATATATATATGTATGTATGTATGTATGTATGTACGCTGGGTCTAGAATTTGAAAGGCACCTGAAAATATAATGCTTAATTTTTCAAACACTTATTTTGTGATTAGAACGAAGACAATGCATAGTGGATGACGTTACTGCCTTTCTATTCTATCACTATCTATGCACCATGTCCAAAAGGTCATGAACTGCCACTGGGTGAAGGCAGATCTCGGAGTCTGTTTGTTATATGCAGGGACTCAATGACACTCACTGGCTGCAGTACACCCGTGAGGTAGGAGGTGGGCTCAACTCCAGAGGTGAGGCTCAGACACCTGACCAAACTGAGAACTAGCTAAAACAGGGACGGGAGGGAAGCAGTTTTCCATAAGACACACCCACCAGTGCGCCATGTCAGTTTACCATTGCCATGGCAACACCGGAGAGTCACCACCCCTTTCCATGGCAATGATATAATGACCCCAAAGCTACTACCCCTTCCCTAGAAATGTCTGCATAAACTGCCCCTTAATCTACGTGCAATTAAATGTGAGCATAAATCTGACTGCAGAACTGCTCTGAGCTGCTGCTGTCTGCCTACGGGACCGGGTAGTCCTGCTCTGCAGGAGCAGTCATGGAGCTGTAACACGGCTTCTTCAATGAGCCTCTTTTCTTCTACCCTACCACTGGCCCATACTGCTCACCCTTGAATTCTTTCTTGAGCAAAGCCAAGAACCCTCACATGCTAAGCCCCAGTTTGGGGGTCACCTGTCCTGAATCAAGTTGGGAGAACTTGAAGATTCCTCCAGAAAGAAATATGTAAACTGGATGGTGCTCTCCTCATCATGCTGAGAGCTCTCTCTCCCCTGGTGCTCGGCTCCTGGCCACCTCTGCCTCCAGCCAGACTAGGTGCTCCTAGTCAGACCTGATCCTCAGCAATTTTGACCAAAGATGACTCTTGGTACTGAAAGGCCACCAGGGTCTGCTCTTCCACACACCTAAAGTTGAGGCAGTGATAGGGGAATGCAACTGGGAGTGAGGTCCCATTGTCAGGGTCCTTTCCAACCTCCTCATCTTGGCATCGAAGGGTTCCGTGTTGACCCTACCCTAGCTAAACACCCAGCCAAATATCCCCCTGCTCTTCAGGGTGCTCCCTCAGCTCCACTCACTCTGTCTCTCACACACCACCAGAAGGTACCCCTTAAAACCTGTGCGATCCACCTTCCTGCAATGCTCTTCCTTCCTCTACAAATCCACCCGCTTTCCAAAGTCCAGTTTCAGGCCCTTGTCTTTCTTCCTGGAACAAAGTGCTCATTTGAGGTTTTGAACAGCTGGAGCACTTCTGCTTCATGCAGACCTTTGGTGCACCTAGCGAACATCAACTGTGTTTTAACACCCAGTTTAGCAGCAACTTCCATTGTAAATACTTCAGCAATAATTCTCTCCAAGAATTCTTTCTCTCCTTGGTTCCCAATGAGATAGGTTTTTTCCATTATAGTAATTAACGCTTTGAATCATAATAAAGTGTTTACCACCATTTGGAATCTCCTGGTAGAATAAGAGTTCCCCAGGGAAAAGTACTTGGAATTAATCACATAGCATTGATGCCATAAAAGCTTGCTGAATTAAGACATTCCTTTGTATGGCTTGGCATTGTGGCTCACGCCTGTAATCCCAGCACTTTGGGAGGCTGAGACGGGAGGCTCACTTGAGGCCAGGAGTTCAAGACCAGCCTGGGCAACATAGCAAGACCCCGTCACTAGCAAAAAAGAAAAGAAAAAAAATTAGCCGGACATAGTGGAGGGCACCTGTGGTCTCAGCTAATGGGGAAGCTGAGGCGGGATGATCGCTTGAGCTCAATAGGTCGAGTTTATGGTGAGCTATGAGTGCCACTATATAGTGAGTGCCACTGCACTCCAGTCTGGGAAGCAGAATGAGACCCTGTCTCAAAACAACAACAACAATAACAACAAATGCTCCTGTATTTTTCTCTCACTCTCCTATTCATCCTTCAGCACCCAGTCTAACCACCACCTCCTCTAGAAAGCCTTTCTGATTGCCTAGAGCAAGGTGGGTTCTTCCATCATATCTGATGGCATCTGGCTTCTTTATATGGATTATGAAAGTCACCATTTACCTGGGCAATTATTTGTTAAGCGCCCTTCTCTTTCCCTCCACTGTGCAAACCATCGGGACAAGGGCAGGCTGTGACCTTGTCATAAGATTTCCAGTGTACCAGCCCAATGTTTGGCACAAGGCTGGTGCTCAGTGAATTGCTTGTGACATGGAAGAATTAAAGTGTGACTCTTACATACCCAATGACACTTTGCTTCCCAGAACTAAATGTATTAGCACAGAATAAATTTATTTTTTTATTATGAAAAATTTAAACATTCTCAAAAGTAGAGAGAAAAGCATAATGAGCTGCCACGTGTCCATCATCCAGCTTTGACAATTACCAATATTCTTGCCAATCTTCTGATGCAGTTTTTTTAAATCAACTTATTGAGGTATAATTTACACACACAATGTACTCATTTTGAGTGTATACTTCAATGGCTTCTAGCAAATGTGTGCATTCATAGTCCCCAAAAGTTTCCCTGTGGCACAGAATTGGGTGATTTTTTGTTTTTTTGAGATAAGATCTTGCTCTGTCACCCAGAGTGGAGTGCAGTGGTTTGATCATAACTCACTGCAGCCTCCACCTCCTGGGCTCAAGCGATCCTCCCGCCTTGGCCTCCCAAAATGCTGGCATTACAGGTATGAGCCACTGCATCCAGCCTGGCACGAAGTTTTGTGAATACAAATCCTTTTTTTTTTTTTTTTTTTTTTTTGAGACAGAGTTTTGCTCTTGTTGCCCAGGTCGGAGTGCAATGGCATGATCTCGGCTCACTGCAACATCTGCCCCCCGGGTTCAAGCGATTCTCTGCCTCAGCCTTCCAAGTTGCTGGGATTACAGGTGCCCGCCACGATGCCCGGCTAATTTTTTGGATTTTTAGTACAGACGGGGTTTCGCCATGTTGGCCAGGCTGATCTCGAACTCCTGACCTCAGGTGATCCACCAGCCTCGGCCTCCCCGAAGTGCTGGGATTACAGGCGTGAGCCACTGTGCCAGGCTGTGAATACAAATTCTTAATAAATGTTTGTTACTTTGTTCACGTGTGATCCAAGATGAGTTGAAGGAAGGGGCTTGGGCCTTGAAGAAGTAGGAGAGTTTAAAGACTCTGGGGGCCACGTGAAGGGAAAGATTTGGGCTCTTACAGCCTCTTCATTTCCCTGAGACCCAACCCCAAATTGGCCCCAACTTATTCAGTCAGAATATTCTTTATCAACACCATCATGAAAGTTTCTTCCCTTGTAACCTGAGAATGGAAAAGCCAAGTTTCCATTTCCTTCATGGTGGGATGCAGTCCATGAAGCTCTCCAGCCTGTGACCCCTTTCTAAGCCTTCCCATTGCCAATCAAATGCCCACTAGGGGTAGCCTCTTCCTCTACCATCACCTGCCCCTCATAAGGTCCTAAGTATGGACCCAGAGCCCATACACAAGGCCTACTCCACTGTGGACTGCAGACCCTGGTTCTCAAGTCCAAGGGGCAGAAGGGGCTGAGCTGGAACCATGCCCCTTGGCCACAGAACCAACCTGGATGAGCCCTGCAGACCCTGGGAGCCAGCTCTCAGGGAAGAAAGTGGAGGAGGGTGGGAGTACAGCAATGGGGAGAAGGGCAGGGGGAGCTGGCCAGTGCAGGGTGGGCCTGGGGTATGGAGCCTCAGAGCATTCTGATGAAGCAGTGTTATAGGACCAACAGGCTCACACATCCACTGTGCAGTGACAGACCATTCCACTGAGACAGCAGGGTTGGCAGCAGAGAAAGAGTTTCATGATCACAGGGCGCCAAGTGAGGACATGAGAGGAAACCCTCAAATCCATCTCCCCAAGGAGTTCTGGGCTGGCGATTTTAAGGGGATCATGGAAGGACGAGGAGCTGGAGAATTGGGGTGGTTGATTGCTTGGGGTTAGGGGGATGAAATCAGGGTGTGAAAACTGCATTCTTTAGTGAGTCAGCAGCTCCTGTGGGTTCCTTCAGACCAAATGGCATCAGTGGTTTCATCAGTATACAGAACCTGAAAAAATATCTCAAATGGAAAACTTAACATTTCTTTTGTTTGTTTGTTTGTTTGTTTGAGGCAGTTTTGCTCTTGGCATCTAGGCTGGAGTGCAGTGGCACCATCTTGGCTCACTGCAACCTCTGCCTCCTGGGTTCAAGCGATTCTCCTGCCTCAGCCTCCTGAGTAGCTGGGATTACAGGCACCTGCCACCATGCCTGGCTAATTTTTGTATTTTCAGTAGAGACGGGGTTTCACCATGTTGGCCAGGCTTGTCGCGAACTCCTGACCAGGAGATCCACCCACCTTGGCCTCCCAAAGTGCTGGGATTACAGGCGTGAGCCACTGCACCCGGCCAAAACTTAACATTTCGTAATGTTCAAGTTCTTATCTCTAGAGCAGTTAAGGGGAACTATCATCTTGGAACAGGTCTGTGTGATTCTAGAACAACAGGCACCAAACCACTGTGAGAAAGGGCAGGTCAGAGAGCAGGATGACCTCATGATGACCGCTGAATGTGCTGCAAGCTTGGTTATTTTCATTTCTCCCCGTCCCTTCTTCCCTGATTAATTTAATAAAGTGAATATGGTTTCAGCAGAAACACTGGTGGTGGAAGAAGGGCATGTCACTCACATCCTTCCCACACCTCATTTGTCTCAGGGAGGAGCATTGTTTGGGGACCCCAGAAGGGGAAGGGTTTCTGACCCCAGAAGAGTAAGGACACTTTATAGAAAAAAAGGCACGGAGCCGGGGAGGCCTTTACTGAAAGTCAGTATCCAAAGGCTCGCTGAATTCTTCAAAGAACGTTTCAGCCCTTTTTTTTTTTTTTTTTTTGCGACGGAGTCTCACTCTGTCACCCCGGCTGGAGTGCAGTGGCACAATCTTGGCTCACTGCAACCTCCACCTCCTGGGTTCAAGCAATTCTCCTCCCTCAGCCTCCCGAGTAGCTAAGATTACAGGCCTGCACCACCATGCCTGGCTAATGTTTGTATTTTTAGTAGAGATAGGGTTTCCCCGTGTTGGCCAGGCTGGTCTCAAACTCCTGACCTCAGGTGATCCATCCGCCTCGGCCTCCCCAAGTGCTGGGATTACAGGTGTGAGTCACTGCGCCCAGCCACGTTTCAGCATTTCATTTGAGCAGGGAATACATCCTCAAGAGGAGCAGGAAAAGGGAAGAAGATGCAGGAAAGTTGGCCATTATTTGAGAAGATAAAACCCACTCTCTGTGGTGCTGACAGTATTTCTTTGTGCACCATCGTTCACAGCTCTTGGTCCAGAGGTTACAACCACGCCCACCACACCACCTGCAGACTGGCTCCAGATTAATTTCCTGGGTCTGCTTCCTCCCTCACTCACATTTAACTTTGCAAATCCCCTTCATTCATTATTCATTCATTCCACAAATATTTGTCAAAGGTGCTAGAGATAAAATGGGAAATAAGTTTCTTGCATTCGAGAAGTTTATAATGTGATGAAATCATTGTCTTTGCTAGCATATATTAAGAATTTACACCTGGTGAATCTTCCTTCAAAAATGAGAAATCAAGTACGTCAATGGACATTTGGTGGGAGATTAACAGAGAATTCCAGAATGACTAAACAAACCCACAATTTTGGGGAGGAGAACAAAAAGAAAGAATGAAGACAAAATCCCCCAGAAATGGTCTCAACGGTGAGGAAAGAGAAGTCAGAAGCTGGGTATTGCTACATCCTGGAAACAGCATATAGGAAATTAGGAAATTTAGGAAGGCGATTTCTTGTTCTAATTCTGCCTGACTCATGCAAATTCCCGCATATCTATTTACGCCTCTGTCACTCAGTTTTCCTCATCTGTACAGATAAACTCTAATCTAATGCAGATGGGTGTTACAAAAATGCAACAGTGCACCTAAGAGTGCTTTGGGAACCATGAAGCTCTATATAAATAGGAAAGAATATATTTTTTTAGAGTGCCTCCTAACATCGCTGATCTCTGTCTTCCAGGCACCTTCTTTCCTGGAGCACAACTCACCAATTCCACCACCAGCTGGTTTCTTCCTACGTCACAAAAGCAACTGCGAACAGGGCTCCATTGAGTGGGGACCCGACTCATTACTTCTCTCAGGGGGCCCACAGTGGAGTTAGAAAGGCGAGCCCAGCAAACACTTACAGGAAACTGCCGTGAGCCCCATCACTGAGCATGGGTGGGGTGGGTGAACTAGAATTTGCTATCTGAGCAGTTGGTGTTTGACTTGAGTCTTTGAAGCACCTGGAAAATAATATCACACGTCCTTGGTGTTCCATGTTTGCCCTGACCGCACCTTTATCTGAAGGCCCCTGAGGGCTGAGGTCTTGCATTCCAGGAGACCCTTGAGGGTCAGGGTTTATGTGTTTCTCCTATGCCTACACACACAGGTGGTGTGGAGTTGTTCCATAGCACAGTTCCATTCATACACAAGGTTCTTACAGTGTGCAATGACCCAGGCTTGCAGCCCTTCTCAACCTTAACTGCACAGTAAAATCCCCAGGGAAACTTTTAACAATCCGGGCAGCAGGCTGCACCCCAGACCAATGCAATCAAAATCTCTGGGGGTAGTCCCTTGCATCAGGGATTTTAAAAGTTCCTCTGGGCCAGGCGCGGTAGCTCACACCTGTAATCCCAGCACTTTGGGAGGCCGAGCTGGGCAGATCACTTGGGGTAAGGAGTTCGAGACCAGCCTGGTCAACATGGTGTAACCCCGTCTCTACTAAAATACAAAAATTAGCCGGGCGTAATGGTGGGAGCCTGTAATCCCAGCTACTCTGGAGGCTGAGGAGGGAGAATCGCTTGAACCCGGGAGGCGGAGGTTGCAGTGAACAGAGATCGCGCCATTGCACTACAGCCTGGGCGACAGAGGGAGACTCCATCTCAAACACACACACACACACACACACACACACACACACACACACACACACACTTCCTCTGGTGGTTCTAACACGCAGCCAAGGTAGAGAACCACTGAGTTACAGCCTGGCCCTCAAGGGTGCACACCAATTGCCTGGGTGGGGGAGTTGACAAAATGCAGATTTTGATTCAGCAGGTCTGGTTTTAAGTCCTGAGGTTCTGCTTTTCAAACAAGTTCCCAGACGCTGCTGCCGCTGGTGGCCGGACAGCATTTTGACAGAAAGGGGCGGGAGCACAAGCAAAGTTCCCTGGGACCGGGATTGTGGTTCTAGTGCCCTCTGGTGGTCAGGACCTCCCTAGCAGCGCCCTGCAGAGAAGAACTGATGATAGAAGCCCTGGCTAACAGAATTTCTGGCGGACACCTGGATTTCAGCCTTGTAATGACCGGAGCAGAACCCAGCCAAGCCTGCTTGGACTCCTGACCTACAAAACTGTGAGATAATAAACGGGTGTTGTTTAAAGCTGCTAAATTTATGGTAATTTGGTGTGCAGCAATAGACAAGAACAAGCTTCATCGTAACAGGCCAGCTGAGAAACCCAAACCCACAGGCTCGGCCCAGTGACCTTGCACGTCTCTTCTCTAGTTCAGGGAGATGGATTCATTCCCAACCTCCTGCTCTCATGGGAGACGAGGTGGAAAGGATTGTACTTCTTGCTGCTTTATTTTTTCATGATTGCTGACTTCTTTTCATCCTACGATGCTTGTTGTCACTGACACCCGTGAAAGCTCAGGGGTGGGATGGTGGTGGGGTTGTTTGCTCTCTGTGGCTGATTGTATTTTCCAAAGGTGAATGCACGGATATATCCTATGCCACATGCCCTCCTTACAATGACCTCGATGACTTGATCTCCTTCATGGAGATATGGGATTTATGTTCCCATCCCTTCAATCTAGCAGGCCTGAGACTGTGGCAGGAGTGACCCCAGGTGACTTTGAAGGCTAAGTCATAAAAGGGGATAACTTCTGCCTGGCTCTCTCTTTCTCAGGGTGCTCATCCTCGGAACCCAGTCTCCATGCTGTGAGGAAGCCCAAGCAGATGCACAGAAAAGCCACCTGTAGGTATCCTGGTCACAGCCCCATCTGAGAGCCAGCATCAATTGCCAGACTTGTAAGTGAGAGAGCTTTCAGAAGGTTCCAGTCCCCTGTCTTCAAGTGGCCCAGCTGATGCTGAGTGAAGCAGACATGAGCCCCAGTGAGTCCTATCCAAGTTGTAGATTCGTGAGCAGAATAAACATTGCTTTGATTCTGGAGCAGTGGCTCGTGCCTGCAATCCCAGCACTTTGGGAGGCTGGGATGGGATGAATGCTTGGGACCAGGAGTTTGAGACGAGCCTGGACAACATGGAAAAACCCTGTCTCTACAAAAAATTAAAAAATTAACCAGGTGTGTTGGTATGAGCCTGTGGTCTTAGCTACTAGGGAGGCTGAGGCGGGAGAATCGCTTGAACCCGGGAGGTCAAAGCTTCAGTGAGCAGTGATTGCACCACTGCACTCCAGCCTGGGTGATAGACTGAGACTCTGTCTTAAAAAACACACAAACAAAAAACCCCAAACCAAAAAACCCCCACATCGCTCTAAGCTGTGAAACTTTGGGATGATTGTGGTGCAGCAAAAGACAACTAGAACACTGTCAGGTTTTTCCCGAGGACAAAACACTGAATTTGACCCTGTGTAGGGGTTGGGGTGAGGAAGCTTTGGTTTTGATAAATTACAGGTGAATTACCTGTTTTCCATTAATTACTATTTTTTGTTTTGTTTTGTTGAGATGGAGTCTCACTCTGTTGCCCAGGCTGGAGTGCAGTGGCACGATCGTGGCTTGCTGCAATCTCTGCCTCCTGAGTTCAAGTGATTCTGCTGCCTCAGCCTCCTGAGTAGCTGGGAGTACAAGTGCCCACCACCACGCCCAGCTAATATTTTGGATTTTTAGTAGAGATGGGGTTTCACTATATTGGCCAGGCTGGTCTGCAACTCCTGACCTCAGGTGATACGCCCGCCTTGGCCTCCCAAAGTGCTGGGATTACAGATGCGAGCCACCGCGCCCAGCCCATTAATTACTATTTTTAAAAGGCAGTCTCGTAAGAAACTAAGCACAGTGCTTATAAACCATTAGGAACTCCCCAGAAAGTTTTTGGAGTATTAGCATTTTTATAACTTTTTTTCTTTGCCACTTAATTCCCTTAAAAGATTCTCTCTTTAAATAGTTCTCAAGGAGAGTCCAGACCCGGGGGGAGGGTAGTTTGAGATATTTTTCTCTCGGGACCTCCCCACTGGTGTTAGGCAGACTTCTAAGAGGGCCTCCAACAACCTCCACCTCCTGTTTGGGTGCCCTTGTGTCATTTTCTTCCCTTGAGTGTGGGCCCGACTTTATGACTTTGCTTCTAACCCAAAGAATATGGCAAAGGTGGTGGGAGGTGGCTTCCATGATGAGATTACAAAAGATTGTGACTTCTGTCTTATGGCAAACTCAACTGCCTTCTTGGTTTGCTTGCTTTAATGAAGCAAGCTCTCCGTTCTGCAAGGCCCAAGAGGGAAGGAATTGAAAGCAGCTTCAGGCCAAAAGCCGGGGAAGAACTGAGGCCCTCAGTCCGACAGGTTGTATGAAGTGAATGAACTTGGAAGTGACCCCTTTCCAGTTGAGCCATGAGATGAGATATTTGTCCTGGCTGGCACCTTGATGGCATTCTTGGGAGAGACCATGAAACAGGGAACCCAGCAGAGCCGTGCCTGGGTTCCAGACCCACAGAAACGAAGAGATAATAAAAGGATGTTGTTTTAAGCCTCTGCGTTTTTGGATAATTTGTTGTGCAGCAGTAGGTTACTAGCACACCGACCCTCCTCTGACTCCTGCAAATCATTTCTGTGTCCGAATCCCACGCTGCCACCATGCTCAGGCTAACCTGCACCCACCCTCCCCACACACATCAGGCATCTCAGCTGAGTGCATCTCCATGAAGCATGCGTTTCAGTTACACCCACCCTGGGTGTCTGTACCTGCATTTGCTAAAACTGTGTTGGAACACTCGACCTCATTCCTCACCCCTTTGTGTTGGGAACAGGACCCCCAAAATCTGGCCATAAACTGGCCCCCAAACTGGCCATAAACAAAATCTCTACAGCACTGTGACATGTTCATGATGGCCATGACGCCCATGTTGAAAGGTTGTGGGTTTGCCGGAATGAGAGCAAGGAACACCTGGCCCGCCTGGGGCGGAAAACCGCTTAAAGGCATTCTTAAACCACAAACAATAGCATGAGCGATTTGTGCCTTAAGGACATGCTCCTGCTGCAGATAACTAGCCATACCCATCCCTTTGTTTTGGCCATCCCTTTGTTTCCCATAAGGAATACTTTTAGTTAATCTATAATCTATAGAAACAATGCTTATCACTGGCTTGCTGTTAATAAATACGTGGGTAAACCTCTGTTCGAGGCTCTCAGCTCTGAAGGCAGTGAGAACCCTGATTTCCCACTCCACACCTCTATATTTCTGTGTGTGTGTCTTTAATTCCTCTAGTGCCGCTGGGTTAGGGTCTCCCTGACTGAGCTGGTCTCGGCACTTTGTATCTTCTCTCCCAGAGCCTGTGTCCAATTCCGTCTGAAGCAGGGAAAGCCTCAGCCACACTGTCCACCTGATATAATTTGGATATTTGTCCCCTCCAAATCTCAGGTTGCAAACTGATCCCCAGTGTCGGAGGTGGGGCCTAGTGGGAGGTGTTTTGCTCACGGGAGCGGATCCCTCATGAATGTGTTGGTGCTGACCCCACAGTAATAATAGTTCTCCCTTGCTTCCTGCCATGTGATCTCCACACACCAGGTCCCCTTCACCTGCCATCATGAGTGGAAGCTTCCTGAGGCCTCATCAGAGGCTGATGCTGATGTCATGTTTCCTGTACAGCCTGTAGAACCTTGAGCCAAATGAACCTCTTTTCTTTTCCAGATAAAAATAAATTAGTGGCTGGGTGCAGTGGCTCACTCCTGTAATGCCAGCACTTTGGGAGGCTGAGGCAGGCAGATCACTTGAGGTCAGGAGTTAGAGACCAGCCTGGTCAACATGGTGAAACCTGTCTCTACTAAAAATACAAAAAATAGCCAGGTATAGTGGCGCACATCTGTAGTCCCAGCTACTTGGGAGGCTGAGGCAGTAGAATTGCTTGAATCTGGGAGATGGAGATTGCGGTGAGCCAAGACTGCACCACTGCACTCCAGCTTGGTAACAAAGCCAGACCCTGTCTCAAAAATAAATAAATAAATAAGCTGGGTGTGGTGGCACATTCCTGTGGTCCCACCTACTCAGGGGGCTGAGGCGGGAGGATCACTTGAGCCTGGGAAGTCAAAATGGCAATGAGCTATGATCATGCCACTGCACTCCAGAGTGGGCTTTAGAGCAAGACCCTGTCCCAAAGAAATAAATCAATAAAAATAAAAATAAAATTACCATATGACCCAGGAATCCCACTACTGAGTATACATCACAAGGAATTGAAATTGGTATGTCAAAAAGATATCTGCACTGCCATATTCATTGCAGCAATGTTCACAATAGTCAAGCGACTGAAGTGCTCATCAACAGATAAACGGATTTGTACAATGTGGTAGAGATACACAACTGAATACTATTTGGTCATAAAAGAGAAGAAAATCCTGTCAATTGGGACAACAAGGTTGAACCGGAGGACATTATATTAAGTGAAATAAGTCAGGCACAGAGGACAAATACTACATAATCCCACTCATATATGGAACCTAAAAAAGTTGTCTCATAGAAATAGAGTGAAATGTTGGTTACCAGAGGCTGAGGTTGCCAGGTGGTGGGAGTGGGGCAATGTTGGTCAAAGGATATAAAATTTCAGGTAGCTAGGAGGAATAAGTTCAAGAGATCTATTGTACAACCTGGTGACTGTAGTTACGGTGTATTCTTGACAAATGCTTAAAGAGTAGATTTTAAGTCTTCTCAACACAAAAAAGATAACTAAGGCTGGTGCCATGGCTCACACCAGTAATCGCAGCACTTTGGGAGACCAAGGCAAGGAGGAGTGCTTGAGCCCAGGAGTTTGAGACCAGCCTAGACAACATGGTGAAACTCCATCTCTGCAGAAGATACAAAAAACTAGCTGGGTGTTGTGGTGCACGTCTGTAGTCTCAACTTCTCGGGAGGCTGAAGTGGGAGGATGGCTTGAGCTCAAGAGGTCAAGGCTGCTGTGAGCCACGATAGTGCCACCGTACTCCAGCCTGGGTGAGAGAATGAGACCCTGTCTCAAAACAAAACAATGTGAAGTGATGCATATGTTAATGAGCTTGATTTAGTCATTCTGAAGCAGGATATTTCCCTGACCCCTTCTTGGATGGGAACTAGAGTACATGGGCGCTGTCAGGGACGAACTCCACTCGCTTGTTGTTCCACCCCTCATGGGGAGGGGAGCACAGGTGAGTGGGTGCAGGAGACAGGGTGAGGGCTTTTGGGTGCTGGCAAGAGCAAATTCCATACTAGCCCCACGGCAGTGTCTAGGGGAAGGTGCTGTGACCCCTGAAGCCCCTGACGAAGTGTTACAGTGCCCTTTTAGCTTTGCCATCCATGCATAGCTTAAGTGTTAACAGCTCAGTGGAGGGTCAGTGCGACAGCCTTTTGTACCCACACTCATGGCACCCAAGTTTTTGTCTGGCATCCAGGAGGAATGAGGTCACACAAACAAATTGAAGATGGTAAATGCAGGGGATTTTATTGCCGGTGAAAGTGGCTCTCAGCAGGAAGAGGAGCTGAAAAGGGGATGGAGCAGGAAGGTAATCGTCCCCTGAAGTTTGGCCATCCCTGGCCATCCTCTCCAAAGCTACGCTGTCAAGCTGTCCCTTTGAAGTCAGCCTGCTTCTCTCCAACATCCAACCATAGTCTCCAATGTCCAGCTGCTTTTCTTCTCTCTGCCGGCTGAGCCTGGGGTTTTTATGGGCATAGGATGGGGGGCAGGGTGAGCCACGGGTGGTTTTGGAAAAGGCAACATTTGAGTGGGAAAACAGGGATGTAAGTTCTCACTTTGGGCCGTGGTATCAAGATTTTCAGCTTGATGGACCTGGCCTCTTCTGCCCAGAATTTCCCTACCTCCTGTCCCTATCAATTCCACAATGTATCTATATTTCAAAACATCATGTTGCATACAATAATTATATATTATTTTATAAATTTAGAAAAACAAAAAAATGCAGCTATAAGAAAATAATAAAATAAAATCAAGTAGGCAAATGTTACTATGGTGTGCTTTCATGTAAAAATCATAACTATTCCCTCTGAGGCGGTACTTGCTGAGTTAGAGTCATTGTATATTTTGACAAACATCCAAAAGACTGCACAGAGGTGTCTCTTCCCTGCCGCCCCACAGCAGTGTTTGTAAGATTCTTGTGATGATGGTGTTGGTAATGACAATAGCTTTTATGCACCCAGCAGGAATTCTGTCCTGGGCCCTGTTATCTACCATTGTAACCACCCAATGGGTTCTTTTTGCCTGCTACAAAAAGACCACGGCATTGCAGTAAACAAAGTCTTTAACTGACACAGGGCCAGCCATGCCATGGGAGAAACAGAGTTATTACTCAACTTGATCTCCCTGAAAATTCAGTGATCAGAGGTTTTCAGGGATAATTTGGTGGGTGGGGGGCCAGGTAGTGGGGAGTGCTGATTAGTTGGGTTAGAGATGAAATCACAGGGAGTCAAAGTTGACTAACTGCACTGAGTAAATTCCAGGGTGGGGACCACAGGACCAGATGACCCAGTTTATCAATCTGGGTGGCACTAGCTGATCCATCGAGTGCTGGGTCTGAAAAATATCTCGAGCACCAATCTTAGGTTTTACAATAGTGATGTTATCCCCAGTAGCAATTGGGAAGGTTTAAAATCTTGTGACCCCTGGCCCCTGGCTGCATGACTCCTAAACCATACTCTCTAATCTTGTGGCTTTTGTTAATCCTACAAAGGCAGTCTGGTCCCCAGACAAGAAGAGGGTTTGTTTCAGGAAAGGGCTGGGTTTTTTTGTTTGTTTTTGTTTTTGAGATGGAGTCTCGCTCTGTTGCCCGGGCTGGAGGCGATCTCAGCTCACTGCAAGCTCTACCTCCCGGGGTTCATGCCATTCTCCTGCCTCAGCCTCCTGAGTAGCTGGGACTACAGGTGCCCGCCACCACACCTGGCTAATTTTTTGTATTTTTAGTAGAGACAGGGTTTCACCATGTTAGCCAGAATGGTCTCGATCTCCTGAACTCGTGATCCGCCTGCCTCGGCCTGCCAAAGTGCTGGGATTACAGGGGTGAACCACCATGCCCGGCCTAGAGGGAAAGGGCTGTTATCTTTGCTTCAAAGTTAAACTGTAAACTGAGTTTCTCCCAAAGTTAGTTAGGCCTATGCTCAGGAACGAACAAGGACAGCTTGGAGGTTAGAAGCAAGATGGAGTTGGTTAGGTCAGATCTCTCACTGTCATAATTTTCTCAGTTATAATTTTTACAAAGGTGGTTTCACCATATGACATGTAGTATCGGGGGAACCCACCCCCGATAATTCAATGTGGGTTCTTTTCTATTTTCCCTAAGTGTCGGCTGGTCTGAGAAATAAAGGGAAAGAGTACAAAAGAGATAAATTTTAAAGCTGGGTGTCTGGGGGAGACATCACATGTCAGCAGGTTCCGTGATGCCCCCGAGCCATAAAACCAGCAAGTTTTTATTGGCAATTTTCAAAGGGGAGGGAGTGTACGAATAGGGTGTGGGTCACAGAGATCACATGCTTTAAGGGCAACAAAAGATCACAAGGCAGAAGGTCAGGGCGAGATCACAAGGTCAGGGCAAAACTAGAATCACTCATGAGCTTCCATGTCCTGCTGTGCACGCATTGTCATTTATAAACATCTTAACAGGGTTCAAGAGCAGAGAACTGGTCTGACTAGAGTTCGCCAGGCTGGAATTTCCTAATCCTAGCAAGCCTGGGGGCGCTGCAGGAGACTAGGGTGTGTTTCATCCCTATCTACATGTGCATAAGGCAGACACTCCCAGGGCAGCCATTTTAGAGGCACTGCCCTGGGAATGCATTATTTTCCCAGGGCTGTTAATTATTAATATTCCTTACTGGGGAAAGAATTCAGCGATATTTCTCTTACCCGTTTTTGGTAATAGGAGAAATATGGCTCTGTCCTGCCCGTCCCACAGGCAGCCAGACTTTAAGGTTATCTCCCTTGTTCCCTGAAAATCGCTGTTATCCTGTTCTTAAGGTGCCCAGATTTCATATTGTTCAAACACACATGCCCTACAAACAATCTGTGCAGTTAACGCAATCATCACAGGGTCCTGAGATGACATACATCCTCAGCTTACGAAGATGACAGGATTAAGAGATTAAAGTAAAGTCAGGCATAGGAAATCACAAGAGTATTGATTGGGGAAGCGATACATGTCCATGAAATCTTCACAATTTATGTTCAGAGATTGCAGTAAAGACAGGCATAAGAAATTATAAAAGTATTAATTTGGGGAACTAATAAATGTCCATGAAATCTTCACAATTAATGTTCTTCTGTCACGGCTTCAGCAGGTCCCTCCGTTCGGGGTCCCTGACTTCCTGCAACAATGTAGTGTTATTTTTCCCATTTTATTTACTGGATTTCAATGAGAGTCCCTGCTGTAAAGTTGGAGCCAGCATTGGAGTCCCCAGAGGGCTTGTTAAAACAGAGAAGGAGGCCTGGCACCATGGCTCACTCCTGCAATTCCCAACACTTTGGGAGGCCGAGGTGAGAGGATCACTTGAGCTCAGGAGTTTGAGACCAGCCTAGGCATCACAGGGAGATCCAGTCTCTACAAAAAATTTTAAAATTAGCTGTGTATGATGGTGCACGCCTGTATCCCATCTACCTGGTAGGCTGAGGCAGGAGGATAGCTTGAGCCCGAGATGGAGGCTGCAGTGAGCTATGATCAGGCCACTGCACTCCAGCCTGGACAACAGAACGAGACCCATCCCCCCCGCCCCCCCCGCAAAAAGTAGAGAAGGCTGAATCCCATCCCCAGAATTTCTGAGTCCTTAGATTTAAGTTGTTGCCCCAGAACCTGCATTTTCAGCCAGTCCCCAGGTGATGCTGATGTTGCTGGTTTGAGAAGCCCTGAATCAGAGCGACATTTAATATTACAACGCAAAGACCCCGCCCATTGGGTACTATCCCCATTTTCCAGTGTGAATTTAGGTCCCTTAGGGGTGAAGCGGCTGGCCGATGCCCACACGCGCAGGAAGAGCACTGGGGCTCTCCTCCTGGACCTCGGAGGGTGGGCGGGGTTTAGCGCGGGCGGCTGCAGGCTCGGGAGCGGCCCCTTTAAGGGGAAGGCCCGAGGGCTGCAGGCGGCGGCGGTGGAGACCCGACGAGATCCGCTCTCCTTCCCGCCCTGGACCCTCAGCCTGACGAGAGGCTGGGCAGAAACTCGCGATCCCCAGGCCCTGCCTGTGCACCAGCGGCTGGCGCCAGGCCAATGACAGTACGGGAGAGGGCAACTCTCCCGGCCGCCACGGTGGGGGCCGGAACTTCCTGCACTGCAGCCTCGCAGGTCATTTCCCGGCGGGGAGGCTGAGTCCCCAGGAGCTGGGGACCCCGAGTTGGGGGCGGGGCGGCTGGGGCTACGCCCGTGAAGCTGCCCCGCCGGCTTTCCCGGACCGCGAGGGGGACAGTGAGGCCGGGACCCCCTCCGCGCCTTTGCACCAGCCGTGACCCCTTGCAACGGGGGTACCCAGCGGAGCTGCGCGCTCTCGGCGCCCCCGGAGCCTGCGCCCCGGGCCCCTTGCGCATTTTGCACGGGGGAGACTGAGGCTAGGAGTGCGACCCTCAGCCCGGGGTCACACCTCGTCTGGGGCACGGCCAGGTGGGTGGTAGCCTCAGCCTGCGAGACCCCCTACCCCCGCCCCGTGGTTTCCCGCACCGTGGGGCCCTGCTCTGACCACAGACTCCGATGGCAGCGGCGGCGCTGCGGGACCCCGCGCAGGTGAGTGCTTGGACGTTAGGCCCTTCGCTGTCGGCCCCCCACGCTTCTGTTCTCGGTGTTGAGACGCAAAAGATGGCTTTGTTCTAGGACTTTTCGCCTTTCCCATTTCCTTGCTTTTGAGTCAGGGGACCCTGGAAGGGAGTTGCTCCCAGCTAGGATCCTGAATCAGGGCAGGGTTTATATAAAGTGGCTTCCGTTGCTGAAATGTAATGGGATGGAGGGAGAAAGGGCTTTGTAGGCACAGGAACCAGCGTGCGCAAAAGCTTGGGGGTGGGGTGGGGCACGGTGTGGAGACTGAGTTGGGAGTGTTCAAGGAACCCCACCCAGGTCAGTGTTATTAATATTATGTCTGCTGGAACCAGAGAGCAGGTGGGCTGAAGACAGCTCAGAACGGCAGAGCTGGGCCTCTGTTCTGAGGGTGTTGGGAGCCATGGAAGGTTTAGGGCAGAGGAGGAAGATGCTGTGACTCAGGTCTTAACAGGCTCCCTGTGGATGCACAGTGGAGAACTGAATATGGAGTGAGCCGCAAGCAGGGATGCCAAGGAGTAGCCTAATGGAATAGCCCAGGCCAGTGCTGCGGCTGGCCGGACCAGAGTGAGGACTGGAGGTAGAGGAAGTGATTGGGAACTTGATGTCTTTTAAGTCAAGCTGACCAAATTTTCCGATGTGGAGGGTGAGAAAGAGGAGGGAAGAATCCATGGTTTTTGGTTTGATGAATCCAGCTTTATGAACTGAGAAGTTGGTTTTAGGAGGAATTTTCCATGGAAGCAGTAGAAGTTAGGTTTTGGCCAAGTTGAGCCTGTGATGTCCCAGAGACCCCCAAATGGAGTTGAAGAGTGGGCCGCTGAACACACAGTTCGGGTGTTCTGAGGGAGTTGTTAAGGTAATGAGAGACTGGATATTCATTCGAACAATGGCCAGATCATGTATACAAATAGAACTCTGCCCCAGAACCTGCCCAGGAAACCAACCCCCTTATCTACAATAAACAACCCATACAGCAGGAAGCCAGCCTGCTGTCTGTCAGACCCACAGGAAGCCAGATTGCTATCTGGACTGACAATCCAGGAAGTAAAAACAATAACTTCTGTAATGAGCAGTCCCAAATGGCCAGGGTTTGATTAATAACAGACAGCTTTCCTCATTTTTGCTCCTGCTTCTGATTTAAGAACAACCAGAGAAAGGCAGATACGCACCCTAACCAATCACATAGGATGCCCACTTCTAGTTCACCCACCTACGAACAGGAGCCTCCAACCAGGGCACGCCTGAAGCCTTCCTTTTCTTTTGCTATAAAACTCTCCCACTCCCGGCTTGCATTGAGTCTCTCTTGCTATAGTGAGCTTTGAGTAAGTAGCCTTGGCTTTTCTCATTTCATTGGTCTTTGTTTATTTCAACAGTTAGAAACATCCAAAATGTGACATCTGGTGTGTGGACGGGAGTGTAGCTGTGTGTGAGATTTAGGAGGTGAAACTTCAGGTCATGGTGACAATGATGTTAAAAAAAAGAGGAAGGTGGGGCTGGAAAACTGAGAGCAGGGTTCTTGCTTGGGGACTGTGGCTTGTTTGGCATCATAAAGACAGGTGAGGAACAGTAGTGGTCATGGTGGTGATGGAGGGGCTATGTGGGTGTATCAGAGGGTCTGGCAGGTGGCCAGATCATCCCAAAGAGTGTAGACATGAATGAGATGGATGCTGAGGCTTAGCAGTAGAGGAGGTAATATTGCAGTGAGGCCTGGGCTGGTGCTTACACACTCACCTATGTTCTCACCAGGCTTCTGTGGTGACCCTTGATGGGGTTTGTCCTCAGGCTGGGGAATTAGCTTGGGGCAAGAGGAGTCAGTTGGCAGAGTTGCTGGGCTTAGGTGGGTGGGGGTAGGATGGCCAGAGGGGTTGGCTTTTTTTTTCTTTTTTAAATGAGTGTGAGTGATGACAGGGTCAGAATGTGCAACAAAGAAGGCCAAGTGTATGTGACATCCATGTGTGCCGTGGGTGGCTTAGGTTGAAGCCAGGCCAGGGGAGCTAGGGGGCTCCAAGGCAAGGGTGGAGCGCTCCCTCTCCCCCTTACCTGGGTGTTGCCCTTGGCAGTGGAGGCCATCAAAGGTCTGGGGCAGGCTGGGATGGTGCTTATGTTTGCCAGGCACTCTCTGGATGCCATGTGCAGAGTGACTCGTGGGAGCCCATGGAGATGGCTAGGATAGGGGCCAGGATGGGGAGAAGGTAGCAGTGGCAATGGGAGGCCGTGGTGAAGGTCTGGAGCTGTGAGGGTGGTGCAGTCCAAAGAGTGAAACGCACGTGGGAGGGAGTATGAGCTGTTCACCCCAGGGCTCTGGACTGGGGTTTAAAGGAGAAGCCCACATTTGTATCTGAGAAGCATGACATTGGTGACACTAGGGGAAGAGGCTGGCAGAAGAGCGAGCTGGGCCCTGGACTTCAGGCCCAGAGCTTAGAGGGTGCCTCTCTGCACCCTGCCTGTTGCTGCTGCGGGCTGACACAGTGGTCACATGAGGCGCCCACAGAACCAGGGCCTGCTACCTCCTGGAGCTGTGGAGCTGGGGAGGAGAGTGAGCAGGGGATGGATAGGGAGTCCCAAGGACAGAGACTGATCATGGAACGAACTGTCCCCATCATGGCAGGGCTGCGTGACCTTTGAGGACGTGACCATTTACTTCTCCCAGGAGGAGTGGGTGCTCCTCGATGAGGCTCAGAGACTCCTGTACTGCGATGTGATGCTGGAAAACTTTGCACTTATAGCCTCGCTGGGTAAGGCTGTCACCCCTACCCCGGTGTCCCGAGCTCCTCTCTGCCTGTCCCCTTTGCCCAAGAAACAGCTCTTTCCTTCCCACAGCCAGACCGCTGGCACTGCTTCCATCCCCACTTTCCTGGTATGTGTGTTGTGGCTTCTGGGGCTGAGCTATGTGCATTGTTCCCTCCTCTCCCTGAGCTGCCCCCACACCTGCTGCCTGAAGCCTTGCAGGGAAGCTCCAGGCATGAGGGGTCTTGCGGTTAGCTGTGTGACTACCTCTGACTCGGCCATTCCCTCCTGGGTGATTATCCAGATCTGACAGTTCTGTGGTTTAGATTCTGTGCCTTTCCTCTTGCTAATATTTCCTAAGCCTGACTGTGCCAGGAATTCCAATCACTGATGTGGTTACTGCTTGCCGTGACCACCCAATGTCCCTGTGTCATACGGAGCTTCCTGTCTTGTAGTCTATCATGGGGTAGTTCAACTGGGCAGGTGCTGGCCACTGACCCACTCTGTCTTTCCCTTAGGACTTATATCTTTCAGGTCCCACATCGTTTCCCAGTTGGAGATGGGGAAAGAGCCCTGGGTGCCTGACAGTGTGGATATGACATCAGCCATGGCCAGAGGGGCTTATGGCAGGCCTGGCTCTGGTAAGCAGCGATGGGAGCTAGGGGAGGATGTGACTTCACCACTGTGTTTACATCATACCAGCATCTTCTCTCCTATTCATCATCATTTGATACCAATGCCAGTAGCCAGACCACGTCTCTGCTTTTCCTTCCCCGTGCTTGACACATTATCTACTTGTCATTATTATTCTGAGTTGGGCCCCTTGGCTGTGCCCCACTTTTCTGGCCTCCGTTTCTCTCTTTCAGCTTCCTCTGCGGCACTTTCCAACACTGGCCTACACTTAATGTGTTGTGAGATACGTGCTTTTCCTTGATGTGCTTGAACACCAGCTACTCAGTTGCAGGTTTTGCTGGGTCTAGATGCTCTCACTGCATAGCCCTCACAGGTTACCAGCAGCCCAGGCCCTGCCAAAAGGCCTTTAAAGAGAAGTGAGTGGGAGACCCTGCCTCTCTGCCCAATACTGTCCCCCATCCTTGTGTCCCTGGTCCTGATAAGGCCTCCTGTATTTTGTGACCTGGCCAGGCACAGTATGGCGGAGCAGATTATTCCTTACCCTGACCTGAGCCTTCTTGTGTTGCCAACAATCCCATGGGCTTATTCTTGGGTCAGCCAAGCATAGGTGATGGGGCTCTTTCCTTCTATTAAAGTTTATACGAACTTCACCAGCATTTCTCTGCTTTCAGATTTTTGCCATGGAACAGAGGGCAAGGACTTACCTTCTGAGCATAACGTTTCTGTAGAAGGAGTGGCACAGGACAGGAGTCCCGAGGCAACTCTGTGCCCCCAGAAGACCTGCCCCTGTGACATATGTGGCCTACGTTTGAAAGACATTTTGCATTTGGCTGAACACCAGACAACACATCCCAGGCAGAAACCATTTGTGTGTGAGGCATATGTGAAAGGCTCTGAGTTCAGTGCAAACCTTCCCCGGAAACAGGTGCAGCAGAACGTACACAACCCTATCAGAACGGAGGAGGGCCAGGCTTCCCCTGTAAAGACCTGCAGAGACCACACATCAGATCAGCTTTCCACCTGCAGGGAGGGTGGGAAGGACTTTGTGGCCACAGCAGGGTTTCTGCAGTGTGAGGTCACTCCCAGCGATGGGGAGCCGCACGAGGCCACCGAAGGTGTGGTGGATTTTCACATTGCACTAAGGCATAACAAGTGCTGTGAATCTGGGGATGCCTTCAATAACAAATCCACTCTTGTTCAGCACCAGAGAATCCACAGCAGAGAAAGGCCTTATGAATGCAGCAAATGTGGAATCTTCTTCACTTACGCCGCTGACCTCACTCAACACCAGAAAGTTCACAATAGAGGAAAACCGTATGAGTGCTGTGAATGTGGAAAATTCTTCAGCCAGCACTCCAGCCTTGTTAAACATCGCAGGGTTCACACCGGTGAAAGCCCTCACGTGTGTGGTGACTGTGGGAAATTCTTCAGCCGAAGCTCCAACCTCATTCAGCATAAGAGGGTTCACACTGGTGAAAAGCCATATGAGTGCAGCGACTGTGGGAAGTTCTTCAGCCAGCGTTCCAACCTCATTCATCATAAGAGGGTTCATACGGGCAGAAGTGCCCATGAGTGCAGTGAATGTGGGAAATCTTTCAACTGCAACTCCAGCCTAATTAAACATTGGAGAGTTCACACTGGAGAAAGACCTTACAAGTGTAACGAATGTGGGAAATTCTTCAGCCACATTGCCAGCCTCATTCAACATCAGATAGTTCACACTGGCGAGCGGCCTCACGGGTGTGGTGAGTGTGGGAAAGCCTTCAGCCGAAGCTCTGACCTCATGAAACATCAGCGAGTTCACACTGGTGAGCGGCCTTATGAATGCAATGAATGTGGGAAGTTATTTAGCCAGAGCTCCAGCCTCAATAGCCATCGGAGACTTCACACTGGTGAACGGCCTTACCAGTGCAGTGAATGTGGGAAATTCTTTAACCAAAGCTCCAGCCTCAATAACCACCGGAGACTTCACACCGGCGAGCGGCCTTATGAGTGCAGCGAATGTGGGAAAACCTTCAGGCAGAGGTCCAATCTGAGGCAGCACCTGAAAGTTCACAAACCAGACAGGCCTTACGAATGCAGCGAATGTGGGAAAGCCTTCAACCAAAGGCCTACCCTCATTCGGCATCAGAAGATTCACATCAGAGAAAGGAGCATGGAGAATGTGCTCCTTCCCTGTTCACAGCACACACCAGAGATAAGCTCTGAGAACAGACCTTATCAGGGCGCTGTCAACTACAAGTTGAAACTTGTTCATCCAAGTACCCACCCTGGGGAGGTTCCCTAGGAATGCTAGCTGTGTTGGAAGCTTTCTGGAGACAAGTTACATTCTCTTACTGTAGAGTTTATCAGCGTTTTTTCACTGCTGGGGTTGTGATAGAAGCCATGTCAGCACCACACACTGCAGCTCTCCAAAGAGTGTGTCCACCACTCCACTGTGCTCAGGGAAGGCAGACCTCTCCTCTCTCTTTCCAATCCCTAAAGGGAATTAGGAGTAGTCTGAAGCCTTGGGAAGATGTCATTCCCGCCCTGTATGGCTGGTTTAGCCATGGACATGACCAGCTTTTGGCTGTGAAGACCTGAGCAGGGTTTTGCCAACAGCTTGTTCTAGAGAAGGTTTCCCTTTTTCTGGGACATTGTTGGTCTCATGTTATGCCTGTGAAGGATTTGTCCAGCCTTCATGTTACTCTACACAACAACTTATCTCCTGTGTATTGCCCTGGTTCATGTGATGATAATGGCCTTATGATAAAGCCGCCTTTAGTCTTCCATGTTCTGATCACTGTGTGGGGTGGTTCAAGAGCAGAGTTAAGATCTACCAAACTGAAGGGGTCTCCAGATTATCTTGGAGGGGACAGGAGGATGGCAGAGAAACAACTGTCAATCCAGATTTGACCTCATTTGCATTGCCACCAAGGCCTCCTAGGAAAAATTGTAGGAATTTATGGGTATAATATTGTGGTCTGAATGGCGTGAATTTTTATCCCGAGGAGGGGGCAGTTGTGACAACCTCCAGTGCATGTGGGAACAGCATGAATTGGGTCCCTTATTCCCAGGGGGTGCCCCATATTCCCCAATACTGTAAAGCAGATGCTGTTTAGCACCTGCCAAGGAGCCATATGCCCTGAAGTTCAGCATTAGGCAGGTATCTCTTAACTGTAAGACATACCAGGCCCAGCTGGGACCATAATTTGTACAGAAACACTGGATGTGATTAATAGGGAGTAGGCGAGATTATAGCAAACCAGCAGAAATGGAACTCTGCTAAATGTGCATCCGTGAATGCTCCCTTGAATGTGGCTGTGCAGGATTCAGGGTTTGCAGAAATTCTCAGGACCTCAGACCTCTGTCCTATGACTAATGTTACTGGCAGAGCAAATAATCTAAAGGTTTTGGTTTTGTGGATTACCATCTCCGTGCTGTGCATCTGAAGGCCAGTGCTGTGCTGGCAGGAAAATAGGGACTGAGAAAAAGCAGATCCTATACTATAGGGACTGTAGTATCTATGACGTAGCCAGCCATTCTTTGCTCCCAAGGCAAGAAGAAAGAGATGACAGAGTCAATATAGGGTTGCCAAATCGGATTTTCTAAAATGAGTAGGAAGTTGGATTTTTATGTGCAACAGTTTCTTTTAATGCTTTGTTGATATGTGATTGTCATGCAATAATTATTCATATTTGGTAAGTTTTGTACATATATTATGTACACTCAGGGAACCAATACCATAATCATGATAATGAACGTATCCATCACCTGCAAAGCTACCTCATGCCCCTTTACATTCCCTCCTTGCCTTCCCTAGGAAACCGTTGATTTACATTTTTTACTTTAGATTTGTTTGCCTTTTCTAGAATTAACACAATTGGAATCATAAAGTATTTATACTCTCTTTTGGTCTGGTTTCTTTCATGCAGCATAATTATCTTGAGAATCATCCATGCTGTGTGTATATATAGTTCATTCCTTTTACTACTGAGTAGTGCTATACTGGGTGAGTGCACCATAGTTTTTTATGGTTTATTTAAAAATGTTAAAAAAATCTGATGAAATATACTTAACATGAAATTTACTATCCTAACCATTTTTAGTGTATACTTCAATGGTATTAAGTAGATTCGTATTGTTATGTAACCATCACCACCATTCGTCTCCAGAACTCTTCAATCTTGCAAAACTGAAATTCTGTACCTGTCAAGCAATAACTTCCCATTTTCCCTTCCCCAGCCCCTCAAAACCACCATTCTACTTCCTGTCTGTATGAATTTGACCACTCTAGGTACCTCATATAAGTAGAATAATAAGTATTTGTCTTTTTGTAGCTAGCTTATTTCACACTTAGCATAATATTCTCAAGGTTCATCAATGTTGGAGCATATGTCAGAATTTCCTTTTTAGGGCTGATTAGTATTTCCTTGTATGTGCTGCATTTTGCTTCTCTATCATGTGTCAATGGATACTTGGGGTGCCTCCACCTTTTGCCTATTTCGAATAATGCTGCTCTGAACCTGAGTGCACAACAAATATCTATTCAAGACCCTACTTTCAACTCTTTTGGGTATATGCTCAGAAGTAGAATTACTAGATGATATAGTAAATCTATTTTTAGTTTTTTGAGGACCTGACATACACTGTTTTCCACAGAACTGCACCCTTTCACATTCTTACCAACAATAAACAAAGTTTAAAATTTTTCAGAGCCGGGTGTGGTGGCTCATGCCTGTAATCCCAGCACTTTGGGAGGCTGAGGCAGGTGGATCACGAGGTCAGGAGATCGAGACCATCCTGGCTAACACGGTGAAACCCCATCTCTACTAAAAATACAAAAAATTAGCTGGGCGTGGTGGCAGGCGCCTGTAGTCCCAGCTACTTGGGAGGCTGAGGCAGGAGAATGGTGTGAACCCAGGAGGCGGAGCTTGCAGTGAGCCGAGATCACGCCACTGCACTCCAGCCTGGGCAGCAGAGTGAGACTCCCTCTCAAAAAAAAAAAAAAAAAATTTGTTTTCCTACATCCTCACCAGCACTTGTTTTTGTTTTTTTTGGTGGTAGCCATTCTAATGGGTGTGAAGTAGTATCTTATTTGATATGCTTTCCCTAATGATTTGTGACTTTAAGTATCATTTCATGTGCTTACTGGCCATTTGTATATCTTTGGGGAAATTTCTATTCAAGTATTTTCTCCATTTTTTTTTCACTCACCCCTCCTTATCTCCATTTTTTTTTTTTTTTTCTGAGATGGAGTCTCGCTCTGTCGCCCAGGCTGGAGTGCAGTGGCGCGATCGGCTCACTGCAAGCTCTGCCTCCCGGGTTCACGCCATCCTCCTGCCTCAGCCTCCCGAGTAGCTGGGACTACAGGCACCTGCCACCACGCCCAGCTAATTTTTTGTATTTTTAGTAGAGATGGGGTTTCACCATGTTAGCCAGGATGGTCTCGATCTCCTGACCTCGTGATCTGCCCGCCTCCGCCTCCCAAAATGCTGGGATTACAGGCATGAGCCACTGCGCCCGGCTTCTTATTTCCATTTTTGAATTGGGTTGTTTTGTTGTTGAGTTTTACAACTTTTCTGTATATTCTGGGTACTAATCCTTTATCAGATATTTTCTCCCATTCTGTGGACCGTTTTACTCTGTTCATAGTGTCCGTTGATCAGAAAATTTTAAATTTTCATGAGGTTCAATTTGTCTATGTTTTCTTTTGGTGTCTTTGCCTTTGGTGTCATATATAAGGAACCATTGCCACCTATGTCTCTAAGAGTTTTTATAGTTTTAGCTCTTACATCTAGGTCTTTGATTCATTTTGAGTCACTTTTTGGAGTTCATTTTTGTGTATGGTGTTAGGTAAGGGTCCAGCTTCACTGTTTTGCATGTGGATATCCCATTTTCCTAACACCATTTGTTCAAAAGACTGTCTTTTCCCCATTGGTTGGTCTTGGCACTCCTGTCAAAAATCATTTGAGCATATATGTGAGGGTTTACTTCTGAGCTCCATTTTAATTCTGTTGGTGTGTATGTCTGTCCTTACACCAGTTTCATGCTGTTTTAATTACTGTAGCTTTGTAGTAAGTTTTAAAATTAGGAAGTGTGAGACCTTCAACTTTGTTCTTTTTCAATATTCTTTTGGCTGTTCAGGATCCCTTGAGATTCCATATTAATTTTAGAATGGATCTTTATATTTCTGCACAAGATATTATTGGGATTCCATTAAATCTATTGATCACTTTGGGTGGTATTGACATCTTAATAATATTAAGTTACCCAATCTGTGAATATGGAATTTCATTCCATTATTTATGTCTTTGCTTTCTTTCAGGAGTGTTTTGTAGTTTTCATTGTACAAGTTTTCACCTCCTTGGTTAATTCCTAAGCATTCTATTACTTTTGATGCTAATGTAAATGGAACTGTTTTCATGATTTCCTTTTCAGATTGTTCATTGTTAGTGTATGGAAATGTAAGTCATTTTTCTGTGTTGATTTTTTTTATCCTGCTAGTTTGCTGAATTCATTTATTAATTTTAAGTCTTTGTGTGTGTGTGTGTGTGAAAACTTTAGAATTATCTACATATAATATCACCTGGGATCAGAAATAATTTCACTTCTTCCTTTCCAATTTGGCTGCCTTTTACTTCTTTTCTTCCATAATTACTCTGGCTAGGACTTCCAGTACCATGTTGAACAGAAACAGAGAAAGAGGACATCTTTGCCTTGTTCCTGATCAGAAAGCTTTTGGTTTTTCACCATTGAGAATGATGTTAGCTATGGGTTTTTATATATGGCTTTTATTACATTGACATAGTTTCCTTTTATTTCATTTTTTGAGTTTTTTTTTACATGAAATGGTATTGAATTTTTGTCAAATGCTTTTTCTGCATCAAAAGAGATGATTGGTTTTTTCCTTTATTCTGTTAATATGGAATAGTATATTGATTGTTTTTCATGCATTGAACCATCCTTGCATTCTAGGAATAAATCCCACTTGGACATGGTGTATAATCCTTTTAACATGCTGCTTAATTTGGCTTGCTAATATTTGATTGAGGATTTTGGCATCAGTGTTCATAAGGGATATTGGTTTGTAGTTCTCTTATGTTTGGCTGGCTTTGGCATAAGGGCAATTCTGCTTCATAAAATGAGTTAGGAAGTGTTTTATCCTTCAGTTTTTTGGAAAAGTTTAAGAAGGATTGGTGTTAGTTCTTTAAGTGTATAGTAGTATTCACCAGATAAGCTGTCAGGTCAGGGCTTTTGTGTTGTTCATGTTGAGAGGTTTTTGATTCTCTATGTTTACTGTTGATAGGCCTATTCAAATTTTTCTTTTTTCTTTTCTTTTTCTTCTTCCTCTTCTTCTTCTTCCTCTTCCTCTCCTTCCTCTTTCTCTTCTTCTTCATCATTGAGAGAGAGTGAGAAAGAGAGGGAAAGAGTCTCGCTTTGTCACCCAGGCTGGAGTGCAGTGGCATGATCATGGCTTACTGCAGCCTCAACCTGCTGGGCTCAGCAATCCTCCCATTTCAGCTTCCTGAGTAGCTGGGACTACAGGCACGCACCATCATATCCAGCTGATTTTTATTTTTATAGAGACAGGGTCTCTCTATGTTGCCCAGGCCAGTCTCAAACTCTTAGGCTTACGCATTCTCCTGCCTCAGTCTCCCAAAGTGCTAGGATCACTGGCATAAGCCATGGTACTCAGCCTTTTAGTTTTTCATGATTCAGTCTTGGTAGATTTTGTGTCTCACAGAATATATCCATTCTAGGTCAACCAATTTGTTGGCATACAATTGTTCATAGCTCTCTTGTAATTTTTTTTATTTATATAGACTCTATCATAGTGTCTTCATTTTAATTTCTAATTTTATTAATTTGAATCTTCTTTTTTTTGTCATTTCTAACTAAAATTTCGTCAATTTTGTTAATCCTAACAACCAACTTTTGATTTTGTTGATTTTCTCTATTGCTTTTATATTCTCTAGTTATCTCTGCTCTAATCTTTATTATTTCCTTCCTCCTGCTAAATTTTTGGCTTAGTGTTTTCTTTGTTTTTTGTTTTGTTTTTTTTTTGTTTTGTTTTTTTTTTGAGACAGAGCCTTGCTCTGTTGCCAGGCTGGAGTGCAGTGGCACGATCTTAGCTCACTGCAACCTCTGCCTCCCAGGTTCAAGCAATTCTCCTGCCTCAGCCTCCTGAGTAGCTGGGATTACAGGTGTGCACCACCACACCTGGCTAATTTTTGTATCTTTAGTAGAGACAGGGTTTCACCAAGTTGGTCAGGCTGGTCTCGAACTCCTGACCTCATGATCTGCCTGCTTTGGCCTTCCAAAGTGCTGGGATTACAGGCATGAGCCACCGCGCCTGGCCAGTTGTTCTTAAGTTTCTTAAGTTATAAAGTTTTTCTTAAGTTTTTTTAAGTTGTAAAGTTAGATTTTTGATTTGAGATCTTTCTTCTGTTTTAATATAATCTTTATAGCTATAAATTTCCTACTTAGGCACTGCTTTTGTTGTATCCTACAAGTTTTTGTATATTGTTTTCCTTTTCTTTCATCTCTATTTTATAATTTCCTTTGTGATTTCTTTGATATAATGATTATTTAAGAGTGTCATTTGCTCTCTGCAAATTTGTGAATTTTCAAGTTTTCCTAACCTCTTGTGATCAGGGAAGATATTTTATATGATATATATCTTTTAAAATCTATTGACCCTTAATTTATGGCCTGACATGGTCTATTTTGGAGAATATCCCATGTGCAAGTGTATTCTATTGTTATCGTGTATTCTATATATTTTCTGTTAGATCTAATTGGCTTATTGTATTGTTCAAGTGCTCTATTTCCTTATTGGTCTTCTGATTGTTTTATTTATTATTGAGAATGGGTTATTGAAGTCTCTAACTATTGTTGTAGAACTGTCTATTTCTTCTGTTAATTCTGTGTATTTTTCCTTCATATATTCTGATGGTCTGTTATTAGGTATATAAATGCTTATAATTGTTATATGTCCTTGCTGTCTTGAATCTTTTCTTAATATGTAACGTCTCTCTTTGTCTCATGGAACCACATTTTGATTTAAGGTCTATTTTGTTTGATACCAGTATGTCCATCCCTGCTTTCTTTTGGTTACTATTTGCATGGAATATCTTTTTCCATTCTTTTACTTTCAATCTATTTCTGTCTTTGGATCTAAAGTGAAACTTTGTAGACAGCATATAGTTGGATTATCGGTGTTTTTTTTGTTGTTGTTGTTTGTTTTTTAACTCATTTTGCCAGTTTCTGTGTTTTGCTCTGAGGATTTAATCCAGTTATATTTAAAGTAATTACTGATAAGGAGGGACTTACTTCTGTCATTCTGCTATTTATTTTCTATGTGATTTTAGCTTTTTTGTCCCTTATTTCCTATATTACTCTCTTTTTGTGTGTTTGATTTTTCAAATGTGAAACATTTTAATTTCATTCTTGTTTCATTTTGTGTATATTCCATAACTATTTTCTTTGTGGTTACCATGGAGATTACATTTCACATCCTAGATTTGTAATACTCTGATTTGAACTTTTACCAGCTTACCGTTAATAACACAGAAAAACTCTGATCTTATACAACTCCATCCCCAACACTTGTAGATAGTAATGTCACAAAATTACCTCTTTATACATTGTGTGTCCAAAAACATAGATTAATAATTTTTTAACACATTCGTCTCTTAAATCACATAAAAAACAAAAAGTGGAGTACAAACCAAAGTTACAATAATATGAACTTTAAAATTTTCCCAGGTATTTGCCTTTACTAGAGATCCTTATTTCTTCTCATGGCACTGAGTTACTGTCCAGTGTCCTTTCATTTCAACTGGAAGGACTCCCTTTAGCATTTCTTGCACAGCAGTTCTCTTGGTAACGCATTCCCTCAATTGGGAATGTCTTCATTTCTCCCTCAGTTTTGGTGGATAGTTTTGCCAGATTTAGGAGTCTTGGTTGTCCGTTCTTTTCTTTTAGCACTTTGAACATGTCAGCCCACTGCCTTCTGCCTTCTGTCTTCTGCCCTCTAAGGTTTCTGATGAGAAATCTGATAATCTTAGTGAGTATCCCTTGAATGTAATGAGTCACTTCTTTTTTGCTGCTTTCAGTATTCTCTTTATGTCTCTGTCTTTTGACAGTTTGATTATAATGTGCCTCAGCGTGAGTCTCTTTGAATTCATCCTTCTTGGAGCTCATTGAGCTTCTTGGGTGTTTATATTTATGTCTTTTTACATCTGTATAGTGTGTTAAAATAAAAAAAAAGTCTTTCATCAAATTTGGGTAGTTTTGGCCATTTCTTAAAAATAGTCCCTCTTCCTCCTTGTTTCTCTCTTTCCTCTGGAACTCCCACCTTTTCTTCTATTAGCTGCATGTTGGTTTTTGTCTGTTACAAATTGAGCTACTGTAATCATTAGTGTGTAGGTCTTTGTGTGGGAATATTCTTTCTCTTCTCTTGTGTTATTATCTAAAAGTGCAATGCCTTTGTTGCAGGGTAGGTGAATATTTTACATTTTAAGAAACTGCCAAATTGTGTTCTAAAGTTATTATACCATTTTACATCCCCTGCCTCCCTGATTGTGAGCAAGAGTTCCAGTTTCGTCACATAATCACCAACAATTGCTATGATCTGTGTTTTTAATGTTTATAATGCTACTAGGGATGGAGTAATAGTATCTTATTGTAGTTTTAACTTGCATTTCTCTAAGGCTTCATGATTTTGAGCATATTTTAAATCATGTTTTTATTTGCCACCCATATAACTTCTATGGTAAAATGTCTACTGATATCTCTTGCCTATTTTAAAAGTAAATATTAGTTGATATTGAAATAGTAAAGAAATTTTTTGGAACTGCAGTCATTTATTAATAATGCCAGTGACTTATTTGTTTTGTAGGGTAATTTTGAATATTGGAAGAATATTTCCTCAAAATTTTGTGCTGTTCACAATGGGAAACTAGAGACATGAAACACTTTTAAGTTTAATCTGAATTATTAACATATTCTCTGCTTTCTTAAGTCTACCTGGTCAATAAAACAACAGATCAAGTTCTGGTTTGTAGTGTTTACCAATACCCTAGGTGTAAATACTTCTGTCTTGGCCAATTTCAAGCTACAACATGATGTCTCTGAATATGGAGTTGGGAAGATATGTGCAATAGCACGCCATTGTATTCTGTTTCCACTGAATAGATGCAATAAACGTAAATAACCTCTAAAGCATAGATAATAGTAAAATAATTAGGAAATGAGGATTTTTTTAAGTATTTTTTTTTCTTTTTAGAAAAACAGCTTTATTGAAGTCTAAACTACACATATTTCACAGGTACAAGTTTTGGTACATGTTTATAGCCATGAAATTAAAGGTTTTCTTGGGCTCTTTGTAATCTCTTCCTCCTTATCCACCTACCCGTCTTTAGGAAACCACTGATCTGCTTTCTGTCACTCTACATTTGTTTACATATTTTAGAATATTACATTAATCTGGAAGCAGCTTAGGTAGGTCAAGGTTGAGAATCCCCCATGAAATTGCAGTTAAGCTGTCTCTGGAGCTACAGTCTCAGGAAACTTGCTGGAGGCTGGAAGATTCAATTCTAATCTCTTTTCCATGGCAGTTGACAGGAAGCTTTAGTTCCTTGCCACATGGATCTCTCCATAGGGATGCTCGTCACAGGGATTCTTTCAAACAGAGAAAGTGATCCAAGAGCAGGAGAGTCTACCCAAGAAGGAGACCAGTGTCTTCAATAACCTAAAATTGGAAGTTACATGTTCTCATGTTTTCTGTTTTATACGGGCTTTACAGATCAACCCTTGTAAAATGTGTGAGGGGTACCCAAGGGTAAGAATTCCAGGAAGTAGAGATTTGGGGTTCTTTTTAGAGTTTACCTGCTACAATCACGTTTTACCTTGTTTTAAAGTCTTTTTTTTTTTTTTTTTTTTTTTTTTTTTTTTTTTTTTGAGACAGAGTTTCAGTCTTGTTGCCCAGGCTGGAGTGCAACGGCACGGTCTTGGCTCACCGCAACCTCCGCCTCCCAGGTTCAAGTGATTCTCCTGCCTCAGCCTCCTGAGTAGCTGGGATTACAGGCATCCGCCACCACGCCTGGCTAATTTTGTATTTTTAGTAGAGATGGGGTTTCTCCATGTTAGTCAGGCTGGTCTCAAACTCCCGACCTCAAGTGATCCGCTTGCCTCAGCCTCCCAAAGTGCTGGGATTACAGGCGTGAGCCACTGGGGCACCTGGCCTTAAAGTCTTTTAATGGTAAATTGCATTGATTTTCAAATATCAAGTGAACTTTTATATTTTGAGGGTAAATCTACATTTTCTTGATGTGTTATCCTTTTTTTGTATTGTTGGGTTTGATTTGCCAAAATTTTGTTGAAGTTTCTATACCTATGTTCATGAAGGATATTGATCTGCGGTTTTCTTGTAATGCCTTTGTGTGGTTTTGGTATCACTATAATAGCTTCACCAATTAAGTTGGAAAGCATTCCTTATGCTTCCACTTTTTTGGAAGAGTTTCTGCATTCTTAGGTTTTCTTCCCTAAATGTTTGGTAGAATATACCACTGAAGCCATTTAAGCCACAGTTTGCTTTGTAGGAAGGTTTCTAATTACAAATCTGATTTTAAAAATAAATATAGGGATATACATTTTTATTTTTCTTAAGTGAACTTTAGTGGTTTGTGTCTTCAAAGAGAGTTTGTTCATTTTATTTTATTTCCCAGATTTATTGGCATAAATGGGTTCATGATTTTCCTTTCAATATCTGTAGAATCTGTCATGTCTCTCATTCCCAATCTGGGTAATTTATGTGCTTCTTTGTAACTTGATAATCCTTGGCTAGAGGTTTATCAGTTGTATTGTTCTTAAGGCTTTTGGTTTCACTGATTTTCTTCACAGTTCATTCTGTTTATTTCATTGACTTCCATTTTAATCTTTATTATATACTCTCTTCTGCTCATTTTGCATTTCTCTTCGTTAGTTTTTTAATGTGGAAACTGATACTCTTATTTTTGGATATTTTTTCTTTTGTTTAATGGGTTTACCTAGGGTAAACCTAGCCTTCAGTTCTGACAATTTTCTCCTGTATTTTCTTCTGAACATTTTGTACTTTTATATTTTATATTTTAGTCTGTGATCCATTTTGAGTGAATTTGTGTTTAAAGTATGGGATTAAGTTGATGTTCACATCTTTTGTCTATGGACGTTCAATTGCTCCAGCATTATTTGCTGAAAAGCCTTATCTGCCTTCATTTATTTGCTTTTACTTGTTTTTCAAAAATCAGTTGGTTATATTTCTTTGCACGTTTCTGGGTTATCTATTCTGTTCTTTAGACCTATGTTGTTTATCCCTCCCCAGTACCACAGTGTCTTGTATCCTTAGCTATATAATAACCCATAACATCAGACAGGGTGATTCCCCCCAGCAGTCTTTAAAATGTGTCCACATTGACATCGACAGACACATTTGTTAGCGCCCTAAGAGATCCCTTCACTGTCAAGGCTTTGGCAACCTCTTCTCATGTGTCCTTGAGTCTCTAGACCACCTCTGATGGCCAGAAGTTTCCCAAGGGCTTCTGATACAAGAAACTGCCCTTCTCAAAATCATGCTATGCCTCCATTAAAACAAACTGACTAGCTACATACTAGGCTCTTCTAGAAATAGAGACTTTCACAGACCTAATACTTAGCTGCCCATTTGTTTTGAGTCAAGAAACAGCAACCTACAAACTTGGCATGGCTACCGAGGCCTCCTTAATACAGGATAGAGCCAAATCTGGGCCCTCTGGCGTATTCCATCTACAGGAGAGGTGGTCTCCTTTGTCCTCAGTCTCTTGCCACATGCCATGGTACTGGAAGAAGTCACCCCCTCTCCTAGACTGGTTGGCTACCTGGGGAGACCCTTGGGATTAACTAAGTAAACAGCAATAGCAGTTTGCAGACTGTATGAACGACACTGCCAACCATCATAAATATTGATTTTTTGTGTGTTGTTTTTTAAATTAGTGGAATCTTGCTACTTTGCATCTTAGACAGGATGTCCCCAGCAGTCAACACAATTGGCCAAACTTCAGGCAGTCATCTTAGCACTGGATGACCTGGTCAACAAATGGCCTCATCTTCACATTTATTGCAAACTATTGGGCCATTGCCTAAGAGTTGTGCACTTCAGAGTAAAAACTCTAGCAATCTCCTACCTTACAGATACCTAAAATATAAACGTAAATCACACATGTCTCTAGATATACTATGGCCACAATACAAGGCCAAATAACTCCTTATTTCCTTCAGTGTTAGATATTACTGATAATAACAAAGGCATACATTTCCCTTCCCAGAATACACAATTCTGGGTTCTCGGTAAAGCTATCCAATGGAACTCTCATGTCCCTGATAGGTGCCAGATAGCCAATTTATTCTATTTTACTTGTTATTTTTTTGTGGAGACAGAGTCTCTTTACATTGCCCAGGCTGATCTCGAGCTCCTGGGCTCAAGTGAACCTCCCACCTCAGCCTCCCGACCTCCCATTTGAACTGTGCCCAGCTCAGATGCCCAGTTTAATTGAGGTCTCAATTTTTCTCTTTTTCTTTGAGACAGAGTCTAGCTCTGTCACCAGGCTGAAGTGCAGTGGCATGATCTTGGCTCACTGCAAGCTCCACCTCCCAGGTTTATGCCTTTCTCCTGTCTCAGCCTCCTGAGTAGCTGGGACTACAGGTGCCCGCCACCACACCCAGCTATTTTTTTTTGTATTTTTAGTGGAGATGGGGGTTTCACCGTGTTAGCCAGGATGGTCTTGATCTCCTGACCTCGTGATCCGCCTGCCTCAGCCTCCCAAAGTGCTGGGATTACAGGCTTCAGCCACCAAGCCTGGCTTTTTTTTTTTTTTTTTAATAAGAATGTAGGTTCTATTATCACCATTTTAAAACAATGCTGTAAGGTGATAAGTGTAGTGCCTAATATCTAACTGGCTGCAAGGCAGTGGAATAACAATGATGATAGTTAACGTGAGTGCCATGGCTAAAGGCTTTCATTACATTGTTAACTGGTTTTAAAAAATAATGAATTATTTGAAGTTCAGCAGTGGTTTAGGAGGTCCAAGGTTTTTTATTCACTTGTTCATACAATCACATTAGAATAAATGCATCATATAAAAGTTCATGCTGTCAGTGCTGTAACCATTAAGTAATAACGTTTCCCACTTTTTCTGAATGGTCCACCAGTATAAATATTGGTATTACAAACCTATAAATGACAAAGGAATATTCTTATGTTTTCTGAGTTATATTATGAATTATAAGATGAGAATAGACCTGCCAATATTCTTCACATTTGAAAGTTTCCTACCAGCATAAATTCCCCGATGTTCAACAATGTTTGAGCCACACACGAAGCACTTCCCACACTCCTCAGACTCTTAGGGTATAACACTCATATGTTTTCTCAGATGCACTTTAAGGGCTGAACTGTATCTAAAGGTCTTCCCACATTTTTTGCATTTAAAGGGTTTCTCACCAGTGTGTACCCGCTGATGTTCAGTAAGGAATGAATTAAGTCTAAAGGCCTTCCCGCATTCCTTACATTCAAAAGGTTTCTCACCAGTGTGAACACTCTGATGTCCAATAAGTTGTCCATAAACAGTAAAGGCTTTCCCACATTTGTTACATTCATAGGGTTTCTCCCCAGTATGAATTCTTTGATGCTGAACAAGGTATGAGCCAGAACTGAAGGCCTTGCCACACTCCTTACACTCATAGGGCTTCTTACCAGTATGGATTCTGCTATGTTGTACAAGGTACGAGGCTCGACTAAAAGTCTTTCCACATTCCTTACATTCATAGGGCTTTACATCAGTATGAATTTTCCGATGCTGTGTGAGATGTACGTGCACTCTGAAGGCCTTGCCACATTCCTTACACTCATAGGGTTTCTCTCCAGTATGAACCCTTTGATGTACGGTAAGCTGATGGCGACTAATAAAGGCTTTGCCACATTCCTTACATTCATAGGGTTTCTCCCCAGTATGGATCCTCTGATGCTGAACAAGGTATGAGCCAGTACTAAAGGCCTTGCCACACTCCTTACATTCATAGGGCTTCTCGCCAGTGTGAAGTCTTCCATGTTGAACAAGATATGAGGCACGACTGAAGGTTCTCCCGCATTCCTTGCATCCGTAGGGCTTTATCTCTGCATGAATTCGCTGATGTGCATGAAGGAAGGAACTAAGTCTAAAGGCCTTTCCACATTCCTTACATTCAAAAGGTTTCTCACCAGTATGAATACTCTGATGTCGAGTAAGCTGTCCATACACAGTGAAGGACTTCCCACACTCCTTACATTCATAGGGTTTCTCGCCAGTATGAATTCTCTGATGCTTAGCAAGGGGTGAGCTAGTGCTAAAGGCCTTCCCACATTCTTTGCATTCGTAAGGTTTTTCACTGGTATGAATTCGCTGATGTTGAACCAGGTATGAAAAGGTACTGAAGGCCTTCCCACACTCCTCACACCCAAAGGGTTTTTCACCAGTGTGAGTACTCTGATGCCGGGTAAGCTTTCCATATACTAGAAAAGCTTTCCCACATTCCCCGCACTCATATGGTTTCTTCCCAGTATGAATACTCTTATGTACTGTAAGTTGATAGCTACCACTAATAGTCTTTCCACATTGCTTACATTTGAGTGGCTTCTCACCAGTGTGAATTCTCCCATGCTTAACAAAGGCTGAGCCACTGATAAAGGCCTTCCCACATTTTTCATATTTATAGGGTTTCTCACCAACATGCAATCTCTGATGTATGGTGAGTTGATGTCCATTACTAAAGTTCTTCCCACATTCTTTACATCTGTTGGGTTTTTCACTACTATGTATTCTTTCATGTTGAACAGGCTTTGAGTCTTGACAAAGGGTCTTTCCATATTCCTGACATTCACGTGGTTTCTGTCTACTTATTTTCTGATGTAGAGCAAAAGATGGACAGTTTTCAGAGGTGGGCATTTCTTTACAGCCGATTGTATCATCTTCCAACTGCAAATCTGAAAGAAAATTTTAAAAATATCTTATTTTTCTATTTGAAAAAAAATTCTAGGGAAGAAAAGAGAAAAACTGAAAATAACACCAACTAGAAATAAATAGCTCAGTAATATTAAAACACCATTATGAAATTCAAAAAAAAAAAAAGGAATGCAGAGATTAACAAGTGTTTATGTAAAATAGTAAGGTTGGTGATTAGTGAAACAGTTTTCATTTAGGTGTGGATAATAATCTTTGAAGAGCCTGTTAAAAAATGGATGTTCAAGCAGCATCCCGCCCCTCTGAATCAGACATAGGGGAAGTTCCTGGACATCAATACTGTCAACCTTTCTAACAAATGTTTCTGATGCAGATGAAATTTTTATAATCCATATTTTATTGTTCCTTCTAGGGGTTTCTTGTGGCGCTTACATTAAAATCCATGTATCTTTCCACAGATAATATTGTCCCTGCTCACCTCTCAGACCTCATATCAAGACACAACTCCCTCTGTCCCATACTGACCTAATTTCCCCCTTTTAGCACCTTGACGTTCTTACAAATTTTCTCACCTTTTGGTTCCATGTGCAGGTGGCATCATCGCCTAAAAATCTTCTGGCATGTTTTGTTTGTAGACTGGAGCTTTCTTATCCTATCCATGTTTAAAATAAAATGTCACTTTATCAGGAATATGGTAAACTGCTAACTTTGTCTAAGGACGTCCATGTCTTTACTTTCTAGCACTTCATTCTTTGGTTTCCTACTGGTTTTCTTTTTCTTTTTTTCTTTTCTTTTTTTTTTTGGATAGGATCTCACTCTTGCCCCGGCTGGAGTGCAGTGGCACAACCACAGCTCAATGCAGCCTCAACCTCCCAGGCTCAGGTGATTCCCTCCCACCGCAGCCTCCTGGATAGCTGGGACTACAGGTGTGTGCCACCATGTCCAGCTAATTTTTTTGTAATTTTTATAGAGATGGGGTCTTGCCACATTGCCCAGGCTGGTCTCCAATTCCTAGGCTCAAGTCGTCCTCCCACTTCACCCTCCCAAAGTGCTGGGATTACAGGTGTGAGCCAATGAGTCCGGCCTTCTATACAAAAGAAATAATCGTAATAAAATATCTCCATACAAAGAATGATATTTTATAATTCCAATGAGAATTATCATTTGTTGTTAAAACCATGACAAGATATACTGCTAAACTGAATAAACGTGTACTTCTTGAGAATAAACTAAGATCACACAGATTATTGTTTAGTCACAAGGAGAAACATACTCAATAATGTGGGGTTGGACCATTATCACTGTAATCTAGTAAACAGTCTTTTAATGAGGAGCACGGCCAGACATTAGATATCTGCTGATAAGATACACATTGCCTCCTTTGATATATTGAGACAAAACTGTTTACCACCTTTTAAAATATTGCCATATTATTTGATAAGCCCATAGGACGAGATCACTGGGGTGGCCACTAAAGCACTGGGTTTGTACACAAAAACCAACTGCAAAACTGGATTAGATATGTTAACTCACTGAACTCAATACCTGCCTTTAGGATGGTTCCTGTTATCTCCTAGGATCACTGTGGCCCATTCATCCCCCTTGTCAGAAAAAGAGACCTTTAGATAACTTAATTCAAAGAGGAGAGAAACTGGACCTGAGTTTGTGTCAAAAAACTTCAGTCAGGCTGGGTGCAGTGGCTCACGCCTGTAATCCCAGCACTTTGGGAAACCAGTGGGCAGATCATGAAGTCAGGAGTTCAAGACCAGCCTGGCCAACATGGCAAAACCCTGTCTCTACTAAAAATACAAAAATTAGCTGGGCATGGTGGCGGGCACTTGTAATCCCAGCTACTTGGGAGGCTGAGGCAGGAGAATCACTTGAACCTGGGAGGCAGAGGCTGCAGTAAGCCAAGATCGCGCCATTGCACTCCAGCCTGGGCAACAGAGTGAGACTCCATCTCAAAACAAAACAAAACAAAACTTCAGTCACCACTGAAACAGAACTTTGGACTGTTTCCTTCTACCTCCAAGCCTTTTAATGTCACGCTACACAAGAGGACCCTCAAAATGGGGAGAACCATATTAGCATTGTAATCCCGATAACAGATCTGGACAATGTCACAAAGACACAAATTCATGTCCATGAAACTGGATAGGCAACTGGTTCAAAATACATTGTTTAGAAAAAGTACCGTGCCTTTCAAGCAAGAAATATTATTCTTATGAGAAGAATGTTGTACTCACATCTCTAAAGACCTCTGAAATCTTTAAAAACTCTAAAATGATTTAGGAAAGACATAAGAAATCAGGAAATTAGATAATTGGGATAATTCTTCCATATCTGGTTCTGTGGGCTCTTTGGATTAGGGATGGGATCTGTTCATGTGGTTGCATTTGTGTACAAGTCTTTGATCCTGGCCTAGAACTGAACTATAAATTCTGATCGTAACTATTCTCTTAGGATTTGTCTATACTCTAGAGTTCAAATGCCTAGAGTCATAAATGCTATTGTGCAACCATTTTCTTGTCAAATAATCCATATGATATTCTATTTTTTTTTTTTTTTTTTTTTTTTTGAGACGGAGTCTCACTCTGTTGCCCAGGCAGGAGTGCTGTGGTACGATCACAGCTCACTGCAACCTCTGCCTCTTGGGTTCAAGTGATTCTCCTGCCTCAGCCTCCTGAGTAGCTGGGATTACAGATGTGCACCACCATACCCAGCTAATTTTTGTATTTTTAGTAAAGACAGGGTTTCACCATGTTGGCCAGGCTGGTGTCGAACTCCTCACCTCAGGTGATCTGCCTGTCTCGACCTCCCAAGGTGCTGGGATTACAGGTGTGTGCCACCGTGCCCAGCTCCAAATGATATTTGAAATAAAAGAACAGAAAAAAAACTTTTGGAGGTTGAAATGACATAGTTGTGTACATTTGGATAATCATGGTCCCAAGAAGATAACGGCCTATCTTCAGATAAGGCTGAAGCATGACCAAAAAGGAGACAGGGGACACTGAGAACAGAAATCAACGAAATCCCCTATCTCTGTGTTAAAGAAAACTGAGACCAGCATACCTCCCCGAACCTGTCTTAACCTTCAGTATTCTATCAGGGCCCATGGGGTCAATTTTTAGTTTTTGAGTTTCTTTTTCAAGCAATTCTAACTATTTGTAAGAATTAGTATTTCATGACATTTAGTCTTTCTTAAAGGCCTTCAAAAGAACAAAGAGAAAACTTACTTATTTTCAAAATATACTAAATTTCATTCAATTTTACAATTAGGGCTCTACTACACCTTTTTATAAAACTACAATCTACTACGAGACAGTAATCTTATTTTTTCCAGTAAGAATCATGTGTAAGAATAAATTTCCTGGGAACATTTTTCCGTCTCATCATCCTAAGTTATTTCATCATTATTTGTCAATTATGCCCAAGCATGTGAAAAAAGAAAGACTAAATAGGAAAGTGGATGAATGATGGCACTGCCTAGAAAGATGATGCAGTAGTGAAATAACGCTGTGGCATCCTTCCGTATCCTTACTGTGTTGCTCGAAAACCTGCACACCTTTGAAAGCTTGAAAAAAGTCTGGACACATCACCTGCATGTCTTTTTTTAAAAAAATTAGCTTTTAGGCTGGGCATGGTGGCTTACACCTGTAATCCCAGCCCTTTGGGAAGCCAAGGAGGGTAGATCAATTGAGGTCAGGAATTTGAGACCAGCCTGGCCAACATGGTGAAACCCCATCTCTACTAAAGATACAGAAGTTAGGCCGGGCACGGTGGCTCACGCCTGTAATCCTAGCACTTTGGGAGGCCGAAGCGGGTGGATCACCAAGTCAGGAGTTCAAGACCAGCCTGGCCAACATGGTGAAACCCCATCTCTACTAAAAATACAAAATTATCCAGTGTGGTGGTGCATGCCTGTAAGCCCAGCTACTCCGGAGGCTAAGGCAGGAGAATTGCTTGAACCTGGGAGGCGGAGGTTGCAGCGAGCTGAGATTGCGCCACTGCACTCCAGCCTAGGCGACAGAGCAAGACTCCATCTGAAAGAAAAGAGGATAGGGGAGGGAGGGGAGCGGAGGGAGGGGAGGGAGGGGAGGGGAGGGGAGGGGAGGGGAGGGGAGACAAGACACTGATAGGTAAGTTGCATGTGGACTGAGTGGAACTCTAAGTACCTGATGGCAGCTCCATACTCTGAGCTTCCCTAAATGTAGAATCTCTTTTAAATGGCACGTCTTCTGTGGGGACCCTGGAAACCATGCCCGTGGAATTGCTAAGGGTACTGAGTTCTGTGAAATGCTTGTATCTTCTTTAAGTCACGGCAGCTCGCCAACTCACCTGGTGTGTGTCTCGTCTCTCTGCACCTTACTTTTGGAGGGCTATGCGAGTGTATCCTGCGTGAACTACTGTAAGGATGCAGCCTGACAAAACAGGTGAGGCTGCCCCGCTGGCAAGCTGGGGTTCCTGCTATGGCATTTTCCAAACAGATAGAGCCAAGACAACCACAGGCAGTCTTAGTCTGAATGCGCAGTTGAGCCTAAGATGAACCTCCGGTGGGCACTGCAGGTGAAATGGGTTTTCGTGTGTTTGACTATCAAGAATCATATCCTTAATTCTTAGTACCTTCTGGAGTATTTAGGAATAAAGTCTTGCAATTGCACAACTTAAATGGTACGGCAAAAAATTTTTATATATATAGATATAGAGCAAAGTGGTAAATTATTAAGAACTAGTGAATCTAGGTGAAGATTATTATGGAGTTTTTAACTCAGTTGGCAAAATGCAAAAAAAGTTCCCAAATCCAGACTTTTAAGAATGGTATAATACTTCTAGATATTAAGAGGTATTATAAAAAAATAAAAAAGAAAATCCTCAAAGTAATATAAGGAGACTGATAGGATACAAGGTGTATTGGTTTGAACAGTGTCCCCCAAACTCCTGTCCACCCGATACTTCAGAATGTGACCTTATTTTTATTTTTTTATTATTATTTTTTAAAATCTCTTCAGAACCAAATGCCTCAAGAGGACTGCTGTGCTCATTCTTGGCACTGCCTTGCCTCCCATTCTGTTTTTACCAGACCAGTCAGGCTTTCACCCCTAGGTGCCCCTGAAAATTTCCTCCTTTAGCAAGGCTAAATATTGTGGTCAGACTGGGCGCCATGGCTCACACCTGTAATCCCAGCACTTTGGGAGGCCGAGGTGGGTGGATCACCTGAAGTCAGAAGTTTGAGACCAACCTGGACAACATGATGAAACCCCACCTCTACTAAAAATACAAAAATTAGCCAGGCATGGTGGCAGGCGCCTGTAGTCCCAGCTACTCAAGAGGCTGAGGCAGAATCATTTGTATTTTGGAGGCAGAGGATGCAGTGAGCCGAGATTGCACCACTGCACTCTAGCCTGGGTGACAGAGTGGGACTCCGTCTTGAAAAAATATATATATATTGTGGTCAATTCTCATCACTGCTTAGCTTAGTTCACTTTTCAGGTGATCATTCTTCTATTTTTTTTTTTTATTTTTAAGAGATGGGGTCTTGCTCTGTCACCCAGGCTGGAGCGCAGACTCACTGCAGCCTCGAACTCCTAGGTTCAAGCAGTTTTCCTGCATCAGCCTCATGAGTAGCTAGGACTACAGGGGCATGACTCTATGCCTGGCTAATTTTTAAACTTTTTGTAGAGATGGGGGGTCCTGCTATGTTGCCCAGGCTGGTCTCGAACTCCTGGCTTGAAGTGATTCCCCCTGCCTTGTCTTCCCAAAGTGTTGGGATTATAGGAATAAGCCACTGTGTCTGGCCTACTCTTCTATCTTGAAACACTTTCTTCATTTGTCTTTGGTGGCACCACTTTCTGGTTTTAATTCTACCTTAAAAGAGGCAGTCTCTTTTGCAGCCTCCTCTAGAAGACCTCTAAATGTTAAGAGTAGTCACTACTGGCCGGGTGCAGTAGCTCACGCCTGTAATCCCTGCATTTTGGGAGGCCGAGGCAGGTGGATCACCCAAGGTCAGGAGTTCGAAACCGACCTGGCCAACATGATGAAACCCCATCTCTACTAAAAATATAAAAAATTAGTCAGGCATGGTGGCAGGTGCCTATAATCCCAGCTACTCAGGAGGCTGAGGCAGGAGAATCACTTTAACCAGGGAGGCAGAGGTTGCAGTGAGCTGAGATCGCACCACTGCACTCCAGCCTGGGCAACAAGAGTGAAACTCCGTCTCAAACAAAAACAGAAACAAAAACAAAGACAAAAAAATAGTCACTACCTGCACTGACTCTCAAGGGACCTCAGCCAGTGCCATGGCTTTAAATAGCAGCCAAATGCCAATGAATCCCAATTTTATTTTATTTTTTGAGACAGGGGTTTTCTCTGTTGCCCAGGCTAGAGTGCAGTGGTGCGATCATAGCTCACTGCAGCCTTGACTTCCTGGGCTCAAGCCATCCTCCTGCCTCAGTCTCCCAAGTAGCTGGGACTGCAGGTATGTACCACCATGCATAGCTAATTTGTACATTTTATATAGAGATGGGATATCCCTATGTTGCCCAAGCTGGTCTCAAATTCCTGGGCTCAAGTGATCCTCCCAACTTGGCCTCCCAAAGTGTTGGGATTCCAGGCATGAGCCACCAAGCACAGCTGCATCCCAAGTTCTCATGTGTAAGCCTAAACTCTCCCTGAGCTCCAGACTTGCATATTCCACAGCCCACTTGGCATCTTTGCTTGGATGAGCAGGAGTCATCTCCAACTTAACATATGGAAAGCAGACACCTTTAGATCTGCCCTGCAACTTGCCCTTCCTTCTTTACCATCTCACGTGACCGTACCACCATTCGGCTGCTCAAGTCCAAACCTGTTGATCCTTCTTGATTTCCCTCTTTGCCTCCATATCCATTTACAATCCACCAACATGTTGTGGGTTTTACATTAAAATGTATGATGAACACTCTGCCTTCTCACCGCTGTCCACCATTAACATCCTAATCAAAACCACTCAGACCCCCAGCTTGCACTGCTCTTGCCCCCATTCAGACTACCCACTACAAATACCTGGAGTAATTATCTAAAAACATAAACTAGGATGATGGTTGATAGGGTTTGGCTGTGTCCCCACCCAAATCTCATCTTGAATTGTAGCTCCCATAATTCCCACGTGTTGTGGGAGGGACTTGGTGGGAGATAATTGAATCATGGGGGCGGTTTCCCCCATACTGTTCTCACGGTAGTGAATAAGTCTCATGAGATCTGTTGGCTTTCTAAGGGGAAACCCCTGTCACTTGGCCCTCATTCTCTCTTGTCTGCTGCCATGTAAGACGTGCCTTTTACCTTCCGCCATGATTGTGAGGCCTCCTCAGCCACATGGAACTGTGAGTCCATTAAACCTCTTTTTCTTTATAAATTACCCAGTCTTGGGTATGTTTTATCAGCAGCGTGAAAATGGACTACCACAATGGTGGAAGTGGTAGCATTGTTTTTGAATTTAAACAAATACCCCCATAAAAACAGAGCAAACAGGATAGCAAAACTGTAAAAAAAAAAAAAAAAAAAAAAAAACTATAGACAACATATACAACAAAACTACATGAAGAGGTACCCTCAAAATGGCAAAATTCTAGGAGACAAAGACAAAATACTACAGCTAAGACTTGTGTGGTCTAGGCATCTGTGCAGGAAAAGGCAGAGGGGGACAATGTGGGGTGTCTGACAGACCTGAGAACCTCAAAATAACCAGGTGTCCATAAGCATAGCAGGCTGACTTGAGAAGAGCAGGTAAGACTGGGAGTGAGAATATGGGATCCCTGGCAAAGTTTGAAGTGGCTAGAGGTGATTAATCAGGGAGGGAGAAAGGTAACTGTGATTAGGTACAGGGCATGAAAGCCTTAAGGGAAGGTAGAAGAGTTTTCTCTCTTCATTTGGAGAATCTGGGTTGAAGGGTATATGAAAATTCTTAGTACAACTTTCCAACTTTTTTGTAAGCCTGACGTTATTTTATAAAAATTGTTTTTAAAAATTTTTTTTTTTTTTAGACGGAGTCTCGCTCTGTCGCCCAGGCTGGAGTGCAGTGGCACAATCTTGGCTCACTGCAAGCTCCGCCTCCTGGGTTCACGCCATTCTCCTGCCTCAGCCTCCCGAGTAGCTGGGACCACAGGCGCCCGCCACCACGCCTGGCCAATTTTTTGTATTTTTTTAGTAGAGACGGGGTTTTACCATGTTAGCCAGGATGGTCTCGATCTCCTGACCTCCTGATCCACCCACCTCAGCCTCCCAAAGTACTGGGATTACAGGCGTGAGCCACCGCGCCCGGCCTGTTTTTTAAATTTTTTATTTTACTTTAAGTTCTGGGATATGTGTGTAGAATGTGCAGGTCTGTTACATAGGTATACATGTGCCACGGTTGTTTGCTGCACCCATCAATCCGTCATCTAGGTTTTAAGCCCTGTGTTCATTATGTATTTGTCCTAATGCTCGCCCTCTTGTTGTCCCCCAGCCCCCGTAAAAATGTTTTATCTTTTGACCAGAGTGATGGTTACAAAGGTATCTGCCTCATAATAACTCATCAAGCTGTACATTTTAATATGGTTTTTCTGGTATCTGTTTCCTATTTATTAGAATTTTCTAAAATTCAAAAATTGGAAAAATGTAAATTAGGTCATAGTTTCTAGTTACATTAGAAAATAATCCAAATTCCTGGCCAGGCACGATGGCTCATACCTGTAATCTCAGTACTTTGGGAGGCCAAGGCAGGAGGATCACTTGAGCCCAGGAGTTCAAGACCAGCCTGAGCCACATAGTGAGACACTGTCTCTACTGAAGATTAAAAAAATTAGCCAGGTGTGGTGGTGTGTGCCTGTAGTCCCAGCTACTCAGGAGGCTGAGGCAGGAAAATGGCTTGAGCCCAGGAGTTCGAGGCTGCAGTGAGCTATGATTGCACCACTGTATGCCAGCCTAGGTGACAAAAGAAGACTGTCTCACTCAAAAACAAAACAAAACAAACAAATTCAAATTCCTGCTAGCACTCTAGCTTTTTTCTTCTTACTCCTCCCATTAATTCTGCCTGAGCCTACTTACTGCTCCTGAAGCACACAAAACTCATTCCCACCCAAAGCATCCACATCTGCTATTCCCTCTGCTTGGCATGTCTTACATAATTACAAGGCCTGAACCCTCATTTTTCCTGTCTCTGTTCAACTATTACTGTCTAAGAATATATGAATAAATCCAAATGTAAAAGAGGAGGTGAAAGAAGTGAAATTCAATACACAGATGGAATAATGCACTGGGAAAGTGACTTAAGTCCGTAATAAAATGAGAGGGAAACAAGAGGTGAGTGAGTATTAAAATAAGTAAAGATGAAGTTCCTTTTGTGAGGCTGGTGAGATATTTATTTCTTACCCAAGTCTCAGCCTTTTTCCACCCAGGCCCTAGGGCTTTGAAGGGAAACCTCCAAACATTGCAGAGATGCACTTCCTCCCTGACAGCTGGGCTGTTTCCAGCAACAATGGCCTCCCTACCTGCCATGCTCTTACTCACCTGTGCACCATCTTCTTCCATCTTTCCTCACTGTCACTTCAGGCTCTTTCCATTGTTCCAATAAGGCGATCACATGTGGTTTAGAACGGGAATGTCCTGCTTATGAGATAAGAATGTAGAAAAGAAATAAAATATGAGTTCAAAAATACTTCCAGCTTTGGTTAAATTTGCCATAAATGAAAGGTCAAACGATATTGACCTTTATATCTCAGACACGAGAAGGGCAAGGGGATTCATAATTCCAGACAGGTAGAGAACGGTTTTATTTATGTAGAGACAGAGTCTCACTCTGTCGCCAGGCTGCAGTGCAGTGTGCGATCTCAGCTCACTGCAACCTCCGCTTCCCGGGTTCAAGCAATTCTCCCACCTCAGCCTCCCGAGTAGCTGGGACTATAGGCATGTGCCACCACGCCCAGCTAATTTTTGTATTTTTAGTAGAGACGGATGTCACCATGTTGGCCAGGATGGTCTCGATATCTTGACCTCGTGATCCGCCCACCTTGGCCTCCCAAAGTGCTGGGATTACAGGCATGAACCACCACACCCAGCCGAAAGGTTTTATTTTAAATGAAATCTATCTATCTATCTAACTATTATAAATATAGATAAGTGTATACTCATTTATTCTTTGTGTCTTGATAAAAAACCAGGCCCGGTGGCTCATGCTTGTAATCCCAGCACTTTTGGAGGCCAGGTGGGCAGATTACTTGAGGTCAGGAGTTCGAGACCAGCCTGGTCAACATGGTGAAACCCTGTTTCTATCAAAAATACAAAAATTAGCTGGGTGTGGTGGTGTACGCTTATAATCCCAGCTACTAGGGAGGCTGAGGCAGGAGAATCACTTGAACCTGGGAGGTGGAGGTTGCGCTGAGCTGAGATCATTACACTGCACTCCAGCCTGGGCAACAGAGTGAGACTATGTCTCAAAAAAAAAAAAAAAAAGAAAGTATGACATTGTGATTGAGAACGCGGATTGTGGAACCTAAGTGCCTGGGTTCAAGTTTCTGCTACCGTCACCTATGGGCTGTGTGATCTTGCGTAACTCACTTAAACACACTGTGCTTTATTTAGCATTCTCACCTAAAATGGTTAGCACCTATAGAGTGCTTGTAAGGTTAAAAATCAGTTAATACAAATGTATATTAATATAAAGAGCAGAGAACAGTGAAACAGCACACAGTAAGCACGCTGTGTGTTAATAACATTATTATTGTTATTTTGCTAAGACAAAAACAAAGTCTGCTTAGACATCTATATCTATAGGATATAGATTTAATTTGCATTTACTCTTAAATGCAAAGTTCAGAGATGATGAATTTTAACCACAAAATCAGATTATTTTATATGAAATAAAATGAGGTAACTTCAGTTTTAAATGATTTGTTTATCCAATCCGCCGGCATATAAGTTGTATAGGTCTTCAGATAGAACAAATCAAGACCCTTTGTCTAGCTGTTCTGCCTGCAAGGTGGGTCAGATTTTCACAGAGCATTTAGAGCAATTTAGAGCAAAAACATAATAGAAAACCTGGCCTCTTTTGTCAATGTTTTGCAATAGACAATCCAGAATTCTAATCCTGCCACTGGATCATTTCCAACCTAACAAAGCTCAAATCATTTCTCTGGCAACAAGAAGAAATCGTGTTCAGTTCTTAAGCTAGCCCTAAAATCTGCAAAGGAGAAAGTATAACAGGGAGCAGATTCTCAATTATTTGAGAGAAGTACACTTACCCATTGACACCAAGTTCCTGTAGTTCTCCAACATCACATCTCTGTACAAGCCCCTCTGGGAAGAGTCCAGACTCTCCCACTCCTGCTGGGAGAAGGCTATGGCCACATCCTCAAATGTCACTGATCCGTGATACTGCAAACCCACATATTTCTGGTAAAATCAAAGAAAATGCTTTCAAGGTGAAAGGAGAGGGAATAAAACGTTTCAGTGTAGTAAGGGAGCAATAACATAACAATCACATAGGCTGGAAGCTTATGATGTGGCAAGTGGATGAGCATGGTATCTGCATGTTCTGGAAGAATCCTGCTGCTATGGACAAAATGTCCTATATATTGTAGGATTATCATAATACTCCAGATTTGTGGTGAAATGGATAAAAGAATCCTAGTTTCCCTGTTAAGTAAAAGAGTACATACAAAGATATGGCCTGCTAGGTATCCAATGAAACAAATTCTCAAAAACAATTAGTCTCTATATTACTTTCCCTTTAAGAAGAAAATAGCTATGATTCCTTTCTCCAACTGTAGAATAAAATCTGTCTTAGAAAATAGCCATGACACAAATTTGTTGAATAACTCCTCAAGCTTCAAGTTCATTATGTCAGATCATAAGTGTTTTTCCTTATATTAATAAATACTTTTTTCCAAAGTGACATAAAAGTTATCTTGTGGATCTGTATTAAAGGTTAGTAACTTTGCGAGGCTGAGGTGGGTGGATCACACGAGGTCAGGAGTTCGAGACCAGCCTGGCCTATGCGGTGAAACTCATCTCTACTAAAAATACAAAAATTAGCTGGGCGTTGTGGCATGTGCCTGTAATCCCAGCTACTTGGGAAGCTGAGGCAGCAGAATCACTTGAATCCAGGAGGTGGAGGTTGCAGTGAGTCAAAATTGTGCCACTGTACTCTAGCCTGGGTGACAGAGCGAGACTCAGTCTCAAAAAAAAAAAAAAAAGAAAAAAAGAAAAAAAAAAGTAATGATTTTATACTTATAAACGAAGACTGTAACAAATGCCTCAGTTTTCCCCAGTTCTGGTAATCTGTTCATCTACTACTGATAACAATATGCTGATAGTGTCATACAAGATCCTTCACTTAATACTTTGGCTGCTGTTTTTTTAAATTTTTTTTTGAGACACAGTCTCACTGTGTTGCCCAGTCTGTAGTGCAGTGCTATGACCATAGCTCACTGCAATCTTGAACTCCTGGGCTCCAAGTGTCCTTCTGTCTGAGGGTCCCAAGTAGTTAGGACTACAGGCATGTGCCCCCATGCCTGGCTAATTAAAAAAAATTTTTTTTGGTAGAGACAGGGTCTTGCCATGCTGCCCAGGCTGGTCTTGAACTCCTGGGCTCAAGTGATCCTCCCACCTGGGGCTCCCAAGGTCCTGGGTTTACAGGTGTGAGCCACTGCACCTGGCCATTTGGCTGTTCTTGAGTTAGTGGATTAGGGTGAAAATGACTCAGAACCAAATGCATGTTGTCCAAGTCTGGCAGGTCCCATTCCATAACAAAATTGACCTTAGTATCACTCTCAGGCATCCCAAGAAGAACCATGATATCAATGTTTCACATCATAATCACATCCCCACTCAATCTTAAAAGCCTCATAGAGCATGTTATCTCATCATATTGAGACCAATCAATACAAAATTCCATCTTATCAGCTCTGTGGAAAACTTCAAATCTTCTGATGTGTGGCCAGATGAAGCCAACAGATCAAACTCATCAAACCACAGATGGATGTAGGAAGCTCAAATACTTCTGCCACGGGACTTCAATCCTCCACTGCTCTATCACAGCCTTTCAGCTAAGACTTACTATTTACCTGCTTCGTAACTTGCTCAATGAATTCATGAACACCGATTAGAAATGAGGACCTCGTAAGGAGGAAACGATACTTTGACATCATTCCGCCAAACAGAAGGAATCAAGTAGGCAATTAGATGGTACATTCTGATGAAGAATGCTTCAGGTCAATTAAGGAAAATAGCCACGTAATATAAAAATCCCCATATTTCAAGAAGAAACACCAACTTACATGGGCCATGCTTTGAGAATTGTAAGAACTGATCAGTCTTCACTGGGGTTCCTCTATCTGAGAAGTTCAAAAGCTAGAAAATCCAGAGAGGAGAAAAGGAGGCTTTAGTGTTCTCAATGACATACATTAATAAACCTTCCTGTCCCTTCATTTCAGCTTCCAAACTGTGCTACAAACACCCTCAAACAAAATTTGGAGAACAGTGGAATTCAAGCCCCAGTTAACTAAGCTGTACAGAGTTGATCGCAGAGGTGTGGCACTTCTTAAGGAAGGCAGAATCAGACACAAGCTTTCCCACCAGGCCCCCATTTTGGGAATGTTGATCTAGGTCTCAAATTGGGTTGCACAGTCTTCTCTTGAACAGATTCTCCTCACTCCATTCCCACGTTCTAAGCCTAAGAAAGAGTCCATATCACCCAATCCAGAGCTTCTTTAATGGTGACAGTATAAATCTGAGGTTGGTCAAGACACGGGAGGTAGAGAACATAGGAGAAAATGATCAGGCAGTTACTAATATGGCTCAGTTTTCTCATCACTAAAATAGTAATAGGAGTATCAGCTCCAACATGTGGTTGTCCTGAAGAATAAGAAAACCCACCCCAAAAGTTAATAGAATACTTGCTTAACATGAGTTGGCTCTTTTGTTTTGTTTTGTTTTGTTTTATTTTTTGAGACGGAGTCTCGCCCTGTCACCCAGGCTGGAGTGAGTGCAGTGGCGCCATCTTGGCTCACGGCAACCTACGCCACCCAGATTCAAGTGATTCTCCTGCCTCTGCCTCCCTCCCGAGTAGCTAGGACTACAGGCGCATAGTCACGCCCAGCTAAGTTTTGTATTTTTAGTAGAGACGGAATTTCACCATGTTGGCCAGGATGGTCTCCATCTCCTGACTTCGTGATCCGCCCGCCTCAGCCTCCCAAAGTGCTGGGATTACAGGCGTGAGCCACCGCGCGCAGCCGAGTTAGCTCTTACTATGGTAGCTCCCTCTTATCCACAGGGGGGAGATACACTCTAAGATCCTCAGTAGATGTCTGACGGAACCCCATATATACTATGTTTTTTCTTATACATACACACCTATGATTAAGTTTAATTTATAAATTAGGCACCATAAGAGATTTTTATTTTTCTGTTTGTTTGTTTGTTTGAGACAGGGTCTCACTCTGTTGCCCAGGCTGGAGTGCAGTGGTGTGATCTTGGCTCACTGCAACCTCCACCTCCTGGGAGCCTCCCAAGTAGCTGGGATTACAGGTGCCCACCACCACGCCTGGCTAATTTTTGTATTTTTACTAGAGACAGGGTTTCACCATGTTGGCCAGGCTGGTCTCGAACTCCTGACCTCAATTGATCCACCCATCTCAGTATCCCAAAGTGCTGGGATTACAGGCGTGAGCCACCGCACCCGGCCACCATAATTGAGTAATAGCAATAACTAATAATAAAATAGAACAACTATAATAGCATACTGTAATAAAAGTTATGTGAACATGGCCCCTCTCTCTCAAAATATCTTATTGTACCAAAATCACCTATTTTCAGATCATGGTTGACTGAGGGTAACAAAGTGAAGAAAGTGAAACTGCCGATTAAGGGGGCACTACTGCATTGGAGTTATTACGTAAACATTATACATCCTTTATTTCATTTTAATTAAACACTTGTTTCCACTTAATTTAATTTATGTATCTATCTATCTATCTATCTATATATATATATATATATATATATATATATATATTTTTTTTTTTTTAGAGAAGGGATCTCGCTCTGTCGCCCAGGCTGGATTGCGGTGGTGCCATCTCCACTCACTGCAACCTCCGCCGCCTCCCAGCTTCAAGCACTTCTCCCACCTCCGCCTCTCAAGTAGCTGTGACTACAAGCGCACGCCACCATGCCTGGCTAATTTTTATATTTTTAGTAGAGACGGGGTTTCACCATGTTGCCATGTTGGTGGTCTCGAACTCCTGAGCTCAGGCAATCCACCCGCCTCAGCTTCCCAAAGTGCTGGGATTACAGGCATGAGCCATGGCACCCGACCTGTTTCCACTTTTTACTTAAAACGTAAGTTTCTCTGGCATGCTTTCTTTTAATTCTAACTAAAAAATTAAGAGCAACTCTTCTTTAAAAACAAACAAATAAAAAACCAACAGAAAAGATTCTCTGACATTTCAATTTCCTCTGTCCCCTAGCAGCTAGAGAGAGAGAGCTACTGCTGTGGGATAATGCAAAATTGAAGAACCTTAAGAAAAAGCTGGGTCCTATTTCTGTGCAATATGGAGATTGATGGAAATGTTTACAGCTGTCATCTTGCTCTCCTTTCTTACATAATTTTGTCATTAGTTAAGTAATCTGCACAACAGATCCTTTGAAGTCCTTTTCCCTGCACTGATAATTTTCAGATGACATTGCTCTCATCTTTAAAAGGTGTAAATACTTTATACAGTTTTTTCCAAACAAGAAGAGGCTTCCTGGCAATCCCATTTCTTCCCGCTGCATGCAAAAGGTATCATAACTATCGTTTCCTTTTTAAACTGAGAGTTGAAGAGTCTTTTGCTCCTTTACATAAATCAATTACAGTGATTTTATCCAAAATAGTAACAAATATTAATAGCTCAGGTTCGCATGGAGGCCATGCACCCAGTCTTCGCGGATGCACACCGGCCCCGGCCGACGCACCCTCCCTGCCCTGCCGCTCCCGCACTCGCCGGCCCGGGATCCTCGCCCGGTCCACCCAACGCTCACGCATGTCTCAGTCCGGGTTCCGCGCCGACACAGGTCTGCAGAGCTCCCGGTGCTGTGTTCGTTTGCAGAAATTCAAGTTGCCCGGCGGGGCTGCTCCAACCTCGGAGCTGGGCGCTGACTTCTCCCTCGATGAACTCCAAAGCTCGCTGCCGGGTCAACGACCACAATGAACTGGCGAGGAGGCAGAGATTGAGGTCGTTCCAGTGGCCGCTGAGAAATGTAGTTTCAGGCTACATTGGCCGGATAGCTGCAGCCTCTGGGAAATGCAGTCCTGAGCCGTCACACCGCCGAGCATGCCCGGCGCAGTCCACAAGGCCGCCCACCGGCGCCCGGAGACTTCTGGGCGCTCCCGTCCGGCTGAGAATGCGCAGGCGCAGGCGCTCGAGTTGCTGGGAGCCATAGACCTCGAAGCTGGGGCGTCTGACACCTGAGGCCCGAAGTAGGTGGCCAGCTTCTTAGAGGGCCAACCCAGGGCATTAACACACCAGGTCAGAAAAAGCAAAAACAAAAACAAACAAAAAATGATAATCTATACCAAAATATGTTATTACTTTAACACAAAAATATGAAAACTAGGTGTTTGAAATTATCTTTCCGTACTGTTTGCTTTTCGCTACAGAAATGCTATTATTTAACAGAATATTAATAGGATTAATAGTGGCAATTAGACTAATCACGTGTGAGAAAAATATATTTCTGTCCTCTGATACAGGAATTTTAAGTTTCTATTAAATATTTAAATTTTGTGGGTTCTATCTAAGATGCTAAATGTAAGACCTTTTAAAAGGAGAATGTAAATAAGGCTAATCAAACAGATATTAACTATATGTAATAGGCATTTATCTTTCTGTCCCATCATACGTTTAGGAGATATTTACTCTTTCTGGTTCCTTTTCCAGTAACACCTCTCTGTATTAGCTGCCTGTAGCCTTTATGGCATTCTTCTTTTGGTTTATGTAATGCTAAAACTGAATACAGGCAAACGTGAAATTCACCTTGACTGTCAGCTCCGCTTTTTGTTTGTTTTGTTTTTGTTTTGTTTTGAGACAGGGTCTCCCTCTGTCGCTCAGACTGGAATGCAGTGGCGCTATCTCGGCTTACTGTAACCTCTGCCTCCCAGGTTCAAGTGATTCTCCCACCTCGGCCTCCAGAGTAGCTGAGACTACAGGGGCGCGCCACTACACCTGGCTAATTTTTGTATATTTTTTGTAGAAATGGGGTTTTGCCATCTTGCCCAGGCTAGTCTCGAACTCCTGGGCTCAAGCGATCCACCCGCCTCAGCCTCCCAAAGTGCTGGGATGACAGGGTGAGCCACCGCGGCCAGCCGAGCTCTGTTCTTATTAAGCCCACATTACAGTGATTCCTGGAGTCAGTCCAGGGTGATGACATTGATAAGGAGGTGGGGAAGGGGAGTGCTGGGGAGGGAAGGGCGGGGTCCCTTTAAATGATATGGAAGGGGGAAAGGGAGGTGCTGGGTACAGGAGGGTGTGGTCCCTGGCTAGGGCTCCACCCCTGGCCCTGTGCCAACTGACCTAGGTGAGGGCAGGCATTTTTGTTTTCCTGCCCAAATGTTGCGTTTCCCAAGACCACCCTGGCCTGCCACGCCCCCATCCTGTTCCCGCCCCCATCCTGTCCCTATAAATACTCTGAGACCCTAGCAAGCAGACACACAAGCCGCTGGACATCCAGAGGAACATGTTGGCGGAAGAAGACATGACAGACGCTGGCACGCGGGCAGGCCACCCACCAGAAGGACGCGGAGTTTGGCTGGGGCAGTCCAAGGAGAGCCGGTGCTGCGGAGCAGCCCGATTCCAGGGGAAAACCATTTCCCTTCTGGCTCCCCCAACTGTTGAGAGCTACTTCCACTCAAAACCCTGCAGTCATCCTCCAAGCCCATGTGTGATCTGATTCTTCTGGTACACCAAGACAGGAACCCCGGGATATGAAAGCCCTCTGTCCTTGCGATAACGCAGGGATCTAATTGAATTGACTAACATAAGCCGCCTGCGGACAGCTAAAGAGCATCCTGTAACACGCCCACTGGGGCTTCAGCTATAAACATTCACCCCTAGACACTGCCATGGGGTCAGAGCCCCACAGCCCGCCCGTCTGTATACTCCCCTGGAGGTTTGAGCAGCGGGACACTGAAGAAGCGAGCCACACCCCCATCGCACGCCCTGCCAGGGGGACAAGGGAACTTTTCTCTTATCAACATCAACCTAAGTAGCCTCGCATCAAAAGCATTTGACTGTCAATAGTTAGGATTTTCCCTACCAGCAGTAGCAAGTTTTTAGCCTTATTGGAATTAGTTTCCAGCTCTGCAAAAATGTTCATCTGCTTTGTAACTCCAGGCTTTTTTGGTAGAGCAGCTGTTTGTTGACCAGTCGCTTTGCCTCTGTAAGTTCACCATATAGGCTATTCATGTCTAAAGTGTTCATTTTCAAACCCTCTGAAACTCATTGGGTATCTATTACAATGTCTGAAGACAAATATTTCATTAACAAATAAGAAGGTGATAGACCTGGAGTGAGAATCCACCCAATTCATGTCAATCGGAGACAAATTTGCAATATCCTGTGATTCCTGAACTGGCTGTGGTCACTGATCACTTCTGTCCTGGAGGAACTAGAGACATTCAAGACAAATAAGGACTCATCTAGTCCCCTGATTAAAGGACTTTTCATAGAGGCTGCATTAAGGGCCAAATTATGTACAATGTGCTCTCTGAGATGGGGATGTGTAAATAGCCGTCAAAATGTCATCTGGGCAGAAATTTGTTTGGGAGGATAAATTTATGTTCAGGGGTGAGGGGTGAATACAATAGAAATTTGTATTTTGCAGAGGGAAATGTGGGTTCCATGGTGGGTAGAAATAAAATAGATTAGTAGAATACTTAGAATGTCAAAGAAATTTTTAAATCATAGGGTTTTTTTTTTGAGAAAATTTTTGAAATGATTTTGAAATGATTTATTCAAAAAGTGCCCCTCAAAAGTGATCACTCCATAGATGACAGCTAAGGATCGCAATCTTACTGCTATGCCCTTGTGTTTTGAGTGAAGACTTGTGTGACTATAGTGAGGGTCTAGGTGTTTAATCGTCAGAGGTAAATTGGAGATTTCAGATGAGGCTGTCTCATGGAAGAGGGAGGAAGGATACTCACAAACCCTACAGCTGGAATCTGAGCATCCAGTGGAAAATGACAGTCCCTGATCCCTCAGGAAACTTTCTCTGGCCACTGTCAGTGATGTTCTAATCTAGGAGAGCAGAACTTTCCCCCTTATAATGTTTCTCACTGCATTTCCTGAAATATATTTCGTCTAAGTTCCATACGTTTATCTGAAAAGAATAACCACTTACCAAATTGTGTTTCCAACTAGGATAGTGGCCGCAGTTGTATTATCTTGTGCATTTGTCAAGAGAGGTCATCCGAACGCTGAGATAAAGGCTTGGGATTCCATTGTCTCATCTCTTTCTGGGAGTGATTTTCCTCTCATCTGGAAGTGCAGAGACAGAGTCTTCATAGGGAACTGAGATTACCTCCAAAAAACATTTGTGAAGTGAGCAATTCCTAGAAGGCTGTTAATGTTGATTAATGAAATTATACAAAAAGAATCATAAGATAGCTGGAGAAGAAAATTATCTGTGATGCCTGGAAAAGATACGTCCCAGTGGGAGGTAAGTACAGAATCCTGAGTTCTGAGATGTGAGGAATTCAGTTGAGGTAATGGTTCTACTATAATTGTGGCTACCATTAAATTTTTGTTTCTTCAAATTATGATTTATTTCTCTTCCTGATAACATTGAACAATCATAAATGTGGAGGGAAAGGAATCATTGAGGGTTGATTTAGAGAGAGTAAACAGGTGTAAAGCCATGGTTCCTGTGTGTTTTAACAAATACTAACTGAGCACCCGCCCTGTTGCAGATGCATTTCTAGATGTGTGAACAAAGAAATTTATCTACCTTAATTTGAATTGAGAGAAGCAGACAATAAATAATAAAGGAAATGTTATAAGTTACATAGTGACTTATAAGGTGTTATAAGTTATGTAACCTATGTTACATATATGTAACTTATGCTATAAGTTATGTTATAAGTTATGTTATATACAATATAACATAACAAGTTATGTTATATATGTTATGTTATAACTTATGTTGACAGTCCTCAGAAGGTCTCCCTCTCCCTCTCCCGTCTCCCTCTCCCTCTCTTTCCACGGTCTCCCTCTGATGCCGAGCCGAAGCTGGACTGTACTGCTGCCATCTCGGCTCACTGCAACCTCCCTGCCTGATTCTCCTGCCTCAGCCTGCCGAGTGCCTGCGATTGCAGGTGCGTGCCGCCATGCCTGACTGGTTTTCGTATTTTTTTGGTGGAGACGGGGTTTCGCTGTGTTGGCTGGGCTGGTCTCCAGCTCCTAACCGCGAGTGATCCGCCAGCCTCGGCCTCCCGAGGTGCCGGGATTGCAGACGGAGTCTCGTTCACTCAGTGCTCAATGGTGCCCAGGCTGGAGTGCAGTGGCGTGATCTCGGCTCGCTACAACCTCCACCTCCCAGCCACCTGCCTTGGCCTCCCAAAGTGCCGAGATTGCAGCCTCTGCCCGGCCGCCACCCCGTCTGGGAAGTGAGGAGCGTCTCTGCCTGGCCGCCCATCGTCTGGGATGTGAGGAGCCCCTCTGCCCGGCCGCCCATCATCTGGGATGTGAGGAGCCCCTCTGCCCGGCTGCCCAGTCTGGAAAGTGAGGAGCGTCTCTGCCCGGCCGCCATCCCATCTAGGAAGTGAGGAGCGCCTCTTCCCGGCCGCCATCCCATCTAGGAAGTGAGGAGTGTCTCTGCCCGGCTGCCCATCGTCTGAGATGTGGGGAGCGCCTCTGCCCTGCCGCCCCGTCCGGGATGTGAGGAGCGTCTCTGCCCGGCCGCCCCGTCTGAGAAGTGAGGAGACCCTCTGCCTGGCAACCGCCCCGTCTGAAAAGTGAGGAGCCCCTCCGCCCGGCAGCCGCCCCGTCTGAGAAGTGAGGAGCCCCTCCGCCCGGCAGCCACCCCGTCTGGGAAGTGAGGAGCGTCTCCGCCTGGCAGCCACCCCGTCCGGGAGGGAGGTGGGGGGGGTCAGTCCCCCGCCCGGCCAGCCGCCCCGTCCGGGAGGGAGGTGGGGGGGTCAGCCCCCTGCCCGGCCAGCCGCCCCATCCGGGAGGTGAGGGGCGCCTCTGCCCGGCCGCCCCTACTGGGAAGTAAGGAGCTCCTCTGCCCGGCCACCACCCCGTCTGGGAGGTGTACCCAACAGCTCACTGAGAACGGGCCATGATGACAATGGCGGTTTTGTGGAATAGAGAGAGGGGAAAGGTGGGGAAAAGATTGAGAAATCGGATGGTTGCCGTGTCTGTGTAGAAAGACGTAGATATGGGAGACTTTTCATTTTGTTCTGTACTAAGAGAAATTCTTCTGCCTTGGGATCCTGTTGATCTGTGACCTTACCCCCAACCCTGTGCTCTCTGAAACATGTGCTGTGTCCACTCAGGGTTGAATGGATTAAGGGCAGTGCAAGATGTGCTTTGTTAAACAGATGCTTGAAGGCAGCATGCTTGTTAAGAGTCATCACCACTCCCTAATCTCAAGTACCCAGGGACACAAACACTGCGGAAGGCCGCAGGGTCCTCTGCCTAGGAAAACCAGAGACCTTTGTTCACTTGTTTGTCTGCTGACCTTCCCTCCACTATTGTCCTGTGACCCTGCCAAATCCCCCTCTATGAGAAACAAGCAAGAATGATCAATTAAAAAAAAAAAAAAAAAAAAACTTATGTTATAAGTTACGTAGTGACTTATAAGGTGAAAAGTGCAATAGGAAAGGAAACAGGAGGAGCAGAACCCAGTGATGAGAAGCCTGTGGAGTAGGAGGGACTCCAGTAGGGAATGGAGGGGGTAGGGTTGCTCTCATAGGGAAATGATACTTAAGCAAATATTTAAAGGAGGCGAGGGAATAAGTGATTTGTATCGGGGGAAATTCAGCCCGATATTTCACGTAGGTTCTTTTCTATTTTCCCTAAGTGTTGGCCGGTCTGAGAAATAAAGGGAAAGAGTACAAAAGGAGAAATTTTAAAGCTGGGTGTGGGTGTTTCTCATCGGGTGGGACAAGAGACTGAGAAAAGAAAGAGACACAGAGACAAAGTATAGAGAAAGAAAAGTGGGCCCAGGGGACCGGCGCTCAGCATAGGGAGGACCCGTGCCGGCACCAGTCTCTGAGTTCCCTCAGTATTTATTGATCATTATCTCTACCATCTTGGAGAGGGGAATGTGGCAGGACAATAAGGTAATAGTGGGGAAAGGGTGAGCAGGAAAACATGTGAACAAATGTCTCTGTGTCCTAAACAAGGTTAGAAAAGGTGCTGTGCTTTGATGTGCACATACATAAACATATCTGGTGCATTAAAGAGCAGTATTGCCGCCAGCATGTCTCACCTCCAGCCTTAAGGCGGTTTTCTCCTATCTCAGTAGATGGAACATACAATCGGGTTTTACACTGACACATTCCATTGCCCAGGGACGAGCAGGAGACAGGTGCCTTCCTCTTATCTTAACTGCAAAGAGGCCTTCCTCTTTTACTAATCCTCCTCAGCACAGACCCTTTACGGGTGTTGGGCTGGGGGATGGTCAGGTCTTTCCCTTCCCACGAGGCCATATCTCAGACTATCACATGGGGAGAAACTTTGGACAATACCTGGCTTTCCTAGGCAGAGGTCCCTGTGGCCTTTCGCAGTGTATTGTGTCCCTGGGTACTTGAGATTAGAGAGTGGTGATGACTTTTAACAAGCATACTGCCTTCAGGCACTTGTTTAACAAAGCACATCCTGCATAGCCCTAAATCCATTAAACCTTGAGTCAACATAGCACATGTCTCTGCAAGCACAGGGTTGGGGGTAGGGTTACAGATTAACAGCATCTCAAGGCAGAACGGTTTTTCTTAGTACAGAACAAAATGGAGTCTCTTATGTCTACTTCTTTCTACATAGACACAGTAACAGTCTGATCTCTCTTTCTTTTCCCCACAATTTGGAGACACAGGAAGATGTTCCATGAAGAAGTGGTCAGAACAATGCCCTTTTGGCAGGAGGATGCCCACATTCATTGACTAGTTAATGTGACAGCATAAAAGCTAGGGTTCCCTCCCAACTTGGGACCACATTGAAGGTCTTTTACAGATACAGAGCTTCCTGTGGGATTGGCTGAGGCCTTTGTTGTGAATGCATAACATGTCTACTCCCTCTGCCCAATCCTGTTTACTTCCTCCACCTTCCCCAGGTACTGAGGCCAAGAGCCATTCCAAATAATTGCCCTGTGTGATAACCTCCATCTCAATGTCTGCTTGCCTGCAAACCCAACCTGTGATAGAGTTAAATTAATTTGATGTTATCAAATATTCGGTTGAATTGTTAAAGCAAGCAATCTATATATGCTAGTAAAGAAAGTATCAGTATAGGAAGAGGCTATCAGAAATAGACATAGCAGAACATCTTTTGTACTGCAGATTCAGAGGAAGCTATGTTTTGAAGCATTGATCTAACAGCCTGGGTGACAGAGTGAGACCCTATCTCAAGAAAAAATAATTATAATAAAAGGGTCAGTTTAGACTAGGAGAATTCTGAGATCTCCTGAGCTTTTTCAGATGGTGGACTGAGGGCTGCAATTGGAGTCAGGTGGCCCATCTAACTGCATATTTCCATATGCAACTTCTATTTGGTGGAAATCAGAAGAGTTTAAAAAGCTAGTAGGGGAATACAAGGACACAGGGGGTTTATCCATGAAAACATTTTAGATCTGGAGAGCCACTTTCTAAAACCACTAGCCTGGCATTGGTGCCATTCAGTTTCCAAGTGGAAGTGGACAAGCATTTTAAAGGTATAGGGAAGGAGTTTTCTCCAGTTCATATGGTGACAGCAAATTATGTGTAAGCATGACAACTAGCAATCATATTTTGCCCCAAACCAACATATAACATGTTCTGTCAGTGCAGGTGTCCCCTGAAGAGAAGATACAACAATAGGATAAGACTTACAAGGGAATTGTTGGGGCAAAGCACCTTCAAAGGATAAAGGGAAGCTAGAAGTGTGGAGAGAGAGCTTTGAGAACCCTGGCTGGGTGCGGTAGCTCATGCCTGTAATCCCAGCATTTTGGGAGGCTGAGACTGGCAGATCACCTGAGGGCAGGAGTTCAAGACCAGCCTGGCCAACATGGTGAAACCCCATCCCTACTAAAAATACAAAATTAGCCAGGCATGGTGGCACATGCCTGTAATCCCAGCTACTTGGGAGGCTGAGGCAGGAGAATTGCTTGAACCTGGGAGGCAGAGGTTGCAGTGAGCCGAGATCATACCACTGCACTCCAGCCTGGATGACAAGAGTGAAACTCTGTCTCAAAAAAAAAAAAAAAAGAACTCAGTACCTGTGGGATTCCTGTTGTGTTATTTTATATATATATATATATATATATATATATATATATATATATATATATATATTCACCTGATCGGTTCTTCCTGCCCACTGCACAGAAAAAATCAATCCACTGAGACCATGGCTTTGCAGTAAAGAAAAAGTTTGATGAGAGGCTGGCCATGCCACGAGGGACATGGAGTTATTACTCATCAATCTCCCTGAAATTTGGAGGCTGGGGTTTTTCAAAGATACTTTGGTGGGCAGGGAACTAGGGAATGGGTGCTGCCGACTGGTTGGGGAATGCAATCATAGGGATGACGAAAATGGTCCTCATGCACTGAGTCTGCTTCTGGGTGGGGGCAACAGGACTGTTTGAGTCACAGGTTGGGTGGGGCCATCTGATTGTCAGAAATGCAAAAGCCTGAAAAGATATCTCAAAAGGCCTGTCTTAGATTCCACAATAGTGATGTTAATTACCATTAACATAGTAATTAACATAGGAGGAGCTGGGGAAGTTGGAGATCTTGGGACCTCTGGAATAATGGCTGGTAATTGTTTAACTGCACCTACATTTTAGTAGAATTCAGGCCCCTCTGATTTTCCTAACCTGGTAGCCTTTCATTAGTTTTACAAGGGTGGTTTCATTTTTGGGAAGAGCTATTGTCTCCCAAAGTTAGTCTGACTTATGCCCAGGAATGACCAAGGACAGTTTGGAGGTTAAAGGCAAGATGGAGTTGGTCAGAATTTTCTCTTACAATTTTTGCAAAGGCAGTTTTATATATATTGGTTTTCATCCATGGCTCCTGGCTCTTAACTCTCGTAGCTCTTGTTACAGTCTTTTGTTATAATGTTGGGTGTGTTGGGCCCCAAGGGCAGGCCTCAGGAAACAGAATCTGTCTCCTGCCCTCATTTCACCTGCCCCAGGGCATGACTGTAATCTTCCTGTGAAAAGTAAAGTAGAGGTTTCTCTTCAAAGACTTTCTTCCCTGTCTAATTAGGAATAAATAGTAACTTCTCTTAGAAGCAAAATTTATTCAAAGACCTGTGCTAACATTCTTAAATATCTGCTAACCATAATAAAGAAATCAATGTACTTTATGTTCTTAGCTCCCACAATTTAGCCTAAATATTTGCCCTGGCATGCTTATGCTGGTCCAAGCAAGCATTAGGTCATAGCCTGTTCCTCTTCCTTATTTGAAGGTGTTTTTACCTTTCTCAGCATTCCACAAGTTACATCCTCCTTCCTTTGTTCTCATCTGCCTTTGCCTCTTTTAAAAAGTTCTAAGTTGCTAGCCAGTCAGGACAAATACAGAATATGAGGTCCCATTCCAGCCAATGGAAACTGGACACAGCAGTAGGGTGGATGCATCAGGTTATAAATGACCCTGTCTCCTTTGTTTGGTGTACTCTCATGGCAGAACTAATGGCGAGTGTACCCTTTCTGCAGAAAGCATAAAAATGGCCTTGCTGAGAAAATTAAATTTACGTTCAAGTGCTATTTCTTTATGGCACCAGGAAACAAGCATTTCAAACATTCCCCTGCCTTTCTGATTGTGGGTCTTAAGACCCTCCCTTGAGAAGGTCCTGCCTCATACGCTGGGGGAAGGAATGCTTCAATAAGAACCCAAGAGGATTGGCTTTGGTGAGCTTTCAGATAGCTGAACACATGGGGGTTCCTGGAGGATGGTATGCATGGGGAGGGCATGGTAGCTCTGTGCTCCTTCCCCCATACCATCTCTTCATCTGTGTCCTTTGTAATGCCCTTTATAATAAAGTATAATAGTAAATGTAAATAAGTGCTTCCCTGAGTTCTGTGAGCTGCTCCAGCAAATTAATCAAACCCAAAGAGGGGGCTGTGGGAACTGTAACTTGAAGTCTGTTGGTTAGAAGTTTTGGAGGACTGGACTTGTGATTGGTGTCTAAGGGTATGGAGGGGGCAGTCTTGGGGACTGAGCCCACCAGCTGTGGGATATGGAGCTATCTCCAGGTAGGTAGCGTTGGAATTGAATTGGAAGACACCTAACTGGTGTCCACTTCCTGGTGTGTGGGGAAAGCCCCCACATTTGGTCACAGAAGGCTTATTCTGTGTTGATGATTGTGGTGGTGGTGTGAGTGCAGAGGAAAAACACGGTTGGAGAGAGTTTTTCCTCTACCTGTGAAAGCAGTGAAAGAAGGAAGGACTAGGTAGCAAATGAGTCACATCTCAGCACACTTCTGATAAGTTTTTGACCAGGCCAGTAGGGAGTCCTGGAGCCACACAAACCCTGTAGAGGATTATCACATTGGGCAGGAAAGGCCAGATTCTTGTTGCCTGCGCCCTTGTACCTTTGTTGTACATGGTCATTAGATGGGAGGAGCCTAGGGGAAGGGAGGCCTGGAATAAACACTGTGGTGGATCTAAAGCACAGCTCCTGGAAGCTGTCCATCAGCTGTGCCTGCGCCCCAACAGGTCTCATGAAGGGAGTTCCAAAGGAGCACTTCCATGGCCACCACACTCCACCCCTGGTGCTGCACAGAGCCACTTTCCTGGGCATGTTCATGGAGCAGCTCTTCCAAAGTCCCCAGGGGGAGCAGCCATGACTGCTAGCTAGTTCAAAAGGATCCTGCTGTGTCCCAGTCAACAGTGGCCTCTTTTGGAATTAGGACCACTAACCCAGCATATCCTAAAGGTATGGGTACTCCAAGCAAATGTCTCATTTCTAGCATCTGGGCTTCTATGACATGATACATAGAAGTAGTCTATTTGTAGTTTGCTTATGAAAGTGAAAATATTTCTCAATATTTTAGAGGAAGTTTCTGATCATGGCAGGGTGTCGGCAAATATTCTTCTCCTTACCTCCAAGGACATTCCTTGTGGTGAGTCCTGCTAAAATGGCAGGGCACATGGCCAGTCCTTGAAGTGCTCCTAGAAGTAGTCTTTGGGAACAACCAATGGAGCTCACATAGCACCTTTCAGCTGCAAAGATACAAACTTGGAGTCAGCCTGTTCTGTTCCATGAAGACCCTTGCAGGCACCCATGCTCACTAGGCTTCTTAGAGACTGCTCTGGACAGCTCTTCCCCACACAACTAGTCAGGCTGGAGGTTCTGCTGCTTTCTGTGAAGGTCAGCCACTTGTTCTTTCCCCTCTGGAACATGTTAGCACCACCTTCACAATGCTCTCTTTCCCTGTTCTGAAGAACACACTCAAAGGGTCCCCAGAGAGCATGGTGGGATATGTCTCCATACCTGAGGACAGGATCTGGGTCCTCAGAATCACCCCAAGAGGTGCTGAAGTAGCCCAGAACACAGTGTGGAGTGGCGCTTCCCCTGCATGCCTCTGCAGAGTGGCCAGTTCTCTACAGGGATGCCATTTCCATTTTTTCTCCATCCATTTCCTCTTCTCAAAATAACACATTTCCCCTCCCTCCCTCCCTATCTCTCTCTCTTTTTCTTTCCTTCCCTTCCTTCCTTCTTTCCTTCCTTCCTTTCCCTCCCTTCCTTCCTTCTTTTCTTTTTTCTTTTCTTCTCTTTTCTTTCGTCTTGCTCTGTTGCCCAGGCTGCAGTGCAGTGCTGCGATCTCAGCTCACTGCAACCTCAGCCTCCCAGGTTCAAGTGATTCTCCTGCCTTAGCCTCCTGAGTAGCTGGGACTGCAGGTGCCCGCCACCACATGTGGCTATTTTTTTTGTATTTTCAGTAGATATGGGGTTTCGCCATGTTGGCCAGGCTGGTCTTGAGCTCCTGACCTCAAGTGATCAGCCCACCTAAGCCTTCCAAAATGCTGGGATTACAGGAGTGATCCACCACACCCAGCTTCATCTTTCTGTCTTGGCCTTCTGTCTTTTCATTTTTCTGTCTACATTATCTGTGATTTCAGTTTTATTTTTATTTTTAGAAGTTGGTCAGTAGATATGAATAAGGAGAGGGAGTGTTTGCAAGTTGACATATACTCTCTGAAATGTAGGATAAATGTATTTTCCCAAACTGAGTGTTGATATACATATAGGAAAAATCTCACAAAACAGGATGCAAATGAAATCAAATGATGGATTGAAAAACAGTACCACAGAGGCCATGCAGGATTTCCATGTCCTTAAATGATGCTCAACTTATTAATTGATAAATCTTTTAATTTTATTATTATTGTTATCATTATTATTATTTTTTTTGAGATAGAGTTTCACTTTTGTTGCCCAGGCTGGAGTCCAGTGGTGTGATTACAGTTCACACTCAAACTCCTGGGCTCAAATGATCCTCCCACCTCTGCCTTCCAAGTAGCTGGGACTATAGGCGTGTGCCACCATGCCCAGCTAGACCTTTTAATATTTTTATACTTATAAGATTGTTTATTTATTTAGAGACGGGGTCTCACTGTGTTGCCTAGGCTGGAGTGCAGTAGTGCAATCACAGCTCACTGCAGCCTCTATCTCTTGGGCTCAAGCGATCCTCCTGCCTCAGCCTCCTGAGTAGCTAATACCACAGGTATGTGCCGCCACACCTGGCTAATTTTTAAATTTTTTTTGTAGAGACAGGGTCTTGCTGTATTGCCCAGGCTGGTTTCGAACTCCTGGGGCTCTAGCAGTCTGCCTACCTCAGCCTCCCAAAGTGCTGGGATTACAGGCATGAATGCCTGGCCTTATAAGATTATTTAAACAATCAATCTAAATTTTATATTTTCTTTAATAATAAAACATTGCTTTATTATTAAATAGTAATAATAATAAAAAATTTAAAAATATTAACAATAAAATGCTTAATGTTTTTTCTACTTTAAAAATGTTATGCAACCCCTTGTTCTGTCAAGGCTAATTCATTATTCTTCAAGGTTGTTGTGACCTTCCTGCTCCTACCTGATTATCGTGTGCAACCCAGGGAGCAGATTCATTCTTCCTATTCTTGGTGTCTTTCATCCATATCTGAAACTCTTTAGTGTACTCAAATTCTTAGTATATCTTTTGTTTGTTACTGACACAGAAAGGGAAGAATACACATTTCTATGTAAAAAATGGTCATATAAAAAAACCCAGGATATATATACATATATGTCGTGTGTGTGTGTGTGTGTGTGTGTGTGTGTGTGTGTGTGTGTATGTTTTTCTCCTAGATGAAATGAACAAGTCTTGGAAACACACAAGCTACCAAAACTGACTCAAGAAGAAATAGAAAATCTGAATAAACTTTAAGAGACTGAGTCAGTTTTCAGAAACCCCACACAAAGAAAAGCCCAGACTGGATGGCTTCTCTGTTGAACTCTAAGCACAGCAACATGAACCTAGTGGGAGCAGCAGATGGAAAGGAAATAGAGACAGGCCAGAGGTAATGTTCCATCACTATTGCCAAATCTGAGCCATCACTGTCCCTTGCCCTGACCACAGCCTTCGCCTCTTGGTGTTCTCCTGGCTTCCATGCTCCTGCCCAGCTACAGAACAATGCTGTCAGAATGGCTATTATTAAAAAGTCAACAGATGCTAGAGGGGTTGCAGAGAAACAGGAATATTTTACACGGTTTGTGGGCATGTAAACTAGTTCAACCATTGTGGAAGATGGTGTGGCAATTCTTCAAAGATCTAGAACCAGAAATACCATTTGACCCAGCAATTATATATGCAAAGGAATATAAATCATCCTGTTACAAAGATACACGCATGTGTATGTTCACTGAAGCACTATTCACATTAGCAAAGACATGGAATCAACCCAAATGCCCATCAGTGGTAGACTGGATAAAGAAAATGTGGTACATATATACCATGGAATACTATGCAGCTATAAAAAGGAATGAGAACATGTCCTTTTCAGGGACATGGATGGAGCTGGAAGCCATTATCCCCAGCAAACTAACTCAGGAACACCACATGTTCTCACTTGTAAGTGGGAGCTGAACAATGAGAACACATGGATACATGGAGGGGAACAACACACACTGGGGCTTGTTGGGGAGTGGGGTAGGGGGAGGGAGAGCATTAGGAAAAATAGGTAATGCATGCTGGGCTTAATACCTAGGTGATGGGTTGACAGGTGCAGCAAACCACTATGGCACATGTTTACCTATGTAACAAACCTGCACATGTACATGGAACTTAGAATAAAAATTAAAATTAAAAAAAAAAAACCTAAGTTGGCCAGGCCATCCTCCAATCATTCCCATCTCTAAGTTAAAGGCCCCTTTCTTATGACTTCTAACAAGGCCTTCATAGACTGTGCCCTGTCCTCTGCGCTCTCCTCTTGCTCTCATGCTTGACTCCATGCTATCTCCATTGTCTTTAATATCTACTCCCTGGGACCCCGGGCAGCCTTCCTGTGGACCTTTGCAGTGGCTATTCCCACTCTCTGGGTTGTTCTTCCCTCAGATATCTGCGTGGTTCCCTCAACTGCCTGCTTCTTGATTTTGCTTAAATTTCACCTTCCTAGCAGGGCCCATCCTGCGCATCCTGTGTAAAAACAGAAACCCATGATTCTCCCTACTCCCAAATTTAGTTTCCCACAAACTGCTTTATTCTCTATAGCACTCGTTAACTAGCTAATCTACAAAATAATGCACATATTTTTTATGTGTGTTGTTCATGTTCTCCCCCCGCCCCCCATTAAGATAGAGGCACCAATAAGGCAGGAATTTACCTTTTTTGCAATTGATGCTACTTGAAATTGTCCCAAGTACATCCTTGATACTCAATAAGTATGTTAAATTGATAAATGAACCAATAGCCTTCTGAGTAGTACCTGGACTTCACAACTAAAAACTGAACTCACTATATGTTTGTCCAAATGAGTCATGTCCATTTGTCCAAGCCAGATGGCTAGAATAGCCCTGGCCTTGCTGTCACCTACTCCACTTTCTCTTCTGTTTCCTCCTCGCCATCCCCACTGTCAGGTCCTCACCTTTGCTTTAGTCACAGCTTTAGCCATTGTCTCACTTTGCTTTAGTCATGGCAAGGAGTCCCTTAGGCCCCTCACCCCTGGAGTGACACCCATCTAATCTCCCTCTCAGGTAGCCACAGTATATTTCTCAAGTGTACATAGAATTGTGCCACTTTTTTTTTGTTCCCAATCTTTTGGTGACTCCCTATATGCTCAGGATAATGAACAAATGTCCCATCATTGTATATATATTTGTCAAAATGTGTCCTTGCCAAATGCCGCAGCCACATCTTCCACTTTGGTTTCTGTTTCTATGCATACCTGACTATCTTCCTGGTGTCCCACTGGCTCTCTTTCTCCCCTGCCTCTTCACATGCTATTTTCTTGACCTTGGAAATAGCCCTTCTCCACCTAGTTGGCTGTTCTTCCTTCTTTAAGGCACAATTCATGTTTTATCTCCCCCAGACTTAGTTTTATGTCCTCCTTCCTTTCCTGCTCCCTTATCCCTATCACCATTCTTTCCAGTTGGCAATTTCTGGTTATTCATTTATCTCCCACTCTGCATTGTAGATTCTGCTGGGCTGAAAGATGTCTTCTTCTTCTTCTTCTTCTTCTTTTTTTTTTTTTATTTGAGACGGGGTTTGACTCTGTCACCCAAATTGGAGTGCATTGGTGCAATCACGGCTCACTGCAGCCTTGACTTCCTGGTCTCAAGTGATCCTCCTGCTCTAGCCTCTCGAGTGTCTGGGACTACAGGTGCATGCCACCAAGCCCAGTTAATTTTTTTAATTTTGTAGAGATGGGGTCTTACTATGTTTCCTAGGCTAGTCTCCAGCTCCTGACGTCAAGTGATCCTCCTGCCTCAGCCTCCCAAAGTGCTAGGGTTATAGGTATGAGTCACTGTGCCCGGCTAAGAGATGTCTTTCAACTCAATATGAGTAAGGCCTGAGAAAGACTCTCATGTAGAATCATAACTGTTTTATAAACTAATATGTAAGGAGCTGAGGAAATGCTTGTATGCGTCACTTTCACTAGCTTCTGATGGTTCTCCTGGCATATGCAAATATTTTACTTCAGCACATAAGTCTAGAGAGATGAGAACTGCTCTACCATCAGCCAGATCTGGATGAAATTGTAGCACTTGTGGGGTAATATTTTAGGGGTTTAGAGTACAGCCAGACTAGTTAGTTTTCCAAATAGGTCTCATCTGGGCATTTCCTTGAATTTTTTTTTTTTTTTTTTTTTTTTTGAGATGCAAGTCTTGTTTTGTCGCCAGGCGGAGTGCAGTGACGTGATCTCGGCTCACTGCAACCTCCGCCTCCTGGGTTCAAGGGATTTTCCTGCCTCAGCCTCCCAAGTAGCTAGGACTACAGGCATGTGTCACCATGCCAGGCTAATTTTTGTATTTTTAGTAGAGACGGGGTTTCACCATGTTGGCCAGTATGGTCTCAATCTCCTGACCTCATGATCTGACCACCTCAGCCTCCCAAACTGCTGGGATTGCAGGCGTGAGCCACCAAGCCCGGCCAAATAACTTTATTTTTTTTTTTAAAGCAGCATGCTAACAGCTTCTAAAAACAGGATATTTGTGCATATCTGTCATATATATGTGTATATACATATTCTCCTAGATGAAATGGAAAAATATGCTCACCTAGGCTTAACATTTTCAGTAATTACAGAGTAGGTACGAGCTTTTAGTTCCTTTTTTTCTACAGGCCCAAGAGCCTGGATACCAAATCCACTCTCTCTGGTTGAAGTATGAATGTTTGGGATGATTGACCTAGGTCAAAGTGAAAGAGACACTTCAGATGTTTAAGCATTTTTAGTTTTTTCGAGACAGAGTCTCATTCTGTCACCCAGTCTGGAGTGCAGTGGTGCAATCTTGGCTCACTGCAACCTCCACCTCTTGGGTTCAAGTGATTCTCCTACCTCAGCCTCCTGAATAGCTAGAACTACAGGCATGCACCACCTCTCCTGACTAATTTTTAAATTTTTAGTAGAGATGGGGTTTTACCATGTTGCCCGGGCTGGTCTTGAACTCCTGACCTCAGGTGATCCACCCACCTTGGCCTCCGAAAGGGCTGGGATTACAGGTTTGAGCCACCACCCCTCGGCCAGTTAAGCATTTTGAAAGGATAAAATTGTCAAGTGTCATCTAACACATGTCCAGGATATCTGGCCTACATTGAGGTCAGATGGTTGGGGGAGAAGCACAGAGGGAGGAGGAAAGGATACGTCATCCCATCTTATATATAATCTAGGAAAGAAAGGTGAGGGCCCACCAAGGCAAATGGGTGATGGGAAATGAGACAGCTGCAGGTAGCACTGAGCATCCTTCTAGTTTCAAGACAGGAACATTGGGCCAGGGGTTAGGTCTGGCAGGCTGACAGTCAAAGCCAGGGATGCATGACAATGATACCTAAATAGTTTTCTCTACTCCTCACAGTGGAACTGCTTGATACCACTGTGTTGACTTCTGACTGGTCTCATCTGCCTCACAATGTGTGGGCTTCCACCTTGTTTAGCAGGACAGAGAGCAGGTTTGGTTTGTTTGACATCTCTAGGTGGGACTGAGCCTCCATCCCAAAGTGTAAGGTCTATTCATGACTGATAGTGGCCTCTCTTTGCTTCTAGAGGAAGCTTTTGCTCCTTAGTTGATGAGATCCTCATTCTTTCACCAAATAAAATAAATCAATTGGTCACCCCAAATCTCTGTCTCTAGTGAGCCCTGACCATGCAAAAAAAGTGCCCCAAAAGCAAGACTGTTGCTTGCCATGTCCACACCAGAAAGGAAATTGCTGTAACCAAAGCTAGGAACACAAATGCTTCCAAGCACATGTATTTTCTCGATGGTTCTGAAAGGGGGCTGAGCACAGTGGCTCACGTCTGTAATCCCAGCACTTTGGGAGGCTGAGGTGGGCGGATCACCTGAGGTCAGGAGTTCAAGACCAGCCTGGCCAACATGGTGAAACCTTGTTTGTACTAAAAATACAAAAATTAGCCAGGTATGATGGTGGTCACCTGTAATACCAGCTACTCAGGAAGCTGAGGCAGGGAGAATTGCTTGAACCTGGGAGGTGGAGGTTGCAGTGAGCCAAGATCATGCCACTGCACTCCAGCCTGGGAAACAGAGCAAGACTCCATCTCAAAAAAAAAAAAAAAAAAAAGTCAAAGGTGCTACTCTGAATGGATGGACTCTGGGTATTCTGACTGAAGGCAAGAATAGGAGTGGCTCCCTAATATTATATGCTGTTATACCCTCTGATTACAACAAATATGGTCCGGTCAGAACTATCTCAATCATTGTAGAAAGAGACATATATACAAACACAGGTATGGTGTGGTCTCCACCCATTATAGCCCTGTTCTTTGTCCAGGTGAGCCCTTACTGCTCTGATTGGGAGACAGGAATACAGGGACTTTTAAACACACATTTGCACCTGCAACAGATGTGCTACACCCAGTTGAACCCCAGGCACTCTGACTGAGGTCATAAGCTTTGTATTGAAGTCATCTGTCTCCAACCAGAGGTATGGCACTATCCTCTCTGATAGCAAATCAAGAGCACAGTGCTGGCATCTGGTGAAGACCTTCTTGCTATGTCGTTACATGGTGGAGCACATCACATGGCAAGAGCAAGAGCCTGTCAGCTCAGGTGTCTCTTCCTTTTACCAGTCCCATCATAGGGGTCCACCCTGATGACTTTATCTAATCCTCATTACCTCCCAAAGGCCCCCACCTTCAAACATATTTACATATGAATTTGGGGATTGAGTTTTTAATACACGAAATTTGGTTGACACATTCAAACCATAGCAGATGCCAAAGGTGGACATGGGGGAGTCAAATTCCCAAAAGCTGCCTGAGTGGTGCTGTCATTGGGTTCCAGGGCTGCAGTAGAGGTTAAGTAGGAAGGATTTCTGGGGGCTGCCAGGTTCTTCAAAGGGAAACAGCTGTTAACATTGCAGGGAGAGACAGGAAGATAACAGATGGGGAAATGGGCATGGTATCCATGTTGATTTCATCAGAGTAAAAGGCAGGCTTGGATGCCAAGTCTGAAGAGGGTCTGCTTACTATAGTGGAGGTGACTGCAGAAGCAGTGGTAGGTGGGCCAGAAAAGACAGGGCATTGAAGAGAGTGGTTTCCTGTTGATGCCTGTCTGGAACCCTAGATTTCAGGTGATAGGTGTTTCTTGGGTCAAAAGGCAATGTTGGAAATTCAGGTAGGGCTGTTGACCATAAAAGCAGGTGGGCTGGTGGAGACTGTGTTCTTTACAAGGGATATCTGCTCCATACTGGGATGGAACTGGTCAAATGGGAGGATACTCATCCTGGATCCTATGGGAGACCAGGAGATGAAAACCTGTGAAAAGGGATTGGTATCCATGCAGTTTATACCAAAGTACAAAGTAGGCTTGAGGTTGAGTCTGCAGATTACTGGCTGTGATAGTGAAAATGCTTGAGGCACCAGTGATGGGCCGGTCTATGAAGATGGGCATACAGGTGGAAGAGTCTGTAAGAAAAAGGGAGAAAAATCCACAATGACTCAATTCTGATTAGATGACTAGATAGATTCTGATTAGATTACTAAACTGATAGATGACTCAATTCTGCAGGAGGTAGACTTGAAGCAAAGGCCAAGGGGTTAGGAGATGTGGTGAGGTCAAAAGTAGAGATCTAGGCCAGGCGTGGTGGCTCACACCTGTAATCTCAGCACTTTGGGAGGCCGAGGCAGGCAGATAACGAGGTCAGGAGATAGAGACCATCCTGGCCAACATGGTGAAGCCTCGTCTCTACTAAAAATACAAAAATTAGCTGGGCATGGTGGCACATGCCTGTAGTCCCAGCTGCTCTGGAGGCTGAGGCAGGAGAATCACTTGAACCCGGGAGGTGGAGGTTGCAGTGAGCCAAGTTCGCACCACTGCACTCCAGCCTGGTGACAGTGCGAGACTCCGTCTCAAAAAAAAAAAAAAAAAAAAAAGTAGAGATCTGGGCTGGGTATGGTGGCTTACATCTGTAATCCCAGCACTTTTGAGAGGCTGATGCAGAAGGATCACTCAAAAGCAGGAGTTCCAGACCAGCCTGGGCAACATAGCAAGACTCCATCTCTAGAAGAAAAAAATGCCTGTAGTCCTAGCTGCTCTGGAGGCCGAGGTGGGAGGATTGCTTGAGCCCAGGAGTTTTAGGCGGCAGTGAGCCATGATTGCACCACTACGTTACAACCTGGGTGACAGAGCAGGACCCTGCCCCACCACCCCCCAAAAAAATCTGCAGATGAGGGACTGAAATGGAAATGGCTTTTATTCCCATAAAGGGGAACTCCCAAAATGATATTGAACCTAAGGGGAGAAACAACAAGAATAGGAAAAAAAAAAAAAGGAGAGTTAGGATATGGGCATTTCATTTAATGATCTGTATATGGGGTGAGGACTGGTACAGGGGCAGAAGGGACTGGGGGCCTGGAAGACAGGACAGCCAAGTCAGTGGCTGGTAACATGGTAGTATCAGCAAACTACAAGGTGAAAATGGCCAAGGGTGGGGTGCCTGCCATCTCTGCAACAAGCAGGAAGAAAGAAGGGGCAGGCTGAGGGGCACTGCACTGCTATCTGAAGGGGCCTTGGCTTTATCTTCTAAGAACATGTGGTTAGACTGGGGCTCTGCTTTCTTCTTCAAGCCTACATCTTCTCCAACGACTATACAAAAAAGCTTAGGAGAGTTTGGGCAGCTCACCTTGACCTCAAAAAATAGCAGCGGCAGTGGCAGCAGCGGGCGAGTTGGAACTTTGTTTACAGAGTCTACAACTGGCAGACGTGGGTTGAGAGTTCCTGTTTGAAACCCTTCCTCCCTGCATCTTCTCTGTCTTCAGAGAGAACTGGACCTCCAGAGAGGCAGGAATCCCCTAGCAGCACTGCCTGAGCTGGTGATGGCATGGCCTTTGATGAATGAGCTCATACAATATCTCTTCACTTTCTCATCTAAGGCGTCTTCTGGGGGTTGGAGTGGAGGTTTCCCTTCAATGGCCCGGGTAGGATTTCGTTGTCTTGGGGGTAGATCTGAAGACTCACTCCCACTGCGATGGGTGGGGGTAAGGGAGCTTCTCTGATCGCGCTGGGGTCGCTATTTATACTCATCCTCCACCTTCGCTATCCCTGGCTGCTGTCTCCTAGGGTCCTCATCTCAGTCTTCCTGCGCAGGGATCTAGGCAGTATGGATGGGACCGACCTCACAGAGGAGACTGCCTACCTCAGATAGCAATAGAGGAGAGTCGGTTTGGGCCCTGGATGACAGATCGTAACTGTCCTGAGTGGCTGGACATCTTAGAGTGAACAGCAGACAGCACCGGCTTCATGTGAGAGTCCTGCCTGGACATTGAGGATGGATCCGAGAGAGAAGCGCAGAGCCTGACGGATCAGACACCACCACCCCTTAGCGGCGACGAAACCGAGCGGTAAACGCGCTGGATCGTGAGAAGCACTTGTCTAGCTAGGCCAAGGAGAGAGGCGCAGGGAGAGCGAGGTGATCCAGACCAGACAGGGAACCCTGCGGGGCGTGGCGGGGCCGGGGGTGAAGCTTGCAGAGGTAGTTGCCCGTGAAGAGCAGCTTGTGCGCTGTTGGATCCTTGGAGTGGAGTGGGAACTCCGAGGTGAAGCGCACCGTGTTCAGCCCGATGCCGGTGAGCGGCCGTTGGAACGCGTGGCAGAGAAAGCTTGCGCGAGCCCAGGGCGCGAAGAAGTACAACAAAGGGCCAACGGGGAGGTCCAACGGTCCGACCCCAGCCGGACTCGAGCTCACTCGGTTGCAGGCGTTAGGCTCCCAGCGGCTCTCAGCCGTTAAGTGGAGAATGTTCAGGACTGTCGAGGCGCGCTCCGCACCTGGCCTGAAAGCGGGAGATTTGGCAACCAGTGCGCGTGGGTGCGCCGGCCCTTGCAGCTGGGGACTCTGGAGGCAGACCTTGCCCAAAGCCAGAGGCAGGAACTCCCCAGATCCTCCCAGGGTAGGGAGCTGGCTCACAGGGAAGGTGCCTGGGGAGGGGCCGGGCGGTGCTGTCTCCTGACTCCGCCCAGGCAGCCCCGCCGCTGCAGCCGGCCTGGGCTAAGGTGGGGAGAAGACACCAGCACAGGCAGGGAGCAAGAGCCCCCAGCTGCTTCCTTTCAGGCAGCCGCCACAGAGGACCCAGTTTCCCTTCTCTCTTCTCTATGCAGGTAGCATGGGAGGATGCCGCCTCCTCCAGGAAGCTCTCTAGCGCTTTTCCGAGTCCTGGAGCCAGGCGGGACTTCTCTGTGGTCGCCTAGAAGGGTATGAACTTAGGGCATCCCCATCTGGGCTGTGAAGGTTTCTGACTTGGGGACCAGGTGCTCAGACCTTCCTGGATGCTGCTTTCCACAATATCTCTACCAGGCAGGCAGGTTCTCTTCATTTTGCAAATTTGGTGAAACAGCATTTGTAAAACTTTAGAAGCTTCCTTGGCTCACACAGGTGGTAGTGGCCCTGTCAGGATTTGACCCAGGCTCTCGGATTCCAGAGTTCCTGAATTTAACCACCTGTACTGTGATGCCTCCTTATCATGTGTGCATCGTGCATTACTATTTTTTATAGCCTGTAGGGTACTGAGCACCATGCACACCTACAGTGATCACAGGCACTGCCTACTGGAAGGTCTTCTTTGGCTGGGTTCCAGTTTCCTCAGACGATGTAGGGCAGGGAGTTCCACTTGTTAGCATATCCCACAGGGCCTTTCTCTTCAAATGGACCCCAGCAGCCAACCACACAGCTGCCTCAGCAAGCGTAGGAGATGGCACATCAGGTGGGTGCAAGATTCACCCTGGCTTAAAATCCTTGTGCCCCAAGGGACCAGGATCTCCTGTAATAATTCCACAGAACAGATTTCAGAGTTTGGCCAAAATGGAAAACTTAGCAATATTAACTTTTCTAATCCATCTCACGGGATATATCTCCATATATTTTAATCTTTTACATTTTTTTTCTCAGCAATGTTTTATACCAAGGGTCAGCAAATTTCAGCCCATGGGCCAAATGTGGCCTATAGTCTGTTTTATTTTTATTTTTGAGAGGGAGTCTCGCTCTGTCACCCAGGCTGGAGTGCAGTGGCACGATCTTGGCTCACTGCAACCTCCACCCACCCCCGGGTTCAAGCGATTCTCCTGTTTCAGCTTTCTGAGTAGCTGAGATTACAGGCGCCCACCACCATGCCCGGCTAATTTTTGTATAAAGCAGAGACGGGTTTCACCATGTTGGTCAGGCTGGTCTCGAACTCCTCACCTCAAATGATCCACCTGCTTTGGCCTCCCAAAGTGCTGGGATTATGAGTGTGAGCCACCACGCCCCACTCATAGCCTGTTTTTGTAAGGCCGGTTAGCTAAGAATGATGTTAACGTCTTTAAAAGGTCTTTAAAAACAACAGAAAATTCCAGAGAATATGTGACAGAGATCATACGTGACCTATAAAACCTATATTATTTACTCCCTGACCCTTTACAGAGAAAGTTTGCAGCTACTCTTTTGTAGTTTTCTGTGTATAGGTCTTACTCAGCTTTTGCTAATTTATCCCTAAGTATGTTATGGGATTTGCAAATGTTATTTTCAAATAGTTCATTGGTAGAACACAGAAAATGCATTAAATATATATGTATATATAGTACTTGTATACACACATACATATATACACACACACCTTATATTATTGGGATCTTGCTAAATTCATTGTTTATTTTTGGTAGATTTTTTTTTTTTGCAGATTCCTTTGGGTTTTCTACATGTATTTTCCATGCATCATGTATGAATAAAGTCAGTTTTACTTCTCTTTCCACCTGCATGCCTTTTATTTCTCTTTCTTACCTTCTATGTTTGCAGAGACCAACAATTGTCAGCACAGCAAAACTGGGCATTTCTTTTCTTACTGAGCTTTGCAGCTACCTACACAGTTGTGTGTGGCATCTCCTCCTGGGTGCAAGGACATGAGATGACATCAGGTGGGTGCAGGATCTATCCTGGCTTAAAAGCCTATGCCCCATGGACACCAATATCTCTGGTAATAATTTCATGGACAACTTTCAGGGTCCTGGTTGAAATGGATGACTTACCTTTCTTAAATGTCATCTTAAGTGGATGACTTAACTTTTTCCAGTCCACTATCATGGTATGCATTTTGTGTATATGTGTGTGTGTACATATAGATAGACATTTATATATATATATATGCATGTATATATATGCACATACTCACATATATGTGTATATATACATGCACATATATATCTACGTCTATCTATCTGTCTATTGGTATGTAGTAGGATACAGCAAAAATAATTGCTTTTTTATATGGCACCTCAGTAAATTCCTTTCTTATCTCTTGTAGTTTCTTTGTATATCGGGTAGTGTTTTCTACATATACAATTATGTTTTCTATGCATATTCTTTTTAATCTGTATGATTTTATTTTTCTTACCTTTTACAGTTACTGTGATCTCCAGTAAAATGTTTAATACAAGTGGAGACAATAGATAACCTTTTCCAACTCCTGATCGGGGGGTGGAAAGTGCTCAGTGTGCTATTAACTTAAGGCTTTTATAGATGTGCTTTATCATGTAAAGGCTGTTCCCTCCAATTCTTTCTATACTGAGAAATTTTTTCAAAGAGGTGTTAAATTTTTTCAACCCATGTCACAAATCTGCATATGTACTCCCCTAAACCTAAAATAAAAGTTGGAAAGAAAAATAAAACTATTACTTGAAACCCATGTTGTCATAGAAAAGATGTTTTTATAAATTAAGTAATGATTGCTTGTGAACTATTGTGTCTGGAGTCAAAGGTGTATTAAAATTAATCTCAGAACTCTTGCCATAACTACAAAAACAAATATGCCAGGCCACAAAAAAATACATGTTAAAAAGTTTTGTGCATCAAAAGACACTATCTAACAGAGTGAAAAGACAACCCAGGCAATTGGAAAAAATACTTGTAAATCATATATTTGAGAAGGGATTGATATCCAGAATTAAAATTTTTTTCAATTACTTTGTCCAAAGCTGAGATAATCATATGACTTTTTGTTTGTTCTCTTAATATGGTGAATTACATTTTAAATTTTGAGTGTTAGACCAACCTTACATATCTGAGACAAACCCTACTTGGTCATGCTAGGTCATTCTTTTCTATTTGGTTGAATTTAATTCCCAGAGATGTTGTGAAAGAATTTTATGTCAGCAGGGCGCGGTGGCTCATGCCTGTAATCCCAGCACTTTGGGAGGCTGAGGCGGGTGGATCACCTGAGGTCAGGAGTTTGAGACCAGCCTGACCAACGTGGTGAAACACTGTCTCTACTAAAAATACAAAAATTAACCGGGCGTGGTGGTGCATGCCTGTAGTTCCAGCTACTCGGGAGGCTGAGACAGGAGAATCGCTTGAACCTCCCAGGCAGAGGTTGCAGTGAGCCGAGATTGTGCCACTGCACTTCAGCCTGGGTGACAGAACGAGAAGAAAAAAAAAAAAGAATTTTATGTCTATGTTCATGAGGTTTATTAATCTATTGTGTCCCTTTCTTGCTAGGTTTTTATATTAGGGTAATGTCAGTTACACAGAATGAGTTAGGAAAAATTGCTTTCTTTATTCTCTGAAAGAGTATGTTTAATGCTGGTAAAACATCTTTCTTATATGTTTGATAGAATTAACCATTAAAATCATTCAGACCTGCAGTTTTCTTTTTGGAAAGATATTTTTAGTTCCTTTTTGTACTTTTAATAGTCTTTCAGATCTGCATTCATGCCTCATTTTTATTCATTATATTGGTAATTTTTGTTTTGTTTTTACACTTTATTGAGATATAGTTCACATATTCATATAATTTACTCATTCAAAGTGTATAATTCAGTGTTTTGTAGTATATTTATAGATATGTACAACCATTACCAGAGTCCATTTTAGAACCTTTTATCATCTCAAGAAAACCCTCTATTTTTCAGCTACGAGCCTATATCCTTCAACCCTTGGAAGCCACTGATCTGCTTTCTGTTTCTATGGATCCCCTGTTCTGGACATTTCATATAAATGGAACTGTATGATATATGGTCTTTTGTGTCTGGCTTTTTTCACTTGGCATAATGTTTTCAAGATTCATCCATGTTGTAGCATGGGTGTTTTTATGGCTAAATAATATGTGTTTTTATGACCAAATAACATTCTATTATATGGATGTACCGCTTTTGTTTACCCATTAATCACCTGGGCATTTGGATTGTTTCTACCTTTTAGCCATTATGAATAATGCTGCAAACACTCATATACAAGTTTTTGTGTGGGCATGGGTTGCTTTCATTTATCTTGGGTACATGCTTTGAAGTAGAATTACTAGGTAATACAGTAACTCTTTTTGATAGTTTGAGAAACTGACAGATTGTTTTCCAAAGTGGCTACACCGTTCAACATTCCCACCAACAGTGTTTGAGGTTCCAGGTTCCAATTTCCCCAGGTTTTTGCCAACACTTTTTGTTATCTGACTTTTTGATTCTAGCCATCCTAGTGGGTATGAAATGGCACATCATTGTGGTTTTGACTTGCATTTCTCTAATGACTAATGTTTCTAACCATCTTTTTGTTTGCAAATTGACCATTTTTATGTCTTCTTTGGAGAAATGTCTATTCGTATCCTTTGCTTATTTTTAAATAGGTTTTTATCTTTTATTATTGAGTTGTAAGAGTTATACATTAGGAGTACAAGCCTCTTACCACGTATATGATTTGCAAATATTTTTTCCCATTCTATGGGTTTTACTTTCAATTTCTTGATGCTATCTTTTGAAGCACAAAAGTTATTCATTTTGATGTGGCAAAACATTTATCTAGTTTATCTTTTGCTTGTTATTTGCTGCCACATCTAAGAAACCATTCCCAAAATCAATGTCATGAAGCTTTTTCTATATGTTTTCTTCTAAGAGTTTTATAGTTTTAACTCTTAATTTATGTAGTCAATTCACCTTGAGTTAATTTTTGTATATGGAGCAAGGCAATGGTCCAACTTTATTCTGTTGCATGTTACTATCCAGTTGCCCCAGCACTATTTGTTGAAAGATTACTTTTCCCCCATTGAATGGTCTTAGCACCTTTGTTAAAAAATCAGTTGACGAAAGATATATGGGTTTTGTACTTGTACTAGGTCCAAAATGGTAGAGTAGAAGCAAGCTGGCTTCACTCTCACCACAGAAACAGAAACAAATATCCAGCACAAAGATAATCACCAGCAATATCCCAGAACTCAAATGAGAGGGTCTCCTGGGCAGAAACCCCTAGTCAGCCTTCCCACCCTGCCAGGGTAGCCCCTTTCGGACCTCCCTCATTCAGGATGGGCAAAGCTCAAAATGTTCACTAGAGCAAAGACACACCTGGGCTTAAGGTGCCACCTAGCACCATAAAGGAGAGAGTGACCTAGTGAAGAAGATACTCAACAGATAAACTACAAAGAATCTCTAAGCAAACATATCTAAGAAAAACAAAAACAAACCAGACAGAGAAAGCTGGAATAACTAACACATCCTTCAATGCAAAGACATAGATGTAGATCCATAAGAAACAACAGCAGACAGGGAACCATGACCTCCCCAAACGGACAAAGTAAGGAGCCAGTGACCAATCCTAGCAAGATGACAATAGGCAAACTCTATGATCAGGAATTCAAAACAGCAATTTTAAGGCAACACAGTGATTTCCAAGATAATACCGAAAAGCAATTCAGAAATTTATCAGAGAAATGTAACAAAATGATTGAAATAATTAAAAAATCAAACAAGATTTATGGGTTTATTTCATGCAATTGTAGACAATTCTATTTTATTGATCTATATGTCTATCCTTGTGCCAATACCACACAGTCTTGATTACTATTGCATTGCAATAACTCTTGTTTTCTTTTGTTTTGTTTTTGTTGTTTTTGAGACAGGGTCTTGCTGTGTCATCCAGGCTGGAGTGCAGTGATATGAGCATGGCTCACTGCAGCCTCGACCTCCCAGCTTCAAGCAATGCTCCCACCTTGGCCTCCCAAAGCGCTGGGATTACAGGCATGAGCCACCATGCCTGGCCATTGCCATTGCAGTAAGTTTTGAAATCAGTAAGTGTGAGTTCTCCTACTTTGTTTTTTCTCTTTCTTTCTTTCTTTCTTTCTTTCTTTCTTTCTTTCTTTCTTTCTTTCTTTCTTTTCTCTTTCTTTCTTTCCTTCTCCTTCCTTCCTTCCTTCTTTCCTTCCTTCCTTCCTTCCTTCCTTCCTTCTTTCTTTCTTTCTTGCTTTCTTTCTTCTTCTTTTTTATTTTTTATTTTTATTTGAGATGGAGTCTCACTCTGTCACCAGGCTGGAGTGCAGTGGCATGATCTTGGCTCACTGCAACCTCCGACTCCCTGGTTCAGGCAATTCTCCTGCCTCAGTCTCTCGAGTAGCTGGGATTATAGGCATGTGCCACCACGCCTGCCTAATTTTTATATTTTTAATAGAGACGGGGTTTCACCATGTTAGCCAGGATGGTCTCGATCTCTTGATCTTGTGATCCGCCCGCCTTGGCCTCCCAAAGTGCTGGGATTACAGGCACGAGCCACCATACCTGGCCTAGTTTTTGTATTTTTAGTAGAGACGGGATTTCACCATGTTGGTCAGGCTGGTCTCGAACTCCTTACCTCAGGTGATCTGCCCGCCTTGGCCTCCCAAAGTGCTAGAATTACAGGCGTGAGCCACTGCGCCCGGCTGTTTTTCTTTTTCAAAATGTTTGGCTACTTAGGATTCCTTGCAATTCCATATGAATTTTACAATCACCTTATCACTTTCTACAAAGTGGTCAGCTGGGATTCTGCTAGAGACTGCTTTGAATCTGTAGATCAGTTTGGGGAATATTGTCATCTTAAACAATATCAAGCCTTCTTATTCGTGAATGTGCATTCTTTTTCCTATTCTGTAGATATTTTTGACTCTCTTTAAACAATGTTTTGTAGTTTTCAGAGTATATGTTGAAAATGTTTTTGTTAAATTTATTCGTAAATGTTTTACTCTTTATGATGTTACTGTAAATGAAATTGTTTACTTAATTTTAGTTTTGGATGATTCATTGCAAGTGTATAGAAATACAATTGATTTTTGTATATTAATTTATATCTTATAATACTGCTGAACTAGTTTATTAGTTCTAATAGATTTTTCATTGGATTCTTTTGGACATTCCCCACAAAATAACTCTAATCTGCAAATTTCTCTAGCTAAAGACTCAAGTACAATAATAAATAAAAGTGATGAGAGTAGACATTATAATCTTGTTTTTTTGTTTTGTTTTGTTTGTTTGTTTTTTTGAGACAGAGTCTCACTTTGTCACCCAGGCTGGAATGCAGTGGCACGATTACAGCTTACCACAGCCTTGACCTCCTGGGTTCAGGTGATCCTCCCACCTCAGCCTCCCAAGTAGTTGGGACTACAGGTGCCCACCACCATGCCTGGCTAATTTTTTTGTAATTTTTGTAGAGACAGGGTTTTGCCATGTTACCTAGGCTGGTCTTGAACTCCTGGGCTCAAGCGATCTGGCTGCCTCAACCTCCCAAAGTGGTAGGATTACAGACATGAGCCACTATGCCCAGCCTATAATCTTGTTTGTAAACTTAGAGGGAAAGCATCCAAATTTAATCATTATGATGTTTGCCGTGGGTTTTTTGTACTTGCTCTTATCAGGTTGAGGAAGTTCATTTTTATACTACTTTGTTGAGTTTTTAAAAAATTATTATTATGGCCAGGCATGGTGGCTCACACCTGCAATCCTAGCATTTTGGAAGGCCAAGGCCAGCAGATTGCTTGAGTTCAGCAGTTTGAGAACAGCCTGGGCAACATGGCAAAACCCCATCTCTATATTAAAAAATAAAAATAATTTAAAAAATTATTATTATGAAAAGATGTTGAATTTTGTCATATGTTTCTTCTGCATGTGTTGAAATGACCATATGATTTGTTTTTTGTTCTACTGATATTATGTATTACAATAGTTTATTTTTGGATGTTAAACCAACCTTGCATTGCTAGCATACATTCTTTTTATATATTGCTGGGTTTTGTTTACTAGTATTCTGCTGAGAGTTTTGCATCCATATTCATAAGAATCATATTGGCCTGTACTTTACTCTTCTTATGATGTCTTTGTCTTGTTTTGGTATCAAGGTAATACTGGCTTCATAAAATGAGTTAACTGTCCATAAAATGAACAGTTCACAAAGAATTGGTATTAATTCTTTGTTAAATGTTTAGCAAAATTCAGCAGTAGAGCCATCTGGACCTGGAATTTTTTTTTTTTTTTCAGATGGAGTCTTGCTCTGTTGCCCAGGCCGGAGTGCAGTGCAGTGGAGTGATCTTGGATCACTGCAGCCTCCACATCCTGGGTTCAAGCAATTCTCCTGCCTCAGCCTCCTGAGTAGCTGGGACTACAGGCATGCACCACCACACCTGGCTAATTTTTTTGTTTTTGGATTTTTAGTAGAGATGGGTTTCACCATGCTGGCCAGGTTGGTCTTGAACTCCTGACCTCAAGTGATCTGGGTGGCTTGGCCTCCCACAGTGCTGGGATTACAGGGGTGAACCACTCCTCCTGGCCTGGACCTGGAATTTTTTGTGGGTGGTTTTTTGATTATGAATTAATTACTCCTCACTTGTTGTATGCCTATTAGATTATCCTATTTCTTCTCAAGTTAGCTTTCATAGTTTCTGTGATTCTAGGGATTTGTTCATTTCACCTAAATTATATTATTTCTAGGTATAAAATTGTTCATAGTATTCCTTTATAGTTCTTTTAATTTCTATAATGTTGATAGTAATGTTTCCTCTTTCATTTCTGATTTTGGTAATTTGAATCTTTTCTCCTTTTATCTTGGTCAGTATAGCTAAATGTTTGCCAATTTTTTATCGAATGGACTGATATTTTATTATTGAGTTGTAGCAGTCCTTTGTTAGACACATATTTTGCAAATATTTTTTCTTGTTATAGTTTACCTTTTCATTTTTTGAATTCTGCCTTTTTTGAACAGTATTTTTTTTTTTTTTTTTTTTTGAGATGGAGCCTCACTCTGTCGCCCAGGCTAGGGTGCAGTGGCACGATCTCCACTCACTGCAACCTCCCCCTCCTAGGTTCAAGCGATTCTCCTGCCTCAGCCTCCTGAGTAGCTGGGACTACAGGCATACACCACCATGCCCAGCTAATTTTTTTGTACTTTTAGTAGAGACAGGATTTCACCATGTTGGCCAGGATGGTCTCGATCTTTTGACCTTGTGATCTGCCCGCCTCGGCCTCCCAAAGTGCTGGGATTACAGGGGTGAGCCGTGCCCAGCCTGTTTTGTTTTGAGACAGAGTCTTGCCCTGTCTCCCAGGCTGGAGTGCAATGGCACAATCTCGGCTCACTGCAACCTCTGCCTCCTCCCGGGTTCAAACGATTCTCCTGCCTCAGCCTCCCGAGTAGCTGGGATTACAGGCGCCTGCCACCACACCCAGCTAATTTTTGTATTTTTAGTAGAGACAGTTTCACCATGTTGGCCAGGATGGTCTCAAACTCCTGACCCCATCGTCTGCCCACCTCGGCCTTCCAAAGTGCTGGAATTACAGGCGTGAGCTACCACGCCCAGGCTGAGTTCTCAGGTTTCTTATGGATTCTTTAGAATTCTCTATATGTACGATCATGTCATCTGCAAACATGGACAATTTTACTACATCTTTCTTTCTAATTTGGATGCCTTTTATTTATTTCACTTCCTTAATTGCTCTGGCCAGGACTTCCAGTAGTAAGTTAAGTAGAAGTAGTAAGAGCAGGAATCCTTGCCTTGTTCTTAATTTTAGAGGAAAAGCTTTCAGTTTTTCACTGTTGACTGTATGTTAGCTATGGCCTTTTCCTATTGGCCTTTACTGTGTTGAGATACATTCCATGTAACCTAATTTGTTGAGATATTTTTCCTTATGAAAGGGTGTCAAATTTCATCAAATGCCTTTCCTGCATATTCCAATTTCCAAAAGCTGAGTTGTGCTGCCATTGGGTTTCAGAGCCACATAAAATGATTTTTATCCTTCATTATGTTAATGCAGTAAATCACATTAATTGATTTTCATATATTGATCCCTCCTTGCATCTCAGGGATAAATCCCACTTGATTATGGTGTCTGATTATTTTAATGTGCTGTTAAATTCAATTTGCTAATACTTTGCTAAGGATTTTCGCATCTATGTTCATCAGGGATATTGGCCAATAGTTTCTTCTTGTGCTGTCTTTGGCATTGGTGTCAGGGTAATGCTGGCCTCATAAAATGAGTTTGGAAGTGTACTCTCCTCTTCAGTGTTCAATTTCCACGTATTTGTGAATTTTCCAGTTTTCCTTCTGGTGTTGACTTCTAGTTTCATTCCACTTAGCTCAGAAAAGATACTTGATATGATCTTCTTAAATTTGTTATTTGATCTTTTTCCTTAGCTTCAGCTGGCTCTCCTAAACTGTGAATTATCTTAGAAAAGACTGTATTTTCCAGGAATTAAGTCTACTGGAGACATGGCAGGACTCTATAGCCACCCAGATCTAGATAAAATTATAATTGATCTATACCCGAGAATATTTTATGTGGGCTTGAGAATGATGTGTATTCTGTTGCTATTGGGTGAGATGTTCTGTATATGCCTGTTAGGCCTATTTGGTCTTCAGTGTTGTTTAAGTCTTGATTTTACTAATTGATCTTCTGTCTGCATGTTCTATCCATACAGAAAGTTAGGAATTGAAGTCTCCTATTATTATTATAAAGTGTCTATTTCTCCCTTTATTCCTGCCAATGTTTGCTTTATATATTTAGGTGTTCTTATGTTTGGTTCATATATATTTATAATTGTTATATTTTCCTGATGAATTAACCCATGTATCATTATATAATGTCCTTTGCTGTCTCTTACGGTAGTTTTTGACTTAAAGTCTATTTTGTCTAATATAAGTGTAGCCACCTGACTCACTTCTGGTTACTATTTGCATGGAATATCTTTTTCCATTCATTCACTTTCAAACAATGTATGTCCTTAAATCTAAAGTGAGTTTCCTGTAAACAGAATATAGTTGGGTAATTCTTTTTATCCATCCAGCTACTCTGTGTCTTTTGATTGAGAAATTTAATCTATTTATATTTAAAGTAATTATCGATAGGGAAGGATTTACAATTTTTTTTTGTTCATTGCTGTTAGTCTAGTTCTGTTAGTTTCTGAAGAAATGATATTCTTAGTTTTGTGTTCCTACTGCTCCCATATCCCTACTAGTAACCCCTCCGATTTTACTTTTGATATATTCACCCATCACTCCTACTATATTGTAAATTCCTTTGAGGCAATAGATGCCTTTCAGCTATATGTCACTAGGCTCAAGCACAATGTCTAGTGTAGAATCAACTCTGAATAAGTATTTAGTAAAATAATATGTCTAAGCTAAGGGAAATGCTTACATTTTTCTTTTTCCCCCAGCTTCAGCTGGTTCTCCTGAACCTTGAATTATCTTAGGAAAGATTGTATTTTCAGGAATTAAGTCTATTGGAGACACAGCAGGACTCCACAGCCAGCTAGATTTGGATAAAATGGTAAGGACTGTAATTTGCTATTTTAGGGTTTTATACTAGAGCCAGACCAATTACTTTTCCAAATAGACCTTATCTAGGTATTTTCTTGAAAAAATGATCTTTTCTGAATTTTCATGGAGCATGAAAACACTTCTATATAATATGTGACATCCTAGTCTTAAAATTTCCAATAATCACAAAGGAGCCATGAGCTTTTTCTTCCTTTTTTTCTTCTAGACATAAGGGCCTCTATACCATACCCATCCTCTTTGGTCGAGGTGTGAATATGTGGGGATGATTTTCTTAAGTCTAAATGAAAGAGAAAGACACAAATGAGACATTTAATTATTTTCAACCAAATTTGTTAATTTTGTTTCCCTAACACACATCGGGGGTGGTCTGGCGTACGACCAAATCAGAGTGATGGAAGAGGAGCACAGAGGGAAAAGGCAAGGGAGGGTCACCCATCCCTTCCTCCTTTGAGCTTCCCTTCCTCATGGCTGCTATCCTTTACATCAAAACACAGAGATGTCAGATGTCAGCCTGTGCAGTTGTAAAGTGTGGCTATGCCACCTCCTATTTGCTGAGCCATAGAACTTTGAAAAGTTACATCTGCCTCAACACAGCACCACTTATAGAAAGAAGTCAATTCTTCTTCCACCGTTGACTAAAATAGAAAAGACATGTAAGCAGAGAGGATCAATGAACAAAAGGAAGGCATTCTCTCTCTCTCTCTCTATATATATATATATACACACACGTGATGTATATATGTATATATATACACATACATATACATTATATGTGTGTGTATATATATATACACATATAACATATATGTGTGTGTATATATATATGTGTGTGTGTGTTTATCAGTCTAGGAAAGAAAGAAAAGGGCCCACTGAGGCAAATGGGCTGGACCAAAGGAGGCAGCTACAGGCAGCAAGGGGTCCTGCCAGCGTAAGATGGCAGGAAAACTGGCCCATAGCTTGGTTCTACCAGACTGAGAAGTTGAAACTGGGTATGGTGTGGTGGATATACTTACTGATCTTTTTCTTCTTTCCACAGTAGACTGCCTCAAGGCCAGTGTGTTGACTTCTGACCAGTCTCATCTGAACCCACACCCTTTAACATATATACAAAACACCTGAAGGGTTGGGCTGCCAGCTTTCTTTAGGATGATAGAGGGCAGGTTAAGTTTGTTTGACATAACTAGAAGAGGTGGAGCCTCTTCCTAATGGAGCAAGGTCCATTTATGGCAAACTGTGGTCCCCCACCACTATCAGCTACTTCTGGATAGCTTTTGCTTAAAGTTGATGAGATATTGTTTCTTTCACTAGAAGAAAATGAATGAGTTGGTGATCCCAAACTTTGGCCTCCAAAGGAAGCCTGGGCAGGTGACAAATGTGTCCTAAGCGAGACTGCTGCTTCCATGCTCATGCTGGAGGTACATTTGCCCTGAAAGATGGAGCAAAAGTGCTGAAGCTTAGCACAGAGGATTAATGAATAAGAACAAGGCTATGTTATATCATATTTGTATAGCAATCTGGAAAAGAAAGAACGGGGCTTGTTAAGGCAAATGGGCAAGACAAAACGGGATATCTATAGGCAGCAAGGGGTCCTGCCAGTCTAAGACTAATGGAAAACTGGCCCATAGCCAGGTATTTTCTCAATGGTGTTCACTACACCAAGTCAGAGGGCTACTTTGTCTAGATAGAGCCCAGGTATTGTGAGTGAGTGCAGGAATAGAAGTGTCTTCCTAAAGGTGTATGTATGGTGTTCTCCTGGGAGACTGTAACAGATGTGCCCTGGGCAAGACCACGCCAGCAGCTGTCAATGATGCTGAGCATACAAATACCCTGGAGCCCAGGAATGGGGCTGCCTCCGCCCAGTGTATCACCTGTGCTCCAGACTGTGTACCCCAGGTCCTCTGCCAGTAGCATCTCCAATCACAGGTGAAATGCCAGCCCTTCAAACAGCACAGGTGGGCCCTAGGTGTCTGATGGAAGGAATGAACAGATATATCACGTGGCATGCATTTCTTCTCAGTGGTGCAGGTATCTCCAGCAGGTTTGCTCTGGCCAGGTGGGCCCCAGTACTTAGACCATATGCAGGAAGAGAAGACTCTCTAAAAATAGGTATGATGTTGGCCCCTTCCATTGCAACACACGTGCCCTGGACAGGTGGGATTCAGGTGTTCTGGCTATAGGTAGGAACATAAAGGCATCCGAGCATAGATGCAGTGCTGGTCCCTTAGACTGCAACAGGTGTACTTTAGTTAGGTGTGCCCCAGGTGGCTTGACTGGGGCAGGAAGAGAAGGATCTCAGCACAGGTATGGTGCTGGTCCCTTCCACTGGAACACAAGTGCTCTGGCCAAACAGGTCCCAGGTGATCTGAACAAAAGGGGGAACAGCCATGTCTTCTGAAACACTCCTTCTCAGTGATCACAAATCTTCCAGTAGTAGTAGGCGTGTTTTGGCTGGGCTGGCACCAGGTGCTCTAACTACAGGTGGGAAGGAAAGTGTTTCCCAGGGCAGATTTGATTTGCTCTCAGCAGTGCCGGCTTCTCCAATTGCAGCAGGAGTGCATCAGGGCTGACAGGACCCTGGCGCTCAGGTCTAAGCCTCCCCCATCATGAGCTGTGGTACTGGCTGTCCCCCAGCCATTTTGCTCCAAAGCTAAGCGATCTAGATGTGGTGGTAGACTCTGCGTGGTAGACCCAATGACCCCAAAGCTTTTGCTATCCATAAGGGCTTCAGATCCCACAAATACAAATTGGCTTGGATTGGCATCAGCAAGAAATGAGCAACAGTCCTCAGTGTTGTGCTTTCTGGTAGCATTTCATGGCAAGAGTAAGAGTGTCCACACCAATGGGTAAAACACCCGAGGCACCACCATGGGCTGCCTGAATGCTGACATTGATGCCAAAGTGGACACGGGAGTGTTTAGTTCCCAAAAGCCAACTGAGTTGTGCTGCCATTGGGTTCTAGGGCTGCAGTAGAGGTTAAGTGTGAAGGGTTTTCAGGGGCTGGCAGGTTTCTCAAAGGGAAACAGCTGTTAACATTGCAGGGAGAGACAGGATGATAACAGATGGGGACATGGGCATGGTACCCATGTTGATTTCCTTAGAGGCAAAGTCAGGCGGAGACACCAAGTCTGAAGACGGGTTGTATACTGGAGTGGAGGTGACTGCAGAATCAGTGGTAGGTGGGCCAGAAAAGACAGGGCACTGGGGGGAGTGGTTCTCTGGCAAGGCCCTGAATCAGGACCCCCAGATTTCAGCTGGTAAGTGTTTCCTGAATCAAAAGCAAGCTTAGAAGTTCAAGTAGGGCTGCTGACCATAAAAGCAGGTGGGCTGGTGGGGATGATGGCCTTTGCAGGGGATATCCGCTCCACACTGGGATGGGCCTGGTCCAATGGGAGGAAGCTCACCCCGGATCTTGAGGGAGACCTGAAGAAGAAAGCTTGGAAGGAAGAGTACTATCCACATCAATTATAACACAGTCCAGGCAGGCTGGGAAGTCCAGTCTGCAGACAGGCTGCCTGGCATGCTAGAAGTGACTGCAGAAGCAGTGATGGGTTGGCTGGTAAAGACAGGGGTACTGGTGCAAGCAACTTGAGGAGGGGTCTGTAAGAAAAGGGGAGGAGAATCCACCTGCACAGGTGTATATGACTCCATTCTGCAGAAGGTAAGCTTTAAGGAGAGGGAGAAAGTTCTAGGACGTGTGGGTTAGGCAGAAGTAGAGGATCCCGCAAGTATGACCGAGGGACTGGAATGCAGAGGGCCCCTGTTCTCATTATTAAGTGGAATAGCAAATATAGGTTGGAATCCAAAGTGAGAAATAGCAGGAAGAGCAAAAGGAGAGTCAGGAACTGTGCATCTCATTTCATGATCAGTATCTGATGTGTGTGTAGGTACAGGGTCAGAGAGTATGAGTGGCCTAACAGGCCAGCCAAGTCAGTGACTGCTAATTTGGTAGTTTCTGGAATCTGCAAGGAAAAGGTGACCAATGGCAAAGGATCTGTGGCCTCCACAGCAGGTAGGGAGAACAGGAAGGCTGAGCTGCTACGCTGTCTGAAGGGACCTGAGAATTATTCTCCCACCCTGAGGTTCCCTTCGTGTTCAGGGTTCTCCAAGCTAAGGTCTTCTGCAGTAACTATGCAGGGAAGGTAGGAGATGGGGGCAGCTCTCCTCACTCTCACAACAGTGGCAATGGGGGCAGCAATGGCAGCAGCAGGGGCACTGACAATTTCTGTTTACAGAGACTACAACTGGCAGATGTGAGTGGAGAATTTCTCATTGACAGAGTATCTGAAAGCTTTCCTCTGTGAGTTGCTGTCTTTGACTTCAATGTGGCTGGAGAGCTGAGTTGATAATGGCCTTCATCAAGCTCTTCCTTTCTCTGGCAGCAGGAAGGAGAATGTGGCTGGCCATACAGCGCTGCTGCACCTCCTTCACTGCCATGAAGAGGCAGGAAGCCTCTAGCAGGCAGGACTATCTGGGCTGGTGATGGCATGATCTTTTGTGAACGAACTCATAGAAGACATCTGTAAAATCTAACCTCAGCTGTCTTCTGAGTGATTGGAATAGAGGCTTATCTTCAGGGGTTCAGGACTGCTCCCAAATATGTGATGCTACTGCTGGTTGCTAGGGACCTAGATGCTGATGGTACTCTCCCACTGCTATAGGGGCCCCTTTTCTCTAACTGCGTCTTCTCCCACACTGAGGATCTTCCTCCTTCAGTATCCATTTCCTTCATGCCCCTGGTATCTTCTTCTTGGTCTCCTTTAAGCAAGGATCTGGGGGGAGGTGTGAGTGGCTGTCCCAGGTCTTAGAGGTGACGAGGGAGGAGAGTCCATTTGTGCCTTGGAGGAGGGATCTTTGTCATTCTGGAGTGGCCACTTTGTGGTACAAGCAGACAGCAATGTCATTTTCAGAGAGTCCCCTTAGGATCGCCAGAGAGGAACACTGAGGTTTCCTGATGGGATACTGTCCTTTAGGGGTATATGACACCAGGATCCTGGTAGAACTACCAGGGAAAAAGCCAAAGTGGAGTGATCCCAGCCAGAAGGGGGAGCACGCTGGGTCAGGTTGAACGAGTGCATGATAGCATGGCCAGGCATGCGAGCAGGATGGGGGCAAACCTTGCTAAGCAAGTTGCCTATGAAGGGCAGTTTGTGCGCTGCCGGGTCCTTGGAGGATATGACATTTGGAGAGGTCTCCTCACTACCTGCTACCTCCATGGCAAACCAGGTACTGTTCAGCTTGATGCATGTGACACACGGGACATGCGACAGAGAAAAAGTGCCCCAGCTAAGGGCATATTGCCAGCAAAATGCATGAGGAAAAACATCGAAGGGCAAGAGGTCCAGAGGCTGAACCCCAGCAGGACTCTCTAGTACTTCTTGGCATTCCTATCATGGGTTGCAGGTGTTTGGCACCAGACAGTCTCGGTGGCAAGGTGGGACTCTCCAAGACTGAACTCCAGGAGCCTACATAACTGTCACTTCCATGTCTGCAGGCACCTCAGTGCCACAGGGCAAATTTACCTCAGCCTGTTCCTTTCAGACAACTGCTGCAGATGACACCAGTTCACCCTCACCACCTTTCCCCACTCCTCCAGGCTCGTAGGTCAAGGCTCCAACACCAGCTCCTCCAGGGGCTTCCCTAGCTCTTCTTCAGTTCCAGGAGCTGGGTGCACCTTTTCTGTGGCCACCCGGGACAGGCGACTATCCCAAGCATCTCCAGGGGGCTGCTAGGCTTTCTGAGGTGGCAACAAGGATACCACAACACATTCTTTCCTGGCAGGCAGTTTATCTTCACTTATTTTTACAAATTTAGTAAGACAGCATTTAAGCCATAAAACCTTCCTTGTGTCACATGTGTACTAGTGGCCCACATTCCACACTGGGTGGAATTTGAACCCTGATTGTCTGATTCCAGAGCTCATACATTTAACCACCAGACTATGGTGGCTTCCCATCATGTAGACATCACATATTACCAGTTTTGACAGTCTGTAGGGTACTTAGTACAATTACACCTCCATAATGAACACAGGCACTGCCTATGGCTTTTCTCCTTTATTCTCTTAATATGGTGAATTACATTTATTTTTTAAATCTTAAACCAACCTTGCATTCTGGGAAAAACCCCACCCAAAAGTGGTCATGTTAGATCATACATATTTATAATTGTTATATCTTCTTGATAAGCTGACCCTTTTATCAGTATATAATGTCTCTCCTTTTAATAGTAATTTTTTTTTTCTTGAGACAGAGTCTCACTCTGTCACCAGGCCGGAGTACAACGGCGTGATCTCGGTTCACTGCAACCTCTGACTCCCTGGTTCAAGTGATTCTCCTGCCTCAGCCTCCCGAGTAGCTGGGATTACAGGCACATGCCACCACGCCCAGCTAATTTTTGTATTTTTGGTAGAAACAGGGTTTCACCGTGTTGGCCAAGATGGTCTCGAACTCCTGACCTCATGATCCACTCGCCTCGGCCTCCCAAAGTGCTAGGATTACAGGCATGAGCCACCAGGCCTGGCCCTTTTAATAGTTTTTAACTTTAAGTCCAATATTAGTATAGCCACTTTAGCTCTTGTTTGGTCATTATTTTTATTGGATAATATTTCCCATCCTTTCACTTTCAACCTATATGTGTCTTTGGATCTAAACAAGTCTTGTTTAGACAGCATATCATTGGGTCTTGGTTTTCATCTATTATGCCAATATCCACATGTTTATTGGAGAGTTTAATTCATTTACATTTTAAGTAATTACTGATAAGGTAGAACTTCAACCATTTTATTTGTTTTCTGTATATCTTATGCCTTTTTTATTCTTTTCCTCCACTACTGCCTTTTTTGTGTTTAACTGATATTTCATAATAAATGTTTTTGATTCCCTCTTTATGACCTTATGTATATTTTTAAAGATACTTCCTTGTGGTTTCCATGGGAATTATATTTAACATCCTATAACAATGTAGTTTGAAATTATTGCAAGTTAACTTAAGTGGCATATAAAGTATCTAATCCTATACAGCTCCTCCCCCTTTATCTTGTCACAGATTACCTCCTTATATATTGTGTGTCCAGTAATATACACTTATAATTTTTATGTACTCATCTCTTAAATTATGTAAGAAAAAGTGAATTTACAAGCCAAACGCACAGCAACACTGGCTCCTATATTTGCTTGTGTAGTTATCATTACCAGACATCTTTGTTTCTTTCTATGGCCTCGTGTTACTGTCTAATGAATGCTCTTTCTCTTCAATTTGAAAGGCCCATTTTAGAGTCTCCTGTAGGGAACAAACTCCTTCAGATTTTGTTTACCTGGGAATATCTTAATTTCTGCCTCATTTTTGAAGGACTGTTTTGCCAGATATAGAATTCTTGGTTGACAGTTAATCTTTTTCTTTTAGCAACCTAATACCTCTGGCTTTTATGGTTTCCAATGAGAAACTGGTTGTTGGGTGGGCATGGTGGCCCATGCCTGTAATCCCAGCACTTTGAGAGGCAAAGGCAGGAGGATTGCTTGAGCTCAGGAGTTCAAGACCAGCCTGGGCAGCATACTGAAACTCATCTCTGCAGAAATAATAATAATAATTTAAAAATTAGCCAGGCATGGTGGCATGCACCTGTAGTCCCAACTACTCAGGAGGCTGAGGTTGGAGGATTGCTTGAGCCCAGGAGGTCAAGGATACAGTGAGTCATGATCATGCCACTGCACTCCAGCCTGGGCAAAAGTGAGATCGAGTATCCTTTGTACATGATAAGTTGCTTCCCTCTTGTTGCTTTTAAGAGAATTTGTGCTTGTCTTTCAACAGTTTGATTGTAATGTATTTCAATGTGTATCTCTTTCAGTTTATTCTATGTGGAGTTTGTTGATTGGTGTGTCCCCACCCAAATCTCATCTTGAATTGTAATTCCTGTTATCCCCATGTGTCATGGGAGGAACCCAGTGGGAGGTAATTGAGTTATGGGGGCAGTTACCCTTATGCTGCTGTTCTTAAAATAGTGAGCAAGTTTTCACCAGATCTGATGGTTTTATAAGGGACTTTTTCCCCTTTGCTTGACACTTCTCTCTCCTGCTGCCTTGTGAATAAGTATGTGTTTGCTTCCCCTTCCGCCATGATTGTAAGTTTCCTGAGGTCTTCCCAGCCATGCAGAACTGTGAGACAATTAAACCTCCATCCTTTATAAATTACTCAGTGTTGGGTATTTCTTCATAGCAGCGTTAGAATGGACTAACACATTGATCGTAGATTCATGTATTTCATCAAATTTGGGAAGCTTTCAGGCATTCTTTCTTCAAATGTTATTTCTTCCTCTTTTTCTCTCTTGCTTCTGGGAATCCCTTACTGCATATGTTAACGTGCCTAATGGTGTCCTGCAGGTCTTATGTTTTTTTTCACTTCATTTTTTTTTCCTGCTCCTCAGACTAGATACTTTTCATTGTTTTGTGTTCATGTTCACTGAATCTGTCTTCTGCCTGCTCAAATCTACTGTTGAACCCCAATAGTGAGTTTTTCACTGTAATTATTGTACTTGTCAGCTTCAGAATTTTTTGGTTCCTTTTTGTAATTTCTATCTCTTTATTGATATTCACAACTTACTCAAACATCATTTTTCTGATTTCCTTAATTCTTTGTCCATGTTTTTCTTTCACTCTTTGACCATATTTAAAATGGTTGTTTCAAAGTCTTTGTCTCATAAGTCCAATATCTGAGCTTCCTGAGGAATAGTTTCTGTCAATTTATTTTTTCCCTTTGAATGGGCCATTTGAAAGTGACAGTATGATAATTCTGGAAATCATATTTTCACCTTACCCAGGGTTTGTTGATTTATTTTAATTATTGGAAGCTATAGTAGTTCAATTGTTTACTGACTTTCTGCAACTACTTTTGCATAGACTGTTTTTCTTGTTATGTGTCACAACTGATGTCTCTCTTCCTTAGCTTGTGTTCAGCTACTGTTTTGACCGAGTATTCCTTGAATGCCAGGGGCAAAAAAGAGAGAAAGATAAAGTGTATTAGGATTCTCCAGGGAGACAGAATAAATAGGATATATTGATAGAGACACAGACATATGAGAGGGGATTTATTAGGGGGATTGGCTCATGTAATTATAGAAGCTGAGAAGTCCTGAGACAGGACATCTGCAAGCTGGAGACCCGAGGATGCTTGTAGCATGGCCCAGTCCAAGTCTAAACGTCTCAGAACCAGGGAAGCTGATGGTGTAACTCTCAGTTTGAGGCCAAAGACCTGAGAACCCAGGAATCACTGGTGTAAGTCCTGGAGTCCAAAGGCTGGGGAGCCTAGAGTTGTTGTCCAGGGACAGCAGAGGAAGAGTGTATCCCAGTTCGCACAGATAGATTGACACATTCACCTTTTCTCTGGTTTTGTTCTCTCCAGACCCCAAGCAAATTGGATGGTGCCCACCCACATTGAGGATGAATCTTCCCCACCTAGTCCATTCAGACTCACATGGTAATCTCCTGTGGAAACACCCTCACAGACACACCCAAAATAATGCTTTACCCAATTTCTAGGTATTCCTCAATCCAGCCAGACTGACAGCTGGCTGTCAGAGAGAAAGGCATTGGGGCAGGGCAATAAACAAACAAACAAAGAAACAAAAAACAGATGAGGGAAGAAGAAGCTATCTCTTCCAGTATTTTCAGATGGCTCTGTGCTATGGCCTTCATCAACACTTAGCAAGGCTTTTATTGAGCCTAGGGACCAGCCCAAGGTGAAAGCTAAGGGTCTGTCTTTTCAGGTCTTTCTGAACATGTGTCTTGCCTTGAACATGCATGGAATTTTCTAAATTTAGCCATATTTAAGGGTGCTTTTAATGCCGTAATTTCCCAGAACAACTCTCTTCCTACTCTTCCTCTCTGGCTTAGGTGGTCTATTGTTTCTTTCAACCATAACTTTTGCCCTACACGACTTCAGGTTGTTTGCATTACAATATTTTCAAGCAATGTCTGTCACTTTTCCAGCCTGTGTGACTTGAAGTTAGATTAATTGGAAATGAACACTTTGCATTGGTCCTTCATGTGTCCCCTAAGCAGGCTAGCACAGCAATACACGATAATTTGTGAGTAAGGTCTGCTCTGCTCCCTCTGGAACCAGGGAACAGGATCCTATGGTGGGAATGCGAACTGAAGTCTTCAGAACTGCCACTGAGCTGAAAAGTGTGTGGGGCAAAGGCCAGTAAGAATGCACAAAGCTTTCCTACCACTTTAACTTAACTTTTTCTTGATTCAGCATCTTCTTGGTTGGTGTAAACCTTTGATGGTTTTCCAGAGTTCTAGCAAAGTTGTTCCTAATAATTTCTGCTGGTTTTTGTTTGTCTGTTTGTAGAGATGGGGTCCTGCTATGTTGCCCAGGCTGATCTCAAACGCTTGGCCTAAAGCAATCCTCCCAGCTCAGCCTCCCAAAGTACTGGGATTACAAGCATGAGCCACCATGCCTGGCCCTGCTTTTTATTTATGTTTCCGTGGGAGGATGAAAGTTTGTAGCTGCCTACTCCACTATTTTGCTGATATCACTGTTAATTACATTTCATTTTCCTATTTTAGCTTGTTATTTTTAATAGAACAGATGATGTGCAAAACCACGATTATAACATATTTACTGATTTTGTTAAAATGAAGGCAAGAAAAATAAATTTTGTAGAGTAAATATAGACTAATAAAATAAATTTTTGGTAATGTCAACCCAAATGAGGGACTGAGACAGGGATCACAATCTAATGAGGTTTACTAACCTGGAGCTTGAGAGTGCACATCGGGGAAGCCAGGATTACAGCAGTCTGTAACTGAGTTCCAAAGTCAATTACATAAAGCGCAGTATTAACATATATTTTTTTTAATGGGGGATACTGTGGTACAGAGGGTGGGCAGTGAAGTAACCATTACATTCCTGTGATTTGGATCGGTGTTTAGAGAGGTTATACGTAAAGTAAAGCAAATGTGTGGTTGAGTGGGTAGGAGATGGAGGCAACTTAGGGCCTGGTGGAAGGATAATTGATATTATCTTACCTTGTTTTACATCTGATAAACAAGTTTACAACCAGTACCCATCAATGAAATATTTAACAGACTCTAGGTACACAGGAAGTGGTCAACTTTAGTTTATAGGCCTTGGGATTGAAGCTGACACGTGTCTCTCTATGGGAGGTTGCAACACATATCTTTGACTAGCATAGCTGCTCTTGCACATACACACATTCCTGAGCTAGTGTTAGTTTACAATAGGCCTGTGTTAGTTTCCCTTTTACTTATTTTCACAATAATGAACCCAAACTTCACCAGCCTATCAAGAGAACACATAGGCATGCATAATAACAATAATGAAATTTCCTCATCTTTGATTTTTTTTGGACAACTTCTAGTCCTATAAAATCCATGGATTTTCGAATTTGTTTCTATTTTGTCATTATGAAAAAATATTTATCAAGGTAGGAGGAAAAGACATATTTCATTGAATTGTGTTTTTGTTCAATTTATTACTTTTACAATTTAGACCCAGGAATACAGTTCTCCAGTGTACTTTTACACTCCAGTGTACTTTTACACACAGGAACAGGCATGGCTAGGTCCCTGGCAAATGGAAAACCAGTTATTTTCTGAAAGATTAAGGATCATGGTCTCACAGTTTAAAAAATTACAAAACACATGAGGAAATAAATTATCATGATGGAAATACAACAGAAAACACACATGCCCAGACACACAAAATATACAATCTGACTAGCTGGACTGAACATGCTTGAATTATTGAATATAATAGAAAATGTACTTATCTAATAGGGTTAGTTTGGAAGTAAGGTATTAAGTTTATGAGATCAGAGGGTAGGTCAAGAAGTTCAATATACATCTATCAGACTTCCAGCAGGAGCTAACCTAAAGGTGAGGGAGTAATATATTCATGTATGGGAATCTGACACATGACTGAGGAGGCAACACAGATTAGCTGAGAAAAGATGGCCCAATCAATAAAGCATGCTTGAATAATTGATTGGCTATGATACTGAAAAAAATGAAAACAAATCCCTAACTTCAGCTTATATTAAAAATTCAATTAGAATCACTTGAGGCCAGGAGTTCAAGACCAGCCTGGTCAACATGGTAAAACCCTGTCTCTACTAAAAATACAAAAATCAGCTGGGCGTGGTGACGCACACCTGTAATCCCAGCTACTCAGGAGGCTGAGGAAGGAGAATTGCTTGAACTCGGGAGGCAGAGGTTGCAGTGAGCTAAGATCGCATCACTGCACTCCAGCCTGGGTGACACAGTGAGACTTTGTCTCAAAAAAAGGAAAAGAACAATTCAATTAAAAGAAAATATAGGAAAATAGTTTATGATTTCAAGGTAAAGAAGAATGTTTAAAGACAATGCAATAAGCGTAAGCCCCAAAGGAAAACACAGCTAAATTCAAGGACTTTGTTAATCAAAGATGTCACAAAGAGCATGAAACATACACCCCAACTGGAAGAAGATATCTGCATCATATATAACTGAAAAGGACTCATGTAAAGAACACTAATGATTCAATAAGAAAATTAAACATAGGCCAATAGAAATGTGGGGAAATATATGCTATTAGGCATTTCACAGAAAGGAAAACTCAAGTAGCCATTGTATTACTCCATTTTCATACTGCTATGAAGAAATACTACAGACTAGGTAATTTATAAAGAAAAAGAAGTTTAATGGACTCACAGTTCCAACATGGCTGGGGAGGCCTCACAATCATGGCAGAAGTTGAAGGAGGAGCAAAGGCACATCTTTACATTGCAGCAGGCAACAGAGCATGTGCAGGGGAACTGCCCTTTATAAAACCATGAGATCGCATGAGATTTATTCACTACCACAAGAGAAACATGGGAAAAACCCACCTTCATGATTCAATTACCTCCCACCAGGTCCCTCCCATGATATGTGGGGATTACGGGAGCTACAATTCAAGATGAGATTTGGGTCAGGCACAGCCAAACAACACCAGCCATTAAATATAAAAAAGATATCTAACTTTATTATTTAATGCAAGTCAAGCAAATTAAAACCAGAATGAGCTGTTAGGTGGCAGAAATTTAAAAGCTGGATAATTCAATCATTTAACATTGCCTAATAAAGCTGAATATGCACATATTGTACAATGAGAAAATTTAACTTCTACAATTCTAAACCCTGGATAAACTGGGTGTCTCCACAATGAGATGCCATCTCACACCAGTCAAAATGGCTATTATTAAAAAGTCAAAAACTAACAGATGCTAGTGAGGTTGTAGAGAAAAAGGAACACTTATACACTGTTGGTGAGAGTGTAAATTAGTTCAACCATTTTGGAAGATGGTGTGGAGATTCCATTTGACCCAGCAGTCCCATTACTGGGTATATACCCAAAGGAATGTAAGTTGTCCTACTATAAAGAAAGACACATGCATGTGTATGTTCATTGCATCACTATTCACAATAGCAAAGACATGGAATCAACCCAAATGCCCATCAATGATAGACTGGATAAAGCATATGTGGTACATATATACCATGGAATACTATGCAGCTGTAAAAAGGAACAAGATCAAGTCCTTTGAAGGGACATAGATGGAGCTGGAGGCCATATCTTTAGCAAACTAATGCAGAAACAGAAAACAAAATACTGATGTTCTCACCTGTAAGTGAGAGCTAAATGATGAGAACACATGGACACATAGAGTAGAACAACACACACTGGGGCCTATTGGAGCTTGGAGGGTGGGTGGAGGGAAAGGACCAGGAAAAATAACTATTGGGTATCACTTAATACCTGGGTGATAAAATAATCTTTACAACAAACCCCAAACTTGTACATTCTGTACATGTATCCCTGAACTTAAAAGTTAAAACATTTTTTAAACAAAATATATTAAAAGTTTTTAAAAATTGGGTGTGTCCAGCAAACAGTTCTGTTTATAATGTCAAGAACTTGGGAACAGTATAATGAATAAATAAATTGTAAATACAAAAAAATACTACGCAGACATTAAAATGAATAAACTCCAAGTTGACAAATTGATGCATAATGTAGAGCAAAAGAAAAGGTTCCAGGTGAATATATACAGTATGATTCTGCTTATCTTTTTTTTTTTTTTTGAGATGGAGTCTCGCTCTGTTGCCCAGGCTGGAGTGCAGTGGCCTGATCTCAGCTCACTGTAACCTCCACCTCCCAGGTTCAAGCGGTTCTCGTGCTCCAGACTCCTAAGTAGCTGGGATTACAGGTGGTGTGCCACCATGCCCGGCTAATTTTTGTATTTTTAGTAGAGACGTCATTTCACCATGTTGCCCAGGCTGGTCTTGAACTCCTGGACTCCAGTGATCCACCCGCCTCAGCCTCCCAAAGTGCTGGGAATACAGATGTGAGCCACCATGCCCTGCCTGATTCTGCTTTTCTAATGGTGAAAAGCAAATAAAAGTAAATTATAGGTGGAGCCATGCAATCATTATTAAACTATTTTGAAAAGCAAGGATGACTAATAAAAAGTGCAGAATAGAGGCAGGAGGGTGGACCAGGACTGCATGCAGGTGAGGAGGGATCCAGGGGGCTCTGCACCGTGAGCTCACCTGCATGGTGGATTCACAGGTGTTCATTGTCTATTATTCCTTAAAGTGTTCATATACGTGAACACCTTCTCTTCTTGGCGTATGTGCCTTATTTAGCAATAAAAACGTTTTTAAAATAGAGAGATATACTTCAGATATGAATAGATCTTTGTGGAAACCCAACCATAACACTGTTTTCATGTGAAAGGGGCTTGTGAATTTAAAAAAACCAGCAGCAGCTCCAGTGCAACAGTATATTGAGACACACACACAGCCATACACATTCATATAAAAAAGGTCTATTGATAAGTCTTTAACGTCTGAAGCCCTTTTCTTTATTTTATTTTTGCCTGGTGGTAGGCATAAATAACCCAGTAAGGATATCTACCCAAAGGGATATAAATCATTCTACCATAAAGACACATGCACACATGTATTCATTGCAGCACTCCACAGTAGTAAAGAAATGGAATCAACCTAAATGTCCATCGATGGCAGACTGGATAAATAAAATGTGATACATATGATGGAAAATATGGGATACCACGCAGTCATCAAAAAAGAATAAGATTGTGTCCTTTATGGGAACATGGATGGAGCTGGAGGCCATTATCCTTAGCAAACTAATGCAGGAACAGAAAACCAAATACCGCATGCTCTTACTTATAAGTGGTAGCTAAATGATGAGAACACACGGACACAAAGAGGGGAATAACACACACTGGAGCCTATTGGAAGGTGGAGGGTGGCAGGAGGGAGAGGATTAGAAAAAGTAACAATTGGGTACTAGGCTTGGTACCTGGGTGACAAAATAATCTGTACAACAGACCCACGTGACACGAGTTTACGTATGTAACAAACCTGCATATGTACCCATGAACTTAAAATAAAAGTAAAAAAAAAATTACCTAGGAATTTTCATCTCATTTTTGTTTTGACATATGCTGTGTATTCCCTGAGAACCCTAAAGATGAAAGTATTAACTCGTAAAAAAAGGAAAACTTGCTGATCTGATAAAGAAGTCTCCACAAATACAAATGAATTCTATCTATAATCACTTTCAGGAGGAAACATAATTAGAAAAATGAGGAAAACAAATTGTAAAAATTCTGGCAAGCTGGCATGGAGCCCAGGGGAAAGAGAGACATGCTCTCTCCAGAAGCCGTCAGAGTTGTGTATCTTCTCAAAGCTCTTGATTGTTCAGGACCTGTGAGGTTTAGTGTAAGGCAAAGAGTTTCCTCAGTACGCTGTGTCACAGTTCTGTGGAGACCAGGGGAAGCGCAAAGCACAAAATCCTATTGAATTAATTTGGTTTTTAAATTTTTTTTTTTTTTTTTTTTTTGAGAGGGAGTCTTGCTCTGTCGCCTAGGCTGGAGTGCAGTGGCGCGATCTCGGCTCACTGCAAGCTCCGCCTCCCGGGTTCAAGCCATTCTCCTGCCTCAGCCTCCCGAGTAGCTGGGACTACAGGCAGGTGCTCGCCACCACACCCGGCCATTTTTTTGTATTTTTAGTAGAGACGGGGTTTCACCGTGTCAGCCAGGATGGTTTCGATCTCCTGACCTTGTGATCCGCCCGCCTCGGCCTCCCAAAGTGCTGGGATTACAGGCGTGAGTCGCCGCGCCCGGCCTATTTGGTTTAAATTGTTAACTGTCATTTGTTCGTGTGCACCAAACCCAAGGACTGCCTTTTTCTCTTTCTTGTTCAGTATCTTACATACATTGTTATAATATGTCACTAGCAGAAGATTAAAACAGAAGAAAATATATCAGGACATTCTCACAGATGAACATTTGATTAGAATGGAATTCTAGTTAAATAAACTTGGTAATTAACCTCAAACAGAAAATGCCTGGTGTCTGCATAAAAATAGATTACTGATTTTTTTCCCTCCCACTGTCTTGCCGGTGGTGGTTTTTTCTCCCCGCCCCCTTTTTCTTTTCAAACTGTAAAAGTAACACAAGCTCAATTAAAACTGAGAAAATACAAAAAGGTTGAAAAAAAAGGAAAACAACAATTTTCCAGAATCCCACTACCATAGATGATCTCACAGTTTCATCTGTTTTACCTTTGTCAATACATATGTATTCTAATTTTTAAATTAAAATAAATATTAAGTTTCATACTTTGTCTTTTACATTTTATGTTTATTTTACATTAGCATGTTTCACATCTTTAAATGGTCTTCAAAAGCATTATTTTCAATGACTACAAATACGTCCCACCATTCTTATTATTTCACTTTTAAGTAGGTTTCTTTTAATTTTGCTATGTTTATTTTCTTAGGATTTATTTATGAGATAATTTTTGAAATGATGTATTTATGAAATAACTATTTAATGATAAGGTAAAAACTTTCTTTTCTTTTTTCTTTTTTCTTTCTTTTTTTTTTTTTTTTGAGACGGAGTCTTGCTCTGTCCCCCAGGCGGGAGTGCAGTGGGGCGATCTCGGCTCACTGCAAGCTCCGCCTCCCGGGTTCACGCCATTCTCCTGCTTCAGCCTCCCGAGTAGCTGGGACTACAGGCGCCCGCCACCGTGCCCAGCTTTTTTTTTTTTTTTTTTTTTTTTTTGTATTTTTAGTAGAGATGGGGTTTCGCCATATTAGCCAGGATAGTCTCAATCTCCTGACCTCATGATCCGCCCGTCTTGGCCTCCCAAAGTGCTGGGATTACAGGCGTGAGCCACCATGTCCAGCCAAAACTTTCTTAAAGTTTAATATTCCTTTAAATGACGACATCTATTTTCATCCCCACAAGAGTATGTGAGTGTGGAGATATATGTACTCTTCTTTATGAAATTATGTGCTCAGAATATATTTTTATTTTTCAAATTTGACAGGTAAAAACTGTGTCACTTGTTTCTTTAATATTTATTATACCTTATTAGGGTTGCCAAATAATAGATATTTTCATCTACTCCTGATTTCCTCATCATTCTGGATGCCTCCCTTTCTAATCCACGCAACCTTTGAATTCTTCCTCATGTAAATCCCAGACACTAAGTTTTCTTGACTGATTTCAAGCATTTATTCTTTTGGATAAACTTGATTAATTTCCTTTGAAACAAAGATGAGCTGGGAAGAGTTAACATCCCTACAAGGTGGACTCACGCCATACAAGAGCGCAATTTAGTTCTTCATCTGTTCAAATTTCATGTTGTACTTCTCAGTAAAATGCTGTACCTTTCAGTATAATATGTACATCTAATGTTAAGTCTAGCAGAGTGCCCAGCACTTGGTAGATGTAAAATCAAGCTTTAAAATGAGTAAACAAATGAAGCACAATGCCTGGGTTTGTCCAGCAGGTCAGACGAGGGCCGGAACTCAAGCCTCAGGCCTCTTAGCCCCAAGTCCCAAGTTTAACTCTCTGCATGAGACCTAATTATGCCAGCAAGACTCAGACAATAGAGACACTACTTATTTTCCCACTTTTTTGTGGGCCATACTCACTGGAGCCTGGCACTGCTCTACTCTCTGTAAAAGTGCAGGTGAAACCTGGTTTCTGTCTTTCAGTCACACACAACTCACCTAACCTAGTCTCTACACCTTAGCCCCATGACTGGCCTGCTGGGAGATAAAGTGGCCCTGTTCGATGCATTTGGAAGTAGGCTCAGTGGCATCTTGTAATTTGCCCCAGGTGGCAGATCCTACAAGTACCTGACACCAACACTCCCTCTACGTTAGCTTCTCCCTCCACTCTCTTTCTTCCTTCCTCCTGGGCCAAGACTAGGTGGGAGTCCTGGTCCCAGTAGTAGAATGCAGAAGCAACCGAAGCCTCTATGCTCAGCATCTATGGAGAGCGTCTTTGCAGAAATTTCAGCCTCCTCAGGAAAATAGCAGAAAATCACAGACGCTACGAAGAGATTAAATTAAAAGGGCTTGTGATGAGCTCATGCAGGTCATTTCTAGAGTCACTTTTCAACCAGGCCTTCCAGGGCCTGCAGACTCTGCAGCTCCAATAAAGGCAGAGCCAGAGAAAGGCTTTCTATGGCTGTTGATGTCATTGTAACCTCCCAAGGCTGATGAATCCTGGGGTGACATGTATGTTATTTAGCTGGGTCCTCATTTTACAAATGAGGACAGAGCTTCAGAAAGATAAAACGGCTTACCTATGATCCTACAGCTAGTCAGCGGCAGGGCCTAGACCTATCCTGGCTCTGCCTAATTCCAGTCCACATGTTCTCAATGGCCTCACGTGTCACAACCCCTCACCATGTCCCAAGATCTCCTGCTGGGCCTCCCACGCGCCACACACAGGACACCGTCCCTGGGCTCTGAGAGTTGAGTTGCAGTTGTTTTACTGGAATCAGCCTGGTGAAAACTAAATCAGAAAGTCTGACTAGGAGGACCAAAGGGCTCCTGCAAAAGTCCTGGGCCCACAGCAGGGTTCCCATTCCCCAGGATCACCCACTCCTCATCTGCAAGGATGAAATCTTCTCCTTGGTCATTCCGTGCAGACCTCAGTGAGAACCAGCCCAGTGTGGAGACGGGGCTAATGTCAGACAGATTAGGATGAGGACGGCTCCCTCATGACCCAGTAACAGGAGAATGAGCGCCTGCCCGGGCTGGGGCAGGAAGGAGATGCGAGGTGCTTGAGGGCATGCTGGGGCTGAACCCAGAGAGGGGCAGCATCTGAGTTTGGGTTTCTGTGAAGAAACCTCCTCGTCCTGTGAATTGTCTGTCAGCTCCGTTTTAGAAACATTAAAATCGTTATGTTTTCCCAGCCCCGACTGTCACCTTTGCATCCTGGTCACATCCTTCTCCCACCTGTACTAACTTCCCATGCAAGACTCACCCAAAATGTGGAGCTAAAAGTCAGTGGGGAGGCAAGGACAGGTGTACACCACAACAGGCCGGTCAGAGAAAACTGGCTTTGGCCTTAGTTTGAGTCCTGGAGGAAAGTATGGGGGATGTGGGCCTGACCAGGGCCCCCTGAACATCTTACCAGCTGCATCCTCCGCATCAGGCCTCAAGGCCAGGTGGATGCTATCTTTTGGCCTCTGAGCCCATCACTGCCAGGGAAGTTCCAGGACTTGCAGCCATATTGGTTGACTCCAGGGCTGGTCATGCTCCATTCTACCTACCACAATTCAGTTGTCAAATTCTGCCAGCAACTTTCTGCTCACTCTTAAAGGAACAAATTCTTGGGAGTTCTTGATTCCTAGGGGAGCCAGTCTCATCCCTTCTGGCAGTCTCGCCTTTTTCCATTGGCGAACATGACCCTAAGTGGGCTTGAGCTTTAGAGGCTGTCCAGAAATGCCAGCGAGCGGAGTGTGTGTGACTCACGACCTGCACCAGAGGCTCTGAGGGACCCCCTGTGATCAGCTGCCCTCCCCCGCCTCACTTCCCAGAGGTCACTACGGGACCTGAGGGCCTACAGACCAGAAACTTGGCTCTGTTGAAACTCTCTCAAGGGTGGAACTTTACCTTCTACCCTAGGAGAGGAGTGTGATGGCACAAACAAGATAGAATAATGGCTTCCAGCTTCATCCACGTCCCTGAAAACTCTGACAGGTGCGCTTGTAATCCTAGCACTTTGGGAGGCCGAGGCAGGTGGATTGCTTGAGCCCAGGAGTTTGAGACCAGCCTGGGCAACATGGTGAAACCCCATATCTACAAAAAATACAAAAATTAGCTTGGCGTAGTGATGTGCCCCTGTAGTCCCAGCTACTTGAGAGGCTATGCAAGAGAATCGCTTGAACCCAGGAGGCGGAGGTTGCAGTGAGCCAAGATCACGCCACTGTACTCCAGCCTGGGCAACAAGGTGAGACCCTGTCTCAAACAAAACAAAACAAAACAAAAATCCTCTGACAGAAAGAAATCTTCTTTGAAGAGCTCCTAATGGCCCAAGCTGGAAAGATATGCACACCAAAATAACCCAAAGTTATTGGATTAATACCCAAAGTTTAAAATAAGACACATAAGTCCATAACTATATAAATAAATAAATGAATAAGTAAACAAGAAAGAAAGGACAAATTTTTTTTTTTTTTTGAGACAGTCTCGCTCTGCCGCCCAGGCTGGAGTGCAGTGGCGCGATCTCAGCTCACTGCAAACTCCACCTCCTGGGTTCAAACTATTCTCATGCCTCAGCTTCCTAAGTAGCTGGGATTACAGGTGCAAGCCACCACACCTGGCTAATTTTTGTATTTTTAGTAGAAATGGGATTTCACCATGTTGGCCAGGCTGGTCTTAAACTCCTGGACTCAAGTGATCCGCCTGCCTTGGCCTCCCAAAGTGCTGGATTTACAGGCATGAGCCACCACACTCAGCCAAGAAGAGGCAAATATATCTTTTTAAAAATAATTATTTTATTTATTTTTTAAGTTCCGGGGTACATGTGCAGGATGTGGAGGTTTGTTACATAAATAAACGTGTGCCAGGGTGGTTTGTTGCACCTATCAACCCATCATCCAGGTATTAAGCCCAGCATGCATTAGCTCTTTTCCCTAATGCTCTCCCCTCACACCCTCCCCTGACAGGGCCCAGTGTGTGTTAATCCCCTCCCCCTGTCCATATGTTCTCGTTGTTCAGCTGCTACTTATAAGTGAGAACATACAGTGTTTGGTTTTCTGTTCCTGCCTTAGTTTGCCGAGAATAATGGCTTCCAGCTTCATCCATGTCCCTGCAAAGGACATGATCTAATTCCTTTCTATGGCTGCATAGTATTCCATGGTATATATGTACCACATTTTCTTTATCCAGTCTATTATTGATGAGCATTTAGATTGATTCTATGTCTTTGCTACTGCAAATAGTGCTGCAAAGAACATATGTATGCATACATGTATCTTTACAGTAGAATGATTTATATTCCTTTGGGTATATACGCAGTAATGGCATTGCTGGGTCAAATGGTATTTCTGGTCCTAAATCTTACAGGGATTGCCACACTGTCTTCCACAATGGTTGAACTAATTTACATTCCCACCAACAGAGTAAAAGCATTCCTATTTCTCTGCAACCTCGCCAGCATTTGTTGTTTCTTGACTTTTTAATAATCGCCATTCTGACTGGCATGAGATGGTATCTCATTGTGGTTTTGATTTGCAATTCTTTAATGATAGTAATGTTGAGCTCTTTTTCCCATGTTTGTTGGCCATATGTATGTCTTTTTTTGAGAAGTGTATGTTCATATCCTTTGCCCACTTTTTAATGGGGTAGACAAACCTATCTTACAGACAAATTGCAAATAATACATATGGATGCTCCTTCTTCCGGGAGGTGGAGACTAAATATTCTCCCTCTTTAAGGGTGGGCTGACTTGGTGACTCCTTTCCAAAGACTACAGTAGAGGGAGGAACACATAGCAACTTTACAGTGGATAAAAAAACCATGAAAGACTACATTATTCAAATGATCAAGTTTTACATCACCAGAGAAAAGAGATATTGATACCATGTACCCCCCTAATGCAATGTGACAAGAAAGATACTTAACTTCTGAGGTGTCTTTCCAAAACCTCAAAACTCCAAGACCCCAGTCTCATGGTAAGGAAGCACCAGACAAACTCAGACTGGGGGGCATTCCACCTGGCCAGGCCTCTTGAAGACTACCAAGGCCGTGAAAAACAAGGAAAGCATTAGTCCAAACCGCATTATTTTGTAAGCCCCCCACCATTTCACAGACCTTGGTCAAAGTGAAACATTCCACAGGGGTTCGGGCTGTGAGAAACATTCTGCCCAACCACCTGACTTTCTTTTTTTTTTTTTTTTTTTGAGACAGAGTCTCGCTCTGTCACCCTGCTGCAGGATAATTAAGGAATTAGGCCGAGGGGTTGAGGAGGAATTATTTAATTATTTAAGTGCACTGACCTAGTCGGATTAACATCCAAAGGACTGAGCCCTGAACAAAGAGTTAAGCTACCTTTTAAGCATTTCGTGGGGTGGGGGCAGATCTGTGCAGGGGGAAGCATATTACAGAAGCCAGAAACAAAGAGAGTTATTTAATTGAGACATGCATTACATTATTTCTTACTTTTCAAGGAACGACATGTATTAAGACTTAAGATTATCTGTCTAGTGACCTTGCAGCTGCACAGCTAAACAGGGTCTTCACAATGTCTGGGAAAGGGAGAGTTAAGGCTCACTAGCCACAGAAGGAAAAACAGGCAGCTAATTTTGAAGGACTCCAGCTCTTTCTCCTCCTCAGGGGGAATTGGGTTTTTTTATATATAGCTGAGTTTTTGCTTACACATTCTTTAATTTCTTTTAATTCGTGTTCCAGCAATGGCTGGAGGGCAGTGGCGCCATCTCGGCTCACTGCAAGCTCTGCCTCCCGGGTTCACACCATTCTCTTGCCTCAGCCTCCTGAGTAGCTGAGACTACAGGCGCCCGCCACCACGCCTGGCTAATTTTTGTATTTTTAGTAGAGACGGGGTTTCACCAGGTTAGCCAGGATGGCCTCGATCTCCTGACCTCGTGATCCGCCCGCCTCGGCCTCTCAAAGTGCTGGGATTACAGGCGTGAGCCACTGCACCCCGCCCTAACCACCTGAATTTCTTATCACATCTTGCTGGGAAAAAAGTCCAAGGGACCTCATTATCACATCCTGCCAGAAAAAGGGCCAAACCACCTCATTATGGGAACATCTTATCAATATCCTCCTGGGTAGTAAGCCATACCCCCCCAGACCCCTACCCAGGCATCTAATTGCACTAGCTGTAAGCAGCAGTGCGCCCTCGCATTAAGCTGGTCCCCCACCTCCAAATAAAACCTACATTGCAGTAGAGCCACCATCTCTCTCTCTCTCTGTGTCTTTCTCCTCCTTCCTTCCTTCCTTCCTTGCTTCCCTCCCTCCTTCCTGCCCGCCATTCTTTCTTTCTTTCGTTCTTTCTTTTCTTTCTTTCGTTCTTTCTTTCTCTTTCTTTTTCTTTCTTCCTTTCTTTCTTTTTCTTTCTCTTTCTTTCTTTCTTCTTCCTTCCTTCCTTCCCTCCCTCCCTCCCTCCCTCCCTCCCTCCCTCTTTCTTTCTTTCTTTCTTCCTTTCTTTCTTCCTTTCTTTCTTTCTTCCTTTCTTTCTTCCTTGAGATGGAGTCTCGCTCTGTTGCCAGGCTGGAGTGCAGTGGCACAATCTTGGCTCGCTGCAACCTCCATCTCCCAGGTTCAAGCGATTCTCCTGCCTCAGCCTCCTGAGTAGCTGGAACTACAGGCGCGTGCCACCATGTCCTGATAATTTTTGTATTTTTAGTAGAGACAGGGTTTCACCATATTGGTCAGGCTGGTCTTGAACTCCTGACCTCGTGATCTGCTCACCTCAGCCTCCCAAAGTGCTGGGATTACAGGCATGAGCCAGCGCACCCAGCCTCTCCGTCTTTCTTTAACTCTTTCCTTCCCTTCAAAACCTAACAGAAAGATGGACAAACTGTTTGTCCTGATATGTCCAAAAGAAAGCAAGACAAGAAAATGCTGGATTTCAGATACCTGCCATGTAGGATTTCAGGCCTTTGCTGAAGGACAATGAACAAATTTTTTAAGAGGCAAGTTTTTGTAATAATTTGAATTGATTCTTATTTGCATCTAGAAATATATTTTTTTTCAGTTTTTAAAGAGCTGGCAAGTCCTTAATAAGTTACTAAATTGATCAATGGAGGTGGCATGGAGTCCATCAGTGGGTGGGGGGAGAGTGAGAGAGACCCGCTTTGCCCCTGGTGGACAGCTGGCAATATTTTGGGATAAACAAGAACTTCAGTGCCAGGAAAGAGGGTTTTATTTGGCATCACGTTCTTCTGCACACTAAACGGCCTTTCAGCTTTTACAAGGACTCTAACAAGAGGAAGTAATTTGATTTAGAGCTGAAGACCTTTGTGCATCAGTTTGGCCAAGGGCAGAGACAGGCCCTTGTGTGACTGTCACAGGAGGCAGGAGACTGTGTCCAGGAGGCTCTTCCTTGTTCTGGAATAGATCTCATCTCTGATTCCTTATATCCCAGGTTGGGCTGAGACCACACACTGCATCCACCCTGAAGGAAGCTGGGAATGCACATTAAAAAGCTCAAGGTGGTGGCAACTCAGGAACTTGAGCCTGAGTCCAGAAGTCAGGTCTGCCTAAATGTGTTTCTTCACTTTGGGAGGCTGAGGCGGGCAGATCACAAAGTCAAGAAATCGAGACCATCCTGGCCAACATGGCGAAACCCCATCTCTACTAAAAGTACAAAAATTAGCTGGGCATGGTAGCACGCACCTGTAGTTCCAGCTACTCGGGAGGGAGGCTGAGGCAGGAGAATCACTTGAACCCAGGAGGCAGAGGTTGCAGTGAGCCAAGATCGCGCCACTGCACTCCAGCTTGGCGACAGAGCGAGACTCCATCTCAAAAAAAAAAAAAAGTGTGTTTCTTATTTGTGTGAAAGTGTGTGTTTGGTGTTGGTGGGAGACTAGAGGATGGCATCGTATTAGGCCTGCCTAAATTTGGGGGTGGTGTGAGGCCTCAGAATTTTTTTTCTCAATCAGATAGGAAAAGGAGGCAGAGTTACATGCTTTCTGTGAAAACTGCTTTTATGATACGGTTTGGATGTGTGTTCCCTCCAAATCCATGTTGCAATGTGGCCCCCAGTGTTGGAACTGGGCCTAGTGGGAGGGTTTGGGTCATGGGGGTGAATCTTTTATGAATGGCTTGGTGCCCTCCCCATGACAAAAATGAGTTCTCACTCGTAGTTCACATGAGAGAGAGCTGGTTGTTTATAAGAGCCTGGGTCCTCCCCCTTCACTCTCTCACTCCTTCTCTTGCCATGTGACACACCTGCTCCCCTTCTGCCTTCCACCATGATTGGAAGCTTCTTGAAACCTCACCAGAAGCAGAGCAGATTCTGGTGCCATGCTTGCACAGCCTGCAGAATCATGAGCCAAGTAAACCTTTTCTTTGTAAAGTACCCAGCCTCAGGCATTTCTTTATAGCAATGCAAATGGACTAACCCAATTTAGGACACCACACTAGGGGGAGGGGTCAGGCTGCTGGGACATCGCTCCTCTCTGAGCCATTTCTGGATGCCTCACTGATTGGATTTGCATTACACAGTCATTCTGTGCCAAGATCACAAATCTACTCTTCTTTATGTTTTTATTTTTTAGACCAGAGTGTCACTCTGGTGCTCAGGCTGGAGTGCAGTGGCGCAGTCTCGGCTCACTGCAATGTCCGCCTCCCAGGCTCAAGCAATTCTTCAGCCTCAGCCTCCTAAGTAGCTGGGATTACAGGTGCCCGCCATCAAACCCAGCCAATTTTTGTATTTTTATAAAGACAGCGTTTTGCCGTGTTGGCCACGCTGGTCTCAAACTCCTGACCTCAGGTGATCCACCCACCTTGACCTCCCAAAGTGCTGGAATTACAAGCGTGAGTCACTGCACCCAGCCTACTCTTCTTTATTAAGGGGCCTGATTCCTTGCTCTGGAAAAGATCTCATCACAGATCCCTTATCTGTCAGGACGGGCAGACACCACTCACCTCCTCCACCCCGAAGAGTGTTTTAGGAGAACACAGTGAGAAGCTCAAGGGGGTGAAACTGAAAAACGTGTGCATGAGCTGTGGAATAAGGCCTGCCTAAATGTGTGTATAGGGTGGTGGTTGTGGTAGCGGGGTTGTGCTGGGGCCTCCTAAATTTGAGGAGATGATGAGAGGCATTAGCAATTTTTTATAACCAGACGAAAATAGGTGGAGTCATACTCTTTATTGTAAAGCTGATTTTAAATCAGGGTAGCATTTCAGGAGGAAGATACGGGCTGACTGGCAATCACCCCCTCTCTGGTCTCTTTCTGGAAGCTTCCCTCATCAGTTCACATTTCCTCATTGTTATTTACCAAGACCACAGATCTCTTGCAGTTTATCATGGTGCACAAACCCACCAGGTATTCATCCAACGTATACTCCATCGACTTTTTAATCCCACATGTACTCAAGGGAGAGTGGGTTTGTGGTTAAGCAGGTACTTGTTTAAGAGGCTTTCGTCATGCCACAGGGCCTCGATGTGGTTGGCTTGGTCAATCATCATCACCTGGTGACAGGCCATGATCAGCCTGTAAACCTCCAGCACTGACCCACCAAATAAGGCCCCTATATAATAAAAGTCCCCTTCACCCTCAGGAAAATGGGCTTGGGACTGAGGCTGGCATTCATAGGCAAAGGTGTCCCGATGGAACCCATAGAAGCCAGGATGGATGGTGGCAAACAGGGAAGAGAGGATCTCCACACCCACATGGTTGTTGAACTTCATGTCCACATCTGCACACACAAGGTAATCCACCTCCCCGAGGAAGTGCTGCTGGGAAAAGTTGCTGATCACCTCCATGCGGTGCCTGGTGATGTCCTGCCAGTGGGCATAGCTCTGGACCTGGAGGATGACCATCTGCCATCCCTCTCAGAGCTTGATGTGTGGAATGTGTCCTGGCTGGTTGGTGAAGTGTAGTAGTTCACCCTATGTCCCCCCATGAAGTGTGTTGTTGTGGGAAGTCAGGGACCCCGAATGGAGGGACTGGCTGGAACTGCAGCAGAGGAACATAAATTGTGAAGATTTCATGGACATTTATCAGTTCCCAAAATTAATACTTTTATAATTTCTTACACCTGTCTTTTTTTTTGTTATTATACTTTACGTTTTAGGGTACATGTGCACAATGTGCAGGTTTGTTACATATGTATACATGTGACATGTTGGTGTACTGCACCCATTAACTCGTCATTTAGCATTAGGTATATCTCCTAATGCTATCCCTCCCCCCTCCCCCTACCCCACAACAGTCCCCGGAGTGTGATGTTCCCCTTCCTGTGTCCATGTGTTCTCATTGTTCAATTCCCACCTATGAGTGAGAACATGCGGTGTTTGGTGTTTTGTCCTTGCGATAGTTTGCTGAGAATGATGGTTTCCAGTTTCATCCATGTCCCTACAAAGGACATGAACTCATCATTTTTTATGGCTGCATAGTATTCCATGGTGTATATGTGCCACATTTTCTTAATCCAGTCTATCATTGTTGGACATTTGGGTTGGTTCCAAGTCTTTGCTATTGTGAATAGTGCCGCAATAAACATACATGTGCATGTGTCTTTATAATAGTATGATTTATAGTCCTTTGGGTATATATCCAGTAATGGGATGGCTGGGTCAAATGGTATTTCTAGTTCTAGATCCCTGAGGAATGGCCACACTGACTTCCACAATGGTTGAACTAGTTTACAGTCCCACCAACAGTGTAAAAGTGTTCCTATTTCTCCACATCCTCTCCAGCACCTGTTGTTTCCTGACTTTTTAATGATTGCCATTCTAACTGGTGTGAGATGGTATCTCATTGTGGTTTTGATTTGCATTTCTCTGATGGCTAGTGATGATGAGCATATTTTCCTGGGTTTTTTGGCTGCATAAATGTCTTCTTTTGAGAAGTGTCTGTTCATGTCCTTCGCCCACTTTTTGATGGGGTTGTTTGTTTTTTTTCTTGTAAATTTGTTTGAGTTCATTGTAGATTCTGGATATTAGCCCTTTGTCAGATGAGTAGGTTGCGAAAATTTTCTCCCATTTTGTAGGTTGCCTGTTCACTGTGATGGTAGTTTCTTTTGCTGTGCAGAAGATCTTTAGTTTAATTAGATCCCATTTGTCAATTTTGGCTTTTGTTGCCATTGCTTTTGGTGTTTTAGACATGAAGTCCTTGCCCATGCCTATGTCCTGAATGGTAATGCCTAGGTTTTCTTCTAGGGTTTTTATGGTTTTAGGTCTAACGTTTAAGTCTTTAATCCATCTTGAATTGATTTTTGTATAAGGTGTAAGGAAGGGATCCAGTTTCAGCTTTCTACATATGGCTAGCCAGTTTTTCCAGCACCATTTATTAAATAGGGAATCCTTTCCCCATTGCTTGTTTTTCTCAGGTTTGTCAAAGATCAGGTAGTTGTAGATATGCGGCGTTATTTCTGAGGGCTCTGTTCTGTTCCATTGATCTATATCTCTGTTTTGGTACCAGTACCATGCTGTTTTGGTTACTGTAGCCTTGTAGTATAGTTTGAAGTCAGGTAGTGTGATGCCTCCAGCTTTGTTCTTTTGGCTTAGGATTGACTTGGCGATGCGGGCTCTTTTTTGGTTCCATATGAACTTTAAAGTAGTTTTTTCCAATTCTGTGAAGAAAGTCATTGGTAGCTTGATGGGGATGGCATTGAATCTGTAAATTACCTTGGGCAATATGGCCATTTTCACGATATTGATTCTTCCTACCCATGAGCATGGAATGTTCTTCCGTTTGTTTGTATCCTCTTTTATTTCCTTGAGCAGTGGTTTGTAGTTCTCCTTGAAGAGGTCCTTCACATCCCTTGTAAGTTGGATTCCTAGGTATTTTATTCTCTTTGAAGCAATTGTGAATGGGAGTTCACTCATGATTTGGCTCTCTGTTTGTCTGTTGTTGGTGTATAAGAATGCTTGTGATTTTTGTACATTGATTTTGTATCCTGAGACTTTACTGAAGTTGCTTATCAGCTTAAGGAGATTTTGGGCTGAGACAATGGGGTTTTCTAGATATACAATCATGTCGTCTGCAAACAGGGACAATTTGACTTCCTCTTTTCCTAATTGAATACCCTTTATTTCCTTCTCCTGCCTAATTGCCCTGGCCAGAACTTCCAACACTATGTTGAATAGGAGTGGTGAGAGAGAGCATCCCTGTCTTGTGCCAGTTTTCAAAGGGAATGCTTCCAGTTTTTGCCCATTCAGTATGATATTGGCTGTGGGTTTGTCATAGATAGCTCTTATTATTTTGGAATACGTCCCATCAATACCTAATTTATTGAGAGTTTTTAGCATGAAGGGTTGTTGAATTTTGTCAAAGGCTTTTTCTGCATCTATTGAGATAATCATGTGGTTTTTGTCTTTGGCTCTGTTTATATGCTGGATTATATTTATTGATTTGCGTATATTGAACCAGCCTTGCATCCCAGGGATGAAGCCCACTTGATCATGGTGGATAAGCTTTTTGATGTGCTGCTGGATTCGTTTTGCCAGTATTTTATTGAGGATTTTTGCATCAGTGTTCATCAAGGATATTGGTCTAAAATTCTCTTTTTTGATTGTGTCTCTGCCAGGCTTTGGTATCAGAATGATGCTGGCCTCATAAAATGAGTTAGGGAGGATTTCCTCTTTTTCTATTGATTGGAATAGTTTCAGAAGGAATGGTACCAGTTCCTCCTTGTACCTCTGGTAGAATTCGGCTGTGAATCCATCTGGTCCCGGACTCTTTTTGGTTGGTAAGCTATTGATTATTGCCACAATTTCAGCTCCTGTTATTGGTCTATTCAGAGATTCAACTTCTTCCTGGTTTAGTCTTGGGAGAGTGTATGTGTCGAGGAATTTATCCATTTCTTCTAGATTTTCTAGTTTATTTGCGTAGAGGTGTTTGTAGTATTCTCTGATGGTAGTTTGTATTTCTGTGGGATCGGTGGTGATATCCCCTTTATCATTTTTTATTGCGTCTATTTGATTCATCTCTCTTTTTTTCTTTATTAGTCTTGCTAGTGGTCTATCACTTTTGTTCATCCTTTCAAAAAACCAGCTCCTGGATTCATTAATTTTTTGAAGGGTTTTTTGTGTCTCTATTTCCTTCAGTTCTGCTCTGATTTTAGTTATTTCTTGCCTTCTGCTAGCTTTTGAATGTGTTTGCTCTTGCTTTTCTAGTTCTTTTAACTGTGATGTTAGGGTGTCAATTTTGGATCTTTCCTGCTTTCTCTTGTGGGCATTTAGTGCTATAAATTTCCCTCTACACACTGCTTTGAATGCATCCCAGAGATTCTGGTATGTTGTGTCTTTGTTCTCGTTGGTTTCAAAGAACATCTTTATTTCTGCCTTCATTTCATTATGTACCCAGTAGTCATTCAGGAGCAGGTTGTTCAGTTTCCATGTAGTTGAGCGGTTTTGAGTGAGATTCTTAATCCTGAGTTCTAGTTTGATTGCACTGTGGTCTGAGAGATAGTTTGTTATAATTTCTGTTCTTTTACATTTGCTGAGGAGAGCTTTACTTCCAACTATGTGGTCAATTTTGGAATAGGTGTGGTGTGGTGCTGAAAAAAATGTATATTCTGTTGATTTGGGGTGGAGAGTTCTGTAGATGTCTATTAGGTCTGCTTGGTGCAGAGCTGAGTTCAATTCCTGGGTATCCTTCTTGACTTTCTGTCTCATTGATCTGTCTAATGTTGACAGTGGGGTGTTAAAGTCTCCCATTATTAATGTGTGGGAGTCTAAGTCTCTTTGTAGGTCACTCAGGACTTGCTTTATGAATCTTGGTGCTCCTATACTGGGTGCATATATATTTAGGATAGTTAGCTCTTCTTGTTGAATTGATCCCTTTACCATTATGTAATGGCCTTCTTTGTCTCTTTTGAATTTTGTTGGTTTAAAGTCTGTTTTATCAGAGACTAGGATTGCAATCCCTGCCTTTTTTTGTTTTCCATTGGCTTGGTAGATCTTCCTCCATCCTTTTATTTTGAGCCGATGTGTGACTCTGCACATGAGATGGGTTTCCTGAATACAGCACACTGATGGGTCTTGACTCTTTATCCAATTTGCCAGTCTGTGTCTTTTAATTGGAGCATTTAGTACATTGACATTTAAAGTTAATATTATTATGTGTGAATTTGATCCTGTCATTATGATGTTAGCTGGTTATTTTGCTCGTTAGTTGATGCAGTTTCTTCCTAGTCTCGATGGTCTTTACATTTTGGCATGATTTTGCAGCGGCTGGGACTGGTTGTTCCTTTCCATGTTTAGTGCTTCCTTCAGGAGCTCTTGTAAGGCAGGCCTGGTGGTGACAAAATCTCTCAGCATTTGCGTGTCTGTAAAGTATTTTATTTCTCCTTCACTTATGAAGCCTAGTTTGGCTGGATATGAAATTCTGCGTTGAAAATTCTTTTAAGAATGTTGAATATTGGCCCCCACTCTCTTCTGGCTTGTAGGGTTTCTGCTGAGAGATCCGCTGTTAGTCTGATGGGCTTCCCTTTGAGGGTAACCCGACCTTTCTCTCTGGCTGCCCTTAACATTTTTTCCTTCATTTCAACTTTGGTGAATCTGACAATTATGTGTCTTGGAGTTGCTCTTCTTGAGGAGTATCTTTGTGGCGTTCTCTGTATTTCCTGAATCTGAACGTTGGCCTGCCTTGCTAGATTGGGGAAGTTCTCCTGGATAATATCCTGCAGAGTGTTTTCCAACTTGGTTCCATTCTCCCCATCACTTTCAGGTACACCAATCAGACGTAGATTTGGTCTTTTCACATAGTCCCATATTTCTTGGAGGCTTTGCTCATTTCTTTTTATTCTTTTTTCTCTAAACTTCCCTTCTCGCTTCATTTCATTCATTTCATCTTCCATTGCTGATACCCTTTCTTCCAGTTGATCGCATCGGCTCCTGAGGCTTCTGCATTCTTCACGTAGTTCTTGAGCCTTGGTTTTCAGCTCCATCAGCTCCTTTAAGCACTTCTCTGTATTAGTTATTCTAGTTATACATTCTTCTAAATTTTTTTCAAAGTTTTCAACTTCTTTGCCTTTGGTTTGAATGTCTTCCCCTAGCTCAGGGTAATTTGATCGTCTGACACCTTCTTCTCTCAGCTCGTCAAAGTCATTCTCCATCCAGCTTTGTTCCGTTGCTGGTGAGGAATTGCGTTCCTTTGGAGGAGGAGAGGCGCTCTGCTTTTTAGAGTTTCCAGTTTTTCTGTTCTGTTTTTTCCCCATCTTTGTGGTTTTATCTACTTTTGGTCTTTGATGATGGTGATGTACAGATGGGTTTTTGGTGTGGATGTCCTTTCTGTTTGTTAGTTTTCCTTCTAACAGAGAGGACCCTCAGCTGCAGGTCTGTTGGAATACCCTGCCGTGTGAGATGTCAGTGTGCCCCTGCTAGGGGGTGCCTCCGAGTTAGGCTGCTCGGGGGTCAGGGGTCAGGGACCCACTTGAGGAGGCAGTCTGCCCGTTCTCAGATCTCCAGCTGCATGCTGGGAGAACCACTGCTCTCTTCAAAGCTGTCAGACAGGGACATTTAAGTCTGCAGAGGTTACTGCTGTCTTTTTGTTTGTCTGTGCCCTGCCCCCAGAGGTGGAGCCTACTGAGGCAGGCAGGCCTCCTTGAGCTGTGGTGGGCTCCACCCAGTTCGAGCTTCCTGGCTGCTTTGTTTACCTAATCAAGCCTGGGCAATGGCGGGCGCCCCTCCCCCAGCCTCGCTGCCGCCTTGCAGTTTGATCTCAGACTGCTGTGCTAGCAATCAGCGAGACTCCGTGGGCGTAGGACCCTCCGAGCCAGGTGCGGGATATATTCTCGTGGTGCGCCGTTTTTTAAGCCCGTCGGAAAGGCGCAGTATTTGGGTAGGAGTGACCCGATTTTCCAGGTGCCGTCCGTCACCCCTTTCTTTGACTCAGAAAGGGAACTCCCTGACCCCTTGCGCTTCCCAAGTGAGGCAATGCCTCGCCCTGCTTCGGCTCGCGCATGGTGCTCGCTCCCACTGACCTGCGCCCACTGTCTGGCACTCCCTAGTGAGATGAACCCGGTACCTCAGCTGGAAATGCAGAAATCACCCGTCTTCTGCGTCGCTCACGCTGGGAGCTGTAGACTGGAGCTGTAGACAGGAGCTGTTCCTATTCGGGCATCTTGGCTCCTCCTTGAGTGAGTATCTTAATCCTGAGTTCTAGTTTGATTGCACTGTGTTCTGAGAGACAGTTTGTTATAATTTCTGTTCTTTTACATTTGCTGAGGAGTGCTTCACTTCCAACTGTGTGGTCAGTTTTGGAATAGGTGTGGTGTGGTGCTGAGAAGAATGTATATCATTGATTTGGGGTGGAGAGTTCTGTAGATGTCTATTAGGTCCGCATGGTGCAGAGCTGAATTCAATTCCTGGACATCCTTTTAACTTTCCGTCTCATTGATCTGTCTAATGTTGACAGTGGGGTGTTAAAGTCTCCCATTATTATTGTGTGGGAGTCTAAGTCTCTTTGTAGGTCTCTAAGGACTTGCTTTGTGAATCTGGGTGCTCCTGTATTGGGTGCATATATATATTTAGGATAGTTAGCTCTTCTTGTTGAATTGATCCCTTTACCATTATGTAATGGCCTTCTTTGTCTCTTTTGATCTTTGTTGGTTTAAAGTCTGTTTTATCAGAGACTAGAATTGCAGCCCCTGCTTTTTTTTTGTTTTCCATTTGCTTGGTAGATCTTCCTCCATCCCTTTGTTTTGAGCCTATGTGTGTCTCTGCACCTGAGATGGGTCTCCTGAATACAGCACACTGATGGGTCTTGACTCTTTATCCAATTTGCCAATCTGTGTCTGTAGCCATTTACATTTAAGGTTAATATTGTTATGTGTGAATTTTATCCTGTCATTATGATGTTAGCTGGTTATTTTGCTCGTTAGTTGATGCAGTTTCTTCCTAGCATCAATGGTCTTACAATTTGACATGTTTTCACGGTGGCTGATATCAGTTGTTCCTTTCCATGTTTAGTGCTTCCTTCAGGAGCTCTTGTAGGGCAGGCCTGGTGGTGACAAAATCTCTCAGCATTTGCTTGTCTGTAAAGGATTTTATTTCTCCTTCACTTATGAAGCTTAGTTTGGCTGGATATGAAATTCTGGGTTGAAAATTCTTTTCTTTAAGAATGTCAAATATTGGTCCCCACTCTCTTCTGGCTTGTAGAGTTTCTGCCAAGAGATCTGCTGTTAGTCTGATGGGCTTCCCTTTGTGAGTAACCCGACCTTTCTCTCTGGCTGACCTTAACATTTTTTCCTTCATTTCATCTTTGGTGAATCTGATGATTATGTGTCTTGGAGTTGCTCTTCTTGAGGAGTATCTTTGTGGCATTCTCTGTATTTCCTGAATTTGAATGTTGGCCTGCCTTGCTAGGTTGGGGAAGTTCTCCTTGATAATATCCTGAAGAGTGTTTTCCACTTGATTCCATTCTCCCCATCACTTTCAGGTACACCAATCAGACGTAGATTTGGTCTTTTCACATAGTCCTATATTTCTTGGAGGCTTTGTTCATTTCTTTTTACTCTATTTTCTCTAAACTTCTCTTCTCGCTTCATTTCATTCATTTGATCTTCAATCACTGACACCCTTTCTTCCAGTTGATCAAATCGGCTAGTGAAGCTTGTGCATGCATCACGTAGTTCTCATGCCATAGTTTTCAGCTCCATCAGGTCATTTAAGGTCTTCTCTACGCTGTTTATCCTAGTTAGCCATTCATCTAATCTTTTTTGAAGGTTTTTAGCTTCTTTGCCATGGGTTCAAACTTCCTCCTTTAGCTCGGAGGAGTTTGTTATTACTGCTTGTCTGAAGCCTTCCTCTCTCAACTAGTCAAAGTCATTCTCCGTCCAGCTTCATTCCATCGCTGGCGAGGAGCTGCATTCCTTTGAAGGAGAGGAAGCGCTCTGATTTTTAGAATTTTCAGCTTTTCTGCTCTGGTTTCTCCCCATCTTTGTGGTTTTATCTATCTTTGGTCTTTGATGATGGTGACGTTCAGATGGGGTTTTGGTGTGGATGTCCTTTCTGTTTGTTAGTTTTCCTTCTAACAGTCAGGACCTCAGCTGCAGGTCTGTTGGAGTTTGCTGCAGGTCCACCAGTGGAGGCTGCAGAACAGCAAATATTGCAGAACGGCAAATGTTGCTGTCTGATCGTTCCTCCTGGAAGCTTCATCTCAGAGGGGCACTGGGCCATATGAGGTATCAGTCAGCCCCTACTGGGAGGTGCCTCCCAGTTAGGCTACTCGGGGGTCAAGGACCCATTTGAGGAGGCAGTCTGTCCATTCTGACATCTCAAACTCCGTACTGGGAGAACCACTACTCTCTTCAAAGCTCAGTTGGAAATGCAGAAATCACCCGTCTTCTGCATCGCTCACCCTGGGAGCTGTAGACTGGAGCTGTTCCTATTCGGCCATCTTGGAACCCCTCCCAGGTATCCCTTTTATACAGTGATTTCCATTTCTTTAGACAAATATCTAGTGGTGGGATACCTGGATCATATAGTAATTCTATTTTTATTTTTTTTTTAGAAACCTCCATACTGTATTAGTAAATGGCTGTACTAATTTACATTCCACCAACAGTGTATAAGAGTTTCCTTTTCTCTGGCTGGGCATGGTGGCTCACTCCTGTAATCCCAGCACTTTGGGAGGCCGACTAGGGCAGGTCACTTGAGGTCAGGAGTTCAAGACCAGCCTGGCCAACATGGTGAAACCCCATCTCTACTAAAATACACACACACAAAAATAGCTGGGTGTGGTGGCAGACACCTGTAATCCCAGCTACTCAGGAGGCTGAGGCAGGATAATCACTTGAACCCAGGAGGCAGGGGTTGCTGTGAGCTGAGTTCACATCATTGTACTCCACCCTGGGCAATAGAGTGAGACTCCGTCTCAAAAAACAAAAAAAAAGATTTCTCTTTTCTCTGCAGCATCACCAGCATTTATTTTTTCTTTCTTTCAGCCATTCTAACCAGGGTGAGATGACATTTCATTGTGCTTTTGATTTTCATTTCCCTGATGATTAGCGATATTGAGCATTTTTCATATACCTGTTGGTCATTTGTATATCTTCTTTTCAGAAATATCTATTCAATTTATAGACCACCTTTTAGTTGGATGATTTGAGTTTTTGCTGTTGAGTTGTTTGTGTTCCTTGTATACTCTGGATATGTCTCTTGTCAGATGAATAGTTTGCAAAGATTTTCTCCTATTCTACAGGCTGTCTCCTCACTCTGCTGATTGTTTACTTTTCTGGGCAGGAACTTTTCGGTTTAATATATTGCCACTTGTCTATATGTTTGTTGCCTGTGCTTTTGAAGTCTTAGCCATGAAATCTTTGCCTAAACTAATGTCCTAAAGCATTTCTCCTATGTTTTCTTTTAGTGGTTTTCTAGTTTGGGTCTTACAGCCTTTAATCCATTTTTAGTTGATTTTTTGTGTGGTGAGAAATAGGCATCTGGTTTCATTCTTCTGCATACGGATATTCAGTTTTCCCAGCACCATTTATTGAGGACATTGTCCTTTCCCCAATGTATGTTCTTGGCACTTTGTCAAAAATCAGTTGGTTGTAAATATACGGATTTATGTCTGGGTTCTCTATTGTGTTCCATTAGTCTATGTTTCCCCTTTCATACCAATGCCACTCTGTTTTGGTTTCTATAGCTTTGTTGTATATTTTGAAGTTAGGAAATGTGATGCCTCTACATTTGTCATTTTTGCTCAGCATTGCTTTGGCTATTTGGGATATTTTGGTTCTATATGAATTTTAGAATTCTTTTTCTGTTTCTGTGAAAAATGTCATTGATATTTTGATAGGGATTGCATTGATTCTATAGATTGCTTTGGGTAGTATGCTAATTTTAACATTATTAATTATTCCAATACATGAGCATGGGATGTCTTGACACTTGTTTGTTTCCTTTTCAATTTCTTTCATTGCCTTTTTTTTTTTTTAAGAGATAGGGTCTTTCTATGTTGCCCAGGCTGGATTCAAACTCCTGGGCTCAAGTGATCCTTTCATCTCTGTATCTGGGACTACAGGTGCACCACCACACCAGGCTCATTGCAAGAGATATGGAGAAATATTTCCCTAGGACCTGAGTATTGTTAGATAAGACTGCAGGTTTTTTAGATTACAAATTGCTCCATGTCAACACTGAGAACCAGATGACAAGTGACAGAGGTACCCATGTGTCCTTAAAAAATTCTTTTGTGGGTATAGATGTAATATATGGGGCCACTACCAACTCAGTACTACTTTACACAAAATGATTGATATGGAATTGTTTGGATAATATGATGTCTAACTCCAGAAGGTAGAGACTTTGGTTAAGAATTTCAAGGGAGAGATTTCTTTCCTTTTAATTTTTTCCACCAAGATCCAAAGCCTCCACAGATATGCCTCTTCATCATTCTTGCCAGGCAGGTTTTAGTTTTCCTAATTTACTCAATGAATGTGGTGTCTTTCGGAAATCTCTACTTTGTGTAAGAATTGTCAAGCTAATTAAGCCTGTGTGCTTGGTTAGCACCCCTATCTTTATTGAAGCACTTATCACAATAGCTAAGATATGGAATCAATCTAAATGTCCACCAACAGATAATGGATAAAGAAAATGCATTATGTATACACAATGGAATACTATTCAGTCGTTAAAAAAATAAAACCATGTCATTTGTGGCAAATGGATGAGCCTGGAGAACATTGTGTTAAGCGAAATAAGTCAGGCACAGAAAGATAAATACTACATGTTCTCCCTCAGATGTGGGAACTAAAAGAAATTAACAAAATGGGCAAAGAAATTAACACAATCTTACATCTTTTAGCAAACTAGGAATTAGAGGATATGTCTTTTGAGTGATTAAGTGCATATGCCACAAACTTTGACTCAATTCCGTGTTGAATACTTTTCCCCTAAGATCAGGGACTGGCAAACTATGTCTACATCTCTACTTTTTCTCAACATTTTACTGGAGGTTGTAGCAAATATAAGGGTAAGAAATAAAAATAAAAGGCATACAGGATAAAAAGGAAGAAGCAAAACTCTCTTTGTTCATAGAAAACATGACTGTGAACATAGAATATCCTAAGGAATTCACAAAGAAACTATTAAAAGTAAAGAGTGAATTTAGCAAAGTTCTAGCATACAAGGTGAATATATAAAAATCAACTGTATTTTCCAGTGGTGAATACTGAAAACTAAAATGTAAAAGATACCATTTACGATAGCATACAAAAAACTTATAAAACACATAAGGATAAATTAGTAAATACTGTACAAGACTTATACACTGAAAATCACAAAAGAGGCAAATTTTTCTGTAAAGGACCAGATAGTAGATATTATAGGCTCTGAAGATTGCATATGGTCTCTGTTGCATATTTTCCTCTGTTTTTCTTCCTTTTTTCCTTTCCTCTTTTCTACAAACTTTGAAAACTCTTATCACCATTCTAAGGTTATTGGCATTACAGAAACAGACTGGAAAGAATTCAGCTCATGAACTGTAATTTGTCATTCCCAACCACAAAATAGTCTCTGAGAGAAAATTAAAGCATTCTAAAGGCCGGGCGCGGTGGCTCACGCTTTTGGGAAGCTGAGGTAGGTGGATCACCTGAGGTCAGGAGTTCGAGACCAGCCTGACCAACGTGGTGAAACCCAGTGTCTACTAAAAATACAAAATTAGCTGGGCATAGTGGTGCATGCCTGTAGTCCCAGCTACTCGAGAGGCTGAGGCAGGATAATCACTTGAACCCGGGAGGTGGAGGCTATAGGGAGCTGAGATTGCACTATTGCACTCCAGCCTGGGCAACAAGAGTGAAACTCTGTCCAAAAAAAAAAAAGAGTTCTAAATATAAGGAACTATTTACCATCCTGATAGAGTACACTATTTGATATCAGTAAATTGCCAATTTCAGCCAGGATCCTAAAAAGTAGGTCTATGGAATTGTCACAAGAGATGTTGGTGTCCTTGGAGCATAAGGCTCTTAAGACAGAGTGTATCTTGCACCTAAGTGGTCTCCTGTCCTGTACCTGGGAGAAGATAGTTCACAGACAGCTGTGTGGTTTGTGCAAGACTCATTTAGCAGAGAAATGCCCAATATGGTTGTGCTGACAATTGGTGCTCTCCACCCTGCATCTTCTGATGCAGGCAGTGAACACTCTCATGACAGGTGTACATGGTGCTAAGTACCCTAAGGACTATTTAAAAATGTAAATACGTGACACACATGATGAGGCATCACCACTGTCAGGTGGTCAATGGATAAACTCTGGAATCAGACAGTCTGAGTTCAAATCCTGACTCTCCCTTACGCCCACATGGGTGACCTGAGGAAGGCGCAAAGTCCTAAATGCTGTTTGCAATTCGAAAAATTTGTTAAAAGAGGGAAGATCTGCTTGCCTGGAAGGGATGGTATGGGGTGCAGGACCTGGGAAAATTGGGGTGCCAAGTACCCATCTCAGAAACCTTCACAGCCCAGCTGGACTCACATCTCATGCCCATGGACCCACACCTTCCTGGGTGGCCACAGAGAAGATATGCCTGCTCCAAGACTTGAGAGGCCCTAGAGGGATCCCTGGAGGAAACAGTGTGTGGTAACCCTGAGCTACCACATGGGAAGGGGACATTGTGGGGGTAAACTAGTGTCCTCTGCAGAGGTTGCCTGAAAGGAAGAGGTCAGGGCAAATCACGCCCCACACTGCTTGGTCTCTCCTCCCCATCAGAGCACGTGTCTTGCAGCTGCAGCCCTGCTGGGCCACCTGGGTGCACCAGTAATGGCATGAGACAGAGTTGATCCCTGCTGGCCACACCCCCACCTCTCCTACCCTGACCTCCTGTGAGCCAGGGCCCCTTCCTGGCAGGATCTAGGGCGCTCTGACCTCTGACCTCCAATAACCCCAGAGAAAAGGGCTAGGAGACTCACAGGCACTAGTTGCTGCCCCTAGGTTAGATGCTGAGGAGCCTGCAGACCTGGTGATCTGGGGGTGACAGTTATGTGGGGTCCTATAATACACAGTCCTGGATGCTTTTCCATGTCATCGGGCACACCTGGTGCCAAGCACCTGCAAAGAGCATGAGCTGTCTCAAGCTCTCAAAAGTCCTGCTGGGATTCCCCTTTGTCCTTTGGTGCCTTGTCTTCCCTCTCTGCTCTAGCACACACTTTCTCTGGTGTGTGTTCCAATGACATGTCACAAACATCCAGCATGGTTTGCCTTGGAGGAACATGCAGCTAGGAGACCTCTCCAAATTTCTTACTAGACTCTCAGTGTCAGACAGCACACAAACTGCTCTTCACGGACAACTTCCTCAGTAAGCCTCACCCCGCCTGGCCCCCAGGCCACCATCCTCCTTTTTCTCCCTGCCCTCTCTGTTCCTGCTTCTGGCAGGAATCCTCCTGCTGCACCTGTGCATCTTCTGAAAACAGTTCCTGGGAGCAACACGGTCACCTTTACCCCCTCGGTTTATATCACCCCTGAGAGGCCTTATGCAACCCAGCAAGCTCAGTGTTTACATCAGAAGGGGGCCTCCCCTTGGTGTCATGCCAGGGCTCTCAGAAAGACAGCACTGTATGCTTGCACCTCAAAGAAGTGCAGCCACTTAGGAAAAGTACTGATCCTACCTGCAGGGGGAAACTGACTTCTCTTCCTGTCGCTATCTGAGCGACATCTGCGCTCCTTCAATAGCAGGAGCGCTATATGGGCCATCTGATTACTCCCCTGATCCTTGCTTAAAAGAGACTGAGGGCCGGGCATGGTGTCTCACGCCTGTAATCCCAGCACTTTGGGAGGCCGAGGCGCGCAGATCACCTGAGGTCAGGAGTTCGAGACCAGCCTGGCCAACATGGTGAAACCCCATCTCTACTAAAAATACAAAAATTAGCTGGGCGTGGTTGCGCACACCTGTAGTCCCAGCTACTTGGGAGGCTGAGGCAGGAGAATCACTTGGATCCAGGAGACGGAGGTTTGCTTGAACCCAGGAGGCAGAGGCGGAGGCGGGAGAATCGCTTGAACCTGAGAGGTGGAGGCCTGAGGCAGGAGAATGGCATGAACCCTGGAGGCGGAGCTTGCAGTGAGCCAAGATCGCGCCACTGCACTCCAGCCTGGGCGACAGAGCGAAACTCCGTCTCAAAAAAAAAGGGGATCAAGATAAAGGGCCACTGCAGCAGTGCCATGCACCATCAATATCTAAGCCCCTTTGGGTGGTGGCAGGTTTGCAGTCATTGTGTCTGTCCCAAACCCTGGCTCCTTGTCAGGGGTCATTGAAATCTGCAGAAGGGCTGACAACACTCAGAACCACAACTTATTCTAGGAAGGGCTTAGACCTGAGCACCAGGTCCTGCCTGCCTATAGCATCCCTGTTGCAATGAGGGAAGATCAGCTCTACGGAGCAGAAATCTGTTTTGGGAGCCCTTTCCTTCCTGGCTACAGAGTGACTGAGGCCCACCCAGCCAAAGCATACCTGTTACTATTGAAGGAGATAACATCGCTAAGAAGGAGCATATATCAGAATAAACTTCTGTTCCTCCTTGTGTTCGGATCACCCGGGTCCCATCCCGCTAGAGCACATCAGTTGGACGGGTATCTCTATAACGGTGCTGGAGATAATTCTGTTGCTGTCTATAGTCAGACCACCTGGGACACACCTGGCCAGAATGCATCGGTAGCCTTGAGGGTTCCAACACCACACTTGTGCTTAGAGGCCCTCTTGTGTCCGCCTACATGCAAAGCACCTGGGCTCCACCTGTTCAGAGCACATGTGTTGCAATGGGAGGGCACAGCACAACTGTGACAAAGAGTCCTCTTTCTGCACCTCGTCAGAGCATTTGGGGCCCACCTGGCTAATAAACACATGTTCCCACTTTCTATCAGGCACCCACGGGAGCACATGTGCTACTGTTGGAGGGCCTGACACCACACTTGTGGTTGGAGATGCTACTGTTTATGAATCCAGTTCAGAGCACCACGGACCTTCCAGCCCTGGGCATAGATTGGTACAGTGGGAGGGGACACCGCCATACCTGTGTTTGGGAACATTTCCATACCCACCATCATTCAGAGAACCTGGGATGCTTATGGCCAGAGCACTGTTGTAGCCAGAGGAGGGCAACATCATAAACTTAGAGGAAGACACTTTTAGTGTCCCTTTCAGTCCAAACTCCTGGAGCGTAAGCCAGGGAGCCTACCCCTTTTGACTTTGTAGGAGCCAACATCACTGAGAAAATACTTGTGCTTCAGGTGGAGTAAATGTCCCTCTGTGGTGGGCACAGCAAATGGCAGCCTTGTCTTTGGTCCCTGCCCCCGCCCCCAAGCCCCCGTTGCCTGCCCAGGTCTTCACAGAAGATGGAAGTACTGGATTGCCAACCTACTCATTTTTCTCTAGTGAAAGAACCAGGAACTCAGTGCCTAAGAAGCAAAATCTTCTTGTAGAAATGGCAGTGGGTGGCCACTGTCCACCATGAAAGAACCTTACTCTGCTGGAAAGGCTCAACCCATTCTAGTTATGTCAAACTCAACCTGCTCTTCCTCCTCCTCTAGCAAGCTTGAAGGTGAGCACCTCGAAGGGCTTCTTTTTATGTTGAAAGGCACGGGTTTGCATGGCGGTTCATCAGAGGTCAATACCCCAGTTTGAGAAAGTCCACTGTGGGGAGGAAAGAGAGACTTGTAAGTACCAACTGTGCTCCACTCTGGTTTTGTCTGTAAGCCTGGAAGACTCAAGCTCTGGGACACTTTCCTTCTAGTCTTGGGACTGGTAGCACCTCCAGCAACTCCCACCCCGCTGCGGGCAAGCTGTTCCTTTTCTTTTAACCTATTTGTCTCCATGGTCCTTTTACTTGCTTTTCCGGATTAAATATCTAAAGCCTCCTTCATGTTCATGAGTCTCTGCTCTGGGGTCTTCACTTTTAGGCCAGTCTAGAAGGAAGGATGCCTTCTATGAATGGTGACAGGTTGAGCCAGACTTGACATTTCAAAATTTTCTGTGGCTCAGCTAATGTGACATGGAAGTAGCACACTCTAGGACTGTTTGTGCTGACTTCTGATGTCTCTGATGAGAGTGTGAGGATATCAGCCCAGGAAGAGGAGAGGTCCAGAGAAAGAGAGACCAGGACATGCCCTTGCCACCTCCCTCTGTGCTTCCCCTACACCATCTGACCTCCCCAAAGGTCAGATCCTCCCTGCTGTGTGACAGGAAAGCACACTTTACTGTTTTCGTCTTTTAAAAATGTTTGAATATCTTTTCTATGTGTTTTTTTTTTAAATTAGATTGGGGCCAGGCATTCCACTGTGAAATACAAATAAAACCCAGAGGCCGGTTGAGGTGGCTCACGCTTGTAATCCCAGCACTTTGGGAGGCCGAGGTGGGGTGGATCACCTGAGGTCAGGAGTTCAAGACCAGTCTGGCCAACATGGTGAAACCCCATCTCTACAAAAATACAAAAATTAGCCGGGCATGGTGCCATGTGCCTATAATCCCAGCTGCTCGTGAGGCTGAGGCAGAATTGCTTGAACCCTGGAGGTGGAGGTTGCAGTGAGCCAAGACCGTGCCACTGCACTCCAGCCTGGGTGACAGAGCGAGACTCCGTCTCAGAAAAATAAACAAACAAATAAATAATAAAACCCTGAGCCCTCTGACTGACTGAACAGACCCCTCTTGGCCAAGGTGACCCCCAAAAAACTAAAAACTAAGTTTCCCGGCCGTAAGGAGATGGGAAATTGCGCCTCCGTATACCCCTTCCTCACTGTTACCAGGGTTTTTTTTTGTTTGTTTCCCAAATTAAACAGAAACAAGCCCTGGAAAAACAAAGAATGGAACACCCCTCCGCTGACTTCAACCAACTGCCTGCTGATGCGGCCTGACTCCCAGCCCTTTTTGCAGTTTTGAAGTGACAAACTGACTAGGCTACAAAGTATTCAACCATGGGCTGGTTCTGGCTGGTTCACCGAGGCTGTGTACAAAGTGTCTTCATGTCCTGTGTTTCACCTTTTAACATACAGAACCTAATTTTACTGCATTTTAATGTTAATTCTCCACTCGAAGGTGAACATGGGATGTATGTAACACATATGTTTGCTTATCAAGCACACATATGACCCCCTTTCATGAATATTCATAGTTCCCCCTGTGACCTGTTGAATATGTCTGTTTAGCCAACCTGTTTGGCATAAAACTCCTATCCCACCCTATCTCCCTCAAAGTACCTGTTTGTGGTCTCAGCTGGAGGTGCCACTTCCCAGCCTGCAGTTTGCAACCCTTCTCAAGAAATAAAGTCTTCCTTTCCAAGTTTACGGGTCTCATATTTTTAGTTGACACCCCCAAGTTGGTGCTTCACATGGAGAGGATAGGTTTGGCATCCAGCCTCTTGGGCCTGCAAGAACAATGAAAGAAAGAGCTCATGCCACTGGGTAATTACTGAAACATTTTAAGTCTAGGATAAAATATATGACTCAAAAGTTGTTATCATACTCCTTTAAAAAGTCCTGCAAAAAATTATTTTGAGGCCGGGCGCAGTAGCTCATGCCTGTGATCCCAGCACTTTGGGAGGCCAAGGAGGGTGTATCACCTGAGGTCAGGAGTTTGAGACCAGCCTGGCCAACATGGTGAAACCCCATCTCTACTAAAAATACAAAAAATTAGCTGGGTGTGGTGGTGGGTGACTGTAATTCCACCTACTCAGGAGTCTGAGGCAGGAGAATTGCTTGAACCCGGGAGGCAGAGGTTGCAGAGAGCCGAGATCGCGCCACCGCACTACAGTCTGGGCAACAAGAGCGAAACTCCCTCTCAAAAAGGAAAAAAATGAAAGAAAAATAAATTATTTTCAAGTAAGTACCTGGATTGGGCCTATGTGGGAAAAGATACAGTTTGTCCCTATTTAAACCACTAAAATCTCAAGTTGCAAAAGTTGACACTCCACCCAACCCATGGCTGATCATAGAGTCAGGCTGAATCTAAACTAGACTTCATTGTTGAAAACTCTATAATTTCTAAGGCATTTTATAACCCAGGAAAACCACCTTCAGATGGAGGAAAGAGGGAAAACCCAAGAATTTCTGCCAGCTTCTTATGTATTATTTTATTAAACATTTACTTAGTGATGAACCTGCACTAGACACTGTGCTAGTCACTGGTGAGATAGGGTTCAAAGACATTTCTTGACCTACAAGAACTTACATTCTAGTAGGAGAGACAGATGCATATCAAAAATTTAAATAGGACTTTGTGCTAGGGATCGGAGAGCAGGTAAGAAGGACATAGTATTAAATACGGGAGAGAAGGAACTTTAATTGCACCTCAAGAAGCAGGAGGAAGCCTCTAGGTAGAGTGGGGCTATTTTCACATCAAGGAAATATTATGTGAAAAGTCAAGGAAGCCAGAGAGGCTGTGAGCCTGTGGGACACAAGGAAGGTAGTCAGGTACAGCTGGAGAATGAAGTCAAGCCTGGGGTGTACGGCTGTAATGATCAGCAGGGGCCAGATAACGGACAAATTAATGTACGTGATGGGCACTTGTCGGTCATCCTGAAAGTATGCAAAGTCACGAAAGGAGTGAAAGCAAAGAAGTGAAATGATGATATGTAGCTTTTAGAAACATTCTTGTACTTCCTTGGAAGGAAGAATCCAATGGGTGCTAGAACAGAGGTAAAGGGGCTCCGGGGGTTCTTTGGCCAAAGCAAAGACGAGACAATGAGCTCCCGTTCTAGAGGAGCTGAGAGTGGCTGGAGAGGAAGTAGCAGAAGAGGGAAGTGAGACGATTAACTGCCACACATGACCAGGGTGACTGTAGCCACTTGCCTTAGACAAATGGACATGCATTGTTTTCGTAGGGTGAGTTCAGCTTTCAATAGTGTTCGGTTTTTAATAGTGTGAAACCCTGTGGATGAATCAGTAATATTCAGAAGGCAGTTGACTCATTTATTTGTCAATTTGCCATATTTATTGAGCATCTGGGATGAGCTGGGACCTATTATAAGTAGCAGCAAAAATGTCAGCAGAGCTTACATTCGAGTTGGCGGGGGGAGAAAATAAACAACAATCGTAATCACACATAAATGATGTGGCAGTTTAGCTGGTAACACATGTTATGAAGAATAAAATTGCCTGTGGAGGTTTGACACTTGGAGTAAGGAGAAGCAGAAGTCTCCATGTGCACGTGGAAGAGAGGACAACCTCACTAGGAAGGTGAGTTTTGAGCAAGGTCTAGAAGGGGGTCATCAAGTGACCCACACAGACACGTGAGGGAAGAACACTGGAAACAGCAGAAGTAGCCACTGCAAAGGATCGAAGGGAGGATGCCTGGCATCCTCGTGGGGCAGTCAGTAAGCTGATGGGGCTGCGGTCAGCACGAGAGAGAGTGGGGGCGAGGAGAGCAGAAAGGGATGGGGACACACAAAATAGGGAGGGCCTTGTAGGTTGTCATTATAAAGTGATGACATCCTCAGAGATGGGAATGACTGGAGGGCTTAAAGCATAGGACAGCATGATCTGCCGTAGATTTTAAGCGGATGATTTTGGTTGCTCGGATGAGCACGGAGGCTGAGAGACCAGTCAGGAGGCTGAGCCCCTAAGGTGGAGGGTAATGATGGCTTGGACACACAACAGCAGTGGGGGGCATGAGAAGTGGATTGTGCACATTCACTTTGGATTGTGTACATGTATCAAAGTATTGTTGTGGAATTGAATGATGGGAGTGTGTGTGAGAGAAAGGGTCCAGGAATTTGCTGTTCTGGGAGGGGGAAATTTTTTCTCATTAATGAATACTTGATCACAGGGACTATGGAAACAAATCACACAGATGGCATCCAAAAATAAGAAGGGAAGTTTGGGCGCGGTGGCTCATGCCTGTAATCCCAGCATTTTGGGAGGCCAAGGGGGGTGGATTGCTTGAGCCCAGGAGTTTAAGACCATTCTGGGAAACATGGCAAAACTCCATCTCTACAAAAAAATACAAAAATTAGCCGGGCGTGGTGGCATGCACCTATAGTTCCAGCTACTCAGGAGGCTGAGGCAGGAGGATCAATTGAGCCCAGGAGGTGGAAGTTGTAGTGAGCCATGATTGTGCCACTGCACTCCAGCTTGGGTGATAGCAAGACCCTGTCTCAAAAAAAATAAGAAGGGAGAAAACAGAGGAATGATGGATGGACTCCTCCTCCTCTTTCTCCTCCTCAAACATGCGGTTGAGTTCGAAGACCATTGGCTGTGTGTATGGGAGAAATGCTGACGTCTTCACCTCAGACAGTTATGAAAACAAATTCCAGATGGATTCAAAAAACAAGGTTTTCAAAAAATTATAAACGTCTTAGAACAAAATGTAAGAGACCCTGATTAATCCCTTGGGCTACAAAGGAGTTTTTAAGAATAGAAAGATTATAAAATAAGATACTGAGAAATGAGATTGCATCAAAAGAAAATTTATTATCTGGAAACCATAAACGAGATTAACTTTTGCCCCAAAAGTATTTAATTCAGAAAATAAATAGGCAAGCCATAAGCTATAAACTGGGGAAATTATTGGCAAAACATATATCTAGCAAAGGACAAGTGTGCAAGATCTATAAAGAACTCCTACAGGTCAACTATAAAATGCCCAGCCACATAATAAATGGGCAAAATATTTGAACAATTCTCCTATAAAGAAGTATCATAAAACAAGCACACGTAAAAGTATTCAACATCATTTGTCATTAGAGAAATGAAAATTTAAAACAACAATACACCACTACACAGCCACCGAAATGGATAAAGTTTAAAAGGTATCCAACCCAGGTATCCAAATGTTGGCAGGCATATGGAGTACCTGGAACTCTTCTTCATTTCTGGAGAGAATATAAAATTGTAAAACCACTTTGGAAAAAAGTTCATATGGTTTCTCAGAAAACTACACATATATCTAGTCTGACTGAGCAATTTCATTCCTAAGTATTAACCCAAGAGAAATAAAAACACATGGACACAGAATCACTTGCACCAGAAAAGTTCACAGCAGCCTTATTCATAATATGTAAAACCTGGAAGTACCTCAGATGTCTATTTATATAGAAAGCAAAAACAAACCATGGTGCATTCATACTCAGATATCAAAGTGAATGAATTCCTGATAACAGGCAACATGGATGGATCACAGAAACATGATGCTGAATGAAAGACTCCTTAAGGCTTAAGAACAGTGCATAATGTATGCTCCCATTTATATGAAATTATAGAGCAGCCCAAACCTGTAATGAAAACAATTCCTGCAGCATTGAAGAGAGGGATGCCTTCATTCATTTTTGTGTTGCTATAAAAAGAATACCTGAGGCTGGGTAATTTATAAAGAAAAGAGGTTTCTTTGGCTCACAGTCCTGCAGGCTGTATAAGAAGGATGATGCCAGGATCTGCTTCTGGTGAGGGCCTTAGGCTGGCAAAGAGGAGCTGGCATGTGCAAAGATCACTAGGCAAGAGAAGAAGCGAGAGAGGAGGGGAGGAAGGTGCCAGGCTGTTTTTAACAATCAGCTCTTGCAGGGCTTAATAGAGTGAGAACTCACTCATCACTGTGAGGAAAGCTCCAAGACATCATGGGGGCTCCAACCCCATGACCCAAACACTTACCATCAGGCTCCACCTCTAACGCTGGGGATCACATTGCAACATGAGATTTGGAGGGGTCAAACAAACCAAACTATAGCATGGGGGAGTCAGATGTGGGGGGTCGGGGCAGCCCCTCCCATAAGTGATCTCACAGGGCGAAGATCTGAGCTGTTGTCTCCCTGTGCTGACCAATCTGCTCTGGAGAAAGGGGATCTGACTGATCTGACGGGGTCAGGGTCCCAGTGTTCCACACATAGGTCCCAGGAGTTGGAGTTTCATTGCACATGAACTTCTCATCAGGGTATGTTGCAACAGATGCTCGGACAAGGTCCGCATGTCAGCAAGCCTTCTCTGCATCTAAGCTTACTTGCTGCTTTGTCTTTCTTCCTGCCTTACCCCCTGCCCAGCACCCCCACTGCTTGCCTTCCTATTATCCACCATACCCCTTCCTTAGCATTAATCTTTTCTAAATGAATTGTCTAAAATATATTACAAACTACCATAGCAGTTATGAACAAAAGTTTTGGAGATGGAGAGTGGCAATAATTGTACATCAATATAAATGTACTTATTGCCAGTGAATTGTGCATTTAAAAATTGTTAAAATGGTAAATTTTATGTTGTTTATACACAATATAAAACCATTACGCTACGTAAGTGAGCCCAGCCACAAAGAACCACATAGTCTATCTCTGCCCTAATTATCGTCAATTTCATATCGTCAACTGCAATAGCAGTTGCCTATAAAACAATCAACGACGTTAGCATGACGTTGTGACTGCCTTTGCATCAAATGTTTTTTTTCGGATAAACCTTTTGGAGGTAAAATTTACATGAAAAATGCACCTGTTTTATGTTCGCTAAGTTTTAACAAATGTGTACACTCAAGGCCCCACCACAATTCAGGTACAGATCATTTCCATCATCCTAAAAAATCCCCTTATGCTCCTTTGTTGTTAGTTCCTCCGCATATCTAACCACAAACAACCATTTATCCGCTTTCTGACATTTCATATTAATCTTGCTATTTCTAAAATTTGTTATACACAGAATCAGAGTATGCAGTTTTGGGTGTGGGTATTTGATAAGCATAATGGTTTTGAGATGTGTCTGTGTTGTTGAATAAATGTCAGGTTCATTCTACTCTATTTCCCAGTAGTACCCCATGTTCATAGTGGAATCATCCACAATAGCCAAAAGCTGGAAGCAACCCAGGTATCCAGCAATGTAGGAATGGGGAAACAAAACATACAATGGCATATTATTCAGCCTCAAAAGGAAGGAAATTCTAATACATGCTACAATATGGATAAAACCTGAAAAAAAACTATGCCAGGTAAAACAACCTGGACATAGAAGGACAAAGGTGTCATTCTACTTATATGATATACCTGGAATAGGCAAATTCATAGAGACAGAATAGTGGTTACCAGAGCTGTGGGGAATGTGTGCTGGGGAGTTATTGTTTAATAGGTACAGAGTTTCAATTTAGGATGATGAAAAAGTTCTGGAGATGAATAGTGGCGATGGTTATACAACAATATAAATGTACTAAATGCCAGTGAATTGTACATTTAGAAATTGTTAAAATGGTAAATTTTGTGTTATGTATATGCCATATAAAACTATTATAATACATGAATGAATCCAGCCAGAAAGAACCACATAGTCTATGGTTTCATACAGGAAATGTCCAGAGTAGGTAAACTCAAAGAGAGAAAGTCGATTAATGCTTGCCTAGAACTGGGAGGTGTGGGGGTATTAGAAGGTGATGGCTAAGGTGTACAAAGATTCTTTTTGGGGTGATGAATACTTTACAAAATTGTGTTGATGGTTGCACATTTCTGTGAATAGACTAATAGCCATTGAATTCTATACTTCAAATACATGGATTGTATTTTACATGAATTGTCTCTCAAAAAAGCTATTAGAAAAGAATCAGCCGATACAATTCATCTCAATAGTTGTGAACAAACTAATCGAAAAAAGCTAATATTCCTTTCAAAAAAAATCTTTCAGTAAAGTAGGAAGTGGACGGAATTTCCTTATTTCTTTTATGTGATAATGCATGCATTGAACGAAAAAAAACTTCAGTTAACAGCATACTGAATATTTTCCCCCCAAGATCAGGAAGTAGAAAATGAAGTCCATTGACTTCTCTTGGATTCAATGTTGTATTGGAGGTTGCAGCAAATGTGGAGGATAAGAAAAATTAAAATCATACAGATTTAAAAGGAAAGGGTAAACTACTCAATGCACAGAAATCCTGATTGTGTATGCAGAAAATCCTATAATCCATCTATAAAAAATTATAAAAAGTAAGGTATGAATTTTGCAAGGTGCTAGTATACAAGATCAATATATATAAAACAATTATTTTTCTGTAAACTGCCGTATACTAATACACGTACAAATGTGTGTGTGTGTGTGTGTGTGTGTGTGTGTGTGTGTGTGTGTATCAGCTGGTGGAGTGAAGAATTAATATTGGTAAGTTGTCCGTTTCAGCCAGAATCCAGAAAGCTGGTCTAGGGCAGCAGTCCCCAACCTTTTTGGCACCAGAAACTGGTTTCGTGGAAAAAAATTTTTCCATGGGTAGCGGGGGGATGGTTTTGGAATGAAACTATTCTCAGACATTAGATTCTCATAAGGAATGTGAAACCTAGATCCCTTGCATGCGCAGTTCACAATAGGGTTCGCACTCCTAAGAGCATCTAATGCCGCTGCTGATCTGACAGGAGGCGGAGCTTAGGCGGTAATATCCGCTCACCTGCCACTCACCTCCTGCTGTGTGACCCAGTTCCTAACAGGCCACAGCCAGTACTGGTCTGTGGCCTGGGTGTTGGGGACCCCTGGTGTATGGAATTGCTCCAAGACATATTGGCCTTATAAGACTTTTTAAGACAGCATGGATCTTGCACCTACCTGATCCGCATCTCATGTCCTTGAGCTTGGGGAGAGATCCCGCACAGATAGCCGTGTGGTTGGCTGCAAGGTTAAATTAGAAGAGAAAGGCCTGATGGTGTCAATGCTGACAGTTGTTGGTTTCTGCAAATGTAAAGGTAAGAAAGAGAAAGAAAAAGGCATGCAGATTAAAACAGAAGTTAAAGTAGCTTTATTCACATAAACATGATTCATAGAAAACGAAGAAGCTACCAGAAGTCAAAAGTGAATTTACCAAGGTCTCAGTATACAAGTCAATGTGTATTTTTAAAAATTTCTGTATACCATTGATGAATGATTGAAAACTAAAATTGGAATGATACCATTTACAGTAGTGTTTACAACTCACATAAAATACATAGGAATAAATTAGCAAAAGCTCTGCAAGTTAGACTCACAGAAAACTACAAAACAGTGGTTACAAATTTTCTCTTAAAAACCCAGATAGTAAATATGGCGTTATGGGTTGCTTATGGTCTTTTCCACTTAGTCTCGTTCTTATATTTTTAGACCCTTAATTTTTTCTTTTTCCTTGAGACAGAGTTTCGCTCTTGTTGCCCGGGCTGGAGTGCAGTGGCATGATCTCAGCTCACTATAACCTCTGCCTCCCAGTTCAAGCAATTCTCCTGCCTCAGCCTCTCGAGTAGCTGGAATTACAGGCGCCTGCCACCACACCCAGCTAATTTTTTGTATTTTTAGTAGAGATGGGCTTTCATCATGTTGGCCAGGCTGGTCTTGAACACCTGACCTCAGTTGATCCACCCTCCTCGGCCTCCCAAAGTGCTGGGATTACAGGCATGAGGCACTGCACCCGGCCAAAAATGTTAACACTGTACTTAGTCACTGGCCTTACAAAAATAGTTCAGGGGCCAATTAGCTTGTTGACCTTGCTACAAAATATTGTTGAGAGAAAATCTTAAATCTTAAAAGACCTAAATATATGGAGACATATATCATGCTCCTGTACTGGAAAAGTCAATATTGATAAATTGTCAATATTGACCAGGATCCTGAAAAGTCTTTCTAAAAAATGAGACAGGCCCAGGTGCAGTGGCTCACACCTGTAATCCCAGCATTTTGGGAGGCCGAGGTGGGTGGATCACCTGAGGTCAGGAGTTCAAGACCAGCCTGGACAACATGGTGAAACCCCGTCTCTACTAAAAATACAAAAATTAGCCGGGCGTGCTGGTGGGCGCCTGTAATCCCAGCTACTTGGGAGGCTGAGGCAGGACGATTGCTTGAACCCAGGAGGCAGAGGTTGCAATGATCGTACCACTGCACTCCAGCCTGTGCGACAGGGTAAGACTCCATCTCAAAAATAAAACAAAACAAACAAGACAGGGTCTCGCTCTGTTGTCCAGGCTGTAGTGCAGTTGTGTGATCATAGATCACTATAACCTCATACTCCTGGGCTCAAGTGATCCTCCCACCTCAGCCTCCTGAGTAGCTGGGACTATAGGCGTATGCCACCATGCCCAGCTAATTTTATTTTAAAATTTTTTTGTAGAGACAGGGTCTCACTGTGTTGCTCAGGCTGGTTGCATACTCCTGGTCTCCAGCATTTCTCCTGCTTCAGCCTCCCAGTGTTGAGATTATAGGCAGGAGCCACTGTGCCCTGCCATAAAGCTTTTAAATCAGCATGAATCCTGTGCCCACCTGATGTACCATCTCCCATCCTTGGCTTTGGGAGAAGATAGGCCACAGGGACCTTCATGGTTTGCTGCAAGCTCAATGAGAATAGAAATGCCCAATGGGGATTTGCTTGTGAACAGCAGTCCCAGGTCATCTTCAGAGGAGACCAAGGCCCCATTGTGGCCAATGGCCAAGATCTGAGTTTGAAGCAAAAAGGAAAGACTTCCTAGTGGGCCACGTAAGTGCTCATTATATGTGTGCCATGGACTAAGGACAATAAAAAATGGTAATACGTGATTTGTGCATAAATAGAGTCAGACAGCCTGGGTCAAATCCTGGCAGGGTCACTACCAGGGACTAGGACTGAAATGCTGTTTTACCAAATTTGTAAAAACAAGCGAAGAGAGCCTGCCTCCCAGGAAGAGATGAGGTTGGGTGCAGCATTCAGGCAGGTCAGGCCACAGGTTTCCCTTCTCAGAAAGCTTCACAGCCCAGCACGTCACGTCCCAGGCTCAAGTCTCTCCAGGGCGGCCACAGAGAAGGCTCCTGACACCGGGACTTGGAGAGGTGATCACAGAGGAGCATGAAGGAGGTGGTGGCCTGAGGAGGGGAGAGGGGAAACAGATGTCTTCAGCAGCAGCTGCCTAAAAGGATGAGGGTCCAGCCTTTTGTGCTCCATATTTGCACCCCATGATGGCGTCTCCTCCTCATCTTAGCACCTGCTGCAGCTACCTGGCCTCTTGGGTACATCATTCAGCTCGGGAACCAGCATAGCCCTCTTCCCTCCCCAGCTCCCTCTCCCACACCTGGCACTTCCAGTGAACCTGGTGCTGGGAAGACCTGGGCTGCTTCTGTACTCGCTCTGAGCAGGCTCTGCCCTCCAGTGACCCCAGGATACACCTGGACTGCTTGCAGAAGCTACGGTCCGGGCCAGGCTTCGCGGAGCCTGCAGACCTGGCTGCTGGTGCCCAACAGCTGCAGTCCTGAGCGGTGCTCATATCGCGCAGGGGCCGGTCTGGGTCTAAACAGCCGCTACCGGGTAGGCGGAATCCCGAAGCTCGAGAGTCCCCTGCTGGGGCTGGGCCGTTGGACCTCGCCCTTTGCCCTCTGCTGCGTTTCTTCGAGCCCTGGCCTCGCGCACCCTTTCTCTCCACGCGTTCCAACGGCGGCTCAATTGCGTAACAGGGTGTGCAGCGCACAGGCTGCTCTTCACCGGCAACCTCTTCTACAAGCTTCATACGCGCCCCTCGTCCCCCATCTGGTCTGGATCGCCTCGCGGTCCCGGCACAGAGCTCTCCTCGACCTTGCTCGCCCAGGTTTACTGCAGTCCCGCGCCTTTTCGGTTGGACATCACCGCTAGGAGGCGGTGTCTGATTCCGCAGGCTCTGGGCTCCTCTCTGGGGTTCTTACCTTGAATGTGTGCGGGACTCTGGTGTGGAGGTCTCAGGAGCCACTGCTGCCGGCTAGCACTACTAGGGTGTTCAGCTGAATATCTTGGAATGGTAGAGTCCTCCTCCAGGCTGCAAATGACTCCTTTCTGTTTGGGGTTTGAGCAGGTAGTGATCTCTACGAAGCTGGGCCACCCTGTCCTCCCCTCCATACTTGCCTCAGAAAGACTGAGTTGAAGTCCCCAGGAGAGTGCAGGAAAGGAAAAGCTAAGGCAGAGGGAAAAAGTAGCAAAAGAAGGATAATTAGAGAAGGGCTCCCCCCTCACCCTCATAACAGCGGGAGTGTCTGGAAGATCAACGGTGTCATCTTGTGGTCACTTCCTTCCAGTACAGTCCTGGACTCCTGAAAGGAAGCCTCTGTTCCAAACACCCAGAAGACACCTTGAGTAAGAAAGCATCTTCTCTGAGCCCATTTGCCAAAGTCAGTGACATCGCCAGCTTATACAGACCTCTTTGGAGGTCTGCCGTGGGTTCAGCAGGGCTGTCCCGTCCAGTCTTATCTGCACTCTGCTACTGGAGAGGTGGGCGAAGGAAGATGTTGATGGAGGCCATTCACCCAGATCTCCAGCCTCACTAAAGTCAGACAAGACACAGGGAGAAAAAGCTTCCAGACACTCTCAAGAAGGAACTTTCCAAACACATCTAACAGCTGTGAGCTCTGTAACTCCAAATTCCAGTACTCCTGCTGCTGCCACTGCCGCTATTGTTGGGTGGAGGAGAGCTACCTCTGCCCCCTAGGTTTCCTGTATAGTCACTGCTGAAGACCTAGGCTTGGAGAAGAGAGGTGAGCACCAGTGGAGCCCCAAGGCGTTGGAGGATAAAACTGAGGCCCCTTCAGACAGCAGGGCCACTCAGCCTGCCTGTTCTTTCTCCCTTTCTGCTGAGAAAATTTCAGACTTCCTGACTGTGGCCACTTTCATCATGTGGATCCTGGCTCCTGCCTCATTAGTAGACACTGATTCAGCTGACCTGTTTGCCAGACCCTCCAATCCTGACTGCCCCTGTACTTACCCCCCCCCATCAGATATTGATCATGAAACGAGAAGCCCTACTTATAATTCTCCTTTCACCATTCTTGCTGAATCTCCTTCTCCCTTTAGGATTAATAATAATTGTTAGTCCAAGCTGCACCATTTTGCAAGTCCCTGCCATTTCACAGACCCTGGTCAGAATGAAAGATTCCATGGGGCCCTGGGCTGTGAGAAACATCCTGCCCAGCCACCTGACTTCCTTATCACATCCTGCTGGGCAAAGGCCCAAGGAACATCTTTATCAACATCCTCCTGGGCAGCAAGCCATACGGGCCCAGACCCCTCCTGCCCAGACCTGTAATTACCCCAGCCTGTAAGCAGCAGTGAGCTCTGGCACCAAGCTGGTCCCCTCTCTGCAAGTTGTACTGGCAATAAACCTGTGTTGCTGTAGAGCCACCAACTCTCTCTCTCTCCCCTTCCCTTCAAAACCTAACAATAATAATGATAGAATAACAATAAGGCAAACCACCCAATTAAAAAAACTGGACAAAACATTTGAGCAATAATCCCTTTCCAAAAGTTGATTCAGAAATGTTCAACAGGCCCACCAAAAATGCTCAATATTATTAATCATCAGGGAAGTTTAAATGAAAACCACACTGAGATGCCATTGCACATCCACCAGAATGCCTGTAGGGATGTAAAGCGCTTGGAACACTTCTCACTTGCAGTAATAATATAAAATGGTACAATCACATTGAGAAAATGTCATAAAACTTATTATAAAAGTAAACATACACATTCTTACTCAGCACTTCCATTCTGAATTATTTCCTTGAGAGAAATGAAAACATGGAAGATTTCTCATTGCAATGATAATATGAAATGGTACAATCACATTGAAAGAATGTCATAAAACTTACTATAAAACTAAATATATACTTATTCTTACTCAGTGCTTCCATTCTGAATTATTTCCTTGAGAGAAATGAAAACATATGTACACAAAAAGGCTTGCATGACACAAAAAGCCTTGCATAGTAGGCAAAATTCATAAAAGCCTTATTCATAATAAGCATAATATGGAAATATCCCTGATACCAATCCACATGAGAATAGAAAAAGAAATTATGAAGTATTCATATTACTCAGCTATCAAAGAAAATAACCCCTGATGACAGACAACAAAAGTACAAAAGCACAGCATTCTGCTAAGTGAAAAGAATCCTTGCACAGGAATGCATACTGCATGTCCCTATTTATATGAAAAGCTAGGACAGCCAAAACTAACCTATCTTGGGACAATCCTTGAAGAATTGGAGAGGATTGACTGAACCTGGAGGTACAACTGGATCACAGCAGTGAGCAAATCAGGGCGTTGGGTCGAAATCAAAATACAGAGATAAATCTCTATAAATATAAACTGTTTTATTTGGGAAGTGAAAATTGCAATTCAGGGCACACAACTGGGCAGCCTTTTAGAAGAACAAATAGAAAGAGGTTTCGTTAAAAGAGCAAAGACAATTTATTTTGCAAAGACAACTCATTGGCACTAGTAAAGTTTTGGGGAGCTGGCAAGTTCTGATTGGTAAGTGATAGCAGTGGGTAAAAGTAATCATAGAGTCCGGCAGGTTGTTTCAGAAGCTACTACATAAAACCGTTTTTGGGTTACAGCAGGCAATTTCAGCAGCTAGGCTTGCAAAGAATTACATTCTTGGCGTGCCCTGAGTGTGTTTTCTCCTCCTGGCCTTCCAATTCTGTTTTAGTTGGGTATAACAAGAATGGCTCAATTTATATAATCAACTTTCACACTTGCCAGCCATAGGAAGCCAGGGCATCCTACCCATAAGTGACTCTCTCTCCAAGGGCTGAGCTGTTCTCTTCCTGTGCCGACAAACTGCTCCAGGGAGAGGGGATCTGGCTGATCCAACATGGGTCAAAGTCCCACAGTCCAGATATATGTGTCTCAGAAGGTGGGGGGTTCTCATGGTCCATGGACTTTCCTTCAGATAATGTTGGAATTGCTCCGAGAAGGGCTAGTGATTTTTACCCCTATGTTCACCATGCCTTTTCTGCACACAAGAGTGCTTGTGTCTTTGCTCTCTTCTTGCACTGCTCCTCCCGGCTGACCATCTTCCCATTCTCTGCCGTGCCCCTACCTTAACATTGTTTTCTAAATGAACCTTTTTCATGTTTAAAAACTGTTATAACAGTTAGAAAGAAAATCTGGCCTTCTCTGCCATTATTATGGCCAATTGCATCTACGTAGCAAAATCTGTTTATAAAACAATGATTTTAGAATGATATTCTTTCTACCTTTGCTTCGTTTTTTTCAAATCAAGTTTTGGAGGTAAAATTCAGCAATTTCAGCGGCTGCTGAGAAAAAAATTCAGAGTCAGGACCTGCCAATGAAGAGGGTCCCCAAAAAATACTCAGGTTTTCATGTAAAACGTCTGAAAGCCAGTATCCCAGAAATAAGGATAACAGGAGAGAGCCAGCCTTCAAAAAGAGTGAAGCATGGCTCTGACTTACATTAATCTCAGAATAAAGTGTGCTTTCCCATCCTAGCTGCCTTCTACATCCAAAGGTAAATCCCTTCAGAGGATTTATAGTAGCATCAATAAACATGAAATAAATCTACAAAAGACATGCAAATCGACAGGAGAATTCCAGAGCTAAATGTGAAAAGTTAAGCAATAAACCTCATAGTAGGCATCACTGAAAATTTCCATGATATTGGAAGTGATGCTGGGCAGGCAAGCCCAAATTGGGGCTTAGCTTGGGAGGGTTCTTTGCTTCACCCAGCAAAGGATTCAAGGGTGAGCTGGTGGTGGAAGAAGACAGCTCTATTGAAGAGGCAGTGTTACAGCTCTGTGACTGCTCCTGCAGAGCACGGTTACTCTATCGGCAGGGCGCAGAGAGCAGCAGCTCAGGGCAGTTCTGCAGTCATATTTACATCTACTTTTAATTGCATGCAGATTAAGGGGTGGTTTATGCTGAAATTTCTAGGAAAAGGGTAGTAACTTCTGGGTCATTGGGTCATTGCCATGGAAAGGAGCAGTAATTCCTGCATGTTGCCATGACAAATGTAAACTGACATAGCACACTGGTGGGTGTGTCTGATGGAAAGCTGCTTCCACCCTGACCCTGTTTTAGCTAGTCCTCAATTTGCTCCAGTGTCCAAGCCCCGGCTCTGGAGTCGAGTCCTGCGTCCTACCTCAGAAGTAGTCGAAAACATACACATGAATGTTCACAGCAGCATTATTTCTTTCTTTTTTTTTTTTAAAGAGAGATGGGGGTCTCACTATGTTGGCCAGGTTGGTCTTGAACTCTTGGTCTCAAGCAATCCTCCCTCCTCAGTCTCCCAAACTGCTAGGATTACAGGCATGAGCCACTACACCTAGCCACAGTAGCATTATTATTTCTAATAGCCAAACATCCATCAATAATAGAATGGGTAAATTATATTTGTTCAATGGAACATCACACAGCAATATAAAAGAATAAAGTGCTGCTAAAAGCAACAACATGGATGAATTTTATGAAGTGTTGAATGAAAAGACACAGCCACAAACAGGACACATGGTAGGGTTCCATTTATATAAAGTTTTTAAATAGGCAAAACTAATCTATAATGTTAAAAATTTGGGAGGGGCATAGTGACTAGGAATGAGCATGAGGTTGATTCTGAGGTGCCTGTGTTTTGCTTCTTGATCTAGATTACATAGGTTTGTTCATTCTGCAAAAATGTATTGAGGAATAGACAGATGATTTGTACACTTCTGTGTATGAATGTTATATTGTAAAGTTTCTTGAAGAATACCTGTTTACAAGAGTTAGAGAACATGGAAGCTCTTTCTCTGAGATAAAACATCTAAAAAGACAAAAATTAGCCGGGCGTGGTGGTGGGTGCCTGTAATCCCAGCTACTCGGGAGGCTGAGGCAGGAGAATGTCTTGAACCCGGGAGACAGAGGTTCTAGTGAACCAAGATCACACCACTGCACTCCAGCCTGGATGACAGAGGAAGACTCTGAGACTCCGTCACAAAAAAGAAAAAACAAACAAACAAACAAACAAAAAAGCCCTAAGTCATATCATGCCAGTCTCAGCAGTTTGAAACCCTCCATGGTTCCCATCTCTCAGTAAAAGGCAACGTTCTTATGACATCCTTCAAGGCCCCATGTAGTCTTTTGGTCCCTCTCCATCTCTGTCCTCCTGTCATCCACGTCTCCCACGTGCTGATTGGGTCTGGTAGGGTGACTGGGTGGCAAAGACCTCACAGAGGTGCCTTTCTGCTCAGGTGGCAAACAGGAGAGTCTATCTGGGCCCTGCAGGATGGATCCTTCCTGAGTCACTGAATATATTGGAGGTGCAGACAGCGCCAGAGAAAGGCATTGAGCCTGCCAGATCAGACACCGCCTCTTAGGGTCGACGGAACACCCAGGAGCAAAGACCAGAAATTGTGGGAGAAAGGCCTGGAAGGGGGCCGGGGAGAGGCACAGAGACAGCGAGGTGATGCAGGCTTGGTGGGAGCGGGTATGGTAGGCAATGGGGGACAGAGGGGCAGGGCACAGACAAAGCTTGCTGAAGATATGAAGAGCAATTGTGAGCCGGCGAATCCTTGGAGTAGAGGAGAAAATTGAGGTCTCCTGTTCAGCCCGATGCAGGTGAGATGCTGTTGGAACACGTGACAGAGAAAGGGTGTGTGAGCCCAGGGCTTGTGCACTAAGCGCACAGGAGCGAAGGGGGCGAGAAGAAAAAACGACGCCCAGCAAAGAGCGTCAAGGCCCAACCGCCTGCCCCCAACCGGTCTCTAGCGCCTCGTGACCTTCTGCACTCCGTTGCAGGCGTTTGGCACCAGATGGTCCCACGCGCTCTGTTCGACGGTTGGGGGCCGCGGACGCTGGTTGTCAGCAGCACTGGGTCAGCCGGTGAACGGGTGTGCAGCGTCCTCAGCGCCGCAGCAGTCAGCACCTGTGGGTGCTCTAGCTCTTTCCCTCGGGGTCACCGGAGGCAGAGCCTCCCCTACGCGGAGTAGAGGAGCAGCTCACATGGTGCGGGGGTGGGGATCGGGCTTCCTGGAAGGCTGGAAATGGGAGTTGGGATAAGGGGTTGGCGAGGGCGGGGCGGCACCGTCTACCGGGGTGACCGGTGTGCCCTGGCAGCCAGGGAGTCTGCTGCAGGGCAGGTATTAAGATTCGGAGAGACATAGGACAAAGAACCCTCGGCCTCTTCTTTTCAGGCAGCCGCCACAGAGGACACCAGATCATGCCAACACCCCCACAACTCCTGCCCGCCTGCAGGCAGCTCTGGGCTCAGGACACCGCCTGCAAGAACCTTTATAGCGCAGCTCTCCAAACCTTGGAGGCGAGGACATTCTATGTGCCCGCCCTGGAAAGGCCTGAACCTATAACATCTGGGCTGTGATGGTTTCTGAGGTGGACACCAGGTATTCTAAACTGCCCACATGCTTCACCCCAAAACTTCCCTTTCTAACAGGCAGTGTATTTTCACTTCTTTTAAAATATTTGGTAAAACAGCATTTAAGCCTTAGAAAGTTCCCCATCTCACCCCAGCCAGGGTTTGAACCCATGCTGTCTGATTCCACAGATCATGCATTTAACCACCAGACTTTGGTGTAGCCTCACCGTGTGTGCATAATGGATTACACTTGTTTATAATACTTGGGGTGCTTAGCACCATGTCAGAGCTGTAATGAGTACTTGCACTGTTAGGAGGTCTAACATGGTTCAATTTATAAGTGGACCATTGGCCACACCGGGTCTGGCTCAGTCTCCTGGGAGGATGTAGGCAGGGACCACCAATTATCAGCATATCTCCATGATGAATTTCTCCAGACAGCGTATCACTCTGTCACACAGGCTGGAGTCACAGCTCACTGCAACCTCGAACTCCTGGGCTCAAGAGATCCTCCCACCTCAGCTTCCCAAGTAGCTGAGACTGCAGGCATGCGCCACCACGCCTGATAATTTCTCTTCTAATTGAGCTTTGCAGAAAGCCACACAGCTGTCTGAGAGCTATTTTCTCCCAGGTATAGGGACAGGAAATGGCACCTCAGACTTCTGCAGATTCCACCCTGGCTTAAAAGCCCATGCCCCCAAGGACACCAATCTTTCTTACAATAACATAGACTATCTTTCAGGGTCCTGGCCAAGATGGACAACTTGCCAATATTAACTTTTCCAGGCCACAGGGATGATATATATCTCCATAGATTTAGGTCTTGAGTATTTTCTCCTAGAAATATTTCGCAGCAAGGGTCAGCACTGCAGCCTATGGGCCAACAAATTTAGCCTGTAGCCTACATGTAAGGCCAGTGAGTGAAGGATCCTATTAACAATTTTAAAGAGTTGCAGCAGAATACACAGAAACACAAAGAGTCTGTGTCACAGACAACGTGACCCACAAAGGCTATGCTACTTATTAGGCTGGTGCAAAAGTAATTGTGGTTTTTGCCATTACTTTCAAACCGCAATTACTTTTGTACCAACCTCATACTATCTGGCTTTTTAAGAGAAAATTTGCAACTGTTTTGCAGTTGTCTGTGCATAGATCTTCCACAGCTTTTGCTAATTTATTTCTAAGTATTCTATGGGGTTTGTAAATGCTATTGTAAATGGAATCTTTTAAATTTTAATTTTTGATAGTTCATTGGTAGAATATAGGTAATACATATAATACAGTCCAGTGTCGCTTTAACAATGGGAATACCTTCTGAGAAATGCATCATTAGGTGATTTTCGTCATTGTGCAAACATCATAGACTGTACCTACACAAACCTAGATGGTATAATTGACTATACTCCTAGGCCATATGGTATAGCCTGTAGCTACAAACCTGTACGGCATATACTGAATTTGAGGCAATTGTAACACAACGTTAAGTCTTTGTGTATCTAAATATATCTAAACACAGAAAAGAAACAGTAACAATGTCATATTATCTTATGGGAACACTGTCGTATATGCAGTTCATTGTTGACCAAAACCTTGTTATGAGGTGCATGACTGTGTATGTACATAAATGTATATATGCATACATATTGAGTTTGTATATTGAACCTCACTGAAATCGCTTTTGATTTCAGGTAGTTTCTTTGCAGATTCCATAGGATTTTCTACATACACAATAATGTTTCTAGGAATCATGTTTCTGTGAATAAAGCTAGTTTTCCTTCTGTTGTAATCTACATGCTTTTTATTTCTCTTTATTTCCTTCTGTATTTGCCAGGACCAACACTTGTCAGCATGGCACAATCAGGCATTTCTCTTCTAAGTAGGATGTGCAGCCAAAAACTCAGCTGTCTGTGAGCTGTCTTCTCCCAGGAACGAGGACATAAGATGTACATCAGGTAGATACAAGATCCATGCTAGCTTAAAAGCTTTATGCCCCAAGGGCACCAATATCACTTGCAATAATTCCATAGGCCAGCTGTCAGGGCCCTGGGTGAGATTGATAATTGACCAATATCAACTTCCCTAGCCCCTGAAAATGATGATGATGATGGGGTGTGTGTGTGTGTGTGTGTGTGTGTGTGTGTGTGTGTGTGTGTGTACTCACGTACTATATACATATATTGGCATATAGTAGTATATGGACAAAACAACTGCTTTTGATATATTTACTTTTGTATTGAAACCTTGCTCATTTTCTATTTACATTTTGTAGTTTCTTTGTAGATTCTTTAGTGTTTTTTTTTTTTTAGTCTTGCTGTATCCCCCCTAGGCTGGAGTACAGTGGTGCAATCTCAGCTCCCTGCATCCTCTGCCTCCTGGGTTCAAGCGATTCTCTTGCCTCAGCCTCCTGAGTAGCTGGGATTATAGGCATGTGCCACCATGCCCAGCTAATTTTTGTTTTTTTAGTAGAGACCAGGTTTCACCATATTGGCCAGGCTGGTCTTGAACTCCTGACCTCAGGTGATCTGCCCACCTCGGCCTGCCAAAGTGCTGTGATTACAAGTGTGAACCACTGTGCCCAGCCCTCTTTCAGATGTTCTACATAGACAAACGTTTTCTGTGCTTAAAGGCACTTTTCTTTCTTCTCTTTTAATCTCTATGCCTTTTATTAATTTTTCTTATCTTCTACATTTGCTGCAACATCCAGGAAACTATCAAATACAAGAAGAGACAATGGATATTCTTTCCCAGTTCCTAATCATAGGTTAAGAGTATTCAGTATGGTATTAACTGAAGATTTTTTGTAGATATGCTTTATCACAGAAATGAATTCTCTCGAATTCCTGCTTTACTTAGAATGTTTTTGGTAAGTGGTGTGAGACCCACAGCTATTGAGATCACCATAGGACATTTCTCTTTTATTCTCTTAATATGATGAATTACATTGATTGATTTTTAGGTGTTAAATGAATCTTTGCCTTCCTGGGGAAAAACTTACTTAGTCACAAAAGATCATCTTTTTATATTTGGTTTTCCTAAAGTGTTGCCAAAGACTTTTGTGTCTATGTTATGAGCGATATTAATCTGTAATTTTCTCTTCTTGTTAGGTTTTGATATTAGAGTAATACTGGCCTTATAGAATGAGTTACGAAAAGTTGCCCCTTTCTCCACTTTCTGAAAGAGTTTGTGTAACACAGGTAAAATATTGTTCTTACACATTTGATAGAATTCACCTGAAAAACCGTCTGGAACTGCATATTTTTTCTTAGAGGATGTTTATAATTCCCCATTACCCTTTTAATGTCTTTCAGATCTGACTCATGCCCTTCCCTTTTTATTCCTAATATTGGTAATTTGAGTTTTCTCTTTGTTATTTCTTCTTCAATCTTGATAGAGGTTTCTCCATTTTATTACACTTTATAATTTCTATATTATATATAGAAATGTCTATAAATAGAAATTAATAGAATTAATGTGTCTCTATCATTTCTATTTCCGTGTCTATTTTTATTATTTCTTCTTTTCCATTCATTTTATATTTAATTTATTCCTTGATTCTTCTACTCAGGGTAGAAACCTAAATCATTGTTTCTTAAAATGTTTCTGTTTTAAACATAAACGCTTAAAGCTGCCACACTTTAGCTGTCTATCACAAATTTTGATTTGCTGTGTTTTGCTTATTCAGTCCAAAATATTTTATATTTTTCCTTGTTATTTTTTAATATATTGATTATATAAAAGTGTGTCTTGCTTTCATTCTAAATATGAATATGAGTATTTTAAATATTTAACTATTTAAATTTAATATTTATTATAGTATTTATTTATTTAATATTTAATCTGTAAATTTTAGGATTTTGTAGATATCATATTGTAGATATCTACAATTTTGTAGATAGATCTACAAAAATTCTATTGTGATCAGAGAAAACATATTAATCTCAAAATTATTAAGATTTATTTTTTGGCCCAATCTTAATGAACATTCCATGTGCTCTTGAAAAGAAACATGTGTTCAGCTGGTGTTGGGTTATATGTTTTACAAATACCAATAAAGTCAAGTTACAACTTCTGTAATCTTACTTTTTATTAAATTAACAAACTTTATTTTAGAACAGTATTAGTTTCACAGAAAAATTGAGGAGAAAGTGCAGTGTGTTCTCGTGTATCTTCTCCACCCGTACGTACACAGTTTATCCTGTTACTAACAACTTGGATTCATGTGGTACATTTGTTACAATTAATGATCCAATATTAATATATTAACTAAAGTCTATAGTACACATTATGGTTAACTCTACCTGTCATACAGTTCTGTGGTTTTTGACAATTGCATAATGTCATGTACCCATACTGTAGCATCATACAGAATAGTTTCACTACCCCAAAAATCTCCTGTGCTCCATGTAATCCCTTCCTCCCCCAAACTCCTAGCAACCACTGATCTTTTTACTGTCTCTAGTTTTGCCTTTCCAAATGTCGTATAGTTGGAATCATACAGTATTTAACCTATTCAGACAGGCTTCTTTCACTTTGCAGCATGAATTTAATGTTCTTCCATCTCTTTTCATGGTTCAACAGCTCATTTCTTCATATTGCTGAATAATATTCCATTGCATAGATATACCACAGTTGGTTTATCTATTCACTTTTTGAAGGACATTTTGGTTGCTTCTAATTTGGGGCAATTATGATTAAAACCGCTACAAACATTCATGTGCAAGGTGTTTGTTGTTGTTGTTATTTTTGTTTGTTTCATTTTGGAGTATTTACTATCTCTGAAAATTAATATAATGGGGGTGCTAATGCTAATTTTTTAAAATCAAGGTTAGCTCAAGTAGTTCTCCTTATATGTAAACTAGTACCATTCACTCATTAGGATAGCTACATAACTGCAAAATAATTCAAATTACACAGCAACACCCCTTAAAGATTCATCATATACTTAGATGATATGATTCGCACCACTTCCTGGTGGAGGCATTCAAATTATTCACAAGAAAGAGAATGCAATCTTACAAAGTTGATGGCATAGAACCTAAGAAACTTTTTCCATAATTAAGCAGTAATTCACAATACACATATCTCTGAGGCATTTGTTGTTACAATAGATGGGCTTGTTCCTCTCTTTAATTACAAAGAGAATGAGGCCCAAATAAAAAGTATCCTACATTTTTAATGACTGAAAATACAACTCAATACATATTCATATTCACTGGAGCTATAAAGCATAATCACTCTCAGAAAATTCTATAATAAAATTCACATTCATTTCTCCTCCTACTGATCTTACATGTATTAGCATACTAACTAAGCAGAGTGTGGTCACTCCACATTTCCGGAGCTCCTCTAAGCCAATTTCTGGAGCTACTCTAAGATATGGTTGGATTTTCTGAGAATGAAATGTTTTACACTCTATGAGGAACCCAACCAAAGAAGTTGACTAAGATCCTCTTCCCTTTTTCCAAGGGCTTTGATTTCTGATGTTTGCCTCCATATTGGTTAACTGTAGCACCATGGAAAACACAATACATGTATTCTTGTAATAACATTACAGAATTTTATCAAGAATCTCTGGAAAAGAGATAATTATGCTGTGTTTATACTGTCAAAATAACTTTAATAATGTACAAGTCAGTAATTTTATTTTTAAACAGGAAATCTGACTGAATTAAATACAGGTAAAACTTATAGGTGCTCATATCTCATAGATAAGCCAAATAAGATATCCCAAAAATGTTGTCTTAAAACTTATTAACTATAAAGGTTAGGTTCAACAATTGTTTATAAAGGACTGCAGTGGACCCTTTAAATTGAACTTCAGTGATTTGTTCGTATGTACAAGAACATCAAAATCCAGGGTATCATTTCATGAGAGCATGTCTAGAAACTCATCTTACTAAGAATGCAGGAGACTCTGAAAAGGTTGTCTTGTGATGCTTGAAACATATTCATGCTGATTTATGCTGGAGAAGGGGACACTGAGGCATTGTGATCAGCAGTTAAGGGCTTGCTCTTCCAGTTAAGCTGTGGTACATTTCTCCATCACACACTGCACTTGCCAACACTTGTGGTACATCAGTCTTGTTTGACAATTTTGTTCATCTCCCTTTTTCCTTTATGTTAAGGTGATCATCCACCTTACAGAAGCACCCATAGAATGATATTGCTCATTATGAAAACATTCCTTATGTTTAGGTGACTGCTTGTAGACATGCAGTCATTTTAATGTTTCCATTGAGTTATTTCCAAATTACATTGCAAAGGAGATTATTTTTTTCCAACACAGGAAATTAACTTGATATCATCAATAGTATGGAGGGTCTTGTGAGCTTTCATAAGAGATTAAGGCCCTTTATTTATCTGCCTCCTGACAGTGACCTGGGACACTTCAGCCTAGTCTTGAAGTACATATTCTTTTGGGACTCTGCAATCCTATGTTCATATTTTGAATCATCTTGTTCATACATTCCTCTATATGTGGAACTCTGGGAGGCATTTATACCGAGGATGTTCGAAACATCGCAATGCAGTTCTATGCCTGAAGAAGTCTTTTGCCTTGAAGCGGATTTCACATTTATAGTTTTGATGTCTTCATCATGTGGTCTTAAGGACTGCAGCTCCCATGATTCTCGCTGGAGCTGCTTCTTCACGGGCGTGCGCTGGCTAGTTGGCAATTGCTCAGTGATTTCTGAAGGTGCTAGCTTCTCTGCAACCGTGTCCCTCCTTCGTCCAAAAAAGAAGATCTGCTTTGGTCCATCAAGCGCTCTCTGCACATCCTCCAGCATAGTCAGAGCTTCCTCTCCATTTTCTGGATGATGCCTCTGCACCCAGGGCTGCAGCTTTTCTGGGAGGATGGCCAGGAACTGCTCCAGCACCAGCAGCTCCAGGATCTGCGCCTTTGTGTGCACCTCCGGCCTCAGTCAGAGAAGGTGGAGCTCTCCTTATGGACACTCTTCGTGGTGGGGAAGGGCGAACCCAGCGCTGTCAGGGAGAAACTGGGGAAGGCTGGCTTCGCAGCTGCTTCTGGTCCTGGTGGCCGGTGGGGGCCGTAGAGAAACCGTGTTGCCATTTTTTTCTTAAGACCAGGTCTTGCTCTGTCACCCAGGCTGGAGTGCAGTAGCACAATCACAGCTCCCTGCACCCTTGAACTCCTGGGCTCAAGCGATCCTTCTGCCTCAGCCTGCCAAGTAGCTGGGACTACAGGCACATGCCACCATGCCCAGCCAATTTTTTAATTTTTGTAGAGGTAAAGGTCTGGCTATGTTGCGGTAGGCCGTTCTCGAGCGTCTAGGCTCAAGCCATCACAGGCATGAGCCACTGCACCCAGCCATTTTGTACAAGTTTTTATGTGGACATAGATATCAACTCATTTGGGTAAATACTTAGGAGCACAATAGCTGAATCATATGGTAAGAGTATGATTAGTTTTGTAAGAAACCACCAAAGTGTCTTCCAAGTGGATATACCATTTCTCTACATCCTTACCAGCATTTGGTGTTGTCAGTGTTTTGGATTTTAGCCATTCTAATACGTAAGTAGTGGTGTCTCATTATTTTAATTTGCTCTTACCTAAGCACAGGATGTTAAGCATATTTTCATATCTTATTTGTCATCTGTATATTTTTGTTGTTGAGGTGTCTGTTCAGATTTTGGCCACTTTTTAATTGATTGTTCGTTTTCTTACTATTGAATTTTAAGAGGTCTTTTTATATTTCAATTACCAGTCCTTTATCAGAGATGTGTTTTACAAATAATTTTCTCCTAGTCAGTGGCTCATTTTTTCATTCTCTTAATAGTCTTTACCGAGCAGTAGTTTTTAATATTAATGAGGTCCAATTTATCTTTTTTTTTCTTTCATGGATCAAGCTTTTTGTGTTGTATCTAAAAAGTTATTGCCAAACCCTAGATCGCTTAGATTTTTCTCCTGTTATCTTCTAAAAGTTTTATAATTTTTACATCTGGGTTTATGGTAGATTTTGAGTTAATTTTTGTGAAAGTTGTAAGGTCAGTGTCCAAGTTAAACTTTTTACATGTGTAAGTCCAGTTGTTCCAGCACCATTTGTTGAAAAAGCTATCATTTCTCCATTGAATTGCCTGTGCTCCTTGGTCAAATATCAGTTAACTATATTTGTATGGTCTATTTCTGGGCTCTTTATTCTGTTCCATTAATGAATTTATCTGCTTTTTCTTCAATACCACACTGTCTTGACTACTGTAGCCTTATAGTAAGTCTTGAAGTTGGGTAGTGTCAATATGCTTTGTTCTTTAATACTGCGCTGGATATTCTGGTCCTTTGGACTCTCCATATGAACTTTAGAATCAGTTTGTTAATATCCACAAAGTAACTTGCTGGTATTTCTATTGGGATTTTGTTGAAATACAGTAAATTTGAGAATAAATCACATCTCAACAATATTGAGTCTTTCTAAAAATGAACATGGAATATCTTTCCGTTTGATTAGATTTTTTATCTCTTTCATCAGAGTTTTACAATTCTCCTCATATAAATCTTGTGCATATTTTGTTAGATTTATACCTACATATTTCATATTTGGAGGAGCTAATGTAAATGGTATTATAGGTATTATGTGTTTTTAACTTGAAATTCCAATTATTCATTTCTACTACATAAGAAAACACTTGTCTTTTGTGTATTAATCTTGTATCCTGCAACCTTACTATAATCACTTATTAGTTGTTAGAGGTCATTTGTTGTTGTTATTGATTCTTAGGGGTTTTCTATATAGACAATTATGTATCTGCCAAAAATGACAGTTTTATTTCTCCTTCCCAGTCTGTATATATTTTCCGTCCTTTGCTTATCTTGCTTCATTACCATGTTGAGTAGAAGTCCTTGCCTTGTTCCCAGTATTAGAAGAAAAGCACCTAGTTTATCACCGTTAAATATAATGTAGGTTTTTTTGGTAGATGTTTTATCAAGTTGAGAATATTCTACTCTTAATTCTTAGTTTGCTGAAAGCTTTTTATCACAAATAGGTGTTGGATTTTTCTCCAATGCTTTTTCTGCATCTATTGATATGATTATATACTTTTTTTCTTTAGCCTGTTGATATGATAGATTGCATTAATTGATTTTCAAATGTTGAATCAGACTTGCATACCTGGAATAAATTCCACTTGGTCATAATGTATAATTCTTTTTATACATTTTTTGTTTTGATTTGTTAATATTTTATTGAGGCTTTTTCCATTTATATTCATGAAAGATATTGATCTGTAGTTTTCCTTTCTGCAATGGATTTGTCTGATTTTGGTACTAGGATAATGCTGTTCTCATAGAATGAGTTAGGAAGTTTTTCCTCTGCCTCGGTTTTCTAGAGCTGCTTGTAAAGAACTTAATTTCTTTCTCAAATATTTAGAATTCACCAGTAAAAGCACCAGGGCCTAGTGCTTTCTGTTTTGGAAGGTTATTGATTGTTGATTCAATTACTTTGATAGATACAGGCTTATTTCTATTCTCTATCCTTTTGGCAGACTGTGTCTTTCAAGGAATTGGCCATTTAATCTACGTTATCAAATTTGTGGCATTCTAATATTTTTGTTATGCTTTTAATATCTGTGACTCAATAGTGATACTCCTTTTTGTGTCTTCTCTACCTTTTCTTGGTTATTTTATTTAGACATTTATCAGTTTTATTGATATTTTCAGAGTCAATTTTGGTTTTATTGATTTTTTTCTATCGTTTTCCTGTTTTCGATTTCACTGATTTCTGCTCTAATTATTTTTCATTTCACTTACTTTGGACCTAAATTGCTCTTCTTTTTGTAGTTTCCTAAGGTAAGGGTTGAGATTGATTTTAGATTTCTTCTGTTCTAATATATGCATCCATTTCTATAAATTTCCTTCTAAGAACTATATGCTCTGTGTGCCACAAATTTTGCTAAGTTGAGTTTTCACTTTAATTTCATTCAAAATATTTTTTAAATTTTTCTTGAGATTTCTTTGACTCATATGCTACTTCTCTTTTGAGTTTTATCAGCCTTGTTTCATATAATGTGAAGCTCTAGTACTGGGTGCAAAAACATTTAGCATTGTTATGACCTATTGTTGAATTAATCCTTTTATCATTATCAAATAACTCTTTTTATTCCTTATCACATTCTTTGTCTGAAATCTACTCCATTTGATATAACTATTCCAGATTTCTTTACATTGGTGTTATTCCATCCTTATCCTTTCAGTTATATTCGTTTTTGTGTTTCAAGTCTTTTTTGTTTGTTTGTTTTGTTTTGTTTTGTTTTGTTTTTGCTTTTGTTTTGAGACGGAGTCTTGCTCTGTCGCCCAGGTTGGAGAGCAGTGGTGCGATCTCGGCTCATGCAAGCTCCGCCTCCCAGGTTCACGCCATTCTGCTGCCTCAGCCTCCCAAGTAGCTGGGACTACAGTCACCCACCACCATGCCCAGCTAACTTTTTGTATTTTTAGTAGAGACGGGGTTTCACCGTGTTAGCCAGGATGGTCTCTATCTCCTGGCCTCATGATCCGCCCGCCTCGGCCTCCCAAAGTGCTGGGATTACAGGCATGAGCCACTGCTCCCAGCCTCAAGTGTTTTTTTTATACATAGCATATAGTTTTGTATTTTTAATCCAATCTAACAATCTCTGCCTTTAAAATCATACATTTAGACAATTAAATTTAATATGGTTAGATGTCGTTGTGTTTACACTGACAATTTTGCTGTTGCTTCCTGTTTGTTCCATCTGGTCTTTGTTTCTTTTTCCTCTTTGTATACCTTCTTTTGGATTATTTTCATGATTCCATTTTATCTCTTTTGTTTACCTACTAAATATAATTCTTAAGTGTTTTTAAAGTGATTCTTTATATTATATAGGATATACTACATACTATAGTATAAACTATATAGAGTAACATATATAGTCTACCTCCAAGTAATATTATATTGTTTCACATATAGTATAAGAACTATACAATAAGAACAGTACACTTCCATTTCTCTCTTATCATTTGTGCCATTGTGCCATACATTTTACTTTTACAGAAAGTGTTTGACATGCACACACAAACACCCCCATACAAACACATATGTATGTATATGCATATATTTTTATATTTACTTTTTCCATTGCTACTCATTCGCTTGTGTAGATCCAGATTTCTAACTTGCACTATTTTTATCTTGCCCGGACTTCCTTTAGTTTTTTTTTTTTAATGAAAGGTATGCTAGCGATAAGCATTTACGTGTATAAAAAGGTTGAGTTGTGTGTGTGTGTGTGTGTACCTTCACTTTTAAAAGAGTTTCACTGGGTGTAGTTTTAGCACCTGTGTCTCCACATTCTGGCAGGTTCACAGGGTATAGGTTCACAGTATTTTTTTCTTTCGAGTTTTAAAAAATGCTAACTCATTGAGTTCTAGCTTGTGTATTTCCAATGAGAGGTGTGCCATATTCTGTTTCGGGGGAACTTTTGAAAATAATATATTCAAGTTTTGTTCATTCGTCTGTAGCTACATCTTACTTTTTCTTTGTTTCTCATTAGAACAATGCATGTGTTCTACTGGAACACATAATGTGTGCTTTTTCTTGGGATGTCTTTTGATTTTCTCCTAGAGACTAAGCAGTTTGATTATGATGTACCTGGATTTAGTTTTTTTCATGTTTTTTGTTATCTGATATCTTAAATTCATCATTTGTGTGATGGTTTGAGGTAGGGGTAATTTCCATATGCACAACCAATGAACTCAACCACATGTATTTAGGAGTCTGTTATCCTCCCATGTCCTCCCTCCCTATTTTCCCCTTCTAGGAATTCTCCCTCGGCCATCTTTTTTCACACGCCCAGTGACCGAGTATACCTTGATGAGGCCAAAACCTTTTCTAAACTCAAATAGCAAGTCTATGGATTCCTTCTTCCTTTTCCACACATACTCCTGCCATTCAGGCCAACAGAAAATGCTTCAAAATATCTACAAATTTTACTTCTCATCACCTGCACCACCACCACTGTGTCCAAGCTTTCATGATTATGACCATAGCCACCTAAATGGTCTCTCATCCCCAGAAACCAGAATGATCCTATTAAGCCTCAGTCAGATCACGTCATCCTTTGCTCCAAACCCTCCATGATTTCCATCTGTGAGTAAAAGGCAATGTTCTTATCACATCCTCCAAGGCCCCACTTAGTCTCTTCATCCCTCTCCATCTCTATTCCCCCTTCTTCCCACTCTGCAAAGTGCCAACTTCATCCTGGTCCCCTATTGAGTTGCTCACTGCTCCCTGCGGGCAAGAGACATCCTTCCTCTGAGCCTTTACAGTGGCTAGTCCAACTAATTGGAATGCCTTTCCCTCAGATAACTGTGTGGTTTGCTTAATTGTTGCCTTCTAGACTTTGCTCAGATTCCACCTTCCCAATGAGGTTTACCATTTCCAGTCTATTTAAATAGAAACTCACACTTCTCTCTAGCCCTAAACTCAATCCTACGTTGGCTGCCCTTCGTCTCCCTGCAGTTGTTACTGGAACCTATCAAATAATTTACTAATTTATTACATTTGTTGTTTATTTTATTTTCTCCAACTAGAATTAGGTTTCATAAGATTTTTATCCTTGTTTTTAAAAAATTGATGCTATTACCTAAAGTATTCCTTAGACTACTCATTTTGTCTCAAATAATAATATATATGCCCAACTGATGACTAAATGGGTAAATGAATGGCTTTATGAATATCACCTACGTCTTCCATAGCCATGTCAGACTATTAGAAAGTTAACTTAATGTATGTTTTCCAAAACAACTCATGTCCGTTTATCTAAACCAGATGGCTAAAATAGCCCTGGTCTTGTTGGCATCGCCTACTTCCCCTTGCCTCTTCCCTTACCTCTTCAACCATCCCACTGTCAGTTCCTCTAGACTGGGAGCTCAGTGGCTCATTTTTGCATTGGATCACTGCAAAAAAATTTCCTAAGCCTATCTGCTTCTATTCTGGCATCTATTTAATTCTTCCTTTCAGGGAGGCATAGAGTGTTTCTAAAATCTACATATATCATGTAACTTCTTTGCTTATCCTTTCACGATTCCTCATACTTTGTGGATAATGGACAAATGCCCCCTGATGGTATGTCTGTTTGTCCATGATCTGCACTTGCTGAACACAGCAGCCACATCTCCCAGCTTGGGTTTCACTCTCCAACCACATTTGATTACTTGCCTGGTGTCCCACAGGGTCATGATCTCTTTCTTCCTTGACTTTTAATTTAATTTAATTGAATTTAAAGTTCCAGGATACATGTGCAGGTTTGTTACACAGATTAGTCTTCCCTGACTTTTAGCATGCTATTTCTTTGACCCCCAAATAGCCTTTCTCTGCCTGGACACTTCTTCCTTCTTCTTTTTTTTATTATTTTTTATTTTTTCCATCTCTCTCACACCTAGTTTTATGTCCTTCTTACCTACTCCCGTATCGCCACCACTATCTTTCCAGGTGTAATATTTGGTTTATCTATCTGTCTCTCTCTGCTATACTGTAAATTGCTGGGCTGCAAGAGATAAATCTTTGAATTCTATATCACCAAGACCTAGCACTGTTTAATATAATACATTGACTCTTGAACAACACAGGTCTGAACTGCACAGATCCACTTACATGTGGATTTTCTTCCACTGCGGCCTCTCCTGAGACAGCAAGACCAACCCCTCCTTTTCATCCTCCTCCTCCTCCTCAGCCTACTCAACATGAAAATGACAAGGATGAAACCTTTATGATGATCCACTCATCCATTTTCTTTTCTCTAGCTTATTGTAAGTATGCTGTATATAATACATATAACATACAGAATGTGTTAACTGTTCATGTTATCAGTGAGGCCTCCAGTCAACAGTAGGCTACTAGTGGTTAAGTTTTGGGGAAGTCACAAGTCATGCAGACATTTTGGACTGCGTGGGGGAAGCAGCACCCCTTACCCCCACGCATTGTTCAAGGGACAACTGTAATCTGTAAGCAGCTGAAGGAAATGCTTGTACTTTATTTTTCTTTCCACCATCTTAAGATACCTTCATGGGTTGTAAAATACTTTAAAAAGATTGTATTTTCAGCACAGTACAACTCCAAGGTCAGCCAAGTCTGTGTGAAATTATAAATCTTGTGACGATATTTTTGTGGTTAGGACTCGAGATAGACCAGTTATTTTTCCAAATAGAACCTATCCTGCTATTTACCTTAAAAGATAATCATTTGTAATGTGTCAAAGCAACATGATACCAATATCTATGTAATCTATTACATCCTAACAGACTTAAATTTTTTTTAAATTACGGAGCAGTCATGCGTGAGTTCTTTCTTCCTTTTTTCCTCCAGGCCCAAAAGCCTGATTGCCAAGCCAATCATCCATAGGTGAAAGTGTGAATGTTGCTGGACGTGGTGGCTCACACCTGTTATCCCAACTCTTTGGGAGGCCAAGGCGGGAGGACCACTTGAGCCAAGTTTGAGACCAGGCTGGGCAACATGATGAGATCCCCATCTCTCCCCCACAACCCCCTGCAGCCAAAAAAAAAATTGTGAATGTGTGTGAATTACTGGCATACAACTAAATTAAACAAGCAAAAAAGACATTTAAACTCCATGTTCTAGATCCTGGGCCCTGGGCCACAGAAACTTTGCACAGTTAAGCCTGGCTCAACAATCATGGCTTATACAAGTCAGTATTTTCTCCATCATTGAGTTAGAGCAAAAACACATGAGCAGAGGAAACATGGCAGACATAGATAGCAGTGGGTGTCCTGACAGTTCCAAGACAGGAGGAAACCCCCCCAAAGCTTAGGTCTTCCAGGATAACACTGAAACTAGAGTGTAGTGTTGCACGGCTGATACTCACCCATCTCTCTCTTCTCTCCACAGGTGAACATCTTAGGCTAGTGTGTCGACTTCTGACTTGGCTCATCTGAACCCAAGTCCTTGGACACATTCACAAACACCCCAGGGTCTTGGGCTTCCAGTTTGTGCTAGAAGGACAAAGGGCAGGTGAAGCTTGTTTGCCGTAACTAGAAGGAGCAGAAACTGCTCCCAGCAGAACAAGATCAAATCATGGGGAACAGTGGTCACCTGCCATTTCTAGAGGAAGCTTTTGCTTTTGGTCACTGAGGACCCTAAGTCTTACATGAGAAGAAAACAAATAGGGTGATGCTGCATGCTTCTGTCCCCAAAGAATCCCTGTGCAGGTGCCGAGGGTGCCCCAAAGACGAGGCTGTGCTTGCCGTGCCCACCACAGAAGCACATTTGACCTGATCAAAAGCAGGTGGAAAAGGTCCTGAAGCACAGATATTTTCTCAGTGATGTTGTTTTCTCCAAAATGAAAGAGGGAAGGTACCCTGGCTTAGGCCCCTGGTGTTCTGATTGAAGGTGAGAATGGAAGTATCTTCTTCAACATGTTCTCCCATCTGACTGCAACAAGTGTGCTCCAGCCACCAGTGTCCCAGTTGCTCTGAATGATGGTGAGAAGGGTACCCAAACACTTGAATGGTACTGTACCCTCTACTTGCCATCTGAATCCTCACTTGTGGAACCCAGGCACTCTGGCTGTATTCGCGAGTAAGCATAGGTGTGGGACTGTGTCCTGCCATTGCACCATCTTTAATCTGGACTTGTGGACCTCAGGCTCTCTGACTATTCATGGACAGAAGTTTCTGCAGGCACAGGTGGGGTGCTGTTTCCTCCCATTGTACACCTGAATTCAGGACTTGTGGACCCCAGGTGTTCTGGCTGTGTTCATGAACAGAAGTGTCCCCCCCAAACAAACCCATATATGGTGCCATCTCCTCCCATTACAGGTATGGTGCCATCTCCTCCCATTGCAGGCATTGCACTGCCTATACTCTGGACTTATGGCCCTCACATGCTCTGATTGTATTCATAAACAGTAGTTTCTTCAGTCACAGATATGGCACCAGCCCCTCCAACAGAAACAGATGTGCTCAAGCTGAGTGGTCCAAAGGCGTTTGACAGAAGTCATGAACAGAAGTATCTTGGGGCACATGTTTCTTCTCTGTTGTGCAGGCTTCTCCAGCAGTAACAGGTTTGCCCAGGCCATATGGGCCCCAAGCGCTCTGACCAGACACAAGAAGAGAAGACTTGCAGTCACAGGTAGTGTGTTGTCCCCTGCTACTGCAACATAGGTGCTTGGAAAGGTGCAACAGGGTGCTCTGCTTGTGGTGGAAACATAAAGGCCTCCAAGCATAGATGTGCTGCTTTCTCCTTCCCTTTGAGGGATGCAGATGTGCTCTGGCCAGCTGCATTCCAGGTGGTCTGTCTGCAAGACAGAAGTGTCCCAAGCACTGGTATGTGCGGGCTCCTCCAACCACAACAGACGTGCTTTGGCCAGATGGTTTCCAGGTGTTATGAACACAAGAAGGAACAGAGGTGCCTTCTGGAACATGTTTCTTCTCAGTGATGTTCTAAGAGGTGTGCTTTGGCAGGACAGGCCCCAGCTGCTCTGACTGTAGGCAGGGAGGAAAGTGTTTCCCAGGAGTTTTTGCTTTCAGTAGTACTGCCCTCTCCAACTGTACCAGAGGTGCTGTAGGCTTGCAGGAACCCCGGTGCTCATGTGTAAGCCTCCCCAACATAAACTAAGGTGCTGCATGCCCCTCTAGGCCCTGTTCTAAAGCTGAGTGCTTCAGATGTGGAGCTGGGTCTGGGGCAGACACACTGGTCCTAGAGCTGTCATTATCCAAAGAAGCCCCAGAGTCCATGAATGGAAATGGGTCGAGAGAGGGGTTAGCAAAAGGTGAACTGTGCCTGATGCTGAGCATCCAGTGATGGCTCCAGAGCTAGAAGTAGTGGCTGTGCAAATGGGAAAAGGACCCGAGGTGCCACCCAAGGCTGAGTGGGTGCTAGCAGAGATATCAAAGATGGATATGGAGGTAACACGTACGCAAAATCTGATGGCATTATGCTCCCATTGGGTGTCTGGGCTGCAGTAAAGGCTCAGTTTAGAGCTTGTATTGAGATTTTACGTTTCTCAAAGGGTAAATGCTATCAAATACATTGGGGGATCCTGCCAGGGGGAGGCTAGAAAGAGGACATGGTAACCATATTGATTTCATCAGAGTTAAAGGCAGACTTGGCTGCCCAGTTGGTCAAGGTCCTAGCTACTAGAAAACAGACAATTGCTGAAGTAGTGATAAGTATGATGGTGCAGACAGGTATCCTAGAAGACTGACTCTTTGCTGCTGCCCTTTAGGAGCTCCAAATGTGACTGAGAGGTGGCTTCTGGGCTAAAGGAAAGGTTCAAAGTGGGGTAGGGCTGTTTACCATAAACATAGGTGGGTTAGTGGGGACTGCCTTTTGCAGGGGGCTGTCCACTCCACACTGCAATGAGCCAGTCAAATGGGAGTTCCAAGACCAGAGGAAACCTAGCCCAGAGCTTGAGTCTTCCAGGCTAACCCTGGGTCCTGGGGGGACCAGGAGATGAGACCCAGGGAATAGTAGTGTCCATGTCGGTCATCTCAAAGGTTCAAAGCAGGCTGGGAGGTCAAGTCTGCAGATGGGCTGACTGGGCAGTGGAAGTGATAAGGTTGGCCAGTTAATGATGGGTTGATATATTCATCTGTTTTCACACTGCTATGAAGAACTATGTGGGGCTGGGTAATTTATAAACAAAAGAGGTTTAATTAACTCACAGTTCCACATGGCTGGGAGGCCACAGGAAACTTACAATCATGGCAGAAGGCAAAGGGGAAGCAAGGCATGTCGTACTTGGTGGCAGGAGAGAGTGCAGAGGAAACTGCCACTTATAAACCGTCAGATCTCATGAGAATTCCCTCACTATCATGAGAACAGCATGGGGGAGACCACCCCTACAATCCAGTCACCTCCCACCAAGTCCCTCCCTCCACACATGGGAATTACAATTCAGATTACAATTCAAAATGAGATTTGGGTGGGGACATAGAGCCAAACCATATCAGTTAGTCAGTGAAGACTGAGGTATCTGTAGAAGTGAGGGAGGAGCACAGTGGTCTGGATGAACCAGTGGGGTGATAGTCAGGGGACTGGCATTCAGTGAGGCTGGGGGAGAAGCTTCCTAAAAGCATTGCCCTTGAAAAGCAGGGCATACCTATCTGATACTGAGGATGTAGAATGCAGTTTGGAGATGCTTCCTAGCTACCTAATCTTCCAAGGCAAACCATGCACTCTTCATCCTGATATTTGTGATGCCTCCCTGGGCTACATGACAGAGGGTGCACTGCAAAGGATGTGAAGGAAAGTCACCACAGGGCAAAGGTGGAAACCCAGGGGCCTTTCCCCAGTGAGACTTTCTGGCTGTTCCTTTGGAACTTCCACCTGCTAGTTGCAGATGTTTGCCACTGGATGGGGCCCCATGCTACGTGGGAACTGTTCAGGACTGTGGGTACTTAGTTCCAGCAGAGCTGGCTCCACCAGGGCACCAGGACTGCAGGCTTCTCAACTCCTGGCCTGGAGAGGCAGCTTCAGCAACCAGTGCCTGGGAATCCACTAGCCCTTTCTCTGTGAGTCACGTGAGGGCAGAATCTGCTCAAAGTCAGAGGGCTGGAGCAACCTGGATTGTGCCAGAGTGAGGGCCCAGCTCACTGGAGGTCAGAGTAAGAGAGTCAAGGATGGGAAGAAACAGGGTTTTGCTCAGTCTTGCAGATACTGAGGCACTCAGGAGGCTCAGGATGGCAGCAACAGGGCATGTGCTAAACTTACCCTAGCCTCTTCCTTTTAGGCAGCCACCACAGAGGACATCTGTTTGCCTCTGTACCCTACCCCATCTCCATGCTGGTAGATATAGTCTGGGGATACCTTTAAAACAAACAAACAAACAAACAAAACAGGATCTGTCTATCACCTGTCCAAATCCTGAAGCAAAATGAGCCTTCTTTATGGCCACCTTGGAAAGGCCTGAGTCCCCAGCATCACCTGGGATACAAAGTGTTCTGAGGTGGGGGCAGAGTGCCCTCCTGCCCAGATGCCACACTCCACAATATCTCTTCCTGGCAGACAGGTTTCTCTTAACTTCCTTTGGCAAATTTGGTTTCACTTCCTTTTGCAACTTTAGAACCTTTCTCAGGTCAGTCATAAGGTAGTGGAGAAGCCAGGATTTGAACCCATTCTGTCTGATTCCAGAGCTCATGCATTAACCACCTGACTGTGGTGCCTCCCCATCATATGTGCATCAAGTATGATCATTTTTGTAGTTCTCAGAGTACTTAGCACCATGCACATCTGTAATAAGTACAGCCACTGCCTACTGGGAGGTCTAAAGGTTCAACTCATAAGGGACCCACAGGCCACACTGGGCTCCAGTCTCCTTAAAAGATGTGGGACGGAGATCAACAATTGTCAGCAGAACCCCATCAGGCATTTGTCTTCTCACTGAGCCTTGCAGCAAACCACACAGCTGTCTATAACCTATCTGTTCCCAGATTCAAGAACACAAGCTGCTCATCAGTTGGGTGCAGGATCCACTCTAGTACAAAAGCTGTGTGTCTCAAGGCATAATTCCTTATGATTACTTCATAGCTCTGCTTTTGTCTTGAGACAAAAGAAATTTCCTTCAATTCCTACTTTTGCTGAGATATTGTTTTTTGAAAAGCAATTAAATCTTGTCAATCACTTTTCCCACCTCTTTGAGATACTTACATGGCTTTTCTTCTTTATTCTCTTAGTGTGGTAAATTACATTGATTTATTTTAAATATGAAACCAGCCTTGAATTCCAGGAACAAACTCCATTTGGACATGCTAGAACAACCTTTTATATTTGTTTAGATTTGATTTCCTGAAGTGGTGTTAAAAGGTTTTCATATCTATGTCTGTGAGGGATATTAATCTGTACATTTTTTTATTACTATTTTCTGGTGTTATGGTAATGCTAGTCTCATAGAATGAATTAGGAAAAGTTGCCTCCTTCTGTATTTTCTGAGAGTTTGTGTGGCACTGGTAAAATATTTTCTGTATATGTTTGACATAATTCACCAGGAAAATTATTTGTACCTACAAGTTCCCTCCTGGAAAGATGTTGATAATCACTTATTATCCTTTCATTGTCTGCCAGATCTGTGGCATTGCTTTTTTCTCTGGTATTAGTAATTTAAATTTTCCCTTATTTCTTGATCAATTTTGGCAGAGATTTATCAATTTTATTAATCTCTTTTAAAAATCTGTATTGAGCTTTGTTAATTTTCTCTATTACATACTTTTTATTTCTACTCTTACGATTGCTATTTCTTTATTTCTCCTTTGGATTTAGCCCATTTTTCTATTTGTCTAATTTTAGGATTTAAAATTCAATCATTATTTTTAGATATTTTTATTTTTAAATATAAACATGAAAGTTGCAATATTACCTTGGGCACTGTTTTGACTGCATTCCACAAGTTTTTATTTGTCATGTTTTAATCACCATTCAGTTCAAAATACTTTCTAATGCTCCTTGTTATTTCTTCTTTGACCCATTGGTTATATAAAAGTACGTTTTGCTTTATTTCTAAATATGTGAAGACTTTCTAGATATCTCAGTTATTTATTACTAATTTAATTTTATTGTAGCCAGAGAAAATACACTGTATGTGTTCAATCTTTGGAAATTTCTTGAGACTTATTTTTTGACCCAGTATGTTTGCCCTCATGAACATTCCATATTCACTAGAAAAAGAATGTGTGTTCAAATAATGTTGGATATAGTGTTATGCAAATGCCACTAAATCAAGATAAATCTTTTGCACTCTTGTTTTTTGCCTGCTTGTTCTAACAATAAGTGAGAAAGAAGTGTTAATATCTCCAATTGTGATTGTAATTTGACTGTTATCCTTTGGTTTGGTCAGTTTTTGCCTGTTGAAATTCTGCTATTAAAACATAAACATTTAAGATATTTATATCTTCCCAAGAGAGATGCTAAAGAAAAGTGTAAAAAACCAAAGCCATTCTTATGTACATCAGAATATATGGACAAAAACTTTCACAGCAACATCATTATCGCAAGTAACTGAAAGCAATACAAAGGCACATCAACAAAAGATTGGACAGATAAATTGTTCCTTCAATGGCAATGAAAATGGATGTTACAGAGATACATGGATACATGGAACACCCTGAGTGAATCTTACATTTATTTTGCAGAAGATATCAAACCAAACAGAGCACATATTATTCCATTCATGTAAAGGTCAGTAACAGCCACATATAAGCTATATTTTGGAGATTCATACACAATAGAAAAAACTATTTAAAAAGTCAGATAATACTGATTTTAAAAATCGGGATGTTGAATTCATCTGGGTGTTGAGGGAGGAGCACATTGTGACCCAGACAGAGCACTCAGGACTCTGAGCACACTAATACTCTGTATTGCCTTCAGTGGTAGTTACATCAGTATCAACTTAAGAAAAATTTATTAAAATCTACATAAATAATAAATAATTTTCTATATGTATGTTATATTTCCCAATGCTATGAAATGAATTGTGTCTCCCCAAAATGTATGTGTTGAAGTCCTAGCCCCCAGCACCTCAGAATGTGACCGCATTTGGAGATGGAACCCTTTTTTTTTATTTTTGAGACACAGTTGCCCAGACTAGAGTGTAGTGGCGTGATCTCGGCTCACTGACCTCTGCCTCCTGGCTCAAACAATTCTCATGCCTCAGCCTCCTGAGGAGCTGGGATTACAGGTGTGTGCCACCGCATATGGCTAATTTTTGTATTTTTAGTAGAAATAGTAGACGCCATGCATAAATACCAATTCTCTCCAAATTGATCTATTTCTCAATCTACACATATTCTACTGGTGATCTCATCCAAGGTTGTGGCTGCAAGTACACCACTACAAGCCAAAAAATTATGTGTATATCTCCATCTCAGGCTTGTCTTCCAAACTCCATGGTCATATATCTAATATTGTATTTCTTCTTGTCTTCTCTTTGTATTTGTGTAGAACAAAAGAAAAAAAATTTTAAAGTAAAAGAATATTGTATTTGTGACCTATTTTTAGATGTCTAGTAGACATCACAGACCCAACATCTTTACCTCTGTTATGATTTTTGTTATGGTTTATTTCTATTTGGTCTTGAGATCCCTCTGTTGGAGTGGCTATTGGCCAAGACAGCCACTCTCTAGGAGAGCTCTGACCAGGTGGAAGTTACATTCAGGTGTGTGTCAGGTGAGACACAATAAGGAAGTGAAACCAAGACGCATGAAACAGAATACATTTATTATGCACAAGTCCCAGAAACATTAGGCTTGCCAATGGCAGGGGAGGGGGAGGCAACAGGATGTCTGGAGGCAAAAGGAGCTCAACTACCAGGTGCAGCGGGTCGGGGGTGGTGGAGGGGAGAAGGACTTGTGGGATTAGACCTTTGCCAAGGTCCATGGGCCTTAAGGTCCTGTATTAGTCCATTCTCACATTGCTTTAAAGAACTACCTGAGATTGGGTAATTTATAAAGAAAAGAGGTTTCATTGAATCACAGTTCTGTAGCTGTACAGGAAGCATGGCTGGGAGGCCTCATGAAACTTACAATCATGGCAGAAGGTGAAGGGGAAGCAGGCATGCCTTACATTGCTGGAAAAGGAGGAAGAGAGCAAAGGGAAAGGTGCCACACACTTTGAAACAACCAGGTCTCATGAGCACTCACTATCACAACAGCAAGGGGGAAGTCCCCCCAACACATGATCCAATCACCTCCCACCAGGACCCTCCTCCAACATGGGGATTACAATTTGACATGAGATTTGGTCAGGGAGGGACACAAATCCAAACCCTATCAGGTCCATTATCCCTTATGCTTTCCTGTGGGGGTTGTGAATTGGCTAGTTTAAAGAAAGCACATGCAAAACAGGGAGTTATATGACTCTGGTGTTGACCATTAGGTTCTATCCACATCTGATCTGTGGTCACACCTCATAGGGAACCATGAGAGAGAAAGAAAGAGAGGAAGTGTGAGTCTGGCTAGGAATGGTGGCGAGGAGAGATACAACACCCTTGATGACTACACATGCCCAGACAACTCATGGCAGCCCACAGTGAGGGCAGGGTAGCCCAGGTAGAACCAAGGGGCCCCTATGCCCTCACCAGTGCACATCTACCCACAACACTGCAGAGATCTGGTGCTGACCCAGGCTGGACTTGAGCCCCCCAGTTCCTGCCCAAAAGTCTAGTCCCTACCATTCACTCAGGAAGTCATTCAGGATCTCAGTCCAGAGGACTTAGTCTTGATCTTTCACTCCAGAGGTTGGGTTTCCACTATTCCCTTCACAGGCTGTGTACTCTCTTGGCCAAGGAGAACCTTTGCAAGCAGCTGCCCATGAACTTGCAGGCTCACTAGTGTTATAGGACCAAGAGGTTTTCATTTGCTTGCTGTGCAGTAACAGACTCATTACCCTGAGACAGCAGCGTTTGCAGCAGAGAAAGAGTTTATCAATTACAGGGCGCCAGGAAAGGAGATGGAAGGGGACTCTCAAATCCACCTCCCTAGAAGTTCTTGGCTGGGATTTTTAAGATCATGGAAGGCAAGGGGCTGGAGAATTGGGGCCATTGATTTGTTGGGGTTAGGGAGACAAAATCATCAGGATGTGGAAATTGCATTCTTTGATGAGTCAGCTCCTGTGGCATTCTTTAGACCAGCTGAGTCAGTAGTTTCATTGGTATGCCGGATCTCAAGGAATATCTCAAAGGGAAACCCTAATGTTTCCTAATGTTCAAGTTGTTATCTATGGAGTAGTTAAGGGGAATTATAATCTTGTAACAGGGTTCACAGGTGTTCGAGTCTTTGAATGCAAGGAATTTTTAGCTTATCTGTGGTGGCAGATATCACAAAAATCATGCAAGGACCTTTTTTCTTTTCTTTTCTTTTCTTTTTTTTGCTAATCAGCTATCATTAGTGTTAGTGTATTTTACATATTGCCCAAGACAATTCTTCTTCCAATGTGGCCCAGGGAGCCAAAAAGTTGAACCCCCATTATTTGAAGACAATCAGCACAAAACAACTATAAAAAAGCGGGTCAGAGAGCAAGCTGATGGAATGGTTAATGTTGAATGTGCTGCAACCTTGGCTTATTTTCATTTCTCCCTTCTTCCCTGATACATTTTTAAAGGTTTATAGGAGTGGTTTCACTAGCCTCGGAAATTTCCACCCGTGGCTTCTCCAGCAGATTCTCACCCTAAAGGTTGGAGAGCAGAGGATCTCGCTGGGCAACTCCAGAGAAAACCAGAAAATTTTGGTGCCACCCTTGTCCACTTGATTCTGGGCAGCCCAACATCATTCTTCTGTCTTCCCTATTGTGGCCCTATCTGGAGGCTTTTTTCTCTTCTCCCTGAAGGGGCATACAGAAATTCACAGAACTGACTCTAACTGTTCAGGCCACAGTCAGTTGAAGATCAATAAGGTAATTAGTTTCCAGCTATGCGTGGCCATACTTTGGGTGTCAGTAACACTATGGAATGATCATTCCATTTGGATTTGTAATCTCTGGGAACATCAGAAATATGGCCCATGGGAACATGCTGAGCTTCAAGAGTCTGAAATAATGTCTCAAAACTTTGGTGATCGTTGCTGGACACGTCCAGAGATGTAGCTACTTCCCCATCCCAGAGCCTGAGAATGAGGGTTATTCAAGACAGCGTGGCTGCAAGGGAAAGCTCTTCACTGTGTGGAGGTGTGAGAGCTATGTGACCCTTACCCAGAATTCTCTGCTGAGTGGCAGCAGTGCTTATCCAATGAAAGCACAGAAAGATGGGAGATTCCAGGTTTAGGGGTGAAGATGGTCAGGACTTCCTGTCTCACTTTGTGGCGGTCATTTTGGCTGCCTTGCAGCTGTTTTACCTGTTCAGAAACTACAGAGGGCTGGGTCAGGTCTGAGGGAAAAGGAGGCGAAGGCAACAGGAAGCCTTGTCCCTACTGCACAGAGGTAAGACTGAGGCTCTGACGCTAGGCTAGGGTGCCACCCATTGTGATCTCGTGTCAGTGCTGGGCTGGAGGCTGCCATGTGGCTGTCCCCATCCTAGTCACCGCAGTTTCTGGAGCCATTCACCCACAGGCTCGCATCACGGTGGCTTCAAGTTGGTGGTGCGTCCCTTGGGCCCTCACCCGCCGGACTCCTACTTTCAAATCTTAAGCCCCACATTGTGGGAACCTGTTCAGGTCACTTCAGTCTAGGCCCTGGTGTTTAGGCTGGGGGAAGCGGGAGAGCTCATGGGTGATGAAGCCGTTTCTGAAAGCCAGTGTGGTGAGTCACAGAAGATTGTTACAGACTGAGGGATCAGCATGTGCAAAGGTTTGGAGGCACAACTGGGCTGGCCTGGGGGCTGTGTGTACACAGAGTAGAGTGTGAAGAGAAGTCACACCTGCAGTGACAAGGTGTTGTACCTTCATTTGTCACAGAACCAAACTGGGCCCATTTGCCCATATACAAAGGAAAGTCAAACACCAGAAACCCAAACACCAAAGCATTGGGTTTTTGCAGCAATAAAGGTTTACTAAGAGTCAAGGAGGCAGGAGGCCAGTCTGTCTCCTTGTACCAGCTTGGCCGCCATAGATTTGAGGGAGAGATTTTGAGGGTGGGGTTTTGGGCTGGACAGTGATTGGCTGGAAGACAAAGCGGTTTGGAGAGTCCCTTGGGCAAGGACTGTTGCCCCTACATGCTGCTTTATGGGTCATATGTTCAGGAAATGGTGTTAGCATGATCTGGAGGTGTTTTCAGCCCTCTAACATCAAAAGGTCACTCATCTGATAAGTCTATTCTGTGCAGACTCCAGTCAGCCATATTGGTCCCAAGCAGTCTCAGCTCATCAGCCAACTTTGTTGCAAACAGAGGGGACTGTGGGAAACTATTTACTTTTCTACTGTTCTGCAAAACAAGTTCAGGAAATTTTGCTAGTTAACAAATTCTCTACCCCTGGGGCACGGTTTCACTTTCTGATGGTGCTTGGAGCCATGCAGGGTTGTGAACTGAGGAGGAACACAGTCTGAGTTAAGGTTTTAAAGTTTCCCAAAAGCTGCTTGGAGGAAGAAGACTGGATGAGGTGCAAGTTGGACAGTGAGGTACAGGGAGATTGAGTACTTGTTCAAAGTTACAAAGCAGGTAAAAGGCATTATTGAGGACTGAAATATAGAGATTGTACAGTCAGTCCAAGGTCACCTGTTTCCACCACTGGGCAGATGTTCAAGAGAGGCCTAAGCCCATGGAGTCCTCCCATAGTTGCCTGCTTCTCAAGGTCTACCTCTTCCCACAGGTTCCTGTGGCCACAAAAGTGCTTATGGATCATACACAGGTGAGTGAGCCCTCACTGGTCCCAACCTTCCATCCACGTGGCTATAGGATTGTGGTGCCTTGGGACTCAGCCTGTGTGTGACTCTTCTAGCCCTTGAGACTGGGGTTGCTTGAGAAACCCCAAGCCCAGGGTCCTCGGCCAGAGGTAGTATATATAATAGTTCCTATGTATATCTAGCAACCAATAGGATGAGGTGTGGAAGGTTATCCTAAGCACAGGTACCACCATCTCCAAATGCTTGAAGGTAAGGCTTAGAAGGGAGTGTTCAGAGAATCACAGATCTCCTCTCTTTCTTGCTAGCAGGAGAGTAGGGGTCAGATCTGGAATGGCAGTCTGAGAAGTTGGGTGGTTTCTGGAGTTGATGGGAGCAATGGCATAGGAGCAATGAGGTGACATGACTCAGGTCTTAATAGGCTCCCTCTGGCTGCAGACTGAACAAATTTTGAGAGTGAGGGAGGAGGCAGGAAGATCATGGATGGGGCTACTGCAATAATCTAAGTAAGTGTTGGTGGTATCTGGAAATGGAGAAAGTGGCTGGATTCCAGACCTTTTTTAAAAATAGGGCTGAATGCTGGATTTTCTAATGTTGAGGGTGAGAGAAAAAAAGGTAGCAGCTGGGCACGGTGGCTCATGCCTGTAGTCCTAGAACTTTGGGAGGCCGAGGCGGGTGGATCACGAGGTCAAGAGATTGAGACCATCCTGGCCAACATGGTGAAACTTCGTCTCTACTAAACATACAAAAATTAGCTGGGCGTGGTGGCACGTGCCTGTAGTCCCAGCTACTCGGGAGGCTGAGGCAGGAGAATTGCTTGAACCTGGGAGGCAGAGGTTGCAGCAGGCTGAGATTGTGCCACTGCACTCCAGCCTGGCAACAGAGTGAGACTCCGTCTCAAAAAAAAAAAAAAAAAAAGGTAGCACTTAGGGATTACTCCAAAGTTTTGGAAGGAAGTGTCATAGGTGAGCAGTGACTGTCTGGGCCAGTGGTGTGGCAGTAAAAGTACTTACCAAGACAATTGTAGGTAAATAAAGGCAGATTTATTAGAGAAAGTAGGAAGATATGTTGCCCATAGGCAGGATCAGCAGAAGAGAAGCTGACTGCCAAGAAACAAAGGCTTGCTTGAGATTTTATAGGATAGTGTTTATGCTGTGTGCTGAAGAGGGTTTTGTGCAATACCGATAACACTATGGTTGCAGTGAGCTAGCATGCAGGTGTCTGGTGATAGGTGGGCACAGGAAGATTGTGAGTTATTTGTGCAGGAGGGCTGTGTGTCCTGGACCATGAAGAAAGGCAGACTTGGAGCTTATCTGCTTTTTCTTTTCGGTTTCTCCTCGTCCTGCCAGCCTGATTCCTTTTGCCTAATTAAGACTCCACAGAAATGAAGGAGAAGTTAGTAGTAAAAGTAATTTTCAGTGGGTATATGGGAGTTTTGTTTTGGCCATGTGAAGAGTGAGATATTTCAGAGAACACTGAGTGAAGACATCAAGTGGACTGGTAGACACAAAGGTCTGGAACTCTAGGGAGTCATTCAGAATAGAGACATCCAGAAGGTGGTGGCCACTTTGTAGACTTGAGGTGAAGCTGTGCATCACATTTAGAAGAAGAAATCTTCAGGTCATGATCTTCAGCTTTCAGCTGGCCAAGAAGGGGAGAGTGAGGGCCGAGGACTGGATCTATTGCTTGGGCACCTGGTTGGGTGTGGTGGGCATCACAGGCACAGCTGAAGGGAGAGAACTGAGCCTGAAGGTTGGGTCTGGGGAAAAGAGGGTCTGGCAGGAGGCCAGGGCTTCTAAGAGAAGAATAGACATTCATGTGGATACAGAAGCATAGGAGTAATTGAAGAAAGATGGCACCAAGGACAGGGCCTTTACTTCACAGCTCTACGGACTCGCCAGGATAGTGGATTAGCACAGGGGCAAATGTGGTTGTCTGCTAGAGGCATTAGGAGGGCAGCAGTTTGCGGGGAGGTATCTAAAACCTGCATGTTGTTCTGGATGGCTGAGATTGACTGATGAAACAGCCAGAAGGTGAGGCTTTCTTAGCAGGATTAAGGGTTGCCCTTGGCAGTGAAAGCCATTGGAGGTCTTGGGGAAGTACTAGATTCTGTCTGAATTGTCAGGCATGTTCTTGATGCCATGTGGTGAGTAGCATGTGGGGAGGCTAGGGAGGGATCTATAGTTTGGGATAGGAAGATAGCAATATCTATGACATCTGGAGATATGAGAGAGGAATAGCCTAAAGAATGATGTGCACATGGAGAGGGAGTGTGTCCTAGGGCTCTGGTATTTGGGACTTAAGGATGAAGAGTGAGCCCAAGTTTGGTTGTGTTTGGAAGGTACCATCTAGGGACTTCCTGGTAATTTCTTGGCAAGAAGGGGTGGGGCCCTGCGTGGCAGGCCTGGAACTTAAATGGTGTCTGTCTGCCCACCTGCTTCTTATTGTTGAGCACAGACACAGCGATTAATGGGTGATAGGAGGGAGTAGGCACAAATGACACCAAGGTCTGATACATCCTCTGGGTTTTGGATCTTGGAAGGAGTATGAATATGGGGTGGATTTATAGAAAGATGTACTGGGGGTCCTCAAGAGAGGCTCTTCATGGTTTCATCTGTCCCTATCATAACAGAGTAATGTGACCTTTGAGGAAGTGGCCATGCACTTCTCCTGGAGGGAATGGAGTCTCCTTGATGATGTTCCGAAACTCCTATACTGCAGTGTGATGCTGAGAACTTTTCACTGATGGCCTCAATGGGTGAGACCCTCACACCCACCCAGATACTTTAGACTAGATTCTGCCTTTCCTTTTCCCCAAGGACAGATCCATCCTTCTCACATTAGGACAATGGACTCTACTTCCTTCCTCAGTTTCCTGGGTAGGTTCACTGGTTGGTGGGGCTGAGCCATTGCACTGTCCTATCCTCTTCCCAAGCAGCCTCAATACCTGCTGCCCCAAAGGCTTACTGGGAAGGGGATCAGGAGTCTTGCCGTCAGCCTTTATAAGCCCACTTTTCCCTTTCCCTGGCCAGGTGACCTCTCCGCCCCAGGTTCTGCCCCCTTCCTCTAGCTAATATATCCCCATGTCTTCCTATACCAGGAATTGCTGTTACCGACATGGTCACTATTTATGTCCTCCTCTGAGGTTGTTTTTGTAACATTTGGTTTTCTTACCTGTAGTCTGTTGCTCCAAGTTTCCCTGGGCCAGTGCTGGCTCCTCCCTTCTTCAGTTTTTCCTTTAGTTCTTGCATTATCCAGGTACTATTCTCAGCTGGGAGCAGGGGGAAGAGCTATGGGTGCTTCTTAGTGGGGACATGCGGCTCAGAGGGGTCCTGGCCCTATTAAGTGGCAGGTGAGAGGGCATGACATCAGGGCTGTGTTCAAATCATACCATGAACCAGTCCTGTTCCCACTACTATTTTGGTGCCAATGCCAGTGGTCACACCTCATTTCTACCTTTCTTCTCCCATTCTTGACACTAGCAGCTTGCCATTTCTAGTCAGACTTTTGTCCCAGGGCTAATCCCCAACTCTCTGTATTGCACATCTTACCTACTCCTGTCCACTACTCCCTCTCACAGTGTTCTCCAACACTGGCCCACACATACTGTGTTGTGAGATGCACACATATTCTTAAGTAGTCTCTGAACGTGAGCCACTCTTTTGCCATTGGATTTTCTTGGGCCTGGACATACCTTTCTGCACACCTCTTGTGTCATCAGCAAATACAAGTACCAAAAACCATTGGCAGAGGAGGGAGTTGTAGACCCCACTCCTCCTCATTGTGCTGCACCTCATCCTTGTGTCCTTTGCCTGGTGAGGCTTCTCCCATGCTGTGACTTTTTGAAAACTATGAGTTCACAACAGCTGCTTCCTCAGTCTGACCCAAACTCTCTCCTCCTGAAAACAGTCCTGTGAACTCACATAGACTCATGCATTGGTGTGCAGATACACATTTGTGATGTCAGTGCCCCTTCTCACCAAAGTCCACGTGCACTTCACTGGCATGTCTTTGCTTTTAGGGTATTGGCATGAAGTGAAAGATGAGGAAGCATCTTCTCAGCCAAGATTTTCTGTAAAAGAATTGTCACAGGTCAGAGCCCCCTGAGGCCCTTTCCTCAGAAAGCCCACCCCTGTGATATGTATGTCTTAATCTTGAAAGACATTTTGCCTTTTGCTGAGGACAGGGGAAAATATCCCAGGAAGAAACTGTATACTTAGGGGCATGTGGAAAATGATCCTTTCAGTAAAGAGAAACCCTTCAGAAGGGATGTAGATAGGAGCTTTTTCGTGAAGGGCTGCAGATTTCTTGTGCCAAATAAGTCCTTTACCTTTGAGAAGGTTGGAAGGTACTTCCTGGTTGACTCAGGACTTCTCCAGCACCAGGCCACTTACAACAGGAAAAGCCATACAGCACCACTGAGTGTGGGGCAGCCATTTACAGTGAAAAAGTGATGAGAAGTGCAGTGAACTCAGGAAAGCCATAAACTGCAAACACACACTTGTTCAGCACCAAAGAGTCCACAGTGGAGAAGGGCTTTATGAGTGTATCACATATGTGAAAGCTATCAAATACAAACCCTTACTTGTCAAACACCAAAGAGTCCAAATTGGGGAAAGGGCTTATGAGTTCTGTGAATGTGGGAAAACCTTCAGCTGCAAATATGGACTTGTTCCTCACCAGTGAATTCACACTGGAGAAAGACCTTATTAGTGCAGGGAACATGGGAAATTCTTTAGCCAAAGTTCCAGTTTTACTGAACAACAAAGAATTCACGCTGGAGAAAGGTCTTATTAATGCAGCAAAAATGGAAAATTCTCTGTCCATGTACACAGAAATATCTTCAGGGATGGATTAAATGAATTTAGGAGCAACAGATATTAGAAATGCTTCACATCCTTGTTACTGTGATAGTGGAAGAGTATGAGGTTTATCCACATAAACCATGGACCAGAGAGACCTGCATTCAAATCCTGCCCCTGCTCACTAGACTGAGATACTCTGGACAACTTCCTCAGATCACTGACTGTGATATGGAGAAGGTGCTCATGTTTACCACACAGAGGTGGAAGGACTGATAAAAGTAGTAAAAACACATTGGGTCAAAATAACTGATGAATATACAGCAAGGGCTCTATTGGAAAAACGTAAACAACATTTAAGAACAGATGGGTAATATAAGTAGAACTGCTAAGAGAAGATCAAAAGGAAATGCTAGAAGCCAGGCGCATGGTGTCTCACGCCTGTAATCCCAGCACTTTGGGAGGCTCAGGCAGGCAGATCACTTGAGGTCAGGAGTGCAAGACCAGCCTGGCCAACATGGTGAAACCCCGTCTCTACTAAAAGCACAAAATTAGTAGGGCGTAGTGGTGCACGCCTGTAATCCCAGCTACTCTGGAGGCTGAGGCAGGAGAATTGCTTGGACCCGGGGGGCAGAGGTTGCAGTGAGCCGAGATCATGCCACTGCACTGCAGCCTGGGTGACAGAGCGACACTCCGTCTCAAAAAAAGAAAAAAAAAAAAAAAAAAACAAAGGAAATGCTAGAAATAAAAAACATTGTTAACACAAATGAATGCCTTCGAAGGGCTCATCAGTAGACTGGACATAGTGGAAAAAAGAATCAATGAGCTTGAAGATATGTCAGTAGAAACTTAATACAAATTAAAGATCTGAACTGTCAGATTGAATAAAAAATAAGACCCAACAATCTTCAAGAAATTCACTTTAAATATAAAGATACTGGTAGGTTAAAAGTTAAGGGGTGGAGAAAGATATGCCATGTGAACATTCATCAAAATAAAGCAGGAGTAACTATATTAATATCAGACTTCAGAGCAAGGAAACTTTCAGGGGTAAAGAGGGGCAGTACATAATGATAAAGAGGTCAATTCTCCAAGAAGATATAATAATCCTTAATGTGTATGTACATAACAAAGCATCAAAATATGTGAGGTGAACAACTTAAAACTCAACAGTGAGAAAACAAAACGACCCAACTGAAAAATGGTCAAAAGACCTGAACAAATACCTTACCAGAGAAGACATACACAGGGCAAATAAATATGTAAAGATGCACATCATATGTCATTCGGGAATATAATGAAGACATTAACAAGACATTAGCCTACACATCTATTAAAGTGGCTAAAATCTTAAAAACTGACAATACCAAATGCTGACAAGTATGTAGAGTGGAAGAACTCTATAAAGGATGCTGGGAATGCAAAGTGGTGTAGCCATTGTTACCAACTGAATTGTGTCTCCCCCAGTTCAGTAGATAACAGCAGCTCTGTTCTCTTGGCCCTCTATCCTCTTTTTCTGGCTTGCAGATATAGTTGCCTTCTTGCCGTGACTTCACATGGTTCTGTGGGGTAGACAGGGAAGAGAAAGGAAAAGGGGAGGCCTCAATCTCTGGTGTCTCTTCCTTTTCTTATATGGACATGAGTCCTAGCAGGTTAGAGCACCACACTTATTATTTAATTTAACATTAATTAGGTCCTTAAAGGCCCTTTCTCCAAATATAGTCACACTGGGGTTAGGGCTTCATATTTTGAACTTAAGTTCACACAAAAACTTTCATATGGATGACTATTGCAAATTTTTTTCATAATTTCCCCAAACTGAAAGCAACCAAAATGTCATTCTGTATGTGAATGGATAAAAAGGAAACAAAAACCAGTTGTACATCCACACAACGGAATATTATTCAGTGATAAAACCAAATGGGCTATCAAGACACCAAAAGACAGAGAATTCTTACACACATATTGCTAAGTGAAAGAAGTCAGTCTGAAAATGCTATGTATAGTATGAGGCTGGGCATGGTGGTTCACGCCAGTAAACTCAGCACTTTGGGAGGCTGAAGCAAGAGGATCACTTGAGCTATGGAGTTCCAGACCAGCCTGGGCAACACGGCAAAACCCCGTCTCTACAAAAAATACAAAAATTAGGAGGATGGGGTGGTGCATGCCTGTGGTCCCAGCTACTCCGGAGGTTGAGGTCAGAGGATCACTTGAGTCCAGGAGGTGGAGGTTGCAGTGAGCTGAGATCATGCCACTGCAACTCCAGCCTGGGTGACAGAATGAGACCCTGTCTCAAAAAAAAAAGTGCTGTGTATAGTACGATTCCAATTATGTGACATTCTGGGAAAGACAAACTACAGATACAGTAAGAAGATCAATAGTTGCCAGGAGATTGGGGGAGGGTTGAATGGGTGAAATGCAAGGGATTTTTATGGCCATGAGGCTACAATGATACTGTTTGCGTTTGTCAAAACTCATAGACCTGTCCAACACAGAGTGAACCTTAATGTATGCAAATTAATGTAATAAATTCAGAGGTTGAAGGATCCCAGAAAATAATTTAGGCTGTAACATGCAAATCTATCTGTATTACAAATGTATGAGGCAACTTCACAGAGGGAGTAGAGGGAAAGGTGCTGACCTAAGTAACTTTAGAAATGAATGGAGTCTGTAAGACTAAAGGCAAAATGAACTACAAATATGCAGTGTACACTAGTTGATAAAGTTTTCACATGAGGGTACAGATGAACAATTCTGATACTGCTATACATGTATACTGGAATTGAACTATTAAATAAATGGATGCTGGACAGTGGGAGCCAGGTTTTCACTGTTGGAGTAGGAATTTATAGATTAGCAAGGGGAGGATGCTAGAATGATCTCTGTGGTACCAGATTAGAGTTGGAATTATCAGTAAGAATACATGTTTAAGTTAATATAGATACAGATGGCATATGCATGGTTAGTATATACACATACATTTCTTTGCTCTGTCGCTGAGAAGGCCTCAAAGAAATTGTACCCCAGTAGCAATGAGCACATCTGATGCCTAAATCTTGATTGTAACGCATTTATCTAATACAATTGTAGGGAGACCCCCTGAAACTATTGCTATGGAATAAAAGATGAAATGCTCCTGATTATTGTAAATACAAAATTGCATGCAGGATTGTGTAAAGACAATGCCAGGTGGGACTGCCAGAATGAGCCAACAGCACATGATGTGTTTCCCCCTGCAGAGAGCCTATAAACCGACGTGGAGTCAGGGAGGTTTCACATCACCAAGATTCCTATCCCAGAAAAGCAGATGTTCATAGCTCTGGGAATGGAATGCGACCCTTGTGGAGAGCCTATAAATGGATGCATGGGGGCGCCTGTTCATACGGATAAGATAGGGCTATAAACACCCTTATCTTGCCACGACTCTTCTAGGTCTCTTTAGGGTTAAGACATACTCCCTTCTGAGATTTTGTGGTCTAACTGGTTGTCTAGTTTCACATCCTGCTTCTATTGATTGTTTGCAATCAGCTTTTGCTGCAATTATTACTACTGATTAGTATCTTACTAAATATAGGTTATGGATAGACTGTGTTTCTGTTTTAAGGCTCTGTTAGAAATTGCTGATGCACACACTATATTGTAAATTCTTATCTCTGTATACTGTACTTCTGCATACAGATGTTCCCAGACACTTCTCAAAAGAAGACATTTATGCAGCCAAAAGACACATGAAAAAATGCTCATCATCACTGGCCATCAGAGAAATGCAAATCAAAACCACAATGAGATACCATCTCACACCAGTTAGAATGGCAATCATTAAAAAGTCAGGAAACAACAGGTGCTGGAGAGGATGTGGAGAAATAGGAACACTTTTACACTGTTGGTGGGACTGTAAACTAGTTCAACCATTGTGGAAGTCAGTGTGGCGATTCCTCAGGGATCTAGAAATAGAAATACCATTTGACCCAGCAATCCCACTACTGGGTATATACCCAAAGGATTATAAATCATGTTGCTGTAAAGACACATGCACACGTATGTTTATTGCGGCACTATTCACAATAGCAAAGACTTGGAACCAACCCAAATGTCCAACAATGATAGACTGGATTAAGAAAATGTGGCACCTATACACCATGGAATACTATGCAGCCATAAAAAATGATGAGTTCACGTCCTTTGTAGGGACATGGATGAAGCTGGAAATCATCATTCTCAGCAAACTATCGCAAGGACAAAAAACCAAACACTGCATGTGCTCACTCATAGGTGGGAATTGAACAATGAGAACACACGGACACAGGAAGGGGAGCATCACACACCGGGGCCTGTTGTGGGGTGGAGGGAGGGGGGAGGGATAGCATTTGGAGATATGCCAACCATGTTTTTAAAAGGACGTCAGCAAAACTTTGTCCAGAGACCCTGGGGGCCTCTCCTACCCATAGCCGTTTTGTGCATAAAGATAGTTCCAAAGGGAATCTTAAATCTTAGCCCATTTGAAATGAACTATGGGAGGCCCTTTTTAACTTCAGACCTCCTGTTTGATGAGGAGACATAAAATGCTCACTCATACTATCAACTTGGGCCAGGTTCAAAAAGCTCTCCAAGAATATGGAAATAAAGCATTGCCCTTTCCCACAGAGGAAAAGAATGGCTCCCCTGTTCACCCAGGATATTTAGCCCTCTTAAAAACTTGGAAAGGCTGGGCATGGTGGCTCACACCTGTAATTTCAGTACTTTGGGAGGCTGAAGCAGGCAGATCGCTTGAGATCAGGAGTTTGAGACTAGCCTGGCCAACATGGTGAAACCCTGTCTCTACTAAAAATATAAAAATTAGCCAGGCATGGTGGCAGGCGCCTGTAATCCCAGCTTCTCGGAAGACTGAGGTAGGAGGACCACTTGAACCCAGGAGGCGGAGGTTGCAGTGAGTCAAGATTGCACCTCTGCACTCCATCTTGGGCAATAGAGAGACTCCATCTCAAAAAAAAAAAAAAATTGAAGGGCTCCTATTAGGCATTGTTGAACACCCCCACTGCTATTAAACTTCACAGAATCACTAGTTGGGTATACCTGTCCAGGATTAAATAAACCTGTTTCTTATGAGTCCCCTCAGGCACAAGAGGAGGACACCAAGAGCTACACTGTGAAACCCTAGAAGACTTAAAGCTATTGTTTTGAAAATTCACAGATTGCCAGGTGTGGTGGCTCACGCCTGTAAAACCAGCACTTTGGGAGGCTGAGGCGGGCGGATCACCTGAGGTCGGGAGTTCGAGACCAGCCTGACCAACATGGAGAAACCCCATCTCTACTAAAAATACAAAATTAGCTGGGCGTGGTGGCACATGCTTGTAATCTCAGCTACTTGGGAGGCTGAGACAGGAGAATCGCTTGAACCTGGGAGGCAGAGGTTGCGGTGAGCTGAGATTGTGCCATTGCACTCCAGCCTGGGCAACAAGAGCAAAGCTCCATCTCAAAAAGAAAAAGAAAAAGAAAAGAAAATGCACAGATAAGTACTCAAACCCTTGAAACACAGGCAGGAAGTATAGGAAAAGCCGTAAGTGGACTCCAGGCCTCCCTGTACTCCCTAGCCAATGTTGCCTTAGACAGCAGATTGGCTCTAGACTATCTTCTGGCTGAACAATGAGGAGTATGTGTGGTAGTAAGTCATACCTGTTGTTCTTATGTTAACAATTCAGGGATAATTGAACTGCAAGTTCAAAATATCTGCCAAGGCCAAGCACAGTGGCTCACATCTGTAATCCCAGTACTTTGGGAGGCCAAGGTAGGAGGATCACCTGAGCCTAGGAGTTTGAGACCAGCCTGAGCAATACAGTGAGACTGTGTCTCTATGAAAAATAAATTTAAAAAAATAGCTGGGCAGGGTAGTGTGCGCCTGTGGTCCCAGCTACTTGGAAGGCTGAGGCAGGAGGGTTGCTTGAGCCTGAGAGATCGAGGCAGCAGTGAGCATGATCATGCCACTACACTCCAGCTTGGGTCACAGAGTGAGACCTTGTCTCAAAAAAGAAAAATAAAGATTTACTAGCAGGCCACCTGGCTACATAATTTTACTAACCCCACCAGTCAAACCATCTGAGACTCCATCAAAGGATACCTACCAAGTACGACATGGTTTTTACTCTTACTATGGCCTTTAATAGCTCTGTTACCACTGATCTTTGGCCCTTGCTTGTTTAACCTCTTAGTAAAGTCTGTGTCTTCTAGATTACATAAATTCCATGTGAAGATGTCACAAGGCTTCCAACCCATCCCATCTTCTGACCCAGAAAATAAAGACATCCTGCTTTGGGCCCCTTATATCAGGTATTCAGAGATTTTTACTCCTTCAAAGCTAGGCAGGACCTATGCCCATAAGATCAGCAAGAAGCAGTTGCAGAAGATGGACCTCTACCCTTCTACAACCCCTTAAGATTAAGAAGGAGGGCCAGGCATGGTGATTGACCCTTGTAATCCTAGCACTTTGGGAGGCTGAGGCCAGTGGCTCACTTAAGGTCAGGAATTTGAGACCAACCTGGCCAACATGGTGAAACGCTGTCTCTACTAAAAATAGAAAAATTAGCCAAACATAGTGATGCATGCTTGTAATCCTAGCTACTTGGAAGGCTGAGGTGGGAGGATTGCTTCAACCTGGGAGGTGGAGGTTGCAGTGAGCCAAGATTGCACCACTGCATTCCAGCCTGGGTGACAGAGCAAGACTCTGTCTCAAAAAAAAAAAAGAAAAAAAAAGATTAAGGAGGAGTATATAATCTCTGAGGGGGGAATGAGGTCGAAGATCAGTGGGACTTGTTTTCTGAGCACCAGTCACAAGGCCCCGCTGATCAAAACAGTATCTAAGCAAAACAGGATGTAGCAAAGAAACTGGCCAAAACCAGCTAAAACCAAGATGTTGCCCTCGTTGCTCATTGTACATTAATTATAACTCATTAACATACTAAAAGAAACTCCCACCAGTGCCGTGACAGTTTACAAATGCCATGCAACTCCCAGAAGCCACCTTATACAGTAATATGGTTTGTCTCTGTGTCCCCACCCAAATCTCATCGTGTAGCTCCTATAATTCCCACATGTTGTGGGAGGGACCCAGTAAGAGATGACTGAATCGTGGGGCAGCGGGGAGGGGTCTTTCCCATGCTGTCCTTGTGATAGTGAATGGGTCTCACGAGACCTGATGGTTTTAAAAATGGGAGTTTCTCAGCACAAGCTCTCATTTTGCCTGCTGCCATCCACATGAGATGTGACTTTCCCCTCCTTGCCTTCTGCCATGATTGTCAGGCCTCCCTAGCCATGTGGAACTGTAAGTCCAATAAGCCTCTTTCTTTTGTAAATTGCCCAGTCTTGGAGATGTCTTTATCTGCAGCGTGAAAACTGACTAATACATACGATTTTAAAAAGGGAGGAACCCTCAGTTACTGGAACCTCCACCCCTTTTTCAGAAAACTCATGAATAACCCACCTCTTATTTAGCATATAATGCAGGAATAGCCATAAATATAGCTAGCCAGCAATCCACGAGGGCTTCTGCTACTACTCTGCTACAGAGCAGCCATTTTCCTGCCCTCTGTAGCTCTAATAAACTTGCTTTCACTTTGCTCTGTCAGCTTGCTCTTGAATTCTTTCCAGCACAAAACCAAGAACCCTCCTGGGCCAAGCCCCAATTCTGGGGTTCACCTACATCAGAAGCACAGGGTGGGCCACATAAGCTTACCAGAACTTACAGCATTATTTTTATTTCATTGTTGTATTTTGATGGAAACTGATTTGTGAAAAGTGAAACTAGTTTTCCCATTTATAAGCAATACAAGATTCCCTTTATGAAGAAACCAATTCAAGTAAACAAAATGTGTGTCAACTTAAAGAATAGTGGTTTATACTAATGGTCACAGCCAACGTCCCCTGACCACTGACCCTATGCCAGGCCCTGTTCCAGGCACTCTCCCTGCTCCACTGATTAGCCCTCACAACATCCCTGGTGAAGTGTGGGCTTTTCCCCAAAGCTGCTGACTCTAGACCCAATTGGCTTCCCTCTAGGAAGCTGCTGCCCAAAGAGAACAATAACATTTTTGAGCATGACTTATTGTTTTAATATGCTTGTTAATTTGAGGTATACCATAAGGCATACCTCAGCAAAATGTTCAGTCCTAAGTGTTCATTTCAATTCATATTTAATCTGTGTCCCCACTTACAGTAACTTCCACTAGATCGAGCTATCAGGCATTCTGAATCCCCAGCAGGCTCCCCCTGCATCTCCCAGTCAGTTCCCCCAAAAGGCGTCACTGTGCTGACTTCCATCCCCATACATTGGATTGGCTTCTTCTTGAAGGTTATGTGTATGGATTCACATGGCATGCATGGCTTTTTGTCCAGGGTCTTTCGCTTGGTATCCTGTTTGTGAGATTCATAGCACGAGGATTAATATCTTTTTTTTTTTTTGAGACAGAGTCTTGCTCTGTCATCCAGGCTGGAGTGCAGTGGTGCGATCTCCGCTCACGGTAAGCTCCGTCTCCTGGGTTCATGCCATTCTCCTGCCTCAGCCTCCCGAGTAGCTGGGACTACAGGCACCCGCCACCACGCCCAGCTAATTTTTTGTATTTTTAGTAGAGACGGGTTTTCACCGTGTTAGCCAGGATGGTCTCGATCTCCTGACCTCGTGATCTGCCCACTTTGGCCTCCCAAAGTGCTGGGATTACAGGCGTGAGCCACCGCACCTGGCCCCTCACAAGGATTAATTTCAGTCTTGAGATTGTTGATGCAGTTGTTCCTTGGTTTATACAGATTCCCTTTACCTCACTTGCACCCTCAAAAATCATAGCTCCAAAATAGCAGAACTCCCAACATTTTCCAAAAACATAGAAACAGAGCAGAAAGTCAGGCATCAGTCAATTTAGACCCACACTTTTCAATCCTCCCTGAGCACCTGGAGAACTTTTAAAGCTGCTCATGTCCATGCTTCATCCCGGGATTTTGTTCCATTTGGCCCATAATCAAGGCATCCCCAGGTGGTTCTTTTGTTCAGGGAGGTTGAGACCCACTGACTTAAGTTAATTAGAAAATAGTTTCTGTTATGAAATGTCACTTTCCCAGGGTCCCATGGCTGTATTTAAAGGGGGAAGGGCTTGCCCATGAACAGTGTTGGATTCTGTAGGATGGAGATTGAGGGGGATGAATGTTACATTGATGGTCATCACAACCCTCTATAGACTCTTGGCTCAAGGATAGTTTTTGTGCTGTTGGTTTCCAGGTTACAGGTCAACATTTTCTTTGCATGGAAGGGAGCAGCCTCATTCTGGGCTCCTCCTCTTGTCTTGAACACCATACTGAATACAGAGCGTCATTCTTATCTTTACCCAAATATTGCTGTCCTATTTCTCCATGATCAGGGTATCTTCTTCCAAAATTGGAACTGAGCTACCTGATGGAAAATGAGCAAGATTATTGTGTGGTGAAGAGAGGCCTCTCATAAAGTTCCTGTCCAGGTAGGTGACCAAGAGCTGGGCAGGTGGGAGTCCCTGAACTCCGTAGATCAATTGGGGACCTCTTTTTGGGAAGGGGGAAGCCTCTTGTTGTGACCTCCCTGGGGACTTGGGATCCATACAGTCCTTTGACCATCCTCTTACCCCCTTATACACTTCCCTGCTACTGGGGGAGAAGTAGGTTGTATTAGGTTAAAATCAAACTCTAAGTTCCATGTCTTTGGGCTTAATACTTGACATTGCCACTCTCCAGCCTTGTGAGATGTTGCATGATTTCATCAGTGTAAAAGCTGGCTAAGTTAATGCTGGCTATTGTAACACAGAAACACTTTACAATATCAGCAGCCCAGCACAAGGAGAGTTTTTGGCTTTTGTCTTTTTCTTTTCCTCATTCAAGATCCACACAGGTCCACACAGGTTAGCAAGGAGCTCTGCACCACACAGTTATTCAGGGAATAAGAAACATTCTATTGTCAACATGTGGCTCAATTTAAAGCTTTCTTGGCATTATCTGTCAGCAGAGGAAAAATGAGAAAGAGAAGTCATGCCCACTTGCACCCATACATTGCTGTTGCCACTCTGTTGACAAAAACTGGGTATTTGGCTGCACCTGGATTCTCAGAGCCAGGAGGTGGTATAGCTGTGTACCCAAAGAGGAGAGAAAATGGGTTTGGTCAACATCTATCTCATTCTGTACACTTAGCCTACATTTAGTAAATGGTGGTAATAAGACTTTTCAATACTTTTCATCTCATTGGATTGTCTGATGGTATAGTTAGATAATATATGGAACTGTATAAGGTAATGCCTGAAACACAGTGGCTCTAAAAGACTTAGCTATTTGTATTGGTATTGTGCATGTAATAACATTAACTGCAATGAATAATAATAACACATTTCTTTTTTATCTCCAACTTCTTTATTTTTAATTTTATTTTTAATTGACAAATAATATGAATTTATGGGGGTACAGCATAATATTTTGATACATATTTACAATGTGGATGGATTACATCAAGCTAATTAAATCTATCACCTCATATATAATATAAATTTTTGTAGTAAATTTAAAATCTACTATTTTAGCAATTTTAAGATATACAGTACATTGTTTGTTATAGTCACAGTTCTGTGCAATAGATTACTAAAATGTATTCCTCCTGTCTAACTGAAATTTTGCACCATTGATCAACATCTTTCCCTAATCTTCCTCTCCTCCTCCCCCCAGGCCTTCCGCTCTCTACTTCTATGAGTTCAATTTCTCTTGATTCCACATATAAATGAGATCACACAGTGTTTGTCTTTCTGTGCTTAACTTATTTCAATTGGTGTAATATTCTCCAGGGTCATCTATGTTGTTTCAAATGACAGAATTTCCCCCCTTTTTTAAGGCTGATTAATATTTCATTGTCTTTCTGTATTCATTTCACTTTGTATTCATTTTTTCCTGTATTCATTCATTCTTTGTACTTCCTGTGTTCATTCATCCATTGACAGACACTTAGGTTGATGCTTGTGAATAATGCTACAATGATCATGACAGTGCGGGTACATCATAGGACACTGGAGGAAAGTCCTTTGAATGTAAAGCATGTCAGAAAGCCTTTTGTGACAAGCTATCGTTAATTGAATAGAGAGCTCAGAGATAAACCCCACACATTTAGAGCCAATTGATTTTTAACAAAGGCACTGAAAACACACCATGGGAAAAGGACAGTCTCTTCAATAAATGGTGTTGGAAAACATGGCTATTCACATGCAGAGGGATGAACTTAGACCCTTATCTCACAACATATACAAAAATAAACTTAAAATGAACTAAAGACTTAAATATAAGACACAAAACTGTGAAACTACTAGAAGAAAATGTAGAGGACATGCTCCATGACTTTGATCTGAGCCACGACTTTTTGGATATGACCCCCAAAGTACAAGCAACAAAAGCAAAAATAGTCAAATGGGACCACATCAAACTAAAAAGGTTTTGCACAGCATAGGAAACAGTCAACAGAGTGAAGAGACAACCTACAGATCGAGAGAGAATATTTTCAAGCTATACATTTGATAAGGAGTTAATATCCAAAATATATAATGAACTGAAACAATAGCAAGAAAACAAATAACTCAATTAAAAATGTGGGAAGGACCTGAATAGACATTTAGCATCTAAAGAAGACATACAAATGACCAATAACTATATGAAAAAATGCTCAACACCACTAATAATTAGGGAAATGCAGATAAAAATTACAATGAGACATCACCTCACCTCTGTTAGAATGGCTGTTATCAAAAAGAGAAAAGAGCACGTGTTGGCGAGGAGGTGGATAAGAGGGAACACTTCCATACTGTTGGTGGTAATGTAAATTAGTAAAGCGGTTATGGAAAACAGTATGGAAGTTTCTCAAAAAAGTAAACATAGAATTACCATGTGATCCAGTAGTCCCTCTTCTGGACATAGACACAAAGGAAATTAAATTAACCCATTAGACATAGCTGCAATCTGATGTTCATTGCAATGTTATTCATGAAAGCTAAGCTATGGGAACAACCTAACTGTTCATCGAGATATGATTGGGTAAAGAAAATGTGGCACATATTGATGAGCCTAGAGGACACTGTGTTAAGTGAAATAAGCCAGGCACAGAAAAGCAAATTTTACCTGATCTCATATAAGGAATCTAAAAAAGTCATAGGAGTAAAGGGTAGAATGGTCACTAGGGGATGGGAGCTTTGTGGAAAAGTTGCTCAAAGGATACAAAATTTCAGTTAGCAGGAATACTGTCAAGAAATCTATTATACAACATGGTGAATATAGTTAATAATATATAGTCTTCTTAAAAAATGCTAAGAGGGTGGGTGTAAAGTGTTCTCATTACAAAATGATAACTGTGTGAGGTAGGAATATATTAATTAGCTAGATTAGTCATTCTAATGTCTATACATGTTAAAACATCATGTTGCACATGGCAAATATATACAATTTTATCTGTTAATACTTTTAAAAAGAGTCTTAGAATATTAATCATTTTATCCCATCTCAGTATATATGTTATCGAGGCTATACATGATAATTCCATCTTTTTAACTTCACAGTGGAATATTTGTCACGTTTTCTACAGATAATGAGTATTTTTTTAATCCACAGATGTGCCTTCTCTCTGGATCCACATTTCTTCTCTCATCACAGATCTTTCACCTGGTATCACTTTTTGTCATCCTTAAATAGAATTTTCTTTAAGAATTTCATTTTATGCAGGTTAATTTTCCATTAAATTTCTTATTTTTGCTCTGAAGTCATTTTGCTTTATGCTGTTTCTTCAAAAACACTTTTGCTATGTGTAGAAATTTTGGTTAGCAGTTACTTCTTCAGCAGTTTGAATTGGTCCCTTTCACTGTGTCCCTGAGTCACAATTATATTTTGGGAGTGAGTGGTGACAAATATCTTACCATTTTGATCATAGCCTTCAGATCTTAGGTTAGGATATGAACCGAAATTCTAACACTGAGATGGAGACAGTGACTGGATGGGATTGTCACAGAAAAGAGGAAGTAAGAGTATTGAGTGTGGAGGAGAAATCATACACAGTCGCCCTTTGGGATCCATGGGACATTGGTTCCAGGATCCTGCACAGATACTGCATCCACAGATGCTCAAGTCCCTAATATAAAATGCCATAGAATTTGCATATAGCCTACACATAGACTCCTCCCATATATTTTAACTCATCTCTAGATTACTTACAATACCCAATACAATGTAAGTGCTGTGTAAATAGTTGTGATGCTGTATTGTTCAGGGAATAATAAGAAAAAAAGGCGTATACTTATTCAGTACAAAGGCAACCATTTTTTCCAAGTATTTTTAATCCACAGTTGGTTGAATCCATGGATGCAGAACCTGTGGATACAGAGGGCCGACTGTAATGAGTATGTATCTGGTGGCCAAATTGATGGGTTGTGCTAGAAACTGAGTAGGTGCTTAGGAATCCCCTTTCTCTTCCTGGATATGTGGCTTTCCTAAGACTTAATTAATTTGGTATTCACTTGAGGACTGCAGGTTCAAGTAATGGGCTGTTGAAGTCTTGATGAGAGCAGTACCTGATAATTCTGTCAGTAAACATCAGGCTGTGCCATTTCATAGTCAAATATTTGCACCTAGAGGCTGGAGGGAGGTGAATTCCCTGAGTATTAGAGATTAACAATGACTTGTCATCTGCCATCACATACTTGAAATTGTGTCAACTCCACTCTCCACTTTGGCCAGAGGGCAATTAGCTGTGATGTTCTCAAGCGTTGAATCCTGTGGCCTATAAGAATTCATCCTACAGTTTATGAAACCCTCCTGCATGATCTATTTTTAAAAATAAATTCTTTTAAAGGAGCCAAATAGTGTTATTCAAAGGTGTACTATCTTGTAAAACTTTCAGTGATTAACTCTGAGGCTGCTTGATGCATTTGAGTGATGTTTTATATTTTGACAGATATCCCAAATGACCCAGCAAAAGGGACATTTCGTTTGCCCCCTCACAGCCATTGTATGTGAGTGTCTTGTGATGATGATGATGATGATGATGATGATGATGATGATGATGATGATGATAAAAATAGCCGTAATGCATTTCATGAGTACTGACTTTGTGCCAGGTCCTGTGCAAAGCTCTATTACTTCCCATGAGGTATGTGGTGTTATTTTACCTATTTTATTCACTGGATTTTAATGAGCATTCCCTTTCTCAAACTGCAGCCAGGATCAAAATTCCCCTCTGGGCCCCAGCCCCACAGTTTCTGATTCACTAGGTTTTGGTGGGGCCAGGGAGCATGCATTTTTAAAAAATTATCAGGTGGTCCCAATGTTAAAGGTTTGGGAACTACTGGATTAGAACAGTCTTTAATGTTAGTACACAAAGACCCTAAAAGCATGGTATTTTCTTCATTTTTCATTTTGAATGTAGGTTATTGAGTGCCTAGAACTGAAGAGATGCACCTAGGGCCTCAGAGGCAGGAAGGTCAAGGAATGAGTCTCCTATTAGCAACCTCTGAGGGTGGAGCATCAGCTTGGGTGGCCACAGAAATCTAGATGTGGCTCCTTTAGGAGGAAGAAAAGCCCTGCCTTGTCAGTAAGACATTGGAACAATATTTCCCAGGGCCAACTGGAATGCTGTTTGGCCATTGTCATGGAGAAACAGATACAGGTCACAACTATATTACCCAGACAAGTCTCTGTGCCTCCACCCAGGAAAGGGGCACTTCCTGTACCCCACATAGGCGCTGTGGGCTTTGCAAGACACCATTGTGAATGTTTAGTTGGTGGTGCTGGGTTACTCCACAGGGGCCAAGTCAATTCCCAGGTGTTAAAAAAATCATGACGCTTGTTAAAGAATAGTAAGGCAGACTTGATTCAGCGGGACTCTTGCGAGAGATGTAGGGACCACTGCAGCGGGGTGTTCTAGGGTGGGAGAGAGATTGGGCTCAACTCCAACTGCAGCAAGAACAAGTGGGGATTCATACCCAAGGAATGGTGTGGAGGGGTCAATAAATGGAAAAGCACTAAGAGGAAATGTCAGAGGTAAGGGGGGATTCTGGTAAGCTGACTTAGCAGGATTCTTGCTAAAAATGGACAATGTAGAGACAACATGGAAATCCAAATCAGGGCCTAGGTGAGGAGAGAGTTCAAAGGAGCCTGATTAGAGTTTGGTTGAGAAGATCTTTGTCAGCACTGAGCAGGGAAGGACTGTGCAGAGGTTAGGACCTACCTCCACCCCTTTGCATTAGCTATGATCCTCCTGAAATGGGGGTTCTGCCAGGATCCTCCAGAGCCACTGCACCCTCACTCCATCCCATGATATCTTGGGCCTTACGTGTATTTTATACTGGTGGAGTCTGAGGCTTGGAGCACCCAAGTTGGAGCACCCAACTATAACTGGGTAATATAGTTGTGACCTGTATCTGTTTCTCCATGACAATGGCCAAACAGCATTCCAGTTGGCCCTGGGAAATATTGTTCCAATGTTTTACTGACAAGGGCACACCCCCCACAGCACAGACCAAATTGAAGAGCAGGTTGAGCCCATCAGACCTGCCCCAGTCTCCCGCTTCTCACATTCCCACCCTGTTCATGTTGCTCACTGGATATGGTGGCATTGATGGATCCAGTGCAGGTAAGTGGAAGGGCCTTTAGGTCCTCAGCTGCTCAGACCTCCACTCTCAAGTTCTTGGCACTGAGATACAAAGGATAATATTTCCCTGAGACTTTTCCCCTTTCCATCATCACTGGGGAGTCACTGATGTTACCAGAGAGCAGGGGGCAGAAGGCAGCCCTGGAATGCCTGAGTGAGGAGTGGGTCTCTCTTCTGAATGTTCTGGGAGCCCTGAAGGTTGGGAACAGAGCAGAGAGGTGATCTTACTGAGATCCTAACAGGGTCCCTCTGGCTGCAGAGAGGAGAGCAGGCTGTAGAGGCATACGGTGGGAGCAGAGTGACCAAGTAATAGGCTACTGCAATAGTCCAGGTAAGTGGTGTTCGCTAAACCAAAATGGATATGGAAGCAGTGATTAGATTCTGCATCTATTTTTTAAGTCAAGCTGACCAGATTTTCTAACATGAAGGGTAAGAAGGACAAGGAGGTTAGGTGACCCCAGGTTTTTGGCTTAGCAGCTGGAAAGGACAGATGTGCCACCAATTGAGATGGAATAGTTGGTTGTAGGGGAGATTTTAAGTGGCAGTATCAGAAGTATCAGAAGTTAGGTTTTGGCCATGTTGAGTCTGACGGTCCAGGGGCCCCTGAGTAGAGGTTCTGAGCAGGCAACTAGACATACAGTTGTGGTGTGCTGGGGAGGGATTCGGGTTATGAGAATCCAAATTGTGGCATCTAGTATGTGGATGGCTATGGAGTTGTGTGGAGATTTAGGAGAGGAGATTTTCTGGTCATGGTGCAATGCCAATATGTTGAAAGAAAGGAAAGAGTGGAGCCTGAGGACTGGTTATCTTGCTTCGGCAAATCACTGGCCATGAGGATTGCATATGGGGAAGATCAGGATCTGGTAAGTGGCCACATTTTCCAAGGGGGTATCGATTCGAGATGGATGTTGAGGCTTAGCCAGAATGGAGGTGGAATTACAGTAAGATCTGGGATGGAGTTTATTCACCAGTCTCTGGACACACTAGGCTTTTGTGGTGACCCATGGTGATGAAGGAATAGAATGCACAACACAGAAGAGAAAGAGGATCTATTAATAAGTGTCAAACATCTGTGTGTGGTTAATGACTGAGGTTGAAGCCAGGATCACCACCATGTTGGGAGGCCTTCAAATCGGAACTGGGCGCTGCCCTTGCCAGTGGGAGCCATCAAAGGTATTTTGAGTTGTATTCCCCCCAAAATATATGTGAATGTCTTAATACTCAGTACCTTAAAATGCGATCTTATTTGGAAATAGAGTCTTTATAGAGGTAATCGTGTTAAAATGAGATCCCGAGGGTGCATCTTAATCCAATATGACTGGTATACTTATAAAAAGGGGAAATGTGGACCCTGAGACAGACACACACAGAGAGAAGATGACATAAAGACACCCAGGGAGAAGATGGCCATGTGACCGGAGGGGTGTATCCACAAGCCAAGGAATGCCAGGGATTGCCAGCAACCACCAGAAGCTGGAAGAAGCAAGGCAGGATTCTCCCCTGGAACTACTGAAGACAGCATGGCCCTACCAACGTCTTCATTTCAGACTTCTAGCTCTAGACTGTCAGATAATCAATTTCTTTTGTTTGAAACCACCCAATTCAGCAACCCTGGGAGATGAATACAGGGGGTCTTGGGCAGGATGAGCTCCTGGTTGCATTTGCCAAGCACTCTTTGCATGCCATGTACAGAGGGAATTGTGGAAAGCCTATGAACATGGCCATGGTGTGGGCCAGGAGTTGGGTAGCAGCGGCAATTGGGGCTTCACAGGTGGGGCCTAGAGTTACGAGGCAGGTGCAGTCTGAAGAGTGCTACCCCTGTGGGAAGGAAGTTAATGACTGGCCCATGGTACTGGGAGGTTAAGGAAGAAGACTGAGCCCTTTTGTTTGTATCTGGTAAGTACGATCTTGCTGACACTGGGAGATGGCGTTGGGCCCCTTGTATTGATCACAAGGGGATGTTTTTTTAAAAAATATTTTCTATATTTTCTGATGCTTTGACATATTGGGGGCTTGCTCATCCTGGTGAGACCACCCCTCCCAGGGCCAGCTAATTCCTAGAAAATAAACACTTGCCTGTGGGTAAGTCATTCATGTATAGCCAACCAGTCTGAGTTCCTACTCCTACCTGCCTGCTTTTATCAGGTTCCTGCAGCCCAGGACACTGTCCCCCTGCCCTAAATCACTCCAGGGCCAGGTACTGGACAACTAAGGAGCACCCATATAACCCAGAGCTTACTAAAATTATTCAGATTACTCGATCCTTAGCCTGCTCAGTTTACCTACCCTGCCTTGCCTCTTCCTTTCTGTGAAACCACAATAAAACCTCCTGCCCCTGCTTCCCTCTTTGCTCTTCCTGCCTCCTCTCTGACCCTGATCCTTCCCTGTGTAGCCCTGCATGGCGTGGCATGGCCCCTCTTCTTGGGATCTTGGGAACTGTAAGTTAAGAAAATCTTCTTTCAATGGCAGTTGTCTGTACATCATCTCACTACACCTAATTAAAACAAATCCCAGGTGCATTTTAAAAGACCCCACATGCCAGGCCCAGAGTACATTTGGTGTCTATCTGCCTGCCTGCCTGTTGTCAATGTGGGCTGACACAGTGATCAACAGGGTACAAACTGGGAGTGAACACCAGTGTCACCAGTGCCTGATATCTCCTCTGAATTGGGAAGTTGGGGAGGAGAGTAGGTTTGGGATGTATGTATGGGAAGATGGACTGAGGTCCTGAGGAGAGAAGACAGTCATGGAGTCAATAGCCTCCATCATGGCAGGGCTGTGTGACCTTTGAGGATATGGCCATTGAGTTTTCCCTGAGGCAGGTGGGGGCTGTTTGACGAGGCTCAGAGACGCCTATACCATAATGTGATGCTGGACAGCTTTGCATTTATAGCCTTGCTGAGTAAGGTCTTCACATCTTCCCTAGTGACCTGAGCTGGTTTCTTCCTGTCCCCTTGCCCCAGAGGCGGCTCTGTCCTCACAGCTGGAGCATGGGCCCTTCTCACTTCTCTGCTGTCCTGGCACATGTGCTGTGGGTGCTGAACCTCTGTGCACTTCTCTGAGCAGTACCCTCCCCAAGGAGCCCCAGCAACTGCCACCCCAAGGCCTTGCAGGGAAGTTTTGAGGCCAGCCCAGTAGATCCCATCCAGCTCAGTCATTTCTTTCCCAAATGATTGTCCAGTTCCGGGGCAATTCTGGGTGCAGATTCTGTCCCCTTTTTTGGCTGGCATTTCCTGGGGCCTGGCTGTGCCAGGAATTACAGGCACTAAGAAGATCACTATTTGGCTGGGACTGCCGACTTGTTTCTGCAAGACATTCCTCATAGGCTTTTTGTTTCATTTTGTTTTCCATTTTCTTTCCTGTAGTCTGTGGTGGAGTGGTTCCTCTGAACAAATGCTGGCCACTCACCTGCCAAGGTGCTTCCCTTAGTGCTTAGCAACCATTTAGTTGCCCAACTGGAGATGGTGGAATAGGCCTGGGTGCCTGAACAGAGCAGACACCATGACAACCATTACAAGAGGTGGTTAGAGGGGCCTTGGCCTTGGGAAGTAGGAAGACGAGAGTGTGACATCAGGACTAGGTTCACATATCAGTAACCTGTCCCTGTTCACCATTGTTTGGGTTCCAAAGCTAATGGCCATACCTCATCCATATCACTCCTTCCCCATTCTTGAAACTGTATCCACTTGTCATTTCTATTCTGACACTGGGCCCCAGGCTGCACCCCACATCCTGGTCTCCATGTCTCACCCTCTCCACTGCTCACTCTGGAGTGCTCTCCAACATTAGCCTACAATTCATGGGTTGTGAGATGTGCATTTCCATTAATAGTCCCTGAACACCAGCAACTCAGGTGCAATTGCATTTTTCTTGGGCCTGGACACACCCTTAGGGCTCATGTTTTACCAGCAGCCAAAGCCCTGCTGGAGGGTGCTTATGGAGAAGTGAGCTGGAGACCCTGCCTCTATCATTTCTGCACTGCATCCTGCTATTCTTGACTCTGGCAAGATCACGGCACTGTTAAAGCCTCCTATATTCTGTCACTTTGAGAGTCTTACTACTGCGCAGCAGTTGCTTCCTTCCACTTCCTCAGCACCTTTGTCTTACGAACAATTCCGCAGGCTCATTCCTGGGTCAGACATTTGTGATGGGGCTGTTCTCTCCCACTCAAGCTAACAAGAATTTTACCAGCATTTCATTGCTTTCAGTTTTTTGGCATAGATTGGAAGGTAAGCAAGGGCTCTCTCTGTGAACATAGTGTTGAAAAAGTGTCACCTGTCAGGAATCCCAGGCAGGTCCTTCCACCCAGAACCTACACCTGCCATGTGTGTGATTTTATTTTTTCTTTTTCTTCTTTCTTTCGTTCTTTCTTCTCTCTTTCTTTGTTTCTTCTTTCTTTCTTTCTCTTTATTTCTTTTCTTTCATTTCCTTCCTTCCTTTTCTCTCTCTCCTTCCTTCCTTTTCTTTTTTTTATTTTTATTTTTTTTTGAGACAGAGTCTCGCTCTATCACCCAGGCTGGAGTACAGTGGCGCTATCTCGGCTCACTGCAAACTCCGCCTCCCGGGTTCACGCCATTCTCCTGCCTCAGCCTCCTGAGTAGCTGGGACTACAGGTGCCCGCCACCGCGCCCGGCTAATTTTTTGTATTTTTAGTAGAGATGGGGTTTCATCGTGTTAGCCACGATGGTCTCGATCTCCTGACCTCGTGATCCACCTGCCTCGGCCTCCCAAAGTGCTGGGATTACAGGCATGAACCACCGCACCCGGCCCCTTCCTTTTCTTTCTCTTTTCTTTTCTTTGACTTTTCTTCTTTCTTTTCCTTTCTTTCTTTCTCTTTCTTTCCTCTCTTTCTCTCCCTTCCTTCTTTCCCCTTCCTTCCTTCCTTTTCTTTCTTTCTGGCTTTCTTTCTCTTTCTCTTTCTTTCCTTCTTTCTCTTTCTTGCTTTCTCTCTTCCTTCCTCCCTCCCCCTTCCTTCCTTCCCTCCCTCCCCCTCTCTCTTTCTTTCCTTTCCTTTCTCTCTCTCCCTTCCTTGCTTCCCCTTCCTTCCTCCCTCCTCCCTGTCTCTTTCTTTCTTTCTCTCTTTGTCTCTCTCCTTCCTTCCTTTTTTCCTTCCTTCCTTAATTTCTTCTCTTCTCTTCTCTTTCTTGCACAGGGTGCCACTCTGTCACCAAGGCTGGAGTGCAGTGGTACAGCTGCAGCCTCAACCTCTTGGGCTCAAGCAATCCTCCCACCTCAGCCTCCCAAGTAGCTGGGACTATAGGTGCACACTACCACACCCAGCTTATTTTTTAATTTTTTTGTAGAGACAGGGTCTCATCATGTTGCCCAGACTGGTCTCAAACTCCTGGCCTGAAGTAATTCTCCCACCTTAGCCTCCCAAAATGCTGGGATTACAGGCATGAGCCACTGCACCTGGCCATGTGGTCTACTCTTGAAAGACACTTTGCACCTGGCTGGATACCAAATAACACACCCAGGGCAGAAATCATCATACACATGTGGTATGTGGAGAAGATTCTGAGTGAGTGTAAACCTTCCCCAGCAACAGATGCAGAGAATATAGAGAAGTCCATCAGAAAGGAGTAGGGGAGGACCTTGCTTGTGAAGACTTGAAGCAACCACACGTCAGAAGAGCCTTTCGAATGCAGGGAGGATGGGGACTTTCTAGCCACAGCAGGCTTTCTCCAGCATCAGGTCACTCTTAGCATGGGGGAGCCACAGAAGAGCATACCATGTGCAGCAGCCTTTCTCATCATGCAAAGGCATTACCAATGCAGTCAACTTGGAAATGCCTTCAGCCACAATTTCACAGTTGTTTAGCAACAGAGAGTCCACACTGGGGAAAGGCCTTATGGGTGTAGAGAATATGGGGAATTCTTTAGACAGGCCTCCACTCTCAATATGCATCGAGTTCACACTAAAGAAAAGTCTGTGCAGCAAATTAAACCCTTTCAACAGCAAGTGAGATTTACTCAGCATCAGCAAATCCACATTGGAGAAAGGCCTTATGAGTGCATCTCCTAAGAGATGTGAGTTGGAGACCCTGCCTTTCCATCTGGAGCAGTGGTTAAATTTGACAGCTACTACTCTGATCTCTTTCAACACCAAAGAGTTCACACCAGAGAAAAACCTTATGAGTACAGCAAATGTGAGAAATTATCCAAAGCCCCAGCCTCAGTAAACATCAGAGAGTTCACTCTGATGAAAGTTTTCATGAGTGTAGTGACTATGGAAAAAGGTCAGGGCTGGGCATGATGGCTCACACCTGTAATCCCAGCAGTTAGGGTGGCCAAGGCAGTAGGATCGCTTGAGGTTGGAAGTTTGAGACCAGCCTGGACAACACAATGAGATCCTCAATCTCTTCAAAAAATGAAAAAAAAAAAAAAAAAAAAAAAAAAAAGCTGGGCATGGTGGCACATACCTGTAGTCCCAGCTAGCTACTCAGGAGGCTGTGGTGGGAAGATTGCTTGAGTTCAGGATTTGAGTATAGGATTGTGCCATTGCACTCCAACCTGGGTGACAGAGTAAGACCACTGAAAAAAATGTAAGTGGTTGTGCCATTTTTTGTTCTCACCAGCAGTGTTGGTGAGTTCCAGTTTCTCCACATCCTCACCAACAATTGGTGTTGTCAGTGTTTTTAATTTTTGCCATTCCAATAGGAGGTGCCAAGTAGTATCTTACATTTCTGTAAAGACTCATGATTTGGGAAATTATTTTGTATGTTTTTTTGCCACCCATATATCTACTTTTGTGAGATATCCATTCATATTTTTTGCCTTTTTAAAATGAATGTTGGTTGGGTAGATATTTCTGTTTTCACTAACAAGAGTACAATGAAACAACAAAGAAATTTGTTAGTACTTCAGTCATTCATGAATGGTGTTAGTGACTTGTTTGCTAAGTTGAGAAATATTTTTGGATACTAGAAGAATATTTTCTCAAATTTTGTGCTGTTTACAATGTAAAGCTATAGACACAACATACTTTTAAATTTAATCTGCATTATTAACATATTCTCCATTACATTTTTCAGGCTGTACAGTCAACAAAATTCTGACTTGTAGTGTTTGCCAATTTCCCTGGTGTAAATATTCTCACTTTGGCAATGTCATGCAACAAAATGTCTCTAAACCTGGAGACATCTATTTCTTGATAAAACTTTGCTAGACGTTTATCAGTTTCATTGATCTCAAGCTTCTAGTTTCATTGATTTTCTCTAAGTTTTTTCTGCTTATTTCATCGATTTCCATTTTGATCTTTAGTATATCCTTTTTCTGAATCATTTTGTTTCTTTTCTTTTTCTGATTTCTTATATATATATATTTTTTATTATACTTTAAGTTCTAGGGTACATGTGCACAACCTGCAGGTTTGTTATTTAATGTGGAAACTAAGACCCATGATTTGAGACCCTTCATTTTTTCTCTTAGGTGTTTAATATTATAGATTTCCCTTCAAATTGTCTTTCAGCTGTGTCCCAGAGATTTTTTAACAGCTCTATTGAGGTGTCACTAATATAAAAAAACCTGCACATATTTATTGTATACAACTTGGTTGGTTAGAACATATGTGTATACCTGTGAAACCATCACTATAATCAAGGTAATAAACACATCCATCATCTCCAAAGGTTTCCTCCTACCTCTCCCCTCCCCCCCTTTTACTGTAGTAAGAACGCTTAACTTGACATCTGCTCTCTTAACAAATTTTAAGTATACAATATCGTTAACTACAGGCACTGTGTTGTTCAGCAGCTCTCTAGAACATATTCACTTTGCATACTGAAACTTTGTACCTGTTCAATATCTCCCCACTTATCCTCCTCCCAGACCTGGTGCCCACCATTTTGCTCTCTGCCTCTATGAGTTTGACTTTTTTTGATACCTCATATAAGTGGGATCATACAATATTTGTTCTTCTGTGACTGGCTCATTTAACTGAGCATAATGCTCTCTGGGTTCATCCATATTGTTGCACATGGCAGGATTTCCTCATTTTTTAAAGGCTGAATAATATTTCATTTTATACATATCCAGTATATATATCCTATATATATGATATATATAAATATATATTTATACATAATATTATATATAATATAGATATATAGATTATATATAATATATTAATATATAATATATTAATATATATCATATATTATATATTAATTAATATATAATATATTATATATTAATTAATATATATCATATATTATATATTAATTAATATATATTATATATAATATATATTATATATTAATTAATATATAATATATAATATATTAATATATAATATATAATATATTAATATATAATATATAATATAGATAAATATACATAATACAAAACATGATCAATTTTTAAAATATTTGCTCTGGATATATATAATATATATTTTAAATATATATTTAAATATCCAGAGCAAATATTTTAAAAATTGATCATGTTTTGTCCCCTTTATGTCCCTTTTGGTATCATATCTAAGAATTCTTCACCTCACCCTTGGGCTTGACAATTTCCTCATAATGCTTTTATCGTTTTAAGATAGGAGGCAAGACTCAACTCCAGAGGCATGGTCAGACATTGGACCAAATTGAGGACTATCTAAAACAGGGATGAGGTGGAAGCAACTTTCCATAAGACACACCCACCAGTGTGCCATGTCAGTTTACCATTGCCATGGCAACACCTGGCTGTTACTACCCCTTTCCATGGCAGTGACCCTATGACCCAAAAGTTACTACCCCTTCCACAGAAATTTCTGCATAAACCGCCCCTTAATCTGCATGTAATTAAAAGTGGGTATAAATATGACTGCAAAACTGCCCTGAGCTGCTACTCTCTGCCGATGGGGTAGCCCTGCTCTGCAGAGGCAGTCACAGAGCTGTAACACTGCCTATTCAATAAAACTGTTTTCTTCTACCACTGGCTTGCCCTTGAATCCTTCCCTGGGTGAAGCCAAGAACCCTCACAGTCTGAGCCCCACTTTGGGGCTCCACTAATTCCTCACTAATAATGTGAGGAATTTGGTTAGTTGTGATTTCCTGTTTTTGCAATCATTTATTAGAATCACAGAAATAGCAGTGAATTATTCAATAGAAACAGCCGCTGCCTTGCTAATTAGTTTATAAAACTCCAGAACATTTTTGTTTGATTCAAGAGCTGAAGAATCGCAAGCCCATGTTTAAAATTCTGGGAATATCCCTGAGGTGTATATAAATAGTGTTGTTATTTAATGTGGGAAAATAATAATCAAACCCATTAACTTAAATTTAGCCCTAGTCTTGTGTGAAGTGAATATGTGTAAATAAAATATATGAATTCTGTATGAAATATGAGTTAGGATTGCATGATTGCCTAAAGCCCATCTCACACAACTTGTCTGTCCAAATATTTTGAGTCACAATTTATATAAAAACAATTTACATTAAAGTTACATTTACATTTTGTACATTGTACAAAGAGGTTTTGAAATAAATCAAAGTAGTAGCAATAAAGCACTTACCTATTTTGTTGATTGAAAGTAAATGCAACAAAGAAATTCTATTACTTAGGATACAAAATGATAAATTTATTCTACTTTGGATGTTTACCTTTCAAATATATATTTCATCTAATTTCATTTGATATAAGTATTCTGTAATCACTGAGAAGGAATGTATAACATATTAACTCAATATTTAGCAACTACTCATTTCCTTGATGTGTTTCATAACTTCCCTTGACTCTAAATAGGATTCTTTTTAAAGAAATTTTCCTATTTCCAAGTTTTGTATTTTCGCAGTAATAGGTCTAATATTTTGTTCGTATAAATTTACTAATATGTTTTGTTGACACACCTCAGCAATGAAGTGAGTATCCTCATAAATAAAGCTTAGATTTTAGACTATAAAATGTAACAAATATTACATAGCAGGATTTGACACAAACTTTGGTTTGGTCTAAGTTACAGCAGTGTTGTTTTGTTTAAAAAGCCTTCATGAGATATAATTCACTTACCATATAAATCACACGTTCAAAATACATAATTCAGTGGTTTTAACATATTTAAATATATGTGCAACTATCCCCCACAGTTATTCTTAAAACATTTCATCACTTCACAAAGAAACTCCATATCCCTTAGATATCAATCGGCTGTCCCACCACTACCCACCATCCCTAAGCAATCACTAATCTACCTTCAACCTCTATAGAGTTGCCTATCCTGCACACTTCATATACATGGAATTATATACTGTGTGGTTATTTTGTAGCTGATTTTTTCACTTACATGTTTTCAGTGTTCCTCCATGCTGTATTGTATATCAGCACTGCAGTCTTTTCTTATGGCTGAATAATCTGTTATAAGGATATATCACATTTTGTTTATCCATTCATAAGTTGGTAAATGTGTTAGGTTGTTCTTGCTTTGCTGTAAAGGAAAACCTGAGACTGGGTAATTTACGAAGGAATACCCCAGACTGGGTAATTTACAAAGAAAAGAGGTTTACTTGGCTCACAGTTCTGCAGGCTGTACAGGAAGCATAGCACTAGCATCTGCTCAATTTCTGGTGAGGCCTCAGGAAGCTTCCAATCATGGTGCAAGGCAAAGGGGGAGCCAGTGTAGCACATGGTGAGAGCAGGAGCAAGAGAGAGTGAGGGGAAGATGCCACACACTTTTAAACAGTCAGATCTTGAGAAAACTCATTATCTCAAGAATAGCACCAAGGGGATGGCATCAAATCATTCATGAGAAATCTACCCTCACGATCCAGTCACCTCCCAACAGGCCCCATAATATTATATGGTTTGGCTGCATCCCCACCCAAAATCTGGACTAGATGCATAACATATCACCCTGAGATCTTAACATTCAGATGAGGTCAGAGACTGCATGCAGATTTTGGCTTCTCGCATTAAGAAGCATGTGAGAGTGTAGAATGTATAGGATAAATAATAGAATGGAAATCTGATGACTAAATTAATAGATTTTACTAGAAAATGGCCAAGGACTTATCAGTCCCATTATCTCTTTCTGGATGCTCTGGAGGACAGCACATCCTGGCTTCTCTTACATGTGGAGCTATTTGAGTGGTTTGTAGGCCATGGAATATAGGCAGAAGTGATTGCAAAATTGTGTCTTCATTATGTTTTCTTATTTCTGCTCCATCCTGGGGATGCCTCTTTGGATGTAATGCTTTTACTTTTCACAGTGTCCAGGATTATTGCCCTCTTCATGTGGGCTACAGGTTTGGGTGGTGGGCTGAAAGTGTCTTGATGAGACAAGATCTGGTGACCCTGAGTTGCTGGGCATAAGCTGGGCCATCTGGTTTGTGCCTGGTTCTGGCTTCCCTGGGGGCTGGAGGGGCAGATGGGGAGGGGTCAGATCCTGGTTGCTGTGAATTAGAGATGAACAGTGACACGCCATCTTACATCACAAACTAGAAACCATGTCAACTCCACTCTTCCCTTAGGGCTGCAGGTAATTAGTCTCAGTGATCCTAAGTTTTGAATCATGTAAGAAAGTATCCCTTGGGCAATAGGTCTACCTGTATATTAGGAAACCCTCCTGCATATACCGTTTTAAAAAGATGCATACGCCAAATGCTGCAACGTATTATTATGTAAAATTTAAACAGTATTCATGAGGCTCCTGTTGAATCAGTCAACGTATTTGTTTTGACAAATATCAGAGTCTGCAAAGAAGTATCTCAGACCCTCCCCTAGCAGTGTATTGTGATGATGTTGCCAATAATACAGAATATTAATAATGACAGCAATAGCTCTTATGTTCTTATCGGTATGTTCCAGGCCCAGTGCTAAGCAATTCTTAGTTACTTCCCACCAAACAGGTGGCTTTGTCTCATTTATTTACTGGAATTTAAAGAGTCTGGTTCTCAAATGTTTTGCAGCATCCACTTTTCCTGGACAAGTTAAGCAGAGGGCTGGGTCCCACCCCCCAGAGTACCTGATTCAGTGGGTGGGGACTAAGAACTTGCATTGGTAACAAATTCGCAGGTAATGCTGATGTCATCTGAAAATTACTGATAGGGGAAATTTTAATATTATCATATTAAATAATTATCTTCATTTTCCTTAGGAATCTCCATCTCAAGGCTCAGAGAGATGAACTGCTGGCGCAGGGATACACAGGGAGGAAAGTCAAGGCGTGAGTTGCCTGGTAGAGACATTTGAGAGTGGGTCATTGCCTCAGATAATTTCCACGGAACTCTGTGTGCCTCTCCTTTAAGAAGAGGTGAAGCCAATCCCTTTCTTGGGAGCCTTGAGAAGCCGCCTCACCGAGAACAGAAAGTGCGCTCCAGGTACCACCCGGATTCCGTCAAACTACATTACCCAGAAGGCAGTGCTACAAGGGACGGAAGCCGACCCCAAGCCATAGACGGAAGGCGCAGAGGGGCGTTCCCGTAGCGGCGTGGGCGGGACTTCCGGCGTCCAGTCTTCGTCCGCCGTTAGGTTGCGGCTGCTGTGGTTGCCAACGCTACACTGGGTAGAACGCCAGACAGGGGCCACTTTTCGAGACCGAGTAGAGACGGACAGTGAGGAGGATAGGACCCACTTACACGCTTTTATGTCAGCCGCGATCCCACCCCCACAAGCGTCTGCAAAACCCTTCCTGGGGCCTTGGCGACAGCCCTGTGTCCTCACGGCGCGCAGAGGCGGCGCCGCGAACCTTGTGTGCATTTTACACGACGGCGGGGACTGAGGTCCCTCGCAGCCCAGAGCCGGAGCCCGGGGTCGGCCGAGCCCGCAGGACCGGCTTCCTCGCCGACTCTCACGGCCTCACCCAGCCCCCTGGGCCCATGGCGGCGCCGGCGTTGGTGAGTGGAGGGTTCCGCAGCCCGCGCGAGCTCGGGTCACCGCCCGCATGCACCCATCCGCTGTAATACGGCGGATGCCGGGACTCTGTGCTTCTCCCTTTTGATGCCCTAGGTTATGGAGATCCCGGGAGAGGGTGAGGTGAGAGGGCAGGGCTAATCACTTCCTACCCAGGGTCCTGAATCCAGGACAGGAGTTGTAAGGAGAGGTCCCTGTCTCTGGCTCTAACCTGGAGCTGTCGCCTCGCTGCCCTCGGCCTCCATTCCCTCGGGTCTAAAATGCGAGTCTCAGTAATTTTCTCTGTGGAGGGAGCTGGAGAGGGTACGCTTGTGACGTGGGTCCTGTCTTTCACTGCTCGGAGAGCATCACTCTAGGTGCCGTCTTTGAAGAAGGACTCTCTAGGTCCTGCTGTTGTTTTAGGGGATCATTCCAGCGGAAGTCTGGCCCTACCAAAAGCTGGGAGAGGGAATGAGAGCCTCGAGGGCAAGAGGTGAGGCGGGAGCAGCATTTTTGGCAGGAGGCTAGAAGACAAGAAGCTCATTGGATTTATCTTTGCAGATGCCGTCTGTTTATTACAAATGAATCTGGCTTGCCGCCTAACAGCAGTGAATCCGTGCTTCTGTTTAACACATGCTCTTGTATTTGAAAAGCAAATCCAGCACAATATTCATTAATGACAGTGTACATGAATGTATGTCTCTTGGAGTGTGAGCACATAAGGCCCCAAGTTACTCTCCAGCATGTCACACTGTTTACTCCTCGTAGCTCTGATCACCTTCAGGAGTTGTCTATTCATTTTTCCTCACCTGGTCTGTTCTCTAACTTCAATCTAACCTTGTTCCAGGGTCTCTTCAGAGAGAGCTTCCCTGGTTGCATCATGTAAAGTCTCTCCCAGTCTTTGTGGTCTTCTCACTCTTGTGTTGTTTTCTAGAGTCTTCTGACTTTATCTTGATTGTTTATTGCTGAGGATCTGTCCCCCAACCCCAGAATGTCAGCTTCTGTTCTGTTTTTCATCCCCAGGCCCAAAACTATTCTGTTCTGGGCCTGTACCACTTAGTCGATAAGTGATTAATGAATGAGATTCTATCCTCTGGGGCTCCCATCCTACTTAGATTTCATCTAACCCAACCCCACCCCATACCCCACCATGGCTGCAAAGTCACTGCCCAATCCACCAGGACACTCCCCCTGCCATTCTTCTCTCCTGCACATGCCAAGCTCATTGGACGATTTTCTCTGTCACATTGTCGCCAGATCTCTGCAAGGCTGCTCCTGGATGTGTGCTGCATTGAGCTCTCCTAGGGTGCGACAGGAGCAAATAGGAAAAATACTAACAGCAACAAATAGTAGCTGGTCTTCACTGAGCGCATTGATAATGTGCTGAGAGGCAGTTTCTGTGTATTACCTTATTTAACGCCCTTCTTCTCAGAGTAAAATTCTTTCATTTTCCTTTCTTTACAGAAGAGGAACCGGAGACTCAGATTAACTACCCAAGGTTGCATAGCTCATAAGTAACAGAAACAATCCAGTATGTCGAGCATAAAAGCCTACATTTTTTATTTATTTATTTTTTTTGAAAGAGGGTCTAGCTCTGTTGCTCACACTGGAGTGCAGTGGCCCCATCGCAGCTCACTAGCAATCCTCCCCACTGAGCCTCCTGAGTAGCTAGGATTATCGGTGTGTGCCACCACACCCAGCTAATTTTTTTTATTTTTTGTAGAGATGGGCTCACTGTGTTGCCCAGGCTGGCCTCGAACTCCTGAACTCAAACAGTCTTCCCACTTTGGCCTCTCAAAGTACTTACTGGCATGAGCCGACGTGCCCAGCCAGAAGCTTACATTTTTAACCAATATTTCACCCACAGTGGATTGGAGATCCCTGGGGGCGACAGCTGAAGTACACTTTGCAAGGGGAAGGTGCAGGCCTCTCTCTAGCAGGTGGACATTGGAATGAAGGGGTCTTTGGGGAACCTTCCCGGCAAAGGGAACTGCATGGACAAAGGCAGAGGCATGAGGAGACATAGAGTGACACCAAGGCTTGTCACCTGCTGACGTGTCTTGTGTGATCATCTGATGATCATCATGCCAACATCCCATTCTCACCCAGGACAGACGTGGTGCTTAAGGCAGCTGCCAGGTTCTTAGAGCCACAGCCTGCATTGCCCTTGGCCACTTGTGTTACCTGTACCTAAGGGAAATGTGCTAACCGTGGCTCAGGAAGAAAAAGAACAGGTTGGCGCTCATTGTGGGATATTCCAGGGAGTCTACAAGTCCCAGCTGCCTGAGGGCAGGGAAACTTTGTTTGAGCTCTCCCAAGCCCTAGGCAGTTGGCACCTCTTCAGGTGCCTCTTCTATGAGGCAAAGGAAGGCTCTGCTCTTCCTTCCATACCTCTGGCAATATTTTCAGGAGTGGCTGAAATTGTTTTAACTGTAAAAATTGTAGGAAGTATTTTTAGCCCTTGTCACTGTGGATTCACTGTGGTGATGGAGGAGTACAGGGGTTACACCCATAGATCCTGGACCCGAGGGATGTGGGTTCAAATCCTGCTTCTGCTCATTAGACATACAACTCTGAGTGACTTGACTCTGAGCCTCAATTTGCTGATTGTGAAATGGAGATGATGACATTTACATCATGGGCTATAGGATGACTATTGAAATTTACACACATTGTAACACATGCTGGGCACTGCAGTGTTTGCTTTATGAACATTTTCTCATTAATTTTCACAACAGTTCGGTGAAGTGGGAACTATTAATGTATTGATGTGGAAATTGGAGCTCCAAGAAATTAAGAGACTTCTCCAAGGTCACACATCTGGCAGGTTGGTTCAAGAGGCTGGATTTAAACTTCAGGAGCCTGATTCCAGACCTGGAGACTTTTAGTTGCTTGAACACAGCATGTGAAGCCCTCAGGTGCAGGCAAACAGTGCAGACCAGTGAGGCTCAGCTGCTGCTGCTGTGATTATTGTTTGAATTATTATTTTTCCCCATTCTTGTAATGTCCTAGGACATTACTGTCTGCTCCTCACAGTCAGATGGGATTATCATTGTCTTGTATCATTTTCCAATGGTTTCCAACATAGGAGGCTTTTCTGTCCCACATCTTTGTATTCTGTCAGCGGCACCATCTGCCTCCACAGAGCCCAGTGGTTCTCAGGAGTTGCTCAGTGGTTCAGGGTCTCTGGACCCTTTGCCAGTAACCAAGAAGTGAGCTGTAATTTCACCTAATAGCTCCACAGCCACCTGTCACCTCTGTTTGACTTCCCAGGCATTAGTATCATTTGAAGACGTGGTTGTGACCTTCACTGGAGAGGAATGGGGGCACCTGGACCTGGCCCAGAGGACCCTGTACCAGGAGGTGATGCTGGAGACCTGCAGGCTCCTGGTCTCACTGGGTAAGACCTCATTACCCTCCCATGTAGGGGACCCACAGCCTCTTTGAATCCACCCTTTCTAGGCATGGCTGGTCCAGGAGCCTCAGAACCCAACCTTCCCTGATCCCTGCAGCCTCAGCACGTTGTGGTCTGACCTCCTCTTGCTGGGTTTCCCTGTGTCTCAATCAAAGATTGTTATGTAAGAAACACAGTCCTCCTCAACACTTTTATCCCACTGTCTAGCACAGCTGGCCTCAGTCTGACATCTTTATCCCAGACTGCCACAAGAGGTAATTGGCCCAGCTTGGTTGAGTCAAATGTCCTCACAGCCCAGTTAGCAGGACCTGTGGATAATGGGAGGTTCTACAAGCAGCGGGTGATTGACACAGACACTAAGAAGGTGTTTGTTATCAGTGCTGCTTATATCTTTTTCAGCAACACAGTCTCAGCTGAAAGGTCTCTTTGGCTCCTAGCACCTGCACAGTTAACCCTTACTTCCTAAGGCCTGTGCCTTGCTCCTCTGCTGCTACAGGAGATGATTATGATTATGGAAAGGGAGCACAGACACATTCTCAAATGGCATGGATGTATGCTATCTGAGAAAGCTGTTCTTTTTTTCTTTTCTCTTTCCTGTCTCTTGAATGTTGAGTGTTGGCTTAGGGCTGAATCTTTAACACTCCCATAGCTGTTGGTGAATTTCCTCCTCAGTAGAAAGAGTAGCCTCAAACTCCTAGCCTCAAGCAGGCAGCAGGAACTTGCTGGGACCTGTTATCATTTTGATTTTGCCATTTTTATAGTAACCTGTCACAGCAAGGTAACTAATATGTGTAAAGTGCTTAGAATAGAGCTGGAAACATAGCAAGTGTTCTGCATGTGTTTGTTACATTTAACAAATTAATAAATACCAAATGCTCTCCCACCTAAACCTTTAATGGACAGTTTGCCCAGAAGTTGGTCTGAGTAGATATGAATGGAGGCCCAAAGTCTCACTTATTCCAGTTGTTCAAATGGTTACCATCGACAGGGCTCTCCCAGTCCTGCGTCCTCACGAGGGATGAGTCATTAATGAAGTAAACGTGGTGTTATTTTATGACAACTGTGATTAGTTGTCGAAAGGAGATGTATGGGGAACAGCATTCCAGGAGGAGGGACCAACATGAGCAGCATCCCTGTGGGAGCAGGGTGCTTGATTCCTTAACAGAGATGAAGGCAGGCCTGATTCCCCTTTAATGCTGCTCATCACCCAGCTCAGTGCCAAGCATATGGCAGAACATTTGCTGAGTGTGCATGTGGCATGTAAGTGTGCGTAATCCTATGGTGAACATTTGCTAAGTGACAGCTGGATGCGTGCCAGGACAAGATTTTCCAGTTGATGCTTCTGGGTCCTGGTGCCTCAGTCATTGACTTCTCTCCAGAGTCTTCTGTCTTAGCCTTCACAGTTGGCAAAATGTGTGTGGCTGCATGTGGAAGAAGACCACCTCCTGCCAGTTTCACCCTGAAAATAATTTCTTACTTTACCTAATGAGAAGCCCTGAGGTGCTGCTGACTCCTGGCTTGGTCAGTGCCAATCCATGCTAACCCAGTTCTCTGTCTGCTTTCTCTCCTTGGTCTAGGGCCCTGGCCAGTATCCTTGTGGGGCAGTAGGCCTCCATGTTCAGCTTCAGTCACTGGCCTGCCTCACACAACTGACTATCAATAGATGCCATTCATCAGGCGATTTAGTCCTGTGTTTTTCAACCATCATGGGCACCAAAATCACCTGGGGAGCTTTAAAAACTACCAGCACTCAGTCCTTCTGCTCAGAGATTTGGTTTAATTTGTTCTGTTTTTGGAACTGGGTGTTGCTAGGTAGTTTTGATGCACAGGGTGGTTGAATCCTACTGACTTAGGTTAATTAGGGAATACTTTTGGTGAGGCAGGGGAGGGCCCTTTCTGGGGTTTCATTGCAGTATGTTAAATATATGTACTCCTTTACACCTCAGACTTTTCTTTTTGTCTTTCCCTGTACACCATACTCCATTTGTTTCTCCATGCACAGGGCATCCTGTTCCCAAACCAGAGCTGATCTATCTACTGGAACATGGACAGGAACTGTGGACAGTGAAGAGAGGCCTCTCCCAAAGCACCTGCGCAGGTTGGTGACTGAGAGTCTGGCAGCGGGTATCAGGGCAGCCTGCAGACCACCCAGGCATCACTGTGTCTGAAATGCCATGGGCAGCTATTTTGTGGTCTTGAGCAGTCATGGAGCCCTTGACCCCATGGTCCCCCGTCTTCCCACTTCTGTCACACACTCTTTGCCTTTATTCAGGTTGGAATATGTTAGGTAGGAGACAGATTCTAGGCTTTAATGATTTGCCACTCACTAGCCTCATGACTCTGGAGAGGTTGTGTGACGTCACTGTGCCTTTGGTATATAAGTTAGGCTGAGTTAATGACCTTCTCTGAAAAATAAACTCCAAAATCATGTGACTCAACAGATTAAGTTTCGTTTTGTTTTGTTTTTTTATCCATGCCATAGCCCAATGTGGGTCAGCAGGAAAGCTGTGTACCCTGTATTTATTTATGGATCACATGCATTCTGTTGTCAATATGCAGCTTTAAGGTTGCCCCGGCCAAGAGGAATGGGAGAGAAGGGCAGTAGTCACTTCCATTAACATTTCATCCACAAGAACTGGGTATTAGGCTACATGTTGTATCAGGCTGGGAAATGTGGTTTAGCTTTTTTATACCCAAGGAGAAGAGCCTATGGGTATAGTGAACATATACTTATCTGATACACTTAGCCTACATTTGAAAGATAGTGATGATAGTTTCTGCATGACTGGGTTGTTTGGGAATGTGATCACATAGCAGGAAACTGCCTAGCACACTGCCTGACCCGGAGTGGCTCAACAGAAGTTACTTGTAAGTAATATTAATGTAGTGTTAGTCATAAGGAATAGTGATAGCTCAGACATTCTTCTGCATTCAGAAGACAGTCCTTTCTTTTCCTGCAGATTACTATTTCAAACTACACTCTGCATCCCACCATTTTTCACCTTCTCCAGCCCGTCATTTATTGATCCATCCATTCATCTTTTCATTTATGTATCAGATACGCAGAAGCACTCCCTAGCCCTGTTGTTTTCTGGCCCTCCTGTCTTCTAAAAACCTCAAGGTGATGATTGCCTTTGTCAGTCCCACATCTGGGCTGCCAGAGGAAGCTGGAGCCATCAAGCAGGTGGATTTGTGACACTGTAGATTCACCATCTCACCCCTCTAGTGTCCTTCTTGCCTGCTCAGTCAGCCTTCACCCCTCTCCCCTATTCCACATCTTCACTTGAATGTCTCAGAGGCACCTCACACTCATCATGCCTAAAAGGACCTCATGATCACCCCCATTTTCAGCTAATGCCTCTTTCAATGAGTGGAGAAGGCTAAAAACAAACGTGGACAACCCCTCAACACCTCCATCTCCCTCATACCCAATATCCAGCCATCCCCGAATCTTGACCATTTCACATCACTCATGTCTCCTGAATCCTCACCTTCACTAGTTTCCATCAGCTCCAGCATTAGTACTCTAGGCCAAGTGATCATCTCTTGCCTGCATAATGCTACCAGATTCCTCGCTGTTTTCCCCCATGTGCTCTGTGCATCTGGTCAGCCCTGTGTGTTATATCTGCATCCACTCACATGTTCCATGTATCACCGCCTCCCTTGCCACTGATGTCAGAGCATCTGACCTACTTTATGAATAAAGCCTACACACTTGATTTTCTTGCTTTTTGACACTTACTGATTCATGTTCATCTGACTTATCCTGCAGCTTCCTTCTCACTTCTGTGGAAGAGTTATCATCCTGGCCATGGCTAATTTCTCCAGCAGAATCTAGATTACACTTTCTGCCTTCTCAGGTGTATTAGCCATCTACTATTAATATGTAACAATATTACCACAAACCCTGCAGCTGAAAACATCACTTATTTATTATCTCCCACCTATGGATTGGGAGTCCAGGCACAGCTTAGCTGGGTCCTCTCAGGCGTGTCATAGGCAGCTCATAGCTCATCATCACCATCAGCTCACTTCTTCAAATCAAGCCACTGTGTGAGACTCCAGCAAGACGGATGTTCCAGTCTTATAAAATTACATATATTTTATCATGTACATTCCATCATCTTTGCCATATTCTATACTTTAGAAGCAAATCGAGGTCCTGCCAACATTTTAACAGGGGAACTACAAAAGGGTGTGAACACTATGACTTGGGGATCATGAGAAGCCATACGTGAATCTCTCAGCTGCATCAGGGAACATGCTTCTTCACTTACTTCCTACCTCTTCTATATTTTCATCCCCTCTCTACTCAACATTAAAAAAAAATGATGATGTTTCTGATACCTGGGGGAGACTTTTTTTTTTTTAGTGCTCTTACGTCTCCAGCAGCATCTACATATTGTTGACTCTATTTCACCTGAACAGCCAAGCTTGTTGGAGAAGTCTTCTCATTCTTTGAAGAGACATCTACACAAGACTTTCCTTTATTTATTTTTTCCCTTATTTTTGTACTGAGGTGCAATTTATACATAATAAGTGTACAAATCATAAAGTTTCATTTCTATAAAGTTTTATATATGTACAAGTCAGAGAAACCATCTCACAGTTCAAGAAATACAGTGTTTTCAGCACTTAACAGGCTCCTTGTGCTCATTCTTTGTCAGTATCCCCTTCTATAAAAGTAGTCAGTGTTTATACTCTATATCACCATACATTAGTTTTGAAGGCATATAAATAGAACCCCCTAGTACATACTCTGTCCTGACTTCTTTTGATAATCTTTATGACTCAGATTCATTCATGTGGTTGCATATAGTTGGAGTTAGTTCATTACCATCATTGAATGAATAGACTACATATACCCATTTTCCTATTGATGGACATTTGACTTGGTCTCCATTTTTGGAATATTATGAAGACTACTCTTATGAATATTCTTGATTGTATTTTTTGTTGGATATAAACCCATATTTCTGTTGGGAATATACATACAAGTGGACTGGCCAGATCAAGTGTGGGCATATGATTAGCTTTAATCGAAACCACCAGTTTCAGAGTAACTACACCATTTCACATTTCCACTAGCCACGTATGAGAGTCTTCATTGTTCCATGTACGCCTGAGCAGTTGGTGTCTTTCCCTTTACTCTTTGATGCCTGGTAGTGGTGTTTCTCAGCACCACAGCACTTAAAGTGTTCTTGCCCAGGTCACTGTTGCCATCCTGATTGCTAAATTCAACTATAATGATAATAGACAGTGGTCTACAGTTTACCAAACATTTATTCTTTGTCACACGAATGAACTTTTGTTTGGTTTTTGGGTTTTTTTTGAGACAGGATCTCACTCTGTCGCCTAGGCTAGTGTGCAGTGGCACAATCTCGGCTCACTGCAGCCTCTGCCTCCTGGGTTCAAGTGATTCTCGTGCCTCAGCCTCCTGAGTAACTGGAATTACAGGCATGCACCACCACACCTGGCTGAATTTTTTGTATTTTTAGTAGAGATAGGGTTTTGCTGTGTTGGCCAGGCTGGTAACTCCTGGCCTCAAGTGATCTTCCTGCCTCAGCCTCCCAAAGTGCTGGGATTACAGGTGTGAGCCCCCACACCCAGCCACAAATCAATATTTTGTATGCTTTTTCTCCTAACAACTTGTAGGCAGGAACTGAGAGTATCCCAGTTTTTCAGATGAGGAAAGTGAATCTTAGAAAAGTGTGTTAGTCTGCTCTGGCTGCTGTAATAAAATACTATAGACTGCGTGGCTTATATAGCAGAAATGTGTTTTCTCTCAGGTCTAGAGGCCGCAAGTCTAAGGTCAGGGTACCAGCATTGTTGGGTTCTGATAAGGGCTGTCTTCTCAGCTTGCAGATGGCCGCCTTCTCACTTTGTGCTCACATGGCCTTCCCTCAGTGCCTTCACTTCTTACAAGAAGTTTACCATGTTGGCCAGGCTGGTCTTGAACTCCCGACCTTCAGTGATCCGCCTGTCTTGGCCTTCCAAAGTGCTGGGATTACAGGCATGAGCCACCATGCCTGGCCCCCCTCTGACTTTCATAATTGTCCCTAGGTGTGCAGAATTAGAAAAATTATAAATAATGATTTATGACACATTGTCATCATTAGTCAATGCGTGTCCTGGTTTTTTGTTTTATTTTCTTTCATTGCATTTTATTAATATATTTATTCATCCTCCTTTAAAAAGATTGTAATGAACACCTACAAACCTTTCGCCAAGTACAAGAACATGACCTGCTTCCTGCATCTGTTGATGTGTTTCTTTCCTTTCCCATTCCTATGCTGCCTCCCTTGCATACATGGCCACTTTAAGATTTGTTATTCCATTGCTTATTCTGTAGGAAGATTCAGGTTTTTTTCATAAATATAGGCTATTCAGATGTTCTGTTTTTGTTTGTCCGTTTTGGTAATTTGAGTAATGTAAAATATTTGCCTACTTTATCTTTGTCTTCCCATTACTTTTTAAGATTGTTTCATCTCATAATGGTAAATTTTGTATTTTATCACAATAAAAAGTCAGAAAAATATATTTAACATATCTACATATCTTTTTATAATGCCATTTAAAACTGATAAACCTCAAAAAAATAAAAGGTTGTTACATTGTATTCTTGTGTGTGTGTATTTTGCTTTTTTTGAACATTATAAAAAGTGTATTGTGGTTTATATTGTCTTCTGGCATTTTCACTCTTTATTCAACAGTAAGTTACTAACATTCATGATGCATATAGCTGTAGTTCACTCATTTTTTTTCCTGCTAGAGTCAATTGCATGAATATAACACAATGTATTTATCCATTTTCAGGGAGAGCTTGAAAATGTTTGCTTATTGTTTTTTGTTATCACAAACAATGCTGCCATAATTCATATATATGTGTCCTCAGGCACATCTATAGGAGTTTCTCTTAGTAAAGTTCCTTGGACTGGCATTTCTGGATTATAAGATGAGCAAAAGGAGAATTTTACTAGATAATGCTCTGTTGTTTCCTAAAATGGTTATACCCATTTCACTTCCCTTGCCTTATCTGAATGATTTCATAGAACAACTTCCTCTTCAATAGTTGATGTTGTCCGGTCCTTTAGTTTTTTCAACCTAGCGAGTATAAAATGGGGCATCTCATTGTGGTCCTAATTTGTTTTTCCCCTATTACCAAGAAAGGTGAACACTTCTTATGTTGACTGGGCAATGTATGTCTTCTGTGAAATATCAGTGCATAATATGTTCATTTTGGGGTAGAGTGAAGTTCCCAACCATAATTCTGAGTTTATTTCTCCTTTCAACTCAGTTTTTGGTTCATGTATTTTGAGGCTCTGGTGTTTGGCACATACAGATTTAAGACGATTTTGTCTTCCTGGCGCCATGGTCTTCTCTTCATCTTGTGAAGTCCCTCTTTGTCTCATTTGCTTAGGTCTATAGTTTGCTATCTGATACTAATGTTATGTTTTTTATTTGTTTGCTTTTTTGTTTATTATATTTACTCTAGTCAAATTGACTACTCTTTTCATTTATGATTAATGCTTTTATATCTTGTTCTGGAAATCTTTCTCAAAAGATACTCATTTTTATTATATACAAAATATGTTTAATGTTTAGCTTCTGACAGTTGAGTCTTAATCACTCTGGAGGTAATTCTGTATGTGGTATGAGGTAGGAATATTATTTCATTTTTCTCCATGTGGCAAATAATTTTTCTAGATCCATTTATTGAATGGTTCCTCCTTTTCCCAATGGCCTTCTCTGCTGCTTCTATCATATATCAAAGTTACATATATACATTTCTGAGTTCTCTATTTCATTTTTCCCTTTCACCGTTTGTCTTATATCTATGCCTAATCACACTGCCTGAATGCATATAGTTTCATCATAATACTAAGTCCTCATAGGGTAAGGCCCCTGCTTTATTCTTCAGAGTTATCCTGGTCTCTATATCAGCTGACTGATCTCTATCCACAGTCAGCTTGTCAATATCTGTGAAAAACCCTATTGAGATTTTATCTGATGTTGTATTGAATTTAGAAGTGAATTTAGGGAGAACTGATAACTTTATATTGATTAATCTCTTTTCATATAGATCTTTAGTGTCTTAAGTTTTACAATTTTCTTCATGTAGATCTTACCTATTTTGTGTATGTTCACTTAGTCTTTATTCAGACATTGCAGACTCATTATGTTCATCTAGCTGGTTCTCACCCTTCTCACTTTTACACAGGTGAGAATCCTGAGAGTCTGTTTCTTCTCTGTCTCTGCCTGCCTTTCCATCCTCATCTCCATCATGTCATCCCATTTACATTACTCAGCAATCAGCATTCTCTCAAGACTTTCAGCCCTTGTACATTCTGTTTTCATCTGCCGAAGTTTCCCTCCTAATTCCTCTGTCTGGGAACTCCTACTCTCCTTTTTAAAGAAAGCCCACGTAGCTCACCTTTTCTTGGTGCTGTGATCCAAGACATCCTCTGATCCCTCTCTGTCTCTCATCTGGGCCATGTTAAGTGTATCCTCCCTACATTGTCATAGCACCATGAGACTGCCTCTGTCAGAGCACATTCATCACACACATTGTAATTATTAGTCTGCCCACTCTCCCTCATTTGGGAGAGTGAGGAGCGGTCTCCATTCCAGATTCTTTGCCCCCTGCCCTTGCTTTTCCTTCTGGGTTTCCTTTTAAAGATCTCAAGAGTCCAAGCATTAGGAAAGAAATTGCAAGCCTGGTTTTGAGAGATGTAAAAATGCAGTAGGCATCAGAGACACTGTTTTCACCTTCATTCTTCTGCTAAAGTGGTGATTTTGTTTGTTCTGTTGACATCACTAATGTTCAGTTTTTTTTATATTGGATTTCCTTCAGGTGAAAAAGCAAAACCCAAGATTACAGAGCCTACTGCTTCTCAGCTGGCCTTCTCTGAGGAATCCTCTTTCCAGGAACTTCTGGCACAGAGATCCTCAAGAGATTCCAGGTTGGGGCAAGCTAGAGATGAGGAAAAGCTAATAAAAATTCAGGAAGGGAACTTGAGGCCAGGAACAAACCCCCACAAAGAGATATGCCCTGAGAAGTTGAGTTATAAACATGATGATTTGGAGCCAGATGATAGTCTGGGCTTAAGGGTTTTACAGGAACGAGTCACTCCACAAGATGCTCTCCATGAGTGTGACTCTCAAGGACCAGGAAAAGACCCCATGACTGATGCAAGGAATAACCCTTACACATGCACGGAATGTGGGAAAGGGTTTAGCAAGAAGTGGGCCCTTGTTCGGCATCAACAGATTCATGCTGGAGTGAAGCCCTATGAGTGCAATGAGTGTGGGAAAGCCTGTCGTTATATGGCTGATGTCATTCGACATATGAGGCTTCATACTGGGGAAAAACCATACAAGTGTATTGAGTGTGGGAAAGCCTTCAAACGCAGGTTTCACCTCACGGAGCACCAGCGTATTCACACCGGAGATAAGCCCTATGAGTGCAAAGAATGTGGCAAAGCATTCACCCACCGCTCTTCTTTTATCCAGCATAATATGACTCACACTCGAGAAAAACCCTTTTTATGCAAAGAATGTGGGAAAGCTTTTTACTACAGCTCCTCATTTGCTCAACATATGAGGATTCATACTGGAAAGAAACTCTATGAGTGCGGTGAATGTGGAAAGGCCTTCACGCACCGCTCCACATTTATCCAGCACAATGTGACCCACACAGGAGAAAAACCATTTTTATGTAAAGAATGTGGAAAAACCTTTTGCCTCAACTCATCCTTCACTCAGCACATGAGGATTCACACTGGAGAGAAACCCTATGAGTGCGGTGAATGTGGAAAGGCCTTTACTCATCGCTCCACTTTCATCCGACATAAGAGGACCCATACCGGAGAGAAGCCCTTTGAGTGCAAAGAATGTGGGAAGGCCTTTTGTGACAGCTCTTCCTTAATTCAACATATGAGGATTCACACTGGTGAGAAGCCTTATGAGTGCAGTGAATGTGGAAAGGCTTTTACACACCACTCTGTTTTTATTCGACATAATAGGACCCACAGTGGACAAAAACCCTTGGAGTGCAAAGAATGTGCAAAAGCCTTTTACTATAGCTCTTCCTTCACTCGACACATGAGGATTCACACTGGAGAGAAGCCCTATGTTTGTAGAGAATGTGGAAAGGCTTTTACCCAACCTGCAAATTTTGTTCGGCATAATAGGATCCACACTGGAGAAAAACCTTTTGAATGCAAAGAATGTGAGAAAGCCTTCTGTGACAACTTTGCTTTAACTCAGCACATGAGAACTCACACTGGAGAGAAACCCTTTGAATGCAATGAATGTGGAAAGACCTTCAGCCACAGTTCATCGTTCACTCACCATCGAAAGATTCATACCAGAGTTTAAAAGATACAGGAAGGCCTATTACAAGTGTGTTTGTCTTTAGTGAACTCATAGTGGTGACATACCTTTCCTTTTGAGTATAACTATTGAGGGAAATATTTTGGCCAGAGAGATGTCTTAGTATCTGATAATTTATACTAACTAGAAACAGAATTGTCCCTGTGAAATCTTTTTATGGCAGGTAATCACTTGTCATCCAAAGAATTATATTAAAGATTCACCCAGTTTAGAGCCTTACACTGTACCTGAGAATAATCGAGGGGAGAGACCTGGTGGTTAACATGCATTTAGGTAAAATGTCAGGAACAACTTTCCTCTTATTAATACTATAAATCCATCTCAAGCATATTTTAAAATAATGAGAGATGGAGGAAACAATCTAGAAGATAAAAGAAAAAGATGTGCATAACTTGTTTTCAGTTTCCCTGTTTATGACAGTTTGTCATTTGGCGGGTTGGGGGATGGAGCAGGGAATAAGACATTGAAAAAGTCTCATCCCCTTTGTGTGTTTTACATATATATATCTCTAAGTCCAGAGCCAGGAGAGTTGGACCATTGAGGGCAGCTCTGCCAACATTTAGTAAAAGTATTCATTGTTCCAAAACTGTCATCTCTACCCTTGAGGGAGTGTGTCTTTGTGAGAAATATAAAGGCTTGAGTCATGAAATACTTAACACATGTGCACATGTACACATGTACATTTATATGCAGTGAATTGTTACTCGTGGTAGTTAGGTTCTGTGAATTTTCTGTGCACACTGAATTAGTGAATGCTGAATGATTGTTGCTAGGGGAAATACAGCGTTAGCTTCTGTGAGCCTCTGATCCAAACATTTTTATCAACCAGTCAACACATAACCTTCTTCTATGGGTATTTGTTTGTTTGTTTGTTTAAAGACACTTTATCAGTGTTTCTTGAATAATTATAATTATTCTTTATAATAAAAATATTTTAATTATAGCATGTTTGTGTAATGTACTCAGTATATTATTGTACTGCTTTAACTCTTAATTATGTACACACAGTACACATATACAGTATTCATGTACAATAAACACAGCAAACTGTACAGTATTCATAACAGTAAATGGTACTGTGAACACCTATACTATACAGTACAGTCGTGCCAATAAAGATAGTCCTGGGGGAAAAACATTAAAGATTAAAAAAAGATTAAAATTGTACTTTTGATGGAGCTGCAAGATGTGTGATGGGACAGCGCACTGTATGGTTAAACTGCTTGACTTTAACTTACCCCCAAAAAACTAAGGAAGAGGTTGATGCAACTTACTTTTCAGAAGAGGAAGGCATTACTGAGGGTGCCATATCAACATCTGGCAGTTTTACTTCAGGAGTTTGACTTTTGCCACTTGTTGACATCATCAGCAGTTTTCCCTCCTGAGCTGGCATGAAAAATTGCATCAGCCTTGTCTGGCTTTTCGCCTAAAGTGTTTTTATCTTTTTTGAGACAGGGTTTCACTCTGTTGCCCAGGCTAGAGCGCAGTGGAGTGATCACGGCTGACTGCAGCCTTGCCTCCTGGGCTGAAGCAATCCTCCCACCTGAGCCTCCCAAGTAGCTGGGATCACAGGTATGTGCCATAATGCCCAGCTAATTTGTTTTTTGTAGAGATGGGGGTCTCACTATATTGCTCAGGTGGTCTCAAACTCCTGGACTCAAGTGATCCTCCTTCCTCGGCCTCCAAAGTGTTGGGATTACAGGCGTGAGCCACTGTGCCCGGCTCCACCTCAGTGTCCCAGCATAAAGGAGTGCATTGGAGGTTAGGGGCTTAAATTTGAGGCTACATTCGAGCATAGGGTCACATTCTTCCATGTAATTGAAAATGTTTCCAGGGCAGGATTTCAGTTTGATATTTTTGCTGCTGTGAGAACAGTTCTTGGAATCTTAGGCTGACCTTCGTCACCATCTTTATCATCACTGACTTTGATGCCTAAATAACATTGCATACAGTGACTGGCTTCCAGTAGTCCAAAACGGTGGTTTCCTTGTTGGTGTTGAGAGCCTCACAAGCCTTGCTATAAAGGTCATTCATGTTGTGCACCCTGAAAGCTTTTAAGTATGCTCTGATTGAAGGGTTGTATGACACATGTGTTTGTGGCCATAAAAAGAATGTCTAGGTTGCAGTGGGAATTTTCAAGTTCTTTATGGCAATGAACTGGAGCATTATTTAAAATTAATTAAACTTTGAAGGCAAAGTTTTTGCCTTGGAGATAGCATTCAACTTCTTGGATGAAGCAGTTGTAAAACCAATCCCAGAATAGTTCTGAAGTCATCCATGCTTTTCTGTTCCACTTACAGTGGACTTGCATATGGCTCAGGTTTTTCTCTTTAAGTTCCTACGGATTTGGGGTTCTCTACACCATTAGTGGTTTGCACTTATAGTCACCATTAGTACTGATGCACAGTAGCAAGGTTGCAGGATCTTTGAATGATTTAAAGTAAGGGACTTTGGAGGCCATTTGTGCTATATAGATTCATTTTCTTTTAAAACAAGCCATTCTCATCAGTGTTGAAACCTGGTTTTTCACATAACCCTTTTCCTGTATAACATTTAGTGGATATTATTTAAATTCTTCCACAGCCCCCAGAAGAATTTGCCTGCAAGTTTAATACATTTTATGTTGTAGTGCCTTTTGAAATGTGTGAGTAGCCAGCACTAGCTGAGCAGGGTTAGCATTTTCCTTACTTAGGTATCGTGACCATAAATTTCTTTGGCTTTAAGACTCACAATAATGCTGTCCTCTATTCTTTTCTATTGGTCATCATCTGATTCACCCATAAATTTAGCCTTTTTTCATGTTTTCTATAACTTCATCATGCATTATGCATTATAGATGTTCCTTTTTATACTTTTAGGAGCTGCCTCATGTACAGACAGGTGAATTTCCTCCTCCTATTTCTGGTTGTATTGTGTTGTTGATTTGTAGACATTGAACTCTCAGACAACAGCAGTATAACTCATGACTGAATGAATCTTTTTTTTTTTTTTTTTTTTTGAATCAGAGTTTCACTCTTCTTGCTCAGGCTGGAGTGCAATGGTGCGAACTTGGCTTACTGCAACCTCCGCCTCCCGGGTTCAAGCAATTCTCCTGTCTCAGCCTCCCAAGTAGCTGGGATTACAGGCAACCACAACCACACCTGGCTAATTTTTGTATTTTTAGTAGACACGGGGTTTCACCACGTTGGCCAGGCTGGTCTCGAACTCCTGACCTCAAGTGATCCACCCACCTCAACCTCCCAAAGTGCTGGGATTACAGGCATGAGCCATTGTGCACTAAATGACTGAAAATGACACGACATTATGAATGCCGAAACAAGAAAGTAGGCATCACCTTTGACCTCAGCTGGTGACATGCAGGCTTGATGAATCATTTTTTTCATCACTCTGCACATGTCTGCAAATGACTGCAAAAATGCAAAAACCTCAAAGTATTGATTTTGGAGTTATAACAAAATTTTAGTAGGTGAATTCTCAAATATAGAATTCACAATCATATATACAGATAGCAGTTTAGTTTTCTACTCATTGGGAAGAGCTGAAGACCCCATCCTCCCTCACAGTGACCACCTCTGCTGTAGCTGTGGCTGTACCTATCTTGAGCCTGGTGGCTAAGAGCCTAGATGATAGATTGGGATTTCGGATCATTTAGTGTTTCCATGACCCATTGGGTGACCTTGGCCATGCACTTCTCCATGGAGCTGTGTTACTCTCTGTAAGAGTAGGAAGGTGGACATTAAACACATGGGAAAATGAACCTACAGTCTGTTAGGTGATATGCAGAACCAGGAAGCATACAGGAGTCCCGAAGAGAGAACCACATATCCAAGACCTCAAGGGTGACAAGAGCTTGGACTGTTGGAGGATACAGCTCAATGTAGTGTGGCTTGACAGGGAGAATAGAAATTAATGATGGAGTGGAGTAGCAGGCCATATGCACAGATAGGGTACCATGAAATTTGGATTTAATTCTAATTGCTATGTGAAGTCATGGGATGATTTTAGCAGATACACAAAATTTTTTTTTCCTTTTTTCTAAAAATTTAACAGTTGTATGTTTTACACTTGGGTCAGAATTTCTCAACCTTCTAAAGCTGAGGTCATTAATTTGAGACCTTTCATTCTTTTTCTAATATAGGCCTTTAATGCTATAAATTTCACTCCAGATACTGGTTTAGTAGCATTCCATAAATTCTGACATAATTTTCAATCAGTTCTAATAATTTTTAATTTCCCTTTTGATTTCTTCTTTGATCTATGAAGTTTGATTATGGTCTGAGAACATACTTTGCATGACTTGAACCCTTTTCTATTTGTCGAGGTTTGTTTTATGATCTGGAATGTGGTCTATCCTGGAAGAATGTTTACACATTATTACTGAAAATAGTGTGCATTCTGATCTTGTTGGGTGTTCTATAAATGTCAAGTAAGTCAATATGGTCGAGAGTGTTGCTCATGTCTTCTGAGTCCTGATTTTCTACTTGTTCTGTCACTTATGTAGAGAATGGTGTTTTCTTTTTTAAAAAAACTACTGTAATTATGGATTTGTCTATTTCTCTTTGCATATCTATCATTTTTAAGTTCTTTCATTAGGTATATAAATATTTAGGTAATAGTCTTTGTTCTGAAGTTAACTTTGTGTAATATTAATACAGCCTCTCTAGTGCTCTTTTGCTTACTATTACAATGGTGTATCTGTGTCCTTTGATTTTTTTTTTTTTTTTTTTGAGACAGAGTTTCGCTTTTGTTGCCCAGGCTGGAGTGCAATGGCGCAATCTCGGCTCACCACGACCTCTGCCTCCCAGGTTCAAGCGATTCTCCTGCCTCAGCCTCCCAAGTAGCTGGGATTACGGGCGCCTGCCACTACGCCCTGCTAATTTTGTATCCTTAGTAGAGATAGGGTTTCTCCATGTTGGTCAGGCTGGTCTTGAACTCCTGACCTCAGGTGATCAGCCTGCCTTGGCCTCCCAAAGTGCTGGAATTACAGGCATGAGCCGCCACACCCAGCCATGTCCTTTGATTTTTAATTAATTTTTGTCATTATATTTAAAATGGTTTTCTTGTACGAAATATTATTGGATCTTGCATTTTATCTACTTTGAAAATCTCTGCCTTTTAATTAGGTCATTGAATTTAGTGTGATTATATTGCTGGGTTTCAATTTATCATTTTGCTATTGGTTTTTCTCTTTGTTTAATCTATTCTCTTTATTTTCTCCCCCGACCCCACTTCTGCCTTTGGATTGAATATTTTGCATGATTCCTGTGTTGTTAGAACTATTTAAATTGTGTGCTCATAGGACTGTCAGTCAGGTGTAGGCAGAGGAGGAAACGCAGGAGAGGCTTGTCAAAGAACAAAGTTTTATTATACTTACAGGTCCTAGAGAGAGAGTCATTGCACACCAAGGGAACCAAGGGGGCACAGACAGCATCAAGGAGGCTGGCTCAACTGAGCTGTTAGGGAGCCAAGAGAATGAAGACCTATGGGGAAGTGCCTTTATTGGCAGCCAGGATGGAGTACACAAACAGCACAACAGAACTTGTGGCAGGGCCAGCCTAATCACACTGGTATAGCTGGCTGGGGGGCTCACAGCCTGTTTGTGGGGATACCGAGGCAGCAGGAAAATACAGTGCTTTAAAATTTACATTACAGTTTGCCCTGTGGTGCCTCAACATCATTACAATACTAATCGGATGGATAACACTTGCCACCTGGGTTGTGATGTTAAAGGTGCCTGGGACAGCATGACTTAGCCACTGAAGGTAAACTTTAATAAAGGTAACAGCTCAGAAGAGTCCTATTAGGCATATGATGAGGGTTTGGTATCCAGTTTGTAACACGGCATCCCACTTTGTGGAGGAAAGCCAAGAGAATGGGCCAGGCACCCCTGGATTTAAGGGAATCTGTTGGAATATTTGGCTAAGTCATGAAAAACCTTTACCTTTTGACCTGTTCCTCATAGTTGGCCTGTACCTGTCCAGAGTTATTAATGTACATACAGTAGGAGGTATCCTGAGTGGCACAAACTCCTCCTTCCCTGGCTAATAGTCAAGAGCCAGCCTGTTATCTATTGCCATTTGAGCTAGAGACTCATGGGCTTGTTGTATTAAGGACAGTATTTTGTACAGCCTTTGAATATGATCTGAAAGGGCCACGTAATGACGCTGCTTGGCAGTTATGATTTGATCTTATTCGACAAAGCCTGCTGTATTGGTGTCAGCAGTGGTGGCTCCTGTGCCTATGGCAAGTCCTATTAAGATAGGGATAAACACTGCCCATTTTGCCTTGTGTCTTTGGGTTAATGGAAACAGGGAAGTACCAAGTGGACAAAGAACCATGGCAATCCCCAGTGTAAACACTATTTACCAGATTTTATTAGGGAAAACATCCAGGGTGATTGGCAAGGAAAAATACATAAGGTGCTGTGCCTGTGATTTCAAGCCACAAAAAAAACCAAATGTGCCATTATTCAGAGTATAGTGTACCCATGAGAGTATCATTGTAAGGAGGGTGAAGGCCTCGGGGTGGGGAATTGGCCACTGCTGGTTGGCTCCTGGGCACAAGTGGTAAGCCCATAGGTTAACTTGGTCATAACATGTAGCCATCCCTGGTGAGGAATGAAGGCAGGTGGTAGATTTAAGCAAATGGCGCTTTGGGAGTTTTTAAATTTGGTTATATGGTATTATCCAAGACAGTAGTTCTGAAATCTTTAGGGTCACTAACAATATCTTGGTAGTGTTATTAAGTGCATTAGAAACATGTTCAGGTCAAAGTGACAAGTTTGGCAGTTGTAATGTTGGAAGGGTATGAAATGATAGGTATATGTAAAGGTTAGTGGTATTTGTGTGTGATCAAGGGGAAAGAGTGATCATAGTAGGAGATGCAAGGTGAGAGTAGAAAAGGCATCAGGGAGTAAATGGTACTCTTTCTAGGGGGAGAAGGGGTTGACTGATTTGAGGCAGATGCCTCCCGAGGAAAGCAGTAATTTCCACTAATTTTTAGAACGGCATAGATAGTAGTAACCTCTACTAGATTTCCTGTTAGACATGGAAGTGTAGGGTGTACATTTTGGCAAAGAGCAAGGAATATACCAGAATCATAGGTTAGGCAGACAGCAAGCTCAGAAACATAGTAGAACCTTTAACATCCAAGGGAGAAAAGCATAAATACCCCATGTTTAATGCATGCCTTAGGAGAGGCACTCCATAGGCACCACTGGGACAGAGGTTTTCATATCTGGGGTGAAGTTGTCCCTGGCACAAGAGGTAAAGTCATCTACAATGGCAAAGACTTGGGCTGGGGCAGTGTCATCTCCAGCAGTGAGCTTCTGGGCAAGGGTGAAATCATCTGAGATGTGGGACTTGGGTGTCCTTTTTAAATGGGTACCCTCTCAAGTTGATGTGCAACTCAGCATTTGCCATGTTTGGTTGAGGCTTATTTGGGGAGTTTAGACCTCTGAATTGAAAACCAGTGAATCATCCCAATCAGCAGTAAGGAGACCAATAGTTACCAGAACAGTGTGCAGTACATTCAACAGATCTTCTGTTTTTGTTTGTGGAAGTCTAGGCTCAAATGGGTGCCATAGCAGATGAGTAGCTGCCTGAAGCATGGGACAGTCTCTATGGTCATTGAGTCCAAGGAAAATAAGCACCCTCGATCCAGCCTTCCACCCTGTGCTCCTGGAGAAAAATGGATGCAGCTATGATCTATCTTGCAAAGACTGTGTGTGATGGCAGAGCTGCTGAGGTACCCCACAGGTAGCCTGAAACAGGAGTATTGTGTTCCTTCAGAAATGAAGGTGAACTGTAGTTGAGAGGCTATTGAAATGGGCCTGGAACAGAACACACTCTCCAAATCTATAAAAGCAAAATATTTGCTCATTATTGATTTAATAGAATCAGTAATTTTAATAATATTAGCTGTTTTGTATGGGGGCCCTAATTGGTAGGAACACATTGTTAAGGTTATAGTAATGCACCATGAGGCACTTTACCCTTTTTTTATCCCCCAGGTTTAACAGGCAAGATTGGGATATCAAATAGAGAAGCAGTTGGGATAATTGCCTTTTTATTAATTAGGTTTAACCCTTGAAGGCCCTGTTGTACCCTATATTGGACCAGATTAACTATTTTAACTGGGTATTCATGGGGTCCCATTTTATCAAGCCAGTTTGTAAAAGACCTACCTTAATTTATGATTTATGTTAGAGCATCTATGCTCCAATATGGGATATATTAGGGCAATGGGTATTATGACTTGGGAAATATAGGCAAGGCTACATTTAAAGTGAGGCATTCCTACTTTTTCTCTATTTTATATATAGTGACTTTCTTAAGATAGGAGAGGCACAATGCTTAAATTTAATGGGATCCCCCGGTATAACTGTAATTTGAGCTCCAGTACTGATTATGTCCATGGAGTTTTGTCATTGGGTACATTTTAGCTTCTTTTAATTTCAACCTGATAGACCTCCTTTAGCCTTTTTTTTTTTTTTTTTTTTTTTTTGCAGAGCAGGTCTAGTGATAATCAACTCCCTCCACTTTTGTTTATCTGGGAATATGTGAATTTCTCCATAATTTTTCAAGAACATTTTGCTGAATATAAAATTCTCTATTGACAGCTTTTTTTCTTCACCCTTTACGTTTATTGACCCACTTCCTTCTAGCTTCCAAGGTTTCTGATGAGACACTGGCTAATAGTCTTGAGGATCCCCTATATGAGAGGAGTTGCTTCTCTCTTCCTATTTTCAAGATTATCTGTCTTTGGCTTTTGACATTTGATTATGTGTCTCAGTGTGGGTCTCTTCACAATTCTCCTGCTTAGAGTTCATTCATGGTGAACTCTTGCTGGGTTGGCAAATTCATATCTTTCATCAAATTTGGAGATTTTTCAGCCATTATGTCTTCAAGTATTTTTCTCTGCCCCTTTCTTTCTTTTCCCCTTCAGGGATTCCCAAATTGTTGTTGTGCTAAAGTTCCAATCCTCATTCTTTTTTATATTGATAATTTGTATTTTCCTGTTTTTAAGTTTGCTGAATCTCTCCTCTGATTGCATGTCTTCTGAATCCCTTTATTGTATTCATATTTTGTTTCCATTACTGTAAATTTTGATCTAGAATGTTTTTTGTTCTTTTTAGAAATCATTTTATCTCTTTATTTCTATCCTCATTTTGCTCATACATCTTTTTCCTTTGTTCATGTCTTTAGCTTTTTAAGCATCTTTAAGACAGTTGTCTTTTTCTGGCGAGACTGACATCTGGGTTTCCTCAAGTATGTTTTCCCTCCATTCATTTTGTTCCTTTAATTGGGCCATACTTTTATGTTTTTTTGGCATGCCTTCAGGTTTTTGTTGTTGTAGAAGACTGGGCATTTGAATCTTACCATGTGGTAACTCTGGAAATCATATTTCCCGCCACCTTTCCCTGGATTTGCTGCATTTTTGCCTCTGTTTTCATTATTATGGGATAATTATGTGCCAGAGATCGGCCTAAAGTGAAAACTGAAGAAGGTCTTTTCAGTGCTTGCATCTTTCCATGGGCATGTGAGGTGGCTTTCTGAATTCTTCCGTATATGTAGTTGTTTTTGAAGACAAACAAAAAAATAGGTGCAATTCTTTTATATCTGTGAAAAGACACTTCATCCAGTGGGGGTTGAAACAATGATGACTAGCCTACAAGCCCACAAGATCAGAAGCACCAATCCACAGTCAGAACACAAAACCTCAGTATCTGTGGGATAAGGGACTTATTGCCCACCCTGGCTCCAGAAATCTGCACCAGAATGACATTCCCATCCCCAAAGCTGCTTGCCATGGAGCTGGGAGTGAGGAATGTGTAGCCAATACCACTCTGATGGCTGCAATCAACACAAATTGTAATTTATTAGGCAAGCTGGAAATTACAAGCATTCAGGTAAACTCTGGAGTTCCAACATAGTTACTTCAGAAAGATGCCAGAATAGTTTTTCAGGTACAGTGGCAGATTCGTGGCACTTCCTATTTGGTCATTTTCCCTGAAATCATACTCCACATATTTGGTTTTGTAGTATTTTATAGTATCTGAAATAATATGTCTCTAAATATTTATGTGATCTGTTGCAGGCAGTAAAATATGGAAAACTGGGTACTCACCTTTAAGAAATGAAGTACCACTCTCTTCATAAGAGTCTTTTGATGCTCATTCCTAGTGGCCCTCTGGGTGCTACTTAGCCATTGCCTCGAAGAATATGAAGAGCTACATTACCTAGAAGGATGTGCTTCATATGCCCAAATGAGAGCCTAGGACAGGAGTGTTTCCTGCAGCCTGCATTATTGTGGCCTGCACTATTGGCACTGCTACAGTGGACTTTCATTTGTCACATGACCTGTCTGACCACACCACCCAGGGGGAGCAGGTGACTCTTTGGGACCAAGCTAGGAAGGCCAGTAAGGAGGATAGGACTCATCTAGACACCTTTGTAGGGCCTAGGAGAGAGTTCAGCTGAGTGAAGTACTGATACAGTCGCCTCCCTCCTAGCACAGGTGTGTTAACTAGTCTCACATTCTTGGACTCTCAACCACATGGCTGTGGCATGCTGACATGGAGGATCGTGGCATCCTGGGATTCTTCAGGCCTTCTCTTCCTGCTGATAGGGTCACTCTCAGTCCAGAGTCCTAGAATTAAATCAAGTATTACAAAAGAAAGTTCCTCTTTCTTGGCAATTGGTGGTATGTGGTGGGGAAGTATGAACTATAACTTCTTAGTATCCCCCATTCATGTACAGTGGCATGTGCAGATCCTTGGGAGAGGCATGGCCTGCAGAATCCAGAGACATGTTTGGATCATGCTGTACCCTATCTCAGGGCTGTGGCCTTGTGCAAGCTATCTTGCTATCCTTCACCTCCATTTTCCTCAAGGAAGGCTTAAAGGGGAAATATTAACCATCATTCTTTCTAGATGAGAGTATCAGAGATGGCTAATGTGTGATGTGTGTTCCCAGTGCCCAGCACTGTGCAAGGAACATCCCTCTGGATGCTATTTCTAGGGAGATACATCCTTAGGCCTATAAATCTGCCCTCTACTCCATCTTCCTTTGCTCACTGCTCTCCTGCCAAGCTGTCCTGATCATTCTAAGCTCTTTCCCACTTCCCAGTGTTTCTCTCTGCCTGGGACACTGAGTCCAGATCTCTGCAGTGCCTCTCCCTCTCCTCTCCTCCTTTGCATCCTTCCCTGTTCTGCACCAATGTCAATGTCACCTACTAGGAGAGTCTTTTTTTTTTTTCCCTTTGGCCTTGCTAGCTCTAGATTAAGTATTTCTCATCTTCTGGAATCTTTGTGCAGAGAATGTGGCACACTTACAAAAGTAGAGATCAGGACTTGGTTCGGTTTTCCAGGGTGGTGTGGAAGCAAAGAGGCTAAGTAACAATAATAACTACATTTATTGAGTTCTGAGGGTAACTTGTTATGTAGCACTTCATTTAATCCCAATTTCCTCAGAGTTAGGTTCTATTATTCCTGCTTTACAGAAAAGGAACCTGAGGTTTGGAAAACTTAAGTTATCTTCTCAGGGTCACACAACTCTTGGCGGAAACTCACATCCTGTATGTTGAGCCCTTGAGCCTTTGTTCTTTCTTCTTCTTCACCACCATTCCTCCTCAGTGGGCTGGGGAAGCCTGAGGTGATACCTGACAAAGATTTCTCTTTCTTTCACCAAACTCTAGCTAGGCCCCTCTGAGCCTTCTTTAATAGGCCTGTCAACTTTTGCCTATTAAGACTTGAACAACACTAACACTTTCTAATAACTTTTAAAGTGCTGGCCTGAAAAACTCAAGGCTGTCCAAAGAATTTCTTCCAGCCAACACCTGAAGATAAGACCCCTGTCTCACAGTCTCTGTGGGAGGATAGGATCCTAATTCAAGTGCCAGTAGCAAACCCAGATAGACTGCACATAGACCAGCCCCCTCCCTTCCTGTGTTTTGTAATTTTTCACTTTTCTGACTCTACTGAGCCCCTCTTCTCCACCCCCTCCCTATTTCCTCACCCTTCCTTTAACATACTCATTCACCTCTGTACAAATCAAAGCTGGGTTCAGTTCATGCCAAATTCCTTTCCCCATTGCAATAGTTATTACCAATTAAAGTCCGTTCTCCCCACTGTCATAAATGTCCAGCTTTGTTCATCTTTGACACACCTAGTGAGCTTTGCAAGGTAGGCAGGACTCCCTCGGCAGGTAAGCGTGGTAATAAATGGGGTATGGGACACATTCTAGGCAGAAGGAACAGCATGGCCAAAGGAGACATTTTTTTGTTCAGGGAGGCCAAGAGAGCCTGTATGGTTGCCAAGAGAAACCCCAGTCTTCTGAGATCTGTCCTAGGAGGGCAATATTGTGTGGTCTTTTACTGAATGTTCAAATGTAGCCTATATTCCTAAGATGTGTGACTCTGAGAGAGACTCAGGTCACTAGCATGAAGATGATTATGGCATTTACCTTACAGTATGTGGGAAGATTATTAAAAGCAGGAAAAACACGGCAACAAACTTCCATGCAGAGGCACTTTGTTGCTTGCTTTATAAATCTTTTAATTCTTACAACCAGCTGGTAAGATGGGAATTGTTTTTGTTTTGATGGAAAAATTGGGAAATGAAGTGACTTCACCAAGTTTATAGAGTAAGCAAGCGACAGTCCCAATAGGCTGAATTCACACCTAGGAATTTGGATCCAGAGCATAGAACATTTAATTGTCTCAATGCAGCACACAGTGCAAACACAAGGCCCAGTTGCTGCTGCTATTAACAGTATTGTATTATGATTATAGTTTTTCCCTATTTATCTTTGATGCCAGAGTGCTTACACTCTGCACCTCTTGGGCCATATGGCCTTGTCATTGTCTTGTATCTTGCATCAATTACTTTTGCATATAAAGCTTTTTTCTCTAACACAATTGCAATTTGTTTAAAGACTGACTCCCCCTCAGCAGCAAAAAAATAAGTTCCCAGGAAGTGCTCAGTGATATGTGCCTTGCTTCTTTCTAGATGTTTACCAACAACTGAGCTCTAATCACATCTGACTGGCCCAAGGCTAACAAGGAAACTGTTTGACTTTCCAGGCATCAGTGACCTTCAATGACAGGCTCTAACCTCCATTTAGGAAGAGTGAAAGCAGTGGCACCCAGCCCACAGGACTCTGTATTCAGAGATGATGATGAAGACCTGTAGGCTTCTGGTCTCTGGGTAGAGCCTCCCCTTTCCTTCATGTGGAAGCCTGATGCCTCCTTCACTCGGCCCGTTTTCCAAATCTGTAGGGCACCCTCCTTCCTTCCCATAGACCTGCTAGGTTCCCATCTCATCTCCTACCTGGTCTCTTTGTTTCTCCTCAGATTATTTAGGGCAAGAAACATTCCCTCCCTCAAAATGGCTCAGATACTCAAGAATTTGTTGGAAGTTAATCGGGGGGTTTTGTAAGAGCTCTCCTCTAAAAATGTTAAACAGTAAACACATGGGAGTGACAAGTGATTAGATGTGACCTTTGAGACCAGAATGATGAAGCAACCATGAGAAGACAATGATGATGTAATCAATAGCTAATACTTATTGAATGCTATTGAGAGGCCAGGGATTGTTGTAAACACTTTACACCAATTAATGCATTTAATCTTCATAATAATGCTGTGAGATAGCTTTATTATCATTTTACAGATGGAGAAACTGAGGCAAGACACAGTGAAATAGTTTGTCCAAGGTCACACAAAGCCAGTATTCATGCAACTTGGATTTAAACCCAGGTAACATGACTCCAAAGTTTAATGCTGTTCACACACACACACCTCAGGGCTCTTAAAGGGTATGGAGTGTTTCTTATCTATTAAGCCCATAGTGGATGCTCAAGAAATGGTTAATAGGTATGACTGAGGAAATAATATGATGTCAGTGACATCATAACATCATTATGACATCAGCCCAACCTTCTATCATAACAAAGTAATAGTCTCTTATTGCTCTCTTAAAACTATCTTCATTTAAAAAGATGGCCTTCTTTTTCCTAGTTCTGTATTGTGAAGGCACTTTAAATCCAGAAACGTAAAGCATTATCATGTGTATGCCCATGCTTTTTAAATGACAAAGCACAGGTATTTCGATGAATCCTCTCATAACAAAGTGACATGGTAGCATTAAACTATGTGTAGTGGAAACAAAATCTGGGCATTATAGGACTACTTCATCTCTGTGGTACCAGTTGCTTGGGAGAGCAGAGAAAGGACACAGAATGAGAGAAAAGAAAGCTACTCTCATTATCCCATAAGTATATATGTGGTAGCCAGTCTATCCATACTTGCAACTGTCTGATACCACATCATGCTTCCTTAATTGTATTTATTTACTTTGGAGACAGGGTGGTGTTCTGCTGTCCAGGCTGGAAAGCAGTGGTGTGATGATAGCTCACTGTGACCTTAAAACTCCTGTACTCAAGCAATCCCTCCCCACTCAGCCTCCTGAATAGCTAGGACTGCAGATGTGTGCCTACACCTGGGTAATTTTTTTTTTTAACAGACTAATGAGTTTTGCTATATTGCCCAGGCTGGTCTCAAACTCCTGGCCTCAAGCAATCCTCCTGCCTCGGTCTCCCAAAGTGCTGGGAGTACAGACATTAGCCACTACATCTGGCCCTTCCCTAATTATAAATCTTCCAAAGATCCTTCAATGTTTCACAGAATTTCAATATAAATTTCATGATTAAAAATAAATCAAATGAAAGATAAAATCCCTGCAAAATAGTAAAAGTTTACCACCCCATTCCAAACCTACTGTCTCTTGCAAATTGCTATTGGAATATGCCTCTGTGCTTTGGCTTTCTGTTAAGGTAGCACATATATCAGAGGAGATACATTTTGTTGAAAGTCAGAAACCTTATCACTCATTCCACACCAGAATTATCATAACTATAACATAATGTTCCTTTTTAAAATAACATATCTTACTACTCTCACCTGAGATAAAGAACAAAATCTGAAGCATAATCCATATCACACCCCTTCACTTGCATCAGTGTCCATACACTCCAAATCAAATTGATCTGCATTACCTTTCTAATCACAAGATAGGATTCTAATCACAGGGCCAGTGAGACTGTTCCATTTCTTATCTAGAACTTAGAATATTTGAAGCCATCCTGCCTCCTTACAAAACATAATTATCTGTCAAGGTTCAGTGCAGAGAACAAAATCTCTCTTAACTATTTCAAGACATATATTGCTGCAAATTAGTGCTTTCAAAATTGGTAGGTGGGCTGTAAAAGTAATGAGAACACTTCTGGGCTAGTGATTTCAAGGTAAACTCCCGTAACTATGACTCAGGGATAGAGAAATGACGGTTGCTGCAATGATGCTGCCAGCAGCACTACCTCAAAGCCACAGAATCTGAAACTAGACATGGGAACGTGGAATCCAGCTGCAGCAAGTATGACAGAACTCGACTGTCTGCTTTACCTAGATTAACACCCAGCACACCGCATACACACACGCACAGGCACATGCAGGGATGCACATGGCTACATGAGTAGTACTCATTACATAATTAGTGTTCATCATTTAGGATTCATTTCAAAAATCACATCTCGCTAAGCCTGCTCTGATCTCTTGTAGTATGTTGTTTCTTGGTTATGTCCTCATAGCACTTGTAAACCATTATTTCAAATTTATTTGCTATCCATCTTTCTTGTCAGATAACATCCCTGCGAGAAAAAGATCAGATTTGTTTTGTTCATTATTACAATGGTTATCAAAATGTGCTTTCTGGACAGTGTGTCGCCTAAGAACGCATGAAAAATGCAAATTCAAATCAACTCATACAGAAACCCTAAGATTCAGACTTAGCAATCTGTGCTTTAACAAGCCCTCCTACTGACTTTGACACACCACTAAAGCTCAGAACTACTGGATTCCTATATCCCATCGCTGTGTAATAATACACGAGTGATGCTCAGTAAATTTTTTTGAAATGTATTTGATTAAGCCTACTGGAAATTGACTCTGAATAATCCTCATCAAAATACTGCTATTCTTAGTATAAAGAGCAGGTCATTTTTCTCTAGGTTTGCTAGTCTCCCACTAAAGGCTACGCTAAGGCTAATCTTAGTGAAATTTTTTTTACAGGAAATAGTCACAGTGAAAGAGTTTGTGATATACAAAATGATTTTATTAGATGCCAAAACTTTTATTAACATCACTTTATTTCTTTTGCAGCTTTAATTTTCAATATTATAACACTTACTGGCTCCTCTGGGTGACTAAATATCTTCACATGCCCACTAGCTAAAAAGAATTTCTAAGTAGAACTCAACTGAAACTGCAAGCTACTGCTCTAAGAAATGCATATTTTATTATAATGTTTATTTGCTCTCCTGTAGAATCCAGTTTACAAATAGCATGACTGCAAAGATTTACACATAACTCCTAAATCCTTCAGGTTGTTCTACCATTAATCTTCTGATGTGTACCAAGATAAACACTCTTAGTGAACACTTTGCTACATCTCTTAAATGAGATTTCTCTCCATTTTGAGTTCTCTGCTGTAGAATAAGGGATATACTTGGAACTGAAGACTTCCCTCAATTTCTAAATTTTCTACATTCATACAGCTTCTCTCCTGTAGGAGTTTGTAAAAGATTCCTATTGTCTGTAGTCTTTCCCACATTTGCTACATGTACAGGGTTTTATCCTAGTGTGAGTATACTTATGTCAATTAAGGGATTAATACTGACAAAGGCTTTCCCACATTTATGGTCTTCATATGATTTCTCTACAGTATAAAGTCTAATAAACAAACTGGCCTGCATCTTTGCTAAAAGGTCTTCCTATATTCACCACATTCATAAGACTTTCCCCAGTATAAATTTTTCTAATGTTAAATAAGGGAGAATCTAGGAAATTTACCATGATAACCACTGCTTCATACAGTTTCTCTTCTGTAAGATTTCTCACATGTATAGTGATTCATATAGTCTAAAGGCTTTTCCACACTTACCACACTATTGGGTTTCTCTCCATTATGTACTCTTTGATGGGCAGTAAGATTTGAGCCTTTGCTAAAAGCTTTCCCACACTCATTACATTTATATGGCTTTTCTCCAGTGTGAATTCTCTGATGTACGGTAAGGTTTGAACTACAGCTGAAGGTCTTCCCACATTTAATACATTCATAAGGTTTCTCTCCAGTATGAATTCTGTGATGTTGAAGCAGGGATGACCTATGACTAAAGGCTTTCCCACATATACTGCATTCGTAGGGTTTCAATCTAATGTGATTTCTCAAATGCATATTCAGTGATTCAAGCTGGTTGAAGGATTTCCTGCATTTCTGACATTCAAAGGGTTTTTCTTCAGTATGAATACTCTGATGCTGAACAAGAAATGAGAGGCTACTAAAGACTTTCAGACATTTGTTGCATTCATATTGTTTCTCCATAGTGTGAATTCTTTGATGTCGAGTAAGGTGTGAGCTACAGCAGAAAGCTTTCCCACATTCTCTACATTCATAAGGCTTCTCTCCAGTATGGATTTTCTGATGGTGAATGAGAGATGACCTATGAATGAAGGCCTTTCCACATATACGACACTCATAGAGTTTTTCTTGAGTATGAATTCTTAGATGTTCAATAAGATGGGACACACGACTAAAAGACTTTCCACAGTTCATACATTCATATGGTTTCTCTCCAGTGTGAGTGCTCTGATGGTTAGTAAGTGATGAGACATGGCTAAAGGCCTTCCCACATTCAATACATTTGTAAGGTTTCTCTCCACTATGGCTTATCAGATGTCGTGTAAGGGATGAGCCATGGCTAAAAGTCTTCCCACATTCACGACATTCATAGGGCTTCTCTCCTGTATGAATTCTCCAGTGGCGATTGAGGATTGACTGTTTGCCAAAGGCTTTCCCACATTCACTGCATGTATAGATTTTCTCTCTATTACAAGTCTGGGGAAGGGTAAGAGATTTGCCCTGGCTGAAGGCTGCCCCACTTTTATTAGAATTCAAAAGTTTCTTTCCACCATTGACTTTCTCATTTTTTATAACTGACTTTTTTGGTAAGTTCTTCTTTAATATATCATATTTGTGTGAATTCCCTTCAGCAGAAATTTTTTGTGGTTCAGAAAGAGTAGACTTTGAAT